>NC_000023.11:9012488-9637488 GCF_000001405.40 Homo sapiens
TTGTCTGCTTGGTCAGAGACCTCAGTGTTTTGATGAAAGTTCATTCTTAGGAGGCCACTGTCATCAAATCAACTTTGCATATAGAAAACTTATGAAAACACAAACCATTCTGTCCTCACAACTTCTGTTCACAACATTGGTGAATGGAGTCACACCTGCATGCTCATAGTTTATCACCACAAACTATGAAACTACTAAAAGAAAACTGTGGGGAAATGCTTGAGGACACTAGTCTGGGCAAAGATTTTTTGAGTAAGACTTCCAAAGCACAGGCAGTAAAAGCAAAGTCAACAAATGGAAAAACATGAAGCTCAACAGCTTCTGCATGGTAAAAAAAAAAAAAAAAAAATCAACGAAGAGACAACCTAAAGAATGGAAGAAAATATTTGCAAACTATACATCTGACAAGAGATTAAGAACCAGAATATATATATATATATAATATCATATATATATATATATATATAATGAGCTCAAACAACTCAGTAGCATCATCATCATCATCATCATCATCACCTGTGTGTAGACAACTGAATCAGGCTCCGTGGCTCCTGGAAACTGGAAATGTTCACATAAAGGCAGAGAAAACCCTTCCAGAATATTTCTACACTATTTCCTACACGAATCACTCGAGAACCATTTCCAAAAGCAATAAAGTATATCTGGCCAACCCATGCTCAGCACCATGCTCTTGCAGAATTTTGACTTTGCCTTTTTGATACTGACCTTTGATTTTTTAAAATAATTGTTTTGTCCTTTTGCTTCAGAAATTTACAAAGCAAACAGAAAACATTATTTAGGAATGACTGACTCTGTATTACTGAATCAATTATTAAATTTTGCTGAATGATTGATCTTGGAAAATAGAGATGTAACTACTTCTTGATGTCAACTGTAATTCAAATCTCATCTCGGTAAAGAATTAATGAAATGCTTAGCCAGGCATGGCCAATGGAATTAGAACTAGCCCAGTCTTGCCATAACTTTCTGCTTCCTTACCATCCTGAGTTTCAGTGGGCAACAGATTCATTTTTGGAGATTACTATGGAAATCTCTGCAACAGTTTTTCCACTCATAACTTAAGGCGTTCATAATTATTGCAGAAGTTTCTCAGTCTCTCCATGTGAAATTTCTCTTAGCTATTGGATTTTAGATATTTCACAGTTCCTTTTGTGCTTTTAAACACACAAGCCCAATTCTGCTTCTTTAAGTGGTTTTGTGTTCCAGTCGCCTGCTCAGAATATGCCTGTTTAATCCTCCTCCTATAGTGATTGATCTGTTTACACTACACTATACTAGACTGGGGAAGTTTTCAAGTTGATTTGAGCTTTTTAGGATGTAGACAGCAGCTAAATTCATGACAAAAATGAGATGCTACCTTAAAAAGTCTGTCCAAATGTACCAAAGGTACTTGCTGTATGAGGCATCATAACTTCCTGTGAAAATGAAAGCTATGCACTTTTTGAATTAAAAACAATGGTGCACAGATATACATACACTCCTGAGCATGCATCAGGTGTGCCGCACACATTCACACACACGCCTCCTCCCCCCCACACACACATTATCTTAGAGTGTGCCTTGGCATCCTTCTTCACATAGACATAGGACATTGTTGAAGAGACCCAGCTCTGTGTGGTCAGTCTGTGTGCCCAGCATCACCTTTGTCCCTCCACAGCTATGTGCCCACTTTGTGTGGTCTTTATATTTTTCTGAAGAAGACTCAGGTTACTCATTCACTTTATTTGTGTACACACTTCAAAAAATATATATTATAACATTTCTATAATATCCAATAAAAGGATGAAATTAGAGGATGTGACTTCTGACCCAATAAAGGACAAAATAAAATGGTAATAATCAAGCTAAAATAAAACAAACACAAACAAGATAGACAGAATAAAAGTGATATGAACAGCAAGTATACTAACAGAAAGTACAATATAAGATGATAGAAATGAGTCCACAAACACAATGGATACAAACAGATTAAACTCTATAATGAAAAGATAAAGACACAAAAGGTTTGAAAAGAAGATGATGGAAAACCAAACACCAAATATATGTTAACCCAAGGAAAAGAGGCTTAACTGTATCAACATCAGATAAATTAAATATTAATGCTAAAGTCATCCTTATGGATAAAACAGTCATCCATTTGAGAAAATCTGTTAAGTTCTCAGATAGCTATAACAATTTAAATCTATATGCATCTAATTAAATGGCATTTATATATAATATACATAAAAGAAAAATTAACAGAATGAAAATAGAAATGAACAAATCCGCCATTATACTGGGATAATTCAGCATATACTCACCAGCTGTGAGAATGGTCTATGACTGGCATAGAGATCAAACTAATATAAATATAAAAGATTTAACAGTTTAATAAGCTCCTTGTAATGGACATATATAGAAAACTACATGAAATAATTGGAGAACACGTTCTTTTCAAGCGTTCCAGAAAATTTTCTAAAACTTGGTTACCCACTTGACATAAAGTATGTCTTCTCAAATTTCAAAGAATCTGAAATTTTCTAACTATAATACAAAAATTAAAAAGTTAATGCCTAAAGAAAACCTTCAATGGCCCTGTATATTTAAAAATGTAAAAAGACACACAAAGATCACTATGAGTTAAAAGAAAAATCATAATAAAAATAAAACTGTGTCTAGGAGAGTTTGATAATAATAACAAACTCCCTTTACTCCATTCATAATTTAAGGCTTTTATAATTATTGCAGAAGTTGACAAAGTACATATTTAAAAGAAAAATTTTACCTTTAATTTTTATGCATGGATCTTATTTGGGCCATAAGCCAAGCACATGAATATGTGTCTGTGTGTGTGTGTGTGTGTGTGTGTGTGTGTGTGTGTGCATCTGTATATATACAAGATATTCTACTCTGGGGCAGGCAGAAATGTCTAGGAGTTGGGATGAAATGGAATTGGCCATGAGTTGATGACTGCGGAAGCTTGGAGAAGGTCTGTAGCTGTTTCTTGGACCATTCTCTCCCTCTCATCCTTCACCCCAACGAGTCCTGTATCTAGTCCCATATAACAACACCACACACTGAGACAAATATTTTTGTCAGCTTCTTACCTACACGTTGAGATGACTTTATACATTTACAAGAAACAAGTAAAGGCATATATGTATTTTCCTTTGTTCACATAATATATAGTATATCGTACACGTCCATTTACAACCCACTTTTTTCACCTAACATCATATCTCAGAAAGTCTTCCTTATCATTTGATTGTAGTGGCATTCCCACCATTTGGACACACAGTATTTTATTGAATCCTTCCTCTCCTGAGGAACATCTAGGGTGTTTGTAACTCTGTGCGAAGGCTAGGACTGCCGTGAACAAAACTGTGCATCCGCCACGTCATCCATGGGCAAGTGTCTCTGCAGGAAACATTCTCAAAAATGGAACAGCTGGGAGAGCTGGGTCCCATATCTGATCATTAATACATTTTTATTACTGGTAGATGTTACCAAATATTTCTCCTCGGGGATTGTACCAATTTATACTTGTACCAGAAGTGTGCAGGAGTTATTTGCAATACTTTAATAACCCAGTGCCTTTGCCTCCTTTGCCTGGAATATGCATCCTACCCTCATCAGATGCCATCCTCTGGGAGATGATTTAAGAGGGATGCCTTCCAAGACAATACCTCCTGGGCTGCACTAGGAGACAGACACGTGCCCCTAGGGGTCCCGCAAATGCATGTCTCACAACACTTCTCACACTGCATTGTGATTGCCAGGGTTCTTCATTTTCTCAAGCTCCAGAATACCAGTTCTGTCTTATTTGTCTTCTTTCACCTGTACTTCCTACCATGCCGGACCCACAGGAAGCTATTGTAATGTTTGTAACATGAATCTTTAAAAATGGGCTGAGGTCTCTATGGATTACATATACTTCCTAAATCAATTTCCAAATACAAAAAAAAATTCAAGCAAGAAATAAAAAGCACATGTTTTAAAAGAGCATTACAGTGTGGAGATTCCTTGAAGAACTAAAAGTAGAACTACCATTTGATCGAGCAATCCCACTACTGGGTATCTACCCAGAGGAAAAGAAATCATTATACGAAAAAGATACTTGCACACCCATGTTTATAGCAGCACAATTCGCAATTGCAAAAACATGGAACCAACCCTAATGCCCATCAATCAACGAGTAGATAAAGAAACTGTTGTATATATACACAATGGAAAACTACTCAGCTATAGAAAGGAATGAATTAATGGCGTTTGCAACAACCTGGATGAGACTGCAGACTATTATTCTAAGTGAAGTAACTCAGGAATGGAAAACCAAACATCACATGTTCTCACTTGTAAGTGGGAACTAAGCTATGAGGATACAAAGGCATAAGAGTGACACAATGGACTTTGGGGACTTAGGGGGAAAGGGTGAAAAGAGGGTGAGGGATAAAAGACTACAAATAGGGTTCAGTGTATACTGCTCGGGTGATGGGTGCACCAAAATCTCAAAATCTCAAAAAAGTAAAGAACTTTCTTGTGTTACCAAATACCATGTGACCAAACACTACCTGCTCCCCAATAACCTATAGAAATAAAAAAATTAAAATAAATGTAACAAAAAAGCATTACAAAATCAAATTCAGAAAAAGAGATATGAACATAAAAATGACCCCAAAATAGCAACTTTCAAATTTTGAACACAAATAAGGATGGAGCTATTTTGTTTGTTTAAGTGCCTATAGAAATTGTATTATAACCAAACAGGCTTTTGTAGTCATTTGTAGAAAAATAAGTACAACATAAAGTGAATACAGTAATAAAGAAAGTTGTATATCTGTTATAAATAAACATATAGATTTTTCATATATGTCTATAGGGCAATGTCCATCATTCTGGAGAAGTCGTATGGAGCTGTTTAGTACATTTTAACTAATGTTCCTTAAAAAAAAAAAAAAAGAGGCTGGGCGCGGTGGCTCACGCCTGTAATCCCAGCACTTTGGGAGGCTGAGGTGGGCGGATCACGAGGTCAGGAGATAGAGACCATCCTGGCTAACACGGTGAAACTCCGTCTCTACTAAAAATACAAAAAATTAGCTGGGCGTGGTGGCGGGCGCCTGTAGTCCCAGCTACTCGGGAGGCTGAGGCAGGAGAATGGCGTGAACCTGGGAGGCGGAGCTTGCAGTGAGTCAAGATTGCGCCACTGCACTCCAGCCTGGGCGACAGAGCGAGACTCCGTCTCAAAAAAAAAAAAAAAAAAATTTCTCCTAAGTTCAGACACTGCTTCATTGATTAATTCATTTGTTAATCCATCCACTCACTCAATATCTCCGCAAATATTTATGGTGGCCTTTTTTTTTTTTTTTTTTTTTTTTGTAAAGGACTATGCTGGGCCAACATGGTGGCTCATTCCTTGTAGTCCCAGCAATTTGGGAGGCCAAGTGGGAGAATCACTGGAGCCAGGAGTTGGAAACTAGCCTGGGCAACATAGTGAGATCATGTCTCTACTAAAAATAATAGCTAAATTTCAAAAACATATTTTAAAAAAGGACTATGTTAGTGCTATAAGGTATCCAAAATTTATCTGATAAAAATTCCAGGCTCTGTAAATTTATAGAAGAGGGGAAGATAATTTTCTTTTATCAGTAAATTATATCATTGTACTTAAAATGTTTTTCATTGGCTTTGATTTTAAGAAATGTAAGGAAAACAAAATGGTTTACATTAATCATATATTGTATATATTCATATGCAAATATTTACAATATGTATTTAAATGTATATGTGATATATTATTCAATCTTGTTTGTGGATTTAGAAAAAAAAAGAGATTGATACATTTTAAGAAAACTTCCCTGTATGAAAAAAATTTCTGGAAACCGTAAGTGTGAGCTATCTACATTAGTGTTTCTGTGTTTGGCAAAACAGTATTACAGCCCAAACGGGAATGGTTGAGGACAGATAACTTGGCCAAATCACCCTGGCTAGAAAAGTGAGGAGATTGCATCAAACTCACTCCGAAAGCCAATCAAAGAATAACTTGAAACCGCTTTCAGTCACTTGGACTTTGCTTCCTGGTCCTTAGTGGCAGCTAATGAGGTTTAGAAATAAGCACATGTATCTGTCTATACTGAAGGGAAGAAAATAAATCTACTATGGCACCAGTTCAAAACACTGCATGAGCAGTCGAGAGAAACAATTTACCAGAACATGCTTAATGGTAAATCAGAAATGACATGTATGAAAACATGGGGCTGCAACTTGAAAATATTGGAAAATGAGTCATCTAAATTTGCAGAACCAATCAGATCTTGGACTGATACACTTTGTAAGTTGCAACTGCTGGATACCATGTAGCTATGTGATCAAGAGCATCTGTAATGATGAATGCTTCATGTTCACACAGCTTTAAATGCCTGATTTCTGAAATGATCAATCATTTATTAGCTGTAAGGTAAGGGCAATGACATATGCAATCTTCTCCTGTGCTTAGAGATGTTAAAATTCATTTATGGTACTACAAAGATAAGAACATGCAATAAAAGTTCTAAACTATGTAATAAAATCCAAGGTAGGATTTTATGGATTATGTATTAGTAATGATATTTTAAGAGAATATTAACATTTTGTTAAGCAAATATATTAATATATTAATTATTCAATAATTTTAATTATGATTAATTTTATCATAAGCATTTTCTTTTCTATTTACACATAAGACACTTACAAATTCAAATAATAAAAAAAGATGTTTTTAAACTGTACTCAGGAATAGACAGACATATGTTTTAAATAAAGAGAGTCTATTTCAACACGGCAAAACCCCATCTCTACTAAAAATACAGACATTAGCTGGTCATGGTGACACATGCCTGTGGTCCCAGCTACTCATGAGGCAGAGATGGGAGGATCACTTGAGGCTGGGGGCAGAGGTTGCAGTGAGCTATGATTGCGCCACTGCCCTCCAGCCTGGGTGACAGAGCAAGACCCTGTCTCAAAAAATAAAATAAAAATAAAATGAAATAATAAAAAACAAAGCACATAGGTCAGCTGGATGCAGTGGCTCATGCCTGTAATCCCAGCACTTTGGGAGGCTGAGGCAGGAGGATCACTTGAGGCCAGGAGTTCAAGACCAGCCTGGGCAACGTAGTGAGACCATGTCTTTACAAAACACACAAAAAAATTAGCCAGCATGGTGGCACATGCCTGTGTTCCCAGGTATTCGGGAGGCCTGAAGTGAGAGGATCCCTTGAACTACTGTATACAATTTGCAGCCAGGTGGAAGACAGTACAGACTTCAAAGCCTCCATTAACTCAGCGAACCCATTCCCCAGCCCATGGACACACACACAAAGACTTACACTCACATTTTTTGCTTATGGGAGCCAGCGTTTCTCCTTAGGAGTAGCAAGGGATGAGCTTTTTATTGTCACTGTGGCTTTTCAGTTTATGCAACAACACCTTTGAACAAGGGCTGAGACCAGGATGGAACCCACGCTATCTCCCTCTTTATAATGGTGCCATTTAAAAAATTATTTTGTAGAGATGAGATCTTGCTATGCTGGCCAGGGTGGTCTCAAACTCCTGGCCTCAAGTGATTCTCCCATCCCCGCCTCCCAAAGCGCTGGGATTATAGGCATGAGCTACTGTGCCCACCTAAAACAATGCCATTTTTAAGATGAGGTGCATTTAAAGAAAGGGTGTATTTGGTAGGCAAAATAAGTACCCTCCAAAGATGTCCAGGAACTCATCCCTGGAACCTGTGAACATGTGAGACGACAAGGCAAGGGAGGAAATGAGTTGGAAGGTGCTATTGACAGGTACCAATCAGCTGACCTGAAGCATGGATATTATCTTGGGTTATCTCTGGGGGAGTCCAGTGGAATCCCAAGGGTCTTTCTAAGTGTAAAAGAGGCAGGAGAAAGGAACCAGAAAGACAGCCACATGAGAAGGATCCAACCCCAAAAATGCTGGCTTTTAAGATGGAGAAAGAGGCCATGAGACAAGGAATGGTGGGAGCTTTCAGAGTCTGAAAAACACAAGAAAACAGCTCCTCCCCTACAACCCCCAGAAGGGACACTGCCCCACTGTCATCTTGAATGTTAACCCAAAGGCACTCAGTCCAGACTTTACATGAAACTATAGAACTGCAGGGCAATAAGTGTATGTTTTTACTTTTAATTCCAAAAATTTCACTAACTTATTTTAATTGACGAACTTAAATGGTATATACCATCTACACCAGGTTGCTTTGAAATATGTATACATCGTGAAATAGCTACACCGAGCTAGTTGACGATTGCTTTACTTCACCTAAGTATAATTTTCTTTGTGGTGAGAACTCTTAAAATCTACCCTCTTAGCAATCTTTAAAAATACAATATTATCATTAGCTGTTGTCACAGTGTTTTACAATAGAGCTCTTGAACTTACTCCTCCTGTCTAACTGAAATCTTGTACCCTTTGGCCAACATCTCCCCAACCTTCCACCTCCCCCAGCTCCTGGAAACCACATTCTATTCTCTGATTCTGTGAGTTCAACTGTTTTAGATTCCACATAGGAGTGAGATAATGCAGCCAGGATCAGTGGCTCATGCCTACAATCCCAGCAATTTGGGAGGCCAAGGCAGGAGGATCACTAGAGGCCAGGAATTTGAGACTGGCCTGGACAATGCAGGGAGGTTTCATCTCTAGAAAGAAAAAACGTGTGTGTGTGTGTGTGTGTGTGTGTGTGTGTGTGTGTGTATAATTATATAATATATATATTATATATATAATATATAATATATTATATTATATATATAATATATAATATATTATATTATATATATTATATATAATATATTATATTATATATATTATATATAATATATTATATTATATATATTATATATAATATATTATATATATTATATATATTATATATAATATATTATATATATTATATATATTATATTATATATTATATATTATATATATTATATATATTATATTATATATTATATATTATATATAATTAATATAATATATAATATATATAATATGTAATACAAATTATATATATAAAATATATATTATATGTAATAAAAATTATATATATAAAATATATATTATATATATTATATATATAAAATTTGTATTACATATTATATATAATTATGCTATACATATTATATATATCTAATATATTAGATATATATAATATATAAAGCATAATTATAATTATGCTATAGATATTATATAATTATGCTATAGATATTATATATAATATAATATATATTATGTATAATATATAATATATATTACATTATGTATAATATATAATATATATTACATTATGTATAATATATAATATATATTACATTATGTATAATATATAATATATATTACATTATGTATAATATATAATATATATTACATTATGTATAATATATAATATATATTACATTATGTATAATATATAATATATATTACATTATGTATAATATATAATATATATTACATTATGTATAATATATAATATATATTACATTATGTATAATATATAATATATATTACATTATGTATAATATATAATATATATTACATTATGTATAATATATAATATATATTACATTATGTATAATATATAATATATATTACATTATGTATAATATATAATATATATTATATTATGTATAATATATAATATATAATATATATTATGTATAATATATAATATATATTATATTATGTATAATATATAATATATATTATATTATGTATAATATATAATATATTATATTATGTATAATATATAATATATTATATATTATGTATAATATATAATATATTATATATTATGTATAAGATATAATATATTATATATTATGTATAAGATATAATATATATTATATTATGTATAAGATATAATATATATTATATTATGTATAAGATATAATATATATTATATTATGTATAAGATATATATTATATTATGTATAAGATATATATTATATTATGTATAAGATATAATATATATTATATTATGTATAAGATATAATATATATTATATTATGTATAAGATATAATATATATTATATTATGTATAAGATATAATATATATTATATTATGTATAAGATATAATATATATTATATTATGTATAAGATATAATATATATTATATTATGTATAAGATATAATATATATTATATTATGTATAAGATATAATATATATTATGTATAAGATATAATATATATTATGTATAAGATATAATATATATTATATTATGTATAAGATATAATATATATTATATTATGTATAAGATATAATATATATTATATTATGTATAAGATATAATATATATTATATTATGTATAAGATATAATATATATTATATTATGTATAAGATATAATATATATTATATTATGTATAAGATATAATATATATTATATTATGTATAAGATATAATATATATTATATTATGTATAAGATATAATATATATTATATTATGTATAAGATATAATATATATTATATTATGTATAAGATATAATATATATTATATTATGTATAAGATATAATATATATTATATTATGTATAAGATATAATATATATTATATTATGTATAAGATATAATATATATTATATTATGTATAATATATAATATATATTATATTATGTATAAGATATAATATATATTATATTATGTATAATATATAATATATATTATATTATGTATAATATATAATATATAATATATTATGTATAATATATAATATATAATATATTATGTATAATATATAATATATAATATATTATAAATAAGTTGGATGTGGTGCACACACCTGTGGTACCAGCCACTCTGAAGGCTCAGGTGAGAGGATTGCTTGAGCCCAGGAGGTCAAGGTTGCAATGAGCTATGATCGTACCACTGCATTCTGGCTGGGCCAGAGCGACACCTGGTCTCTAAAAATAATATGACTTCAAGTACACAGTTACTCATTTGAGGTAGTAAGGGGTGGCATAAACATCAACTGTTCCATCATTAAGTACACTGTGGCCTCTTTCTTGTCCTTCCACTATAGAGTAAATAGTAGTCAGATAACCCAGGATGTACAACAGAACTCAGACATGGACCTCTGCAGTGCTTATTTTGGCTCTGTAACTACTGAAAGAGATCTCAAATAAGGATCTTTTTAGAAACTTAAAGTAGTACTTCATAGTACTTAGTAGTACCAACACACGCTTTGGGTAAAAGGAAAATCCTTTATGAAAATGCAAACTTTAGGAATTAAATGCTCCCCATAGGGACTCACTTATTGCTGTATACGTGACTGCAGGCAGAAAAACACAATCTGAATGAACTTGTTTTTTTTCTTAAACTTGGAAAACCCAGAAAAGGTGAGTGGTATACAGGGGCCAATTAACATAAATAGCACGAGGAAAAATGAGAGGAAGTCACTCCTCTCCTCCCAATGGGAGTACTGTGTTTTGAAGGATTCATGAATGGAATTTCAGAAACTTGGCAAAAGAATACATTTACTTCACTTACTCCATATATATTCTGAATTTCATATTTACTAAATAAAGTGTTTCCAAATGAACATTTCTTTTTTTACATGTTACATGTAAAATTGTTTTACATGTAAAAACATGTACATCTTTTTAACATGTTACATGCAAAAAATCTTTTTACATGTTTGTTATATGTTGTTACATGTGAAAACTGCACATTAAAAAAAGGAAAGGCAGGCGAATTCATCATTCAAGTTTTTAGATGTCCATATAAACTTCCACATAATCCACGAATATTAAACTGGATAAACAAAGCACTCTACAAAATTTACCTTGCCACAGATGTGAAATAATTGTAAGCATACATAAATGTTAACAAAATGCTTTCATTCAATTCTAAGGGGAGGTATCATTGAATGATGGACCAAAACAAACTAAATAGCATTTTGATGTCTGTGGAAATGACATACCCACAAACCAGTGGCTCAGCACTGATATTAATATATCTTGCTCAGTTGCCTTAATCATTTACAGCAGTATAATTTTTTTTAAGAACACAGACAGTAAGGTGCTTTTAATAATTTTGATATGGCCATAGAGTATATCTATTTTTTGAAGTCCTACTTTCATTGGAATTGCCTCTTTATCCTAATGAGTAAATACAAAAGAACGCACAGATAAGATAGCTTTTGTCTTCTTCTTCTTGTTTTCTGAGAAAGAGTCTTGCTCTGTCGCCCAGGCTGGAGTGCAGTGGCACAATCTTGGCTTACTGCAACCTCCAACTCCCGGGTTCAAGAGATCCTCCTGCCTCAGCTTCCTGAGTAGCTGGAACTACACGTGCGTGCCACCACGCCCGGGTAATTTTGGTATTTTTAGCAGAGATGGGGTTTCACCATGTTGGCCAGGCTGGTCTCAAACTCCTGACCTCAAGTGATCCACTCCCCTCGGCCTCCCAAAGTGCTGGGATTACAGGCGTGAGCCACCACACCCAGCAGATATTGTCTTCTTTTATTAGAGAAAAATGTACTTTTCTATGCCTGTGCTTTCTACATTTTTGGAACTGATACAAATCCACAGAGGCCAAATCGAAATCTAAATTATCTTTAATGTTAAAATTTAATTGACCGTGTACATAACTATGCAATCCCTGCTTTCTCACAGAAGTGTCTAGGATTCATTCAACAGATCATAGAAACGAGGTCTGGCATTTAACAGACGAGTGACAGAGGAGCTATACCGATTTATACAACAATTATCAAAACACTGTCATGTAGTTTACTGTAGCTCAAGTTGTGCTTGTATCATATAACATAGGTTCAAGTTCTTTCTTCAGTCATCAGAATAACAGAGGTTGAAGAGACAACTGGGTAAGTGCCAACTTTTCCAAAAGCTGTTTCAAAAAAAAATTTAAGTAACTGTAATACACATTTCTGCAAATAAAATATTCCAGTGCTACATCAATCCTGAGTTTTTAATATTAAATATGCACTACTTACAGTTCTGACATGATTTTATTTAAAAACATGTCTAGTTATCAAGTTCACTGTCTTCATCGGAAAAAACTCTGTCACAAAGGTCTTCAAAGTCCTCAAGAGCCTAAAAGAAAAAGTCTAGTTCACTGACAAACCACCACTTTATATCTCGCATTTTAAACAGGGTTAATTAAATGTCAAAAGGAAACAGCTTTTAATATTCAAAGGATGCCAGTTATTCATTTCAAATAGAAAAAACTATAATCAATACATGGAGCTCCAAATACCCAATTAAATTTTTTAATGCCAGATTTCAGTGACATATTATTTTAGCAGGTCTAACAGTCATGTACTTTGCTTAAATAAAATGGGTTGAAGAACATCTTAAGGTCAAGATGGAGCGAAGACAGAAAAAGACGGGCAGGCTTATATCATGAAATATTATATTTTTTTTCAGCAGGTAGCGACCCATGTATTATCAGCAATAGCCTACATAACATGGTTTCCATTGAAGGGATAAAATGGTTGGTGATATGACCTCATCAAGTTAGAGAAAACGTAACTGTGTTTGAAATATATACTCTTTACTCAACAAATAGTTCAACAGTTCCTACTCCCTAAAATGTTGTAGGTTAATGCTGAGGAAGATGTAAAAAATGAATACACAATCTTCCGTATTTCTATGACATGAGCAAATGCACAAATAAAAAACAAGTAATACAAAACTTGTGTAACTGCTATGGAAGGGCAACTCACTCGGGCATGTAGCCAAAAATGGAGACTGATGTTGATTTAGTTGGCGAAAGGTTTCAATCAGTCAAAAAAAGATTTTAAAAGTATTGTGAGGGAAGAGCATGAGCAAAGCATGGGAGTAACGGTGAGTTCCTTCAGGGAAGGCGGTCAACCTGGAGAAGTGGGAGGAAAGACAGAAGGCGGCAAAACAAGCCTAAGAGGGGGTCATGTAAAGGGGAGAGTCTCTGAATATCTAAGAACTGAGACGGGGCATCACTGACAGGCTGGGAAGACGGAAGGGCTGGGAAGCATTTTAGGAAGGGAAGGGTTTTAGAAAGATAATATTGCCAATCAATGAAGGATGGCTCAGAAGAGAAGAGAGAACTCAGAAAAGAGTTTAATAGTACAGGTAAGGAAGAATGAGGTCTTGGACTAGGGTAGCCGCAGTGGGAATTTAAAGAAAGAAATTAAAGGACCATTGCAGAGGTAAAACTTGCCTCGTGATAACTACATGGGAAGGATAATGAACTCAGAAGAGTCCAAGATGATAGCAAAGTTCCTAACCTAAGTGGTAACATGAAACATTAATACTGACAGGAAAACTACTAGTCTCATGTTCATACCAATTAATAAATGGTATCTGGAGAACATTATAGCAACATGTTCTCTACTTGTAACTTCTATTTAAATAACTGTTTGTGTATAGATAATCCTCAAGTTGCTTGAAAATTTTATTTTCAAACTCTTTTCCCAGTTTATTTAACACATCTCAGTTAGTGTAGAGAAGTGACATATGAACATGTCTTTTCCAAGGTTATTAAAAAGAATACCAGATCTCCCCAAAAAAGATTCCACTGCTTCCTAAATTATCTACATCTACATGAAGAAGAGGTCATTGTCTGATGATAATTTGCTAATGTGCTGTACAACAGCAGATAATTCGCAATTCACAACGTGTTAATAATCTGCTGGCTTTCCCATTCTGTTATACATCTGAACCATCTCTTATGATTACAAATTGTCATGTAGAACCATTACTAATAATTTTGTAAGTGAATATGCCATAAAACACTCCTGTGTTTCAGCAAGAAATAAAAAAGACACACAGTAGTTACGCTTGCCTACTTCCTATTTAACTAAAACTCTTGAAACAACACAAGTAAAAAAGCCATCCAGAAAGGATTTATGGACCTCTTGCCTTCCACCATAGATTTGTCATTGATGTCCTGAAAACTGAAAATAAAATCTTCATTAAAACCCATTTATGCCTAGTGTTCCATTATTGGAACGCTAAGCTTGTGGGAATCATATATATCCTACTGCTCAAGGTCATGGCCAAGGTCTGATTTTTCACACACAAAAAAAATTTGCAACCTCTGGCATAAATAGGTTAATGTGTTAATAAAGTGTCAATTTTATACATAAGATGTGTATTTCTAGGTAAAATTTCCAATTTACCTTTTCCTGTTCTAAATAACTCCCACAAACTATTCATGAATCCTAAAAATACATTTACCAATTATATTATATCTGGAACAATACATTCAAAGTGAAAATGCTAAGTAATTTGAAATGTATAATCAAATGTCTTTCCATACATTCAGAAACAAGCAGACTGTCTTCTATTATGCACGTGTTGTATTTTATAATGTATTATGTTACCAAATAGAACAGACCTTTACGAATTGGTCACGTAGCAGCTTCATCTCTTTCAGCCTCTCTCTCCTAACACTTCTATATTGTTGCCACTTCTTCTGTTGTTCTTGAAATATTCTCTAGAATCCCAAAACAAAATAGTGATAAAAATTGGGTAAATTTTAATACTTACAAAACATAATTCTGCATTAGCTTTAAAGGAATACTGTTTAAATCAATACCTCTGAACACTTTCTTTTAGACAACATTTAGGACCAATTTTAAACAATTGTGTTCACCAATAACATGCTAAAATGATGTATTAACCTTTTTTATCAGTCATTAAGTAAAGAATTTTCTTACTTTTACACATTCAACACATATGTCCTAATTCTTGATTTCCAATGAAGAGTATTTGATGAACCTTCCTATAATTTGTTGACCACAGATAGGTAAGATCTATACAGAAATTAACTAAGAAAAATTCTTTCTAAGATTTTAAGCATGTATTAAATCTCGGTCATTTCAATATGCACATAGATGAACCACCCAATAATGATTGCCTTTCTGCACCCTGACCTAATCTCCAACAACAGTGTTCTCCTCTCCTCTACGTGGCACTCACTCACACAGTCATCCCCTAGATTTTGTCATTCCCAATGACTTCAACACCTACGTAATATTAATAATAGCAATGATAAAGAGCAACCATGGGTCAGATCACATCCTGAAAAACTTAAATAAACCTGTTACACAGAAACCCTTTGATCCTCCAAACAACTCTGACGTAGGTACTCTTACCATGTCTCCTTTCGTAGATAAGATAATTTGCCCATGGTTTCCGAGCTAGCAATGGTCAAGCTGAGATAAATAATTTTTCCATGGTTTCCGAGCTAGCAATGGTCAAGCTAGAATCCCAAGCAGTGTGGATGCATAGTCCCAGCCCTTGACCACTGCACTCAGCTGTTTCTCCAACTTCCCAACATACAGCCACTACCTCCCTGCCATCGTAGGTCACTCACTTCAGTACTACAGCTCAGGAGTCTGTTGGGACCTGACACCCACTGAATGGAGCACTTTTTACTGCCCATTGCCCACTCCCGTGTGCTCAGATAACTCAGTCCCAGCTGAAATTCCACAGCCAGTCATCATATCCCCATCTCTGCATCTATTCCCTGCCCAACTCTCCCTCTATCAATCTGCTCGGCTACACCCCGACCCAGGAAATTCCAACCCTACAGCTGTGCTTGCACAAATATGCCAACTGGGCTTACTTTAACTTCTTCATCGTTATGATGCTGACTTCAGTTGGACCCCTAATGCTGCGTGGCAATTATATTCCCCTAGTCCATTAGTCCACTAACGGGCCCCCCTCTCTGGGCTCATGCGCTCTTCCTTCTTTGCTGGATTTCTGCATGAACTATTACTACCTGAGACACTGACATAACAGGTTATACATAAAGCTAAGCATGATACCAACAATTAGTTCTTCCTCTTCTCCCTCTTCTTCTTCTTCCTCTTTCTGCTCGTCTGTGATGTATTCTTCAAGGACATTTAGCAACTTCAGAGAATGTATATAATCACGTTTCTGCCTGTAACACATAATAAGTAACACGGTCATACGTCATAGAGAGATGAAAAATTAATCCTATTCAAACCCAAACTGACTTGACATAATTTATACTATAAAGTAGCAAGGGAGTAATAGCAGCTGAAATCTTCTTTTTGGAAAAAAGTGAAATGAGTTACTCTCATTTTGAAAGGATTCTTTTCTTCCTGACTACTAGAGCAGCTATCTTACATTCTTTACCTGCTGAAGACAAAGGAGGGTTTACTGCACTATAACTTTCCCAGAAACATTTTCTCTAAGAGCAGTTTACTTTCCATTTCCTCTTACTGAATAACATATGGGTTCTCATAAGTAGGTTCAAGAATATCATAGCCATTCATCCCATAAGATTTCCCAAAAGAAAAACTTCACTTAACTATTTCTCCACTTTGGCACACCAATGATTTTGTAAAAGAAATAGTGAAAACAATTTAACTAAAATAGATAACTTATTTACAACATAAGGTTATCCCTTTCTACATAATTGAGTATCGTTAAGGATCTACAGACTAAACATTGAGAACATTTATCTTATATGCAGCTACCATATTTCTAGAAATGGATAAACATTAATTTTACAAGAAGGCTATTTTTATCTGGAAGGCAAAAAGAGGTCATCTTCATTGGCTTCTAGGTAATATCTCTTAATTCTGTTAAACTGAGGTTATAAAACTAAAGAAACTTACCTACTTAGAGAACAATCAAGTAAAATATGTTGTTCACTAGAGACGCCAATATGTACAGGATAGTTTTTGAAATTATTTGCACCAACTAATACAAAGAAATGATATAAATATCATTATGCAAAAAAGCCAACAGTCATACCTTTTAAGTTGCTTTTTTCTCAAAGCATGTTTACTTTTGTTCTTTGTTTTGCTGCAAGTTTTATCCATTTTCATCCTTTTTCTTTTTGCAGTAAGATCCTCTTTAATGTCAGTTAGATAGTAAATGAAAATGGATTAAAAGTTAATGTTGAAAAGTAGTTTCTTTGCATATACTGACATCAATATGGGACTTTATGGTTCAGCAATTTCAGAAGGATATTTAAAATATAAAATGCAAAGATCATTTCAAAAAGCAAGATTTACTCACTTATTTTCTGTAAAACCTTTCAGGTATTAACATTCGCATTTCAATTCCAGTTGGTATAACTGAAAATCACTTAATTGACAGATGATGAAAAAAAGCAAATAATTAAAAGTCTCTATTTTTTAAATGTGCAGAAAGAGTTATAAGCACAGACTTTAATTTCTACATTTATAAAATGTCCTACAATTCAAAGGAGATGCTTCCATGAAATACTGCACAATTCATTACGTAAAGCACACAAAAAAGTATCTTATATAATAGAACCCTCAAAAGGGTAGAAATAACTTAATGCACAATAAGAAAAGCATTTTTAAGCAATCTAGTGATTGATGCTATTAACTGTATTTTAATAAAAGAAGCAATGGCCATGAGTATAAAAATTTAGGTTTAGGTAAAGAAATACATTCAAAAACACTTTTGAAATGTTTTCTTGGAGCTTTTTATGACATTTGTACCCATAGTGCTGTGTTTCAGAAAACTGTAATACTGCAAGGAATGCTTTCCTAAACATGATTTCACATCAGAGCTCTACCATCAATTGCTAAGAATAATTTTCAGCAATCATAAAAGATTTGTACCACAATGCAAATATTTTTTACATACAGTCTCCATCTATAATGCCCAATGTATTAGGCAGCTCACAAAACCAGCACTTTGTCACCAAGCTTTCCAAATATACTGCTTGTATGAATCATCGCTAGAGAAGAGCTGAAAACTGAATTGAGCTTTTTAAAAATAAGAGTATTGTCTCCATCATCTCTACAGAAATTTTCTCAAACTTTTTTGAAAATATGGTCCTATAAGAGTGTAACTAATATTTCACACAGCAATATAAAGTTTATGAGTTTTTGGAGCCAATTACATGTTTCTCACTAGGTAGAAAAGTTGTCCTTACTTTTCTACTACACAGTTTATTACTGGAATAATAATAGAAAATGATTTTAGAAAATTCAATTTTCTCTTGTACTTTAAAGAAAACAAAATCAGAAAGCTGTGACAATAGAACAGCTAAATTAGGAACATGAAAAACTCATATTAAAAACTCTGAGTACAGACGGACAGGAAGAGAGGAACAACAGACAACTGGGCCTACTTGAGGGTGGAGGGTAGGAGGAGGGTGAGGATCAAAGACCACCCATCAGGTACTATGCTTATAAACTGGGTGACAAAATAATCTGTATACCAAAACCCTGTGACATGCAATTTATCTACATAACAAACCTCCACATGTACCCCCAAACTTAAAGTAAAAGCTAAAAAAAACCATTGATATATGACTTAATCTGTGTATACTAAAAGGAACGAATAGAGCTGTTTCTCCTCCACTGTCCTCTAATATCCTCCAAACAATTAAATTTCCACATGTATGAAAGAAAAGCCATCCATCTCGCTTCACCATTATTAGAAGCATTCTCACATTCCACATCAACAATCAAAAAGGTAAGAAAAATTTATCAAATAGATTACATTAAATACGTACGTTAAATGCTACATATGAGAAGCCATTTAAGACAGTCTTGTCGTCCACTAATTCATATAACCTACTGCAACAGTTGTATGACTGAAAACAATTTTCATAAACTACAGATAACTCCTAAAACATACCTGCAGTATCTTCTGGCTTCTTGGTATTAGCCCTGTAAAAAAAGTTACATCAAAATTTTAACAAAATACTACACAAAATGCCATGTTTGTTGGGAAAAGAAATGTCTTATGTGAAATGTTCTGCATAGAATAGAACAGTGATGACATGGTCCAAAGCTGACTTTTCCTAAAAGACCCTATCCGACAGGCAAAAGTGACTTAAACACTTTACCCCGTGTGTTCATCTGTTTCAGCAAAAGGTTCTCTTTCCCCATGCTCATCAGTTACATCTTCCTCCCTTGTTTCTGTAAAACGGTTTCTTTCCTCACATTCATCACGGACTGGATCCTTTCCTGCATTAAAATGTAAAAGACAAACCTTTTTTAGAGGAAGATGCTGCTGTGGACATTTTTTGTGGAGAAATGTACTAGTTGTAGACTTTTTTGGGGGGGGGGGGCTCTCTGCCAATTAAAGCTTTAAAGCAGAGCTATACATGGAATCACCGGTTCCTGACCATTTTATCGAGGGACTTTTGGAAGCCCTTCGGGTTCAGGTTCCAGTAAACAACGTACTACAGTTCAGACCCCTTGGATGTCAGGACTGCACCCATGGAGAAGAGCTGCTCTGAGAGCATCTGTAACCCTGCTATGAGGGGGAGCCTTCCACGGGGAAGCCTAAGGCCCTTGAGCCTGCTTTGAAAACCTGGCGCATCTTAGCACGTGCACAATGGACTCCAGAGCCACGAAGGGGCCTGGGGCCTCGGGCTGCCCCTGTGCCCCCAGCGCAGAAAGCAGACAGACCGTCCTCTTGGGCGTGCACCTTCTTCTGGGTCCCCTTGGGCTGTATTTACCTGCATGCTTCTTCCCCCAGGCCGCCATAAATTGAGCCTCCAACTGGGCCTTGGCAGCCCTCCTGCCCACAGGATCCGTGGCTGGTTGTCCTGGGAAGCTAGAGGCGATCCCCGAACCTGGTGAGCGCAAAGACACACTAAGGAAGCTAAGGAAACCTGGCATCGGAAAGGAAAGCCATTGGGATCACAGGTTCAAGAAGGGTGGGGCTGGCCCGCCCTGGGTCTCATGTGGGAGCAGGAAGGGACGGAAAAGATGCCAGTGTCCCCTCCTGTCCTGGCCCGTCCAGCCCGTCCCCGGGGCTGGCTGCAAAGCTCACAGCTGCCCCTCACACCTGAACTCCACGGCCTCTGCGGGATCCTCGCCGCCCTTTTGGGACAGAACTCAGCCCTACCTCTGAGTCACCTAGCGACCCCATGTGGCTGGGAGGGCCGCTGGGTGACACAGGATCTCCCCAGCCACCTCTAGGGGAATGTCAGGGGCTGCACTGCCACTCGCCCCCCTGGACGCACAGGGGACCCCCGGTGACCCCCGGTGACCCCAAGTGTCCTGTCCTGTCGGGCGGCCAGGCAGGAGGGCCCCACTCAGACTGTCCCCCACAACACCCCCGCCTCACTCCCACTTCTCCCCCCCTCGGCCCCTCCCCCCAACACATGCACAAGCCCCCAGGACCCTCCCGGGCCCTAGGGATCACCCAGGCAGCTCCAGCTCCCTCCCTGCCCTGGCCCACCCCAGCCCACCCTAGCCCACCCTCAGGGCCTCGCCCTGACCCAGGCCCCAGGCGACGACGCTGGGGCCATTTCCTCACAGGTCGGCGGGCTGCCCAGCGCTTCACACCCTGGTTCCCAGAGGGCCTCGTGCCTGCGTTCCCGCCTCCCCACCACGAGTGCTTCACCTGAGGGACCCCTGATGTGGCGCCCTCAAAGAACCTGCAGGCAGCGGCACCACTAGGACCTCTTAGAAAACGGGTCCTCTCAGGAAGCTGAGGCAGGAGAATTGCTTGAACCCAGGAGGCGGAGGTTGCAGTGAGCCCAGATCACACCACTGCACTGCAGCCTAGGCAGCAAGAGCCAGACTCCGTCCCAAAAAAAACAAAACAAAAAAACAAAAAAAAAGAAAAGTAAAGAAAACGGGTCCTCAGTTCTCGTGAGAGCTGCAGGCAGGACTTCCTGCGCTCCTCGCTGATTGGTCGGCTCAGTGCACATGCGTGTGACGGGCTGTGTGGGGCCAGGCCCCCTGCTGGCACGCCCTCACCCTTCCCCTAAGTGACAGCCCGTGGTTGCTGTGGACTGGGGTGGGGGTGGCCCTTTGGGGCCTCTGTCCCCACAATCTTTCAGCTTCTCCTCCTGGGGAGAGACACAAGGACTTGGGATGGAGGCCAAGTGGACAGGGCCTAGAACCTCGCCCTGGGGCTTGTTCCAGCCACCCCTGCCCCTTTGGCTAGAATGGCCATCACCCTGTGGGTGGAGCCCAGGCTCCCTCCCATGCCCTGTGTGCTTCCAACATGCCCAGCTGCGTCCTTTTTAATCAATGGATTGTGCTTTTATCGTTTGTGTTTGTTGGTTTTTGAGACTGAGTCTCACTCTATTGCCCAGGCTGGAGTGCAGTGGCAAGATCTCAGCTCACTGCAATCTCCCCTTCCCAGGTTCCAGCGATTCTCCTGCCTCAGCCTCCCGAGGAGCTGGGATTACAGGAGCCCAACACCACGCCCTGTTGTTGTTGTTGTTGTTGTTGTTGTTGTTGTTGTTGTTGTTATTATTATTATTGCATATTCGGTAGAGACAGGGTTTCACCATGTTGTCCAGGCTGGTCTCGAACTCCTGACCTCAGTTGATCCGCATGCCTTGGCCTCCCAAAGTGCTGGGATTACAGGCGTGAGCCACCGTGCCCAGCCCATAACCTTTTTTGTTTCCTCACTACTTTTCTTTCTCATCCTCATGCCCCAGACTTGCCCACAAACCTTCATACTCCAGACTTATCCAGACATATGCCACAACCTTCACCCACAAATTAATGCCTTAATACTTATCGTTAACTCAGCTTTTTCCCACCTCCGATCCCCTGTAATAGGGAGAGAGTTGTTTCGGAGTTGGGAGTGAATAAATATTGCCTAAAGTTTGTAAATCAAGATACAGAGTTTCATTATACTATTGAAATTATAAAGGCAGTCATCAGGAAAACTAATCCACAGCCTTAAATGCCTATATAACCAAAAAGAGCACACACAAAGCATACAAATCCTGTAGTAAAAGTTGGAAAATAAAGAAAATACTACAGAGACCATAACATAACATAAAAGAACAGAATTAAGGCCAAGTGAATCTGTTGAGCAAGAAATATGAATGAGATAAACTCGCATTCTAAAGGAAATGACTTCCAACTTGGATCAAAATAAAAACCTAAGTATATGCTGTATGTAAGAATGGAATTAAACAAAATGATACAAAAAGTACATATCAGAAAAATATGAAGAAAAGGAAAATATGGATCTGAGAATTGATATCTCATGAATGTAAAATAATGCAAAAAATAAATGAATAAACTAAAGGCAGAGTACACTGAACAAGAGAAGGGCACAATCTACTCTGACAATCTCACATGAATCATTTTGTGCTTAACACAGCATCAATGTGCCTAAACCCAAAACCGTAGAAAATAAAAGCAAAACAATCAATGAAAATGAACAGTGATATGAGAGTTTAAGCTCCGTCTGTCCAGGAGAGACCAAATACAAATGTATTGTCTTGGATACAGGCATAGTATCTTAAATTGCTCTCTTGGCAGTAGAGTGAGCATTTTCTTTCACTTTCAACCAATGAACCCTCACCACATCCTATAGTACTTCCTTGGCCACTACTATCTTCTATTCTACCTACAGTTTCCCAAAAGATTAAAAAATTAGAAAGACTTCATTCTCAGCAAACTATCGCAAGGACAAAAAACCAAACACCGCATGTTCTCACTCATAGCTGGGAATTGAACAATGAGAACACATGGACACAGGAAGGGGAACATCACACTCCGCGGACTGTTGTGGGGTGGGGGGAGAGGGGAGGGATAGCATTAGGAAATATACCTAATGCTAAATGACGAGTTAATGGGTGCAGCACACCAACATGGCACATGTATACATATGTAACAAACCTGCACGTTGTGCACATGTACCCTAAAACTTAAAGTATAATAATAATAAAATTTAAAAAAAATTAGAAAGACTTACATTAGCAAATAGGAGAAAAGTTTTCTTGTTGTTGTTGTGTGTGTACACACCTGCATGTAAATGTGTGTGTGTGTGTGTGTGTGATGTTTGTTGTTTGTTTTTTTGAAATGGAGCTTTGCTCTTGTTGCCCAGGCTGGAGTGCAGTGGCGGGATCTCGGCTCACTGCAACCTCTGCTTCCCGAGTTCAAGCGATTCTCCTGCTTCAGCCTCCAGAGTAGCTGGGATTACAGACGCCCGCCACCAAGCCTGGCTAATTTTGTATTTTCAGTAGAGACGGGGTTTCACCATGTTGGCCAGGCTGGTCTCGAACTGCTGACCTCAAGTGATCTGTCTGCCTCGGCCTGCCAAAGTGCTGGGATTACAGGCATGAACCACTGCGCCTGGCCTGGTTTTTTGTTTGTTTGTTTGTTTAATATGAGAGCCAGCACTAAATGATCTTCAAAGTATCTTCAAAACTTAAATGTTCACATGATATATTTTTCACATTCAGTGTGAGTAAAGCATGGAAGGTAATGTTCCATTCTGGTGCATTAAAGCATAATGGTGTTGTATTTGAGAAGAGAGAAAGGGAGCTGTGGTCTGGAAACTGTTGCCCAGAGCACTGGAAAAACCACCTTAGAGCTGTTTCAGGCTGTTTTAAGTTCCAGATCATTTTGAATTCCTGCCCTAGAAGCTATGCACACTCAGAGAATGAGTTCAGTCTTGACCCATGATATTGTACTGAATACCTCAGCTACTTTTCTACAGATTAAATAACATAAACTCCTTTTACTTTTCTTCACAGTTCTTAAAATGAAACTTTAACAATGTCTCCTTGAAGGCGTTAAGAGTGCTTCAAAATTCTATCTTTCTTTCGTATTGTCTTTTCTTGTTGTTAGTTTGTTTGGTTTTGGTATAAAGGGAGCCTAAATCTGGTTGCAGTTAGTAGGAATCTGAGAAGGCTAAGTTCAAAATCTCAGAAAGATTTTCTTTATATTTTCTATGTTTTATATTCCTTTCATAAATTCTGATATGAATACTTTCCCAGTAAGAATATTTGTATCATGCTTTAACATTTCATTTATCTTTGTGTGCGAATTAGCATTTGTTTTATTAAAACAATCTAAATGTATTAAGGAATTAGATTATAGGGAAATTAAATTAAAACATAATTTAAAAGAAATTATTATATCCAGATACTGAAAAACAGAGGTATAAAGATGTTGTGACCGGGTCCAGGAGGAAGGGGGTCAGGGAAAATGATGTACCAGACTAATGAGTGGCTTGGACACTGTATTAGTCCATTCTCAAATTGCTATAAAGAACCAAGACTGGGTAATTTATGAAGACAAGAGGTTTAGCTGACTCACGGTTCCACAGGCTGTACAGCAAGCATGGCTGGGGAGGCCCCGGGAAACTTACAATTATGGTGGAAGGTGAAGGGGAAGCAGGCAACATCTTCACATGGCGGAGCAGGAGTAAGAGAGTGAAGGGGAAGGTGCTACACACTTTTAAACAACCAGATTTCATGAGAACTCACTCACTATCACGAAAACAGCAAGGGGGAAGTCTGACCCCAGGATCCAATCACCTCCCACCAGGCCCCTCCTCCAGCATGAGGATTACAATTTGACATGAGACTTAGGTGGGGAAACAGAGCCAAACCATATCAGACACAAAGTTGAGCTCTTCATAAAGCACAAATGTTCCAAACCGGAACAAAGGTAGGTTAGCATTTTCCAAATGCCAACCTCCAAAGACCTCCAGATTAGGACCTCAAACACGTTTCAAGTTTGTCACATGGCTCTCCTTTTACTTGACTGCTCTCCAGGAAAACCAAACTTTACCCCACATGCCTCTGATATTATTAATGTTCCTTCCTAGGCAGACAAATCCTATCAGAATTTCAAACCTACCCTAAATGTTTCCTCTTTAATGTAGCCATTCACCCAGTGCTTTTAAATATGTGAGACACTCTTTCTTTTTGCAACCCATTTAGAGCTTTTATCTGTCGTGGGAAATTTGCCTTATATTGCAGTTATCTGGGAAGTCATATTCCCCATTAAACTACATCTGAAGGTCCAGAACAGTTTCCAAGGTATCCGTATAATATGGAGCACTCAATGTACACTGACCATATTGAATCCAACAAAATTGAAATTAATGTAGCTTTTTATCTTTAAAACAGAAAAATAATAACGAAAAAGCCACAACTCACAGAGTACTTGAACTTGCATCATTCTGCTAAGTGGCATTTTTATGAGTCCTAAATGCTCTGCACTATGCTAATGAAAGACAAGGTTGCAAATAATTGCCTGGGCCTCCCAGAGAGACGTTGGTACAGCATTCTGGCCTGCTAGTTTAAAAAAAAAAAAACTTTTTTCTCGGCCTAGAAAAACAGGTTCCTGATTTGTATAGTAGAGGCTAGCTCCTTTCTAAATTATGTGCAGACAACACTGGTCTGTATATTTGAAGTGAATTAGTGTCTTTATGTAATCCCTGAAGGTCTCCATAATTCCTTGTTAACACGATGGAGTTTCTGATGTGCTGTCTCCCTGCACAATCACAGGTTACTACAGAGAATGGAACTCAGAAGTCAACAAAAACTCTTTATCAAGTATGACTACAAAGTAATAGAACTTAGATGGCATAATGTAAATGAACACTTCTTTGTCCTCCAAGTTATATGAGATGCTATACATATAGTACATCCACGCTATCATTGATCAAAATGCTTATGAAAGTACTTTCAGCAGCTAGGGCACATTCTTCTAAACATTCCTAAAGGTGGCAAATCCCCAAAATATGAGGGGCATGTGGGTTTTCTGAATACCCAAAGTTGTTAAAAATCAATTATGGGGCCAGGATCCTAACTTTGGTATGTGTGTACGAACGCTTACACACTTGCAAGAGTGAATGCTTGTGTGTGGGCATGTGCACATGTGCATGCATTCGTGTGCATGGATATGAATGTGCATGGGTGAAAACATGCAGATGTATGCATGACATGTCTTTTATCTCTATATCAGCACAGGAAGAAGCATGGAACAATAAACACTAGAATGATACATCTCGCCATCCCTGGGTGTGGGAATTTCAGATACATTTTATAACATATTCTTGTTTATTTATATTTTCTAATTTTTCTATATGCATTTCTTGCTTATGTAAGAAGCAAATAAAGAGAAAAAAAGGAAAAAGGGAGACAAAGAAAAAGTATTTCTAAAACCTTCACAAGTTAATCAATTCTGATGAATGCAGTAGTCTATTAGTTTCCCACTGCTGCTGTAACAAATTACAACAAAGTGAGTGTCATAAACAATAAAGATGGATTATCTTACTGTTCTGGCTGTTAGCAATCCCAAATTTATCTCACTTAGCGAAATCCAAGGTGTCAGCAGGGCCGGTTCCTTCTGAAGTCTCCAGAGGAGAATCAGTTCCTTGCCTTTTCCAGCTTTTAGAGGCTCCTGCACTCCTTGGCTTATGGCCCCAATTTCCATCGTTAAAGCCAGCAACATCATGCCGATTCGTTCTCATGCTGCCAGCTCACTGGTTCCCTCTTCTGATTCTCACTGTTTCCTTTAAGGACCCTTGTGATTACATTGGACCCACCCAGGTAATCCAGAATAATTTCCCCCATTTAAGATTAGCTAATTGGCAACCTTGGTTCCATGTACAATACTGATTCTCCTTTGCCATGTAAACTAATATAGTCACAGATTCTGGGAATTAGGATCTAGACATCTTTGAGAGGCCATTATTCTACCTACTACAGGTGGGTAACTGGAAAAAGTTGTGTTCCTATCACAATTTGGCTAAACTATATCATTTTTCAACACCTACCTTATTGATCAGCATATGGTAGTATTATGCTGAAGAAAGAATGTCAGTTCAACGGTTTTAATGACTCCCCAGACAGCCATTGCCTGGCTGAGACCTCTTGAAAACAATAACTATGGGCATATTTTGGGCTGAGTCACAGATACTATGGAGAAGCTGCTGTATCAGAAGTAGGAGCCTGAGGCTGGACCACACTCAGACACTAATCAGCCAAATGCCATCAACCAAGACGTCACCATCCGTAAACTTAGCAATAAATGAGGAGGTTGGGTCATACACTAACTCAATCCCCTCTACTCCGTGATTATGTGACAATCATGCAAGAAAAACCTACACCCATCAGTGTCATCTAAAAACATCATTCCCATTCCTACTTCCAATCTATAATACAGGCTTCCCATTCAGGCAAGGAGATTCAGACTTCATCCCACACACATTGAGCTCACACACAATTGTTTGACTTAGGAAGCTCCCATCAGCAATAATACCCTCCTCTTTCATCTCTACTGTATTCCATATTTTCTAGACCATTTGATTTGCAAACATTTTTTATTGTATTTGTGATTTCTTCACACAGCAGAAGTTTTAAATTTTGGTGAAGTTCAATTTATTACTTTTTTCTTTTTAGATCATACTTTTGGTGTCATATCAAAGACATCTTTGCCTAATCTCATGTCATGAAGATTTTCCATTATAATTTTACATGTTACATTTAGATCTGTGATCCATTTTGAGTTAAGTTTTGTATATGGTGTGAGGTTTAGGTGAAGTAACTTTTTTTGGTAAATAAGTGCTCAATTGTTTCAGCATCATTTGTTGAAAAGACAGTCCTTTCCCCATTTTTTCTTTGCATCTTTGTCTAAAACCCAACTGATGACATTTGTATGACGACATTTGTGTACTCAGTTTCTTCTATCTGTCCGTGTGTCCATCTTTTGTCCAATACAACACTGTCTTGACATTTGAAGTATGTTGTGTGGAGTTCATAGTTATCTATTGGAAAGTTGGCTACTTTTCCATTTCCTAAAATGCATTGCTCACATTTTACAGGAAACTGAGAAATAATATAAATTTGTAAATATAACTTTCAACAACATTAAAAACATGGTCTAACAAAAGTGAAATTTAAAAGGACACTAATAGGTACTTCAATGTAAAATTCTCTGACATGTCTATATTAAAAACGCATTGTAAATATCTGATTCTTGTATATATACACAGAGTCATCATGAATACAGCAGTTATCAATTCAGGCTGACTTCGGCTACTTTTTACGGGCATCTCAATCACCACGAATGGCATATTGTGGACTTGATCTTTCAAAATGAAGAAATACTCTTGGTAAACTCATGAACAAAACAGTGTGCGGTCTACCCTCAAATTATATAAGAGTTACAATCTTGGAAAAATCCAATGTATATTAAAATTGTGGGGAAAATATTTTTGCTTTACATAAAATTATTTATTTGTAGCTTCTGATAATTATGAACAGTTTTTCACTTATTTGGATGTCAAATGCCACCTGGATTGTCATGCTGCATTGTTCAATGTATTTGTTGGACACTACCTCACTCTGCATAGGATGCACTGCAATCCTCTAATAATCAAGACAATTTAAAAATTACCCTATAAATACCCAAAAGTTCCCTAGCAGGGAACCACCAAGCTTCATTACAACTCATGGCCTTATAATGTATTAAATATCTGGGTTTTACGACAAAAACTCTTTTTGTCTTGAATGATCTCTTCAACAACCTGAGTCATGTATAAAGGTTAAATAGTAGTAGCAACTTGGTTTTTATTTCCAAAGCATTAAACACGCTGGGCTCTGATAAACACGCTTCGTGTGTCACAATCAATTAGAAAGCTATCCAGTGTGAATGAGTTTCTGACATTGAGAAATACTGCTGGCATCTGTTAAACAGGCCACAGAGATTGGGCTCCTCATACATACCACTGCCTTTGAGCTACATTCTCCTTCTAATACCAAAGGTAAGGCCAAGTGCTTGCAAAGACAACCGTCCAATAGGAGCTACCTATGCTTTGGGACTAAACATATATTCTATTCTCTTAATGTAGCAGGATTTTTGTGACCTTGGGACAATCTTACGTAGTTCAAAGATACAAGAATGGTCCACAACATTTCACATGTTGAAAAATGAACTCTATGGACAGCACATTGGCACATAAAACATAAAAATGGACAGATCTCATGAAAACCTTCCTCTTTGGCATCACATCAAATTTTAGTTTAGTTTGACTCATGCTTAGGCAAAGCACCCCTGAGATAAACAGTCTACTTGCTACTGCAACAGGAAAGTAGTGCTTGAAAGGGGAGGATGCCAAATTATATGTAGTGCAGCTATATAATAAAGAGTTATGAATTCCAAGCAATTTGGACATTTCTAAGGTTATATCAGAGGATGGTAACTCTGTGCAATTGAACAAGAAGGAAGGTGCATTTTTTGTCATTTCATAAAAGTTTATTGACTGTAGCAATTCATGATATTAGAAATAACTGCACATTTAGAAGGGGGCTCTTAAGTAAAAGTATTTAAAATTAAAAAAAAACAATTTCCTGACCACAATTACTCAAGTGTAAAAATTGAACTTATTTCTGCATGTGTTTCTTCTTTCCAAAAGATAATTTTTTAAATTTTTTCTTTAAAAAAATGGGGATATATGTGCAGAATGTGCAGGTTTCTTACATAGGTATACGTGTGCCATGGTGGTTTGCTGCACCTATGGACCCATTCTCTAAGTTCCCTCCCCTTACTCCCCTACCCCCAAACAGGCCCTGGTGTGTGTTGTTCCCCTCTCTGTGTCCATGTGTTCTCATTGTTTAACTCCCACTTATGAGTGAGAACATGCCATGTTTGGTTTTCTGTTCCTGTGTTAGTTTGCTGAGAATGATGGCTTCCAGCTTCATCCATATCCCTGCAAAGGACATGATCTCATTCCTTTTTATGGCTGCATAGTATTCTATGGTGTATATGTACCATGTTTTCTTTATCCAGTCTATCAATGATGAGCATTTGAGTTGGTTCCATGTGTTTGCTATGTGAAACTACCATTGACATTCTTCATAGAATTAGAAAAAACTATTTTAAATTTAATATGGAATCAAAGAAGACCCCATATAACCAAGAAAATCCTAAGCATAAAGAACAAAGCTGGAGGCATCACACTACCTGATTTCAAACTATACTACAAGGCTAAAGTAACCAAAACAACATGGTACTGGTACCAAAACAGACATATAGACCAATGGAGCAGAACAGAGACCTCAGAAATAACACCACACATCAATAACCATCTGATCTTCGACAAACCTGCCAAAAACAAGCAATGGGGAAAGGACCCTCCTATTCAGCAAATGGTGCTGGGAAGGTGCATTTTTAAAAAAATATTTCATGAAGCATAAAATTCAACAAAAACACTTTGTGGTTTTTTTTGGGTTTTTTAAATTATTATACTTTAAGTTCTAGGGTACATGTGCACAACGGGCAGGTTATTTACATATGTATACATGTGCCATGTTGGTGTGCTGCATCCGTTAACTCATCATTTACATTAGATGTATCTCCTAATGCTATCCCTCCCCTCTCCCTCCACCCCATGACAGGCCCTGGTGTGTGATGTTCCCCATCCTGTGTCCAAGTGTTCTCATTGTTCAATTCCCACCTATGAGTGAGAACATGTGGTGTTTGGTTTTCTGTCCTTGCGATAGTTTGCTCAGAATGATGGTTTCCATCTTCATCCATGTCCCTACAAAGGACATGAACTCATCCTTTTTTATGGCTGCATAGCATTCCATGGTGTATATGGGCCACATTTTCTTAATCCAGTCTATCATTGATGGACATTTGGGTTGGTTCCAAGTCTTTGCTGTTGTGAATAGTGCCACAATAAACATACGTGTGCATGTGTCTTTATAGCAGCATGATTTATAATCCTTTGGGTATATACCCAGTAATGGGATGGCTGGGTCAAATGGTATTTCTAGTTCTAGATCCTTGAGGAATCGCCACACTGTCTTCCACAATGGTTGAGCTAGTTTACAGTCCCACCAACAGTGTAAAAGTGTTCCTATTTCTCCACATCCTCTCCAGCACCTGTTGTTTCCTGACTTTTTAATGATCTCCATTCTAACTGGTGTGAGATGGTATCTCATTGTGGTTTTGATTTGCATTTCTCTGACGGCTGGAAAAACACTTTGTTAAGTTGAGGAGATGGAGGCAAAATTAGGGACAACATATAACAAATATATGTTGTTATAATATATATTTCAACAGTATTAGACCAGCATTAACAATATATGTCTAGTTAATGTAGTTATGCTAACTACTTTATACAACAGAGAACAAGAAATATTTGTCATGTAAGAGTTTTGAAAATTGTGTCATATTTTATATGGTCCAGGAGCATCTTGGTAATAGAATTATAAGATGTTTCTCTGTTATAAGTGTAAAATATATTTTTATGCAAATAGTTTCCTGTTTTTTTCAGTTTGGCATAATACAGATACTTATGTACCAGTATTTGATGTCCTTAGAATAGATATTTTGAACCATAAAGTACAGAATAATTATCTCACCATAACTTAACAGAAAAAGTAAATTGGAAGTTTAATTGGTAGTCAATTTACATAATCTAAATCAAATGTCCTTATTTCTTATCTCAATAACAAAAATATGGGTTTAGTTTGGCATTGTTGAAAAAGCAGGTGTTTTTGTTTGTCTGAAAAATTATCCAGTTATCCTCATTCATCATTTGACTGTATCTTTGAAGACTGCCTGAACATTCTACATTCTTCTCAGTTAAGACAAAAAAATTAATCCAGGTTGCTCGAATTAACATTTGTAGAAGACATATATACAAAATACAACTATATAATATACATTTTTTCCAAGCATTTGGGAAATTCACGAGGATAGATCGTATGCTTGACCAGAAAGCAAGTCGCAAGCTATGAGAGTCCTACAGATTATGTTCTCAGAACACAAAGGAATTAAAATAGAAATCAATTACAAAATAAGATTAATATCATACCTCCAATTATTTTCAAATTAGGCAACATACTTCTAAAACAACAAAAGCCCAAAGAGGAAATAACAGCTGAAGTTAGACAATATTCTGAGGTGAATAATGAAAATAAAACATTGGATATTGTGGGGTACAGCTAAAACTGTGCTTAGAGGAACAAACCTGCAGTGTCACTGAATGGATGTGCCCTGTTGATGTTTTCCACTTTTGTCCCAGGTCATCCTCATTCTTTGTCTTTTAGGGAAGTCCTATTGTCTCCTGAATCCAATTACATGAAAGCATATTTTTTTTCTGCCTTAAGCATAATTTTATGCCCTTCACTACAGACTTGCAATGCACAGCTTGAGGCTAAAGAATTGTCTAGCTATGTTTTGCTATTGTTTGTGTATTTCTAGATATTTAGTATCATTTTATTTTTCTTCGATCTACCAAAAACTGGCTTTTGTTTTGCTTTCTTTCTTCTTCCGCTTGACTGATTGCTTAAGGAACAAAATCTGACATATCATCTGATTAAAATGCCAAACACTCCTGTATCCTATCTTCTTCAGATATGCTTCAAAAACATCCCTTATATTAGCGAAAGTCATTCATTCTGCATCATTGTTTATAACTCACTCCCTAGCACAGAAAATAAGGCTCTTAGGAAGAAAAAAAGGAAGGTAATTGTTGACTTTCCACCCCATCGGGGCCTCAGATAATAGGTGGAATTTATGCAATCCTTCTTTTGATGAATTACACACAGGACAATAAGACCCACGCCATGCTTCACATTTTTGGTAATGATTGTCCCCCAGTGTTTGAGGTGGATGGATATATTAGTCTGTTTTCAAACTGCTATAAAGAACTACCTGAGGCCAGACATGGTGGCTCATGCCTGTAATCCCAGCACTTTGGGAGACCAAGGGAGGTGGATCACCTGAGGTCAGGAGTTTGAGACCAGCCTGGCCAACATGGCAAAACCCTGCCTCTACAAAAAATACAAAAATTAGCCAGGCATGGTGGCAGGCACCTGTAATCCCAGCTACTCGGGAGGCTGAGGCAGGAGAATCGCTTGAACCTGGGAGGAGGAGGTTGCAGTGAGCTGAGACAGCACCACTGTACTCCAGCCTGGGCCACAAAGAGAGACACCCTAAAGGAAAGAGTTTTAATTGACTCACAGTTCTGCATGGCTGGGGAGGGAGGCCTCAGGAACCTTATAATCATGGCAGAAGGCAAAGGGGAAGCAGGTACCTTCTTACATGGCAGCAGGAGACAGAGAGAGCTAAGGGGAAACTGCCACTTTTAAACCATCAGACTTCATGGGAACTCACTCACTGCCACGAGAACAGTATGGGGGAAACAACTTCCATGATCTAATCACTTCCCACCAGGTCCCTCCCTTGACATGTGGGAATTACAATTCGAGATGAGACTTGGGTGGGGACACAGAGCCAAACCATATCACTGGAGATAATCAATTTTCACCTATCCAGCATAAAATAAAACTCACTAGTTCCTATCCCAGGGGACTCTAATCTAACCTAGGTAGGTGCTATGCAGGTAGATCAAGCACCCACGGATGGAGTAACAATCAGTCCTGGACTGCTAATGCTTGATGATACCTTGGAGATCCACTAGTTCAGAGAGCTTCACTTCATGCTCTGAAAGCCCCAGTAGTTCTAGGGAGTTTCTCGAGGGCCCCTGCGGGAGACTGGTGCACGGAAGAACGAACACCACCAACACCCTCTGCCCAATCATCTGGTTTCACACAATGCTAAGGAGTCAGACCGTATCTGAAAAGAAGGTACATTCTCCATCTTGCTAGACATCAAAGTGCAGAGATTCCATTGATTTGCTCTTTCAGTTCATTAGAGGCCTATCCAAGCCAAGCATACACATTTCCCAACATGGCAGGTTGTCTTTTGTATCCATATAGAGTTTAAGAAATACTTTGAGATTTCTTTCTCCACGTACTACCTCCCCAGCACCACTCACATCCCACCAAGTGTTTGAAATTTTGGGGGTGGCATTAGAAGTACATATAGTCTTTTTTTCTTGAGATGGAGTTTCGCTCTTGTCGCCCAGGCCAGAGTGCAGTGGTGTGATCTCAGCTCACTGCAACCTCTGCCTCCCAGGTTCAAGCGATTCTCCTGCCTCAGCCTCCCAAGTAGCTGGGATTAAGGTGCTCACCACCATACCCAGCTAATTTTTGTATTTTCAGTAGAGACAGGTTTTGCCATGTTGGCCAGGCTGGTCTTGATCTCTTGACCTCAGGTGATCCACCCGCCTCGGCCTCACAGAGTGCTGGGATTACAGGCATGAGCCACCATGCCTGGCAAATACAGTTTTAAGAAAGCATCTATTACAATTTAAATATATTACCTGCAATGGATCACGAATCCAGTGGCCCCACGATTTAGATCACTCCCTGCTCCCCAACATTTCGAAATATGGGATGTGTCTGTGGCTGAGTGTGGACAGGAGTGAGTGTATGGTGACATGCATATGTGGGTGGATGTGTTTAAAATTCCAGTTGAATAAACCTACGTATATCATGTGTCGCTGTTTTCCTTGATATCCAGATAAGTAAATGTGCACCTCATTTCTGTGGGGACCTCAGGTTCCTACGAAATATCTCTTCAGATTCTGGAGTTGGGGCTGAGAATCTCTGGACCATTGTCCATCACCTCTTGCCCTGAGTCCCTGCTCCTTGCTTGTTTTCACAGTAGGTGGGGTACTTCTGCTACCTGTTATCTATCTGTTACCTGCTTGGCTCAATTCTACCTCCTGCAGGCACATGGGCCCTGTCCTTATTCCTATGGCACCACTAATGCAACCCTATCACATCTAACAGAACTTGCTAAAGACTCAGGGATTTTTAAAAAGGGAAGGGTAGCAGAGAATAAAAAAACTATAATACTTCAAACTGAATATCAGGTACCACCATACTGAAAGCCCATCAGCCATTCTCACCCGGAAAATTCCTTATTAGAATCTTTACATATTTCCGGGGCCTGCCCTTACTCTATAAAGAATCTTTCATTCATCAAAAAAATATTTATTGGAAGCTTGTTTGCCAGACATGGTTCTAGATGCTAGAGGTTCAGCAGTAACCACACAAAACAAACTCCACCATCATGAAATTACATTTTCTATAGCCCTTCTTTTTTGAGCCTTTGAACTTCTGAAGCACCCCGGGCCAAAAAGGAACCATGGAAAATTCGTGTAGCTCTAGTACACCAAGAATTTTTTATCTCCCATTGTTTTAACCTCCTTCTTTCAATCCAGGCAAGGAGCTTTACTTTTCATTAACAAGAATAATTTTCTTAGGTGTTTTCCTAAATGAAAGAGAAGCTTCCACCTTGATATGGATTCTACCTCCTCTAAAATGTTGAAACGGTTCTAGTGAAAATTTTAAATCAATGTTCCTTTCTCTACATTTGCCTTTTCAAAATCTTCCTCAATTCAAATCATTCCTCAGTTATAATGTTAACAGTCACTATGAAATGTGCTTCTTTATGTAATGAAATATGGATGCCCCACAAAATATTTACATGTAAGCACTAAATAATATTTCTTGAAAAAGCCAGCCAGAGGTTTATAAGTGTATGAATTTAGATTATATAAGTTCACAACTCTAATTTATGAACTATTGACATGAGAATATATTTAAATGGTGATCTCATACCTATTAACCAATAAAAATCATTACAATAAACAAGCAAAAGGAATAGAGATAATATGTTTTACTCTGATACTCTCGTATTGAATACTTGCTATTTGTATGCCACTATGTTACATGTTTTAGGGGATGGAAAAGTGTCCTTGACCCTTTATTTATATCCCCATGTCACCCCTCTTCAGAGAGAAGCTTCCTGAAAGAATAGGCATTGCTCAGTCATCATTTTCTCACCTCCCACTTCTTCTGATCTTTGCCATCTGGCTTTCACCCCAACCACATCATTAAAATTGCTTTTGTCAAAACCACTACTTTGCTTTTTGGCCCTTATCTTCCTTGACCTTTCCACAATACTTGCCATTGCTAGCCATTCCCATCTTTTGGGAACTTTTTACTGCCTTGATTGTCAAGGCAACATGCCATTTTGCTTTTGTCTCTCTCATGAGCTCCCATTCCACTGCCTGCCATTTCAATGTTGGTGCTTCCCAGGGTTCGACCTTCCACTCTCATTTCTTGCTCTCATCCTTTCTAAGGGATCTCATTCTATCTGTCATTTCCAACACCCGTGGAATGTCTACAATTTCCAGTGACGTGCCCCTACTCCATTTCTCCTCCTAAGCTCGTATTTTAAACTGCTTACTGGACTTCTCCACTTGAATGTTTTATTCCTATCTCAACCCCACAATAGCCAAAACTCAAGGCATTATCTTTTCTTCCTCCCTTACTTTCATCACCCTCCAGATGCAATCCGTGTTCATGGCACCACCACCCTCTTAATACCACTCCCCCAAATTTTAGAATCATTGTACCATCTTCCCTCTTCATCACCTTTCCAGTCACTAACGTTTTTCAGTTCCATCATCTTAACACCACATGTCCTCCTTCTCCTTGTGATATCCACTGCTACAGTTTTTGCTAAGATTTTCAAAATGTATCATCTAGAATATTGTAATTGTTTCTTAATTGGTGTCCTTGAGAACAGTTTTGCCATTCTAATCTATTTTTCATTTTCTTGTGATGTTGATCTTTCTAAAATGCAAGCACAATCAAGTCCTCCTACTATTTAAAGCATTACTAGTTATCCGCATTTCATAATCACAAAAGTCCAAACTGATTGTCATTACATAGAATCTCCTGCACAATCTCCTGCCCTTCTATCTTTCCAATCCCATCTCCCATCTTTCCCCAGACCTCAGTCACACTGAAAAACAGATGGTATCCTCGAGCACACCATATCATTGTTTTCCTCTGCACACTTACACATGCTGTTCTCTTTTCCAAATATGCCTTTATGAGACCCTTGCCTACCTCATAACCCTACATGTCCTTTGAAGCATAACTTCAAAGGGTCTCTTCTCTTTGAAGCATTCCTTGAATCCCCAGGAAAGGTCAACTTATGCGCCTGTGGTCTGTGAGAGATGCATTGGAAATAGAATCAATAAGATTTCACTTGATTTAGATAAAAAGAGATAATGTGAGATGAGTAAGACACTTCAAGGAAGCTGAGCCTAGAAGCCAAGAATGGTGTTGAGCCATTACTAGAGAAAAAGAGAGCAAAAGAAGGATAAAGTTTTACAAAAAAGGTGAAGATCTAGGAGTTTATTTTTTTAAACAAATTCTTTATTGAAATGTAACATATACAAGGGAAAGTATACAAATTCAAACTGTGCAGAATGTCTAAATTTCAAGATAGACAATACCAACTGTTGGCAAAGTTATGCAACAATACTTATACATTCCTGGAGTATAAATTGGTGCAGCATTTTGGAAAACTGTTAGGCGGTATCTAATTAAACTGAACACGTGCATATCTCATAACCCAACAATCCCATTCCTAGGAATATACTCAACAGATATGCTGACATATGTTCCCCAAAAGACATGTACAGTATGTTCACAGCAGATGTATTTATTATGACAAAAAAAGGAGAAACAATCCAAATGTCCATCAAACCTTGAATGGATGAATATATTGTATTATATTTATACCATGGAATGCTATTCGTCAGTAAGAGTGAGCAATATATCACATGCACAAGCATGCATGAATTTCAAAAGTAATGCTGTGTGAAAGAAGTCAGATACAATAGAGAACATACTCTATCATATATAAAGTACAAAAAGGAACACAATTAATTTATGCTTTTTGAAGGCAGGATGGAAGTTAGTGACCAGAAAGGTGTAGAAGAGGTGCTTCTAAGGTGTTAGGAAGGTTCTATTTCTTCATTCAGTTGCTGTTTACGTGACTGTGCTCTATTTGTGAAAATTCGTCAAACTTTACACATGAAGTATGTGCATTTTCTGTACATTAAACTACAATGAAAAAATTTTCAGTTTACAGTTAATTGAATTTTCACAGAGTGAACAGTGCCATTTAAATAACATCTAGTCAAAAAACAAATGCTACTTGCACTTCAGAAGCACCCTCTGATTACCTGCATCCCCCAAAAGTAATTCTAATTTGATTTCTATCACCACAGATGAGCTTTGCCCAATTTGAACTTCATATAAATGAAACCGTACAGTATAGACTCTTTTGTGGCTTTTTCTCAACATTGGAAAGTCTGCTTTTGGACAGGTTGAATTTGACGTGTCTTATGGATATCCAGATGGAGATGTTCTGGAAGAGTGTAGAAATACCCACATAGAAAGCAGAAAGTTCACTCCCTGGACTTAAATAGTTTTTCTCTTTTTCTCTTGTGCCTCATTATCCTAAAGCACATTTATGGCAGGTAGAGATGCAGAGAAGGAGGGAATACTAATTTATACAGTTTCTCATATTCTCCAAATAGCCCTGCTAGAATGTAAGCTTCACAATGGCAAGGACTTTGTCCTGCTCACTGCTGTTTCCTCTATACCTAGAAAATATCTTGTCTCATTACAGATACTCAATACATAGATGTTGAGCTAATTAGTTATAGGCAAAAATTGGGGAATCAACTAAGATATTTGAAACCTTGGGTTTGACCACACCCATTAAAGGGTAAACTGAGGAAAAGGAAGCTACAACAAAAAAGGCAGTTCCTTGAGGAATGTCTATACTCAGGAATAGAAAGAAGCTATACTGAAGGGGAGACTAAAAAATCAATCAAATTATACTTTTAGTACATAAACCCATTTTAGTAGTTTCTTGCCAGCCTTATAGACATAGATCTAGTTGCCATGACTAGGCAATTATTGGTCAATTACAAGCATCGTTGCATTCACAATAGAAGGCTTTGCAATGTGTGACTTAGGAGTTACATTATGTATTTTTTAATCAACTTGAAGACAGAATTTCATTTTCCTTGAATCCTTAGGATTTGAGCTGTCAGTAATTATGCAAAGATCATCAAGTCCATGAAAAGTGCGTATCATTTGAAATGTTCATTAGCCACAAAACTGATTTTTCTTTTAGTTTCTGATTCATTAAATCCGATCATATTCGTAGTGTGAAAAGTGTCAGGAGCCCTGGTGGGAGGCTGACTAGCCCATCCATTCAAACCTGCACAAAAATTCCCTCTCCTGCCTGAGCCCCAGGACAGGAACAGCTGATGCCCAAGCAACAAACTTTGTCTGCAAAGTATTACAAAATAAAAGCAAACACACAGGTGTGGACTTTCACTAGGTTTCTCTGGATGTGTATCTAGAGTTTCCCAGATGACTGAAGTGTCCACATTCCAATGATTCGCTTTCTCTTCTTTAATTCAATTTATATTATATTTGAATTTCACTTTTAGCATTATCACATTTCTTTCTCTGGATTTGCATAATGTCTAGAGTTTAGAATAAGCTGTAAGGTTCAACGACATGTTCATTTGTATGACTGACGCTATGCTATGTAATTTACATTGGTCTGTCATCCCAATTAGATTAAGTTCCTTGACTTGAGGGCAAGGCTTCGTCATACTAGTTGGATTAAAAACACATGTGGTATCGGACAAAGAAAGTGTGTAAATACTCAAACAGTTGTTAATTAATTAAGATTCTTTTTACATTTAGAAATATTGCAAAATATCCCAGAGTGTTGGCTTTCTATGATGATAACTGAACTTAGAATAGTTTAGGAAAAGATCACAGTGTAACTAATTTATTCATATAGATGGGTAATGATACATTATTCCTGGGCAGTGCTCACATGACAAAGAAAGTAAAGAAAGATGGCAGCATCTCCTCATTAATCAGCAGAGACAAAACAAGGAGGACTCATGTTTGTCAAAGCCCCGATGCATGTCTCTTTGCCAAGGAGACCCTATCACCTTCATCCCTTCCAGGTGCACAGAGAAAGCCAGGCCTCCCCTAACAAGCCATGTGGCCAGAAATCCAGGTCTGCTCCTCAACTGGGCATTTTCAGCTATCACCTGAGCAGCCATTTCCCTTCTTCAGCTATCTTATTTTGTTTTTTGAGTAACAAATTTATTTTGGAAATTGGGAAAATACCAAAAAGTACAAAAATCATGATAATAAACACTCACACTGTTAGTGCTTGAATATAGTTGATTTTTGCTATGAATATTTTATGTGTGATAATCACATGGCATATTCAAAATTGCACATCTTTCTAAAAATTAGCACCTATAATTTTATAAATAACATATGTTTACTGTTACTTTTTTTAAATTCCTCACCAAAAAAGATTTTAAAAATGGCCAAAATCAGGCCGGGCGCAGTGGCTCACGCCTATAATCCCAGCTCTTTGGAAGGTGGGATTAGACATAGGGTCTTAGGCTTATGGAAGAAGAGAGATGAAGGGTGGAAAGGTGTTGATAGGAATATTAGAAGCAGATAAAGAGAGAGTGTGTCTGAATCATTAACGTAAGTTTTACAAGTGAAAGAATTGCACACCTTTGAGCACATGTTGATTTAAGCTGGTTGACTGGGAAGATGGCATTTCATGGTAGTCAGTACCAGGATTTCTCCACCTCAGCACTACGGACGTTTGGAGCAGGATCATTCTTTGCTGTACAAGGCTGTCCTATGCACTGTACAGTGTCGAGCAGCATCCTTGGGCTTTCACCTACTAGAGGCCAGTGGCACACCTTCCCCAGACAGCAAAAAATGTCTCTGGACATTGCCAAATGTCTTCTGGGGGGCAAAAATTGTTCCAGGTTGAGGACCACTGCTTTCTATCTACAAGCAGAATAACTGGGGTTTGTGACTGTTTTTTAACTGCCTCTTGGCTTTTGTCTTTTTGACTTCCCCATGTATCATTGCAATAAGCCCAGCCAACTGTGGTCACCCTGACAGTATCTCAGATGTATCTTGAAAATTATATTTAGTGACAGGTTTTATTCAGTGTTCTTTTCTTTGAATAGGGAAGTACTCTGGAATACCCATAATGGATGTGATCAATATTCAAGTCTTTATTACATCACCTTCCATGCAGGGCCAGTGAATTCCTATGGACTATTTCTACATATTTGAGATTATTCTGCAGGTACTGATTTTGGCCTTTTTTTTTTTTTTTTTTTTTTGAGACGGAGTCTTGCACTGTCACCCAGGCTGGAGTGCAGTGGCACAATCTCGGCTCACTGCAACCTCCGCCTCCCGGGTTCAAGCGATCCTCCCACATCAGCTTCCCGAGTTGCTAGGATTACAGGCATGCACCACCACACCCAGCTAATTTTTTTTTTTAATTTTTAGTAGAGATGGGGTTTTGACATGTTGGCCAGGCTGGTGTTGAACTCCTGGCCTCAAGTGATCTGCCCGTCTCAGCCTTCCAAAGTGCTGGGATTATAGGCGTGAGCCACTGCACCCAGCCTGATTTTGGCCATTTTTTAAAGTTTTTTTGGTGAGGAATTTTTAAAAAGTAACAGTAAACATATGTTATTTATAAAATTATAGGTGCTAATTTTTAGAAAGATGTGCAATTTTGAATATGCCATGTGATTATCACACATAAAATATTCATAGCAAAAATCAACTATATTCAAGCACTAACAGTGTGAGTGTTTATTATCATGATTTTTGTACTTTTTGGTATTTTCCCAATTTCCAAAATAAATTTGTTACTCAAAAAACAAAATAAGATAGCTGAAGAAGGGAAATGGCTGCTCAGGTGATAGCTGAAAATGCCCAGTTGAGGAGCAGACCTGGATTTCTGGCCACATGGCTTGTTAGGGGAGGCCTGGCTTTCTCTGTGCACCTGGAAGGGATGAAGGTGATAGGGTCTCCTTGGCAAAGAGACATGCATCGGGGCTTTGACAAACATGAGTCCTCCTTGTTTTGTCTCTGCTGATTAATGAGGAGATGCTGCCATCTTTCTTTACTTTCTTTGTCATGTGAGCACTGCCCAGGAATAGTGTATCATTACCCATATGTATGAATAAATTAGTTACACTGTGATCTTTTCCTAATGTCTTAGGCTTATGGAAGGGGTCCAGAAGTTCATTAGTGTTTGCCTGTTGGATAACCATTCCTCATCTTGTAGGAACAGCTCCCTTATGATCTCCCCTGTCCCCAGGCCGTGGGGAAGGATGAGCTTCAGCTGGGATACTCCATCCAAATCTGTTTATGCAGAGTGCAACTTCCCAAGAAATCACAGTCGGTCCAAGGATGGGTGTGTCTGAGGCAGCGCAGCATTCTGCAGGGACTTCTGCTGAAACTCTTAGTAAAGAGAAGCAATCTGTTTCTTGCTGACTTAGAATTTAGAGAATGAAGGCTGAGGGAAACGTACCTGGGAACGACGCCAACACACAAGGCAGAACAGAGGGTGACAAAGATGGCATTATTGGTACCCCTGGATGCATTGTGCCTAAAACCAGAATCCTCCTGAACTTCTCAGTTGTGAAAGAATAACTTCCCTTTTCAGCTTCAAGCATTTCAAGATAGGTTTCTGTGCCTTTCCATCAAGTGGCCTGGTGGCTTCCTCTCTTCTATGACTCTGTGGCTTCTGCTTTCTCTGTTTCTGTCTACTCTTTCTGAGTATATCAGACCTAAATTTCTCAATGATATCTCATCAGTAAGCCTGTTAACACCCAGCTGAGAGCTGGTTATGGGCAGAGATGTAAATCAAGCACAGAATGTTTCTCTTGTGTTAATCCCCCTTCCTTGGTTCTAAAGACATTGACTGGTGTCATGGGCTCACATTATAACAAGTATAACCACCTCTGACCATCTCAGAGGGGGCTGTGGACACAGCAGATAATCCAAACCTTCTCCAAGTAGACGGAAAGCAACAGGTCAACCAGATCAAGTTCTGCAGTTTCAATCAATGCACATAAACTGAACTAAGACATCAAGCATTTGTTCAGGAAGGATTTGTGGGGGCCATATTTTCTGGGTCTCTGCATATCTAAGAATGCCCTTCCTATAACACTTTTCTTGAAAATCTGTAAATTCCTCTCCATTATATTTGGATATTCACGTTTTCAGAGGAGAGGCTGAGATGATGTGAGTTTATTTCGGTTACAAGCAACAAAACCCAATTCACTTAATATAACCCAAAAAGAAGAAGAAGAAATATTGACTCAATGTCATTGGTCTGGCTTGAGTCACGTGCTCAACTCTGTTCAGAGAAAGGGCTTCCTAATTGATGAGCCTGAATCCCATGGTCAATCTTGCACTAGGTGACAGTTTCATTTGATTGACAACACCAGGCAGAAGAGCTCCTAAAATAAATGAAGGGCCACGTTACCTAAAGAAGGAAAGGGAGAACTGAGGAGCAAGTAGAGAGGGAAATTCCACTGAATTTTTAATACCTTATAGATAAATTTTTTTTTCTCCTTAAGTGCATAAAATGTCAATCCATTTTCTTAGAAGTACTTTTCATAAACTAAAGAAATTTTTCAGTTTTGTCTTTTTTTCCATTTTTCCCCTCAAAACAATCTTAACTACCTCTGATGTCAATTTTAATACTGCTATTGCACTTTTAGTTTCCTTGTATTCCTTCTGGTATCACCCATCTTGTTTCCTCATGTTATCCTTTGTTTTTGTTGTTGTTGTTGTTGTTTATCTTACCCTATTTTCCTCTTATTACTTTATTCTCTGGCCTATTGCCTTACATCATTTTTTGGGATTCTAAACAGTTTTCTAGAACTCTTTTATATTTTTTGATTTGATTCATATTAGAGGTTCACTCTCCCTCTGAGGTTTCAGAATGATATTGTTTTCTAATTCTGCAGGTTTTCCCACAGCATCTATATTTGTTTGGTTTTGTTTTGTTCTTGTTTCCTGGTCATATGTAAAAAAGGACTTACCCATTTGTGGCTTCTGCCACAAACAGGCTGCATAGATTGCACTCATCTTTATATCCATTGGGAATGTTTTTCAAATTCCATCCTTCTATTAAGACCAACTGACTGATATACATAGCTCCTGGTTTGAACCCCAATGTATAGCAAGTTTTCATTTATCATTTGCCTTTTACCTGCTCTACTGAAATGAGATCTTCCTGGTTTTCCAATGCCAGAGTATCCATACTCCATTCCAAAGGAGTCCATGAAAAGCTGCAGTTCTCTAGATGCATTTTGATTTGGTTTATGCCGACTATCCACCCCAGGATATTACATGCAGCCACCAGCTCCACCCAATCCTCTTCCTGCCAAATATTTCCAAAATGCTGTTTTCAGACAAAAATGTGGGGGCTTACAATAGCTACCTTAAAAAAGGTATGGTTCCGTCTTTGCTTTGTAGACCCTGCCTTTCTTTATCATTTTCTTTATTGAGGAAAAATTAATAAAAATTGTATATATTTAGAGACCCTCTATTTCTGGCCTAAGAGAAAGGAAGTGGCAGAAGAGAGATCTTTGCATCTACATTCGTGTTGACCAAGAGATCTATAATGTTCTAGCTAGTTCTATCAAATGAAATTAGTGGAATTTCTTCACAATTTATGGCAATAAGTTATCTACTGGTTTTCAGAGGTAATAGGGTGAGAAGTGAAACCCAAGAACTGATGACCTTAAGAGAAACTGGAAAATTTCTCTGATGTTTCATCAATTTTTAAAAATTCTTATAGTTACAAGCATACAAACCTGAAACAAACAAACAAAAAATTTCTGTGTGTGTCTAGGGCAGTTTGGCATAGCAAGGAAAAAGGCATTATGAGCTTCTTTGTCCTGTTGTATAGTAAAGCTGGGGGAAGAAGAATCCCCAGATTTAAGGAATGACAGAATCTGCAAAAACAAACAAGAGGAAGAAAACCTGATCTTCTGTAAGGAGAAAGAAGGTCTATGGCTTTGGAACTAGCAACCTAAGACTGTTCCAGCAGCTATAGGCATATATTACAGGTTGCCTCCAGAGTGTGCATGTGTGTTGTGTGCTTGTGTATGAACCAATGTGTGTGTGCACTTGTAACTGGGGCTTCCTCGCATGCTTCTCTGATGGCAACAGCATAACATAACCAGCAAAATCATTAGCCAGAGAGTCTTGGTGTTATAATTACTCTATTATTTCTGCTTTGAAAAGCTTGACAGATCTCTTCAACAAACGGTGTTGGGAAAACTGAATATCCACATGCAAAAGAATTAAATTGGACCTTCATCTTACAGCATACACAAAAATCAACTCAAAACATAGGAGAAATTTAAACATAAGACCTAAAACTTTAAAACTCCTAGAAGAATGCATGGGGGGAAAGCTTCATGACAGTGATCTAGGCAATAATTTCTTGGATATGACACCAATAGAATAAGCAACAAAAACAGAAATAGGCCGGACTCTATCAAACTAAAAAATCCTCCTCACAGCACAGGAAACAATCAGTGGAGTGAAAAGGCAACCTATGGAATGGGAAAAAAAATCTGCAAACCACATATCTGATAAGTTAATATCTAAAACATATAAGAAACTTCTACAACTCAGTAGCAAAAATGAAAAATAATAACCTGATTTTAAAATGGGCAAAGGACCTAAATAGACATTTCTCTAAAAAAGACATACAAATGGATAACGGGTATATGAAAAGGAGCTCAACATCACTAGTCATCAGGAAATGCAAATCGAAACCACGATGAGATATCACCTCACACCTGTTAGGATGGCTATTATCAAAAAACTAACAATAGGCCAGGTACAGTGTCTCACACCTGTAATCCCAGCACTTTGGGAGGCTGAGGAGGGCAGATCACTAGAGGCCAGGAGTTTGAGACCAGCCTAGCCAACATGGTGAAACCCCATCTCTACTAAAAATACAAAAATGAGCTGGACATGGTGGCACACACCTGTAGTCCCAGCTACTTGGGAGGCTGAGGCAGGAGAATCGCTTGAACTCAGGAGGTGGAGGTTGCAGTGAGCCGAGATCATGCCACTGCAGTCCCGCCTGGGCGACAAAGCAAGACTCCATCTAAAACAAAACAAAACAAAAATAAACAATAACAAGTGTTATCAAAATATGGAGAAATTGGAACTCTTGTGCATGTAAAGGAGAATGTAAAATGATGTAGCCATTATGGAAAACAGTATGGAGGTTCCTCAAAAATTTGAAAATGTGCTCCAGCAATCCCACCTCTGGGTACATATCCAAAAGAATTGAAGTCAAGATCCCAAAGAGATATCTGCACTCCCATATTTATTGCATTATTCACAATAGCCAAGATATGGAAACAACTTGAAAGTCCATCAACAGATGAATAACAAAAATGTGGTATATTTTGTCGCTTTGTCGCCCAGGCAGGACTGCCGTGGCACGATCTCTGCTCACTGCAACCTCCACCTCCTGAGTTCAAGCAATTCTCCTGCCTCAGTCTCCCAAGTAGCTGGGACTACAGGTGTGCATACAATGAAATATTACACAACCTTAGAAATGAAGAAAATTCTGCCATCTGTGACAACATGGATGAAACTGGAGGACATTATGCTGAATGAAATGAGTCACAGAAGGACAAAGTCTGCATGACGCACTTATATGAGCTCTCTAAAGTAGTCAGACTCACAGAAACAGAAAGTTGAGTGGTGGTTCCTGATAATTGGGCGGAGAAGAAATGGAGAATTGCTATTCAATAAGCATAAAGTTTTAGTTATACAAGATAAATAAATTCTATACATCTCCTGTACAACATTATGCCATATTTAACTTGACAGAGTTTTCTATTGTCAATAACAAAAAAACACCCCACAATTGTGCATTTGAAAAAACCAAAACAGAAATCCATTCAGCAAAAAATGTTTCAGATTTATAAACTAATAAACTGTATACATTTGAGCAGGGTTCATTATCCAGGTCTTCTTGAGGGATGGATTGCTGAGAGGTCAGAATCATGACCTGCCATCCCTCCACTGACTTCCTAGCCTTCTGGTTGACCGGCAGCCCCAGTGACCACAGCAGGGAATGTCAGCTTCTGTCTTAGTTTAGTTTCTTCACAACCAAAAGTTTTTGACTGCGCTTTCCAATGTTGCTACTGAGAGTCTCAATTTTCCACTGACTGTGTTTTTCTATCTGGGTACTTTTACCCACCTGTGATCCACTCCTATCGTTCAACAGAGTTTACTTTCCTTGCATTGACTATTACAGTGAACTTTTCCTAGATGCTCTCTGTAGGCCACTTTTAGCAGTGTATAATTTCCTGCTAGTCCCATTCCAAAATAATATATATATGCAAATAAGTCCACCAATACACATTTCAACAATTGCTTTTTCCCAAAGGTTATCTGATTCCTCAATTTCTATCCTCTTAAGGGAGTCAGCAAATATGGGAGGGTGAAGAACAGATTTTTCTTTGCTGCTAAACTTCATCACCAATTACCTTTTTGCTTGCTCGTTGATAGAAAAGGCAACTAGAATCACGAATCAGCAAGTTAACATTTGCATCCAAGGAATGGTTTAAAGTAATGAGCAATAAAAACATATATGAATATTTCATTTCTAAGTCAGTTTCCCCCTTAAGTTTTCTAAATTGTTTATTTGCAGAGTCAAATGCCAGGCTGTATTTCCCACTCTTTAGAAATGACAATTGTTAGATAGAAAAAGAATCGTCATCCATTGCAAATGACCAATATGCATTATAAGACAATGCCGAAGGGATTCAAATCAATATTAGAGGTTTCAGGGTGGTTTTTACTATGTAAACCCTAGTTCTATAATTTCAGAGCTGGTAACTCTCATTTCAAACATATTTTTATGGATTCCATCTCAAATGTGGTTCTACCAAAAAATACTTTGTTTAAATTGCCTTAACATTGTGAATTGTGCTCACTTGATGAGAGCACATGAGGAGTTGGAAGTATAATGATATTCTAAAAATACCAATGATTTGCACATTCTTTTCCATCTCAGAGCAACTGGATTTATTACACATTTTTATCTACTTGTCAGGCATGGAGTAAGTGGTTAGCACGGACTCTCCAAGTACTATTGTGCTTTTAAAATGAAATGATCAAACCACAATCTAAATTTGTAAATTGAACCATACTGAGTGTGTTCTCAATGAGACAATGAAGTCCATTCTTCCTTTAAATCAAAAGATAATTTTACATTCTCTAACTCTACTCATCAACTTGCATTTCAGCCTTTCAGCAAATGGAGCTGTAGCAAATATCTTTGCACAATGTCTTTGCCCAGACTCACTCATTCTGTGAGTCTGAATTATATTGATTATCCATCTGTCACTATTATAACCGTCCCTCACCTGGACATTTGATCAATAGCACGCAGTCTTTCTTCCTTATCACATATCTTCTTAAATTCTTCTAAATGTAACCACACAACAATCAACAAGGAGAAAAGGGGAATATATATATACACATATATACATATATGTGTATGCATATATATGTATACACATATATGCATACACGTATACACATATATGCATACACATATATACATATATGCATACACATATATACACACATATATACACATATATACGTATACACATATATACACATATATACGTATACTCATATATACACATATATACGTATACTCATATATACATATATACGTATACTCATATATATACATATATACGTATACTCATATATATACATATATACGTATACTCATATATATACACATATATATACATATATATATAGTAATTTCCAGTAGAGAGTCTGAGGGTTGTATTCATGTAAAAATACAAAAAGCATCCTCATCCTTAAAAGTTGAGGAAAGAGGTAAAAGTTACATAAGTTTTTTAATGCAATATGGTTCTCAAAATGCATAACTGAAGCATTACTGCTAACTGAATCCAAAAAGTGAATCTATACAGTTTAGTCATTATAAGAAGGTAACTTTCTACAAGAGCCCTTTTCTGTAAGTTTAGGCTTTTCTTTAGATTCTATGAAAAGGGTATAATAATACCTCTTTCTAGGTATGATATTCAAAATATTTAACCATCATATGGCACAGGTACCAACAAAGGAGAAGGGGCACTAAACAATCACATGGGCCATATAGACCACTGTGGAGGCAGCCACACACCAAGGGGCATTAGTTGACAAACAACTCTCCCTAGTTCACAGGGCCGGTGGGGTCAAAGGATCAAGAGGCAGTGCCTTTAGGGGAGCCTTAAACACAGGATGCACCTGAAAATGTCAGCATGATCCAAATCAGGTCCCTGGCCATGGTAGGGTTATAATGCTATTGTATGCATCATTCTGGAGAGCCTCCTCCTATTAAATAAGGTCTAATTGACACTAAATTATCTGAAAAACGGATGTGAAAACCTCATTATGTTGACTCCTCACTTATAATCCAAAAGAGGAATGGATAGAAACTTCCATACCAGACACAAACTACAGTCACAGATTCAGGGAGAAGCAAAAACATTGATAGACATGAAGGCTTCGATAGCCATATGCCATTCGCAACAATCATAAAGAAGTCAGTGGAAAATTCTTTTTCTTCCACAATTACAGGGTCTATCCTTAACCACTAGGACTTAGCAGAATGGAACTGGATAAGATCTCCACAGGTGTACTGTGCTCATATTCAGTGTAGTGTATACTAAAAGAAATTGTTGGGAGAATGGAGGTGTCCAATTTATTAAGGGATTCTTCACTGAGTGCCTCTCATATGTCTCATATGTCATGTGTCTCCTGATATGCAGACATTTTACTTGGTTTTTCAGGAATTTAGAGGAACTGGTTTAAGCAACACGTATCTATTAAACAACTTATCTGTCCACAATCCCACTTGCCAAAAGGAAATGCCAGGACGTGTAGCTGCTCTGTTGTCTTGATGGTAACCTGTTCAAGATTGCCCCAGTTGCTATGGAGACAATGAATATCTTGGGTTGAGTTCACAGTGCAGAGCTTCGGGGACAGCACAGCCAGCAAGTGCAGGAGTCAGAACCTTGCTGCCATATGGGTTCTGCAGCTGTCACAGTAGAGATCTTAAAGGAGGCATGGTGGGGGTGGGAGGTGGACAGAGGAAGCTTTGTTTTTTATTGAAAATAAGGTAAAAGACAAACAAGCAATGAAGGAATGACTGATTTAAATGCAATTCGAGTGCTAAATGAGTCCACCATAGCCAACGGTATTTTAAATGATCTCCAATGATTAGAAATTAATTTCCTAGCATGACTTTAGTCAAAGAACACGATGTGATGAATTCTCACTCTCTGAATAATTGCAGCTATCAGCCAAACTAACAGCAGGAAGATGGGGAAATGGGTGAATAATCTAGGAGATAAATGCGTGTCCCCTGATGTTCCCTGCATAACTTTTGTAAAAAGCAGGTGATAGCATTTTTCTAATTGTTTTTGAACTTTTCTGCAGAGGTTATATGTCTGAAATTCAAGTGTTGGCTGACAATAATCTCCCATGACCAATTACTTTCCACTGCAAAGGGAGTTAATACATTGCAGAGATTTTTTTTCTTAATTATTATTTAACAGGTACATAAATATAAATTGACTTTTAATACAGCTTTATGATAATGGAAGACTTTGGTTTTTCACATGCTAATAGAAAATTTTGAAGATGAACTGTGAAATGACTTATCAAACAACCCTTCTATTGTTTGGTATTAGCACTGAGAACCCAAATGTTGAAATTGTAGGGTATCTATCAAAATACTTTGCTTTATTTTTTTTGACTGGAAAGGTTATGTACTGTTAGGGAGACATGTAGTTATATGCTAGGTTTTTAAATTGTTTTTAATTGAAGAAATGAAGGCCAAACAAATGTCCTTCCAAGCATGAGGTCATAGAGGAATAAGTACTGGTTGGGTAATGGTCACATCATTAAATCATGCCTGGAAACCATGCAGCTTCAAGTCATTGTTTGTAGGTAGAAGGGACAATATAGCAAGGCCTCTAAAATTCATTCTGCCTCAAGATATATAAGGGCTATTTCCATGCAAGGCAGTAAAATCCCAATACTAGGGTCCTATTTCAATTTCTTTTCTTCTAGTCAATACTGAGGTAGAGTTGAACCTTGAACAACATGGGCTTGAACTGCATGGATCCACTTATAAGTGGATTTCCTTCCACCTCTGCTACCCCAAGACAGCAAGACCAACCCCTCCTCTTCTTCCTCCTGCTCAGCCTACACAACATGAAGACAATGAGGATGAAGACCTTTATAATGATTCACTTCCACTTAATGAATACTAATTTTTTTATTATGATTTTCTTAATAACATTTTCTTTTCCCTAACTTTCTTTATTGCTAGAAACATTATATAATACATAAAACACAAAATATATGTCTTCACTGACTGTTTATGTTATTGGTAAGGATTCCAGTCAACAGCAAGGTATTAGTAGTTAAGTTCTGGGGGAGTCAAAAGATGCATGCAGATTTTTTTACCACACCGGTGGGGTGGTCCATGCCTCTAACCCCTGCATCAACTCTATATTATTTGGTTCAACTCTATATTATTTGGTTCCTTTGACACCTTCTCCTTATCACTAAGCACCCATAAATTTCTAGCACTGAAATAGATACTAGGAAAGAGAGAATAAAGAACAAACCAGTTCCCTTGCCTCAGAGAGCCAAGAATAAAATTTTGTTTGAGTCATGAAAATGGGTGTTTGGAAATAAAATCTAACCTTCCTGAATTCAGCAATTGAAATGGCTGGGAACCATAGAATATTGGAACTAAGAAAAGGCCTCAGAGGCTAAAAGCACCAAGCCTTCTTGTGGTACCAATGACAAAATTAAAACTCAGAGAACTGAAGTCATTTTCTCCAAAACTGCTGTTGTCTAGTCACCTTAAAGCAATGTATGCTGCCCTTGCATGGTAGAAGAAGGGTTGGCTTTTCATGTGTTCAAAGGGTAATTGTCTATTCATGACTGCTAGGTAGTTCAGTGGGAAACCCCTTCTCCCTGCTTTGGGGCCAGGGCTGTGCTCCTCAGGATATAGCAAAAGTTGAGCACAGAGTAAGAATCTAAGTAGCAATGTTTTGCTACTGTTTTTAGTCAGCAAAAACCTACTTAAAAGACTGCTGATTACTGGTTAATGTGAATTTAAAACAGTGAACAATTAGTGTTGTTTATGTTCTCCTACCTTATGCTCCATGCTACCTCACTAGCATGAATTAAAAAGTTACTTTTACAATCTGAGCAAAAAGAACAAAGCTGGAGCCATGAAACTATCAGACCTCAAAATATTAATATACTACAAAGCTGTAGTAAGCAAAACAACATGGTACTGGCATAAAAACAGACACATAGGCCAATGTAACAGAATAGAGAGCCCCAAAATTAATCCACACATCTACAGTCAACTGACTTTTGACAAAAGTGCCAAGAACACTCCTTGGGGAAAGGACAATCTCTTCAATAAGTAGTGCTGGAAAAACTGGATATCCATATGCAGAAGAATGAAACTAGACCCTTACTTCTCACCCTATACAAAATCAACTCAAAATCAATCAAAGATCTAAGTGTATGACCTGAAATAATAAAACTACTAGAAAAAAAAACAGAGGGGAAATACTTCAGGGCATTGGTCTGGTAAAAGACTTTATGAATAAGACTTCAAAAGCACGGGCAACACAAGCAAAAATAAACAAATGGGATTATATCAAACTAAAAAGCTTCTACACAGCAAAGGCAATAGTCAACAGACTGAAAAGACAACCTATAGAATGGGAGAAAACATTTGCATACTACTCATCCAGCAGGGGATTTATATCCAGAATATCCAAGGAACTGAAACATCTCAGCAGCAAGAAAACAAACAATCCAATTTTTGATATAAGCCAAAGATCATAACAGACATTTCTCAAAAGAAGACATAGAAATGACCAACAAATATATGAAAAAGTGCTCAACATCACTAATTATCAAGGAAATGCAAATCAAAACCACAATGAAGTACATCTCACTCCAGTTAGAATGGTTATTATCAAAAAGACAAAAAATAAGAAATGATAGCTAGATTGCAGAGAAAGAGAAACTCTCACACAATGTTAGTAGAAATACAAACTAGTACAGCCACTATGGAGAACAGTACGATAGTCCCTCAAAAAACAAAAAATAGAACTACCATATGATCCAGCAATCCCACTACCGGGAATTTATTCAAAGAAAAAACATCATTATATCAAAGAGACAGCTGAACCCTCATGTTGACTGCAGCACTATTCACAATAGCCAAAATATGGAATCAACCTAGGTGTCCAACAATCTAGATGAATAGAATAGTATTTATCCATTAAAAAAATGAAATTATGTTATTCATGGCAACTTGAATGAAACTGAAGGACATTAAGTGAAATAAGCCAGGAACAGAAAGTTGAACACTGAATGTTCTCACTCATGTGCAGAAGCTAAACTAAATTGATCTCATAGAAGTAAAAAGTAGATTAGAGGATATTAAAGGCTGAGAAGGGAAGGAGAAAGGGATAGGGAGAGATTCATTAAAGGATACAAAATTATTGCTAGACAGGAGGAGTAAGTTCTAGTGCTCTATAGCACTATGGGATGAATATAGTTAACAATAATATATTATATAGTTTTAAATAGCTGGAAGGAGAATATTGAATGTTCCCAAAACAAAGAAATGATACATGTTTGAGATGATGGATATGCCAGTTACCCTGATCTGATCACTACACATTTGTGTATTGGGATAAACAAATGGGATATCCCATGAATATGTACAATTATAATTTGTCCATTTAAAATTAAATGGACAAATTAAAATTTGTCCAATTTTTTTAATTGCTTTCAAGGTACTTTCTTAATTTAATGGGTTTACTCCACCACTTTAGTTTAACGAAATCAAGAATTTTCATCACCCACCGAATAGTACAATGTATATTGCATTCCACTCACATTCACATTTTCTTATTATAATACTACTTGCCATTTATTGAGCAAGTATTCTGTGCAATACATTATGTGAGTAGCTTTATTTACATTACTTCTTACTCTTATAGCTATTTTTAAAGGTAGGAATTATTATTCCCATTTTTTAGATGAATCATTTATCTTCAAAAAGATATAGCAATTTGGCCAAGATCACAGTGTGAGGACAGAGCTACACATTCAAACCCAGAACCTTCTAGCTTCAAAGCTAGATTCTCTGCCGTACATCACAGCCTCCATACTTTGTTAGTCCTTCTACAATCAGAGAAAATTAATCATCCATTTATCTGAAAAAGATTATCCATATTTTCAAAAGAAATCATGCCCAACATGTCATCACTACTATAAAGATACTACCCAAGACTGGGTAATTTATAAACAAGGGAGGTTTAATTGACTCACAGTTCTGCATGGCTAGGGGGCCGCAGGAAACTTACAATCGTGACAGAAGGGAAAGGGGAAGCAGACACCTTCTTCACAGGCGGCAGGAGGGAGAAGTGCAAGCAGAGGAAATGCCAGACACTTATAAAACCATCAGATCTTGTGAGAACTCACTCACTGTTAGGAGAACAGCATGAGGGAAATTGCCCTCATGATCGAATCACCTCCCACCAGGCTCCTCCCTCAACAGCTGGGGGTTACAATTCAAGATGAGATTTGGGTGGGGACACAAAGCCAAACCATGTCAACCATCTATGATAGGCAAGGTTATCACCAACGTGTGCACACTGAGAGATTAATAAACACATCTAGGGTCATACGGCTAAAAAGCCACAGGACACGACTTGATCCATGATGGGTCAACATTTTACATTTTCTCAGTCATCTCCCTGGTAAGTTATCACAGCTAAAAAGAAATAACTATAATACTTTCTTATCCAAATCCTTCCCCCTGGGTTGGGCTGGACAGGGTGCTAGCCAGAGCAGAGAGGATGCCACAGGTTTAGGCAGGGATCTGTAAACGGTGGCCCTAGGGACAAAGCCAGCCTGCTACCTGCTTTTGTAAATGAAGTTTGACGGGAATGCAGCCACATCCATTCATTTACATATTACCTATGCCCATCTTCACATTAAAGTGGCCCACGAAGTTGAAAATATGTACCATCAGGCTTTTAACAGAAAAACTGCCAACCCTGGTATAGGACATGGAGAGCGAAGACCTTTGTCCAGAGAGGATGCTAAAATCAAGTGTGAATAGTCAGTGGAAAGTAAGAAATTAAAGCTCATACGGACAGAAAAGGAAAAAGCATTCAGATCACTAAAATGAGAGGGGCTAGATAGGCATACTGAAATCTGAAACCCAGAACTAGAGATCTGAAGGCACAAGAAGGGGCAGCAGCAGGAAACAAGAGCTGAGAAGGGACAGTAGCTGAGACAGAGGCGGTAGCCACAGCAAAGTACCGCCTGTGGTTACATTGAATGTCACCATGGATAGAGGGCCAAATTTGATCCAACAGGCTAGGAATGGAAGCTTTCAAGTTGCTCCATGTTTTATGATCACTGCTAGAAAGGAGAAATGTTAACATTGCTATTTGAGTAAATTATCCCTGATTGGATTTGTGGTGTGTATTTGTGTGTCTGTGAATAATTCCACTAAATGCATTGCCTGACAGCTAGAACAAACAGTCAGTAAGCCACAAGACTCTAGGGACATTTGTTTAATAAATATTTGTTCTCCAAGCAATTCATTACTAATCTAGATTTTGAACGGGTTAATTTGATGAAAAGGAGAAACAAAAGGCAACCTTTGCAGTAAAATATCTGTAATAAGCCTGACATGAAGTAGTGAAATTTCTTTAAAAAGGCTGGTAGAAATTTTTTTATTTTAATGAAAGAAACATAGAAAGAAAAGAAAGAAGAAAGCCAAAGAAGAACAGGACTTGGCAGCTTCCAAGAGCTGATGTGCTCATCTCTTGCCAACTCTGCATTTTGTGATGTGTTATAGATAGCTTGAAAATAGCTGCGATGGCAGAGATAACATCTGTCATAGATACTACCTAAACTCAACGTATCAAGAAATAGAAGAATACAGAGGTATAAGAGAATTAAAAACCAAAGCAATTAAAAAGAAGTTGCATCTGAGGAATGGCCGTAAGGGTTAGGAGAGAGACAGAGGACAGAAAACTGTTACCTTTCATTGTGATGAGCTCTTTTGCACACTGAAGTTTCATTTCTAACCAGGTGCATGTGTGTCTTTGATTTAAAAAACAAAAGAAAGTGAATGTTGGAGTCAGAGTAACACTGATGTGAATCTGGTATATGCCACTTACTAAATGTATCACTGGGAGCCACTCACCTAACTCTCAATATCTCAGTTACCACCTTTATGGATTAGGGTAAAAATGGCACTGACCCCCAAGGGCTGTTGAGAGGATGAGATGGAATGCAGTGTGTAAAACAGAGAGGCTGGCACAGCGTCAACGCTGGATGGCTGTTCTTACTACCATCCAGTCCCCAGTTCATTATTCCCTTATCTCTGCAAATGTATGCCTTGTTGGGCATTGAAGGATTTTGCATTTTTCAGAGTCCTGGGTGCAAAAGCTCACATTGCCCATGACAGTGATTTTTTTTGAGCATTCACCAGCTATGACTGAGCATTCACTGGCCAGTACAAAGCAAAAGGGCAGTGTTAAAAAGACATAGTGTGGGAAGAGGAGTTTGAGGAAAGAGTGGGAACAGAGGAGACCAGCCAGAGAGCAGTGGAAATCCAACTTCTCTGTGGGGCCTCAGAGGCCTTGCACTCTAGGCAAACATGAGCCTTTGCTGCTATGATCAGTGGGGATGAGAAACAGCAGTATCAGGGTAGTGGAGTCACTGTCTGTATTTGCAGGGTTGCAGACGGTGACTCCACTACTCCTTAAGGTATTCTATGGCTAGAAGGAAAAAGCCATATTCAAATGAGTGATGCAATTTAGATGCCTACTCCCTCCAAGCATCATTTCCACCTCTGTAAACTATTTTGGAAAGAGACCAGGGCGTGGAAAGTCATTTGCCAATGCAAACTTTCCTTTCTCATTTGCCACAATCCACGTCTGACACTCCCGATAGCCAGCCAGCTCTGGACAGCCAATTTATACAAGCTGCGATGGGACTGCACCCCTGCCCCACCTCATAAGAAACAAGGAGAACATGGCACATGGGATGATGCTGTTACTTATCTCTGCATTACAATGAGCTCTGCTCCCTCCACAGAGAAGCCCTCATTAGATCAACTCAATTTCTCTCTCACCCTTCGCCCACATGGCCCTGCCAGCCCCAGACCCCAGAGGTCCTTTCACCCTGCTACTGAAGCCTTGGCCCCATGACACCCCCATGGTGGCGACCTCCATTTCATACCTATCAGACTTTTAAATGCCAAGGACAGCCTGGATTTTGAAGGCGTTGCCTTCCAAAGTAAAGCAGCTTTCCATATCCACTAATTGGTTTTGCACTGGCACAGCTACACTCTGGAAATTGAGAGAAAAATCATGTGAAACAGAGAATTGTGGAGCAGAAATACCAACTGAATTCCTGAATAACCCCTTTGTTGTAATTGTTTCCTCAGATGCAAAGGGAAATGGTTTGTATCTATATCCAACTTATAGATATGTATTTGTAATATATGTGTATGTATATGTCTATATATTTATAATATTTATGTTTTTGAATGAACTTCATATGTAATATACATTAAAAGAAAGATGAGATTTATTTGTATATAAAAGTTCTTAGCTTATCTGGAAAGAATTTGGTTTAATTGTACCATTCTTACAAATGTGTTGATTCATTCAATCAGTACGTTAAACAAATACTGTGGGGCAAGCATGATTATAGGAGCTGTGAATTCATTTGGTTAAAAAAACAGACCAAAAAAAATCCATCTCTTTTCACTAGTTTACATTGTAGTATGAATGGGGGAAAGCTGACAATAAATAAAATTAAGAAGTCAAATAAATAGAATATTACATAGTGATAAATAGTATGGAGGAAAATAAAGCAGGAAAGAGAAATAATTTTAATAAGAATGTATGATAAGAATGGGAAGTAATTATAATAAGGAGGAGCTGAATGACTTCATTGATCATGTGACCTTTTGGGAAATGCCTGGAGGAAGTGATGGAATAAGTAAGGGCCTTACTGTGGCTGCAATGGATAGAACCAAGAAGACAGAAATTGGAGTTGTCAGACAGGTGTGGGATTATATTAGTTATCTATAGCTGCGTAGCAACTTAGCAGAAGCTTAGTGGCATAAAACAATACTTGTTTATAATCTCACATTTTCTATGGGTCAGGAGTCTGGGCAAGACTTCATTGCATCCTCTGATTCAGGGTCTCTGACAGGGCTGTGATCTCATCATCTGAGCATCTAATCTGAAGGCTTGACCATGGAATAATCTGCTCATGTGGTTGTTAGTAGGATTCAGTTCCCTGAGGGATGTTGGACTCAGGGTCTCACTGGCTCTTGTTTGAAAGCCACCCTCAGTCCCTTGTCATATGAGTATCTCCAGCACAGCAGCTTGCTTTATCAAAGCCAGCAAGGAAGGAACTTCTAAAAAGACAATCAGGCTTTTGTAAGCCATTCATGGAAGTGACGCCCCATCACTTTTATTGTATTCTGTATTTTAAAAGTGAGTCACAGACCACATTCAAAGGGAGGGGAACACATGAGGTTATGAATATCAGGATGCAGGAATCATTAGAGGCCATCTTAAAGGTCCGCTTGGCACAGTGTGGCAGAGCACGGAGGGCTTTGTGGGTCATTGGAAGGAATTTGGCTTTTACAAGGATGTAGAAATTGATGTGATGACAGTTTACATGATGCAGCTGAGAAACTAAGTTGCAGTGTCCATTGGCCAAGTATTGACTTCACAGCCACCCTCATAGTCCCCCATGAGACCCCTCAATTTCCTTGTCTCATGGAGGACAGTGGCAGTGACTTTTCAGCATTCTATGCTGTTCTCACCCCCTCTGCAACCTGTCCCAATGCTCCAAGCGTTTCCCCAATCACTCATCGTCTCTCCTTGTTTCTTTCATTCATACAAATATTCTCCCATTTTCTTCTCAACCTATCTCTTTCCTGTTAAAAGTCACCACTTCCATTAATCGCAGTCTTCTCTTCCTCTTTTGACCAGCAGCACCACTACCAGACTACCAATATCATTAAATTATTTAGCATCTTGGTAAGGGAATCTTCTCATCCAATTCAGAATAGGAGAGATAGCATTGCCACAACTAAGTTAAACTGCAAGGTTTTGAGGCATGTGCTAATAACGGGTGGAGCAGAAATTCAATAACCACGAATGTCAGGAAAATCTGGCCAAATTGCTGTTTTCTTGTGAGCCTACCCAGTTCTTTACAGAGCTCAGACAACATCTTTCTATCTTGCTTCTCTCATCCCACCACTTTTATATCTATATGCGTACCTTAGTTTCTCTATTATTGATCTACCTGATCTCCCCAGAAAGCTGCATCCACTGGGCTGATAATGCTGTCCTAATCAGTTTTCTCCATGAACCAATAGTCTTCCCATCCAACCTTGTTTTCAAATGCCTTTCCAGTGATGCTTTGCTCCCCCACGTCCATTTCTGGAGGCTTCTGCTTTCTTGGCATATGAGTAAACTAATAACGGCAAGGTTTTGGCAGAGTCCACTTTTGTACTTAGATCATATGACAGTAATCAAGAATAGCATCATAATAACAGACATTTTAAAATATGGCTAGGTCGTAAAGTGCCATCTTTAAATACTTAAACGAAAGATTGGTGAGATCTTAGTTTCTTAAAATACTTTCAAGCCATTAGACCACAGGGGCCTTATGGGAACATTTTTTAAGGCAGAAAAAGAAAGTTTTTTTGTCCTGATGTTCTTTAATAGGAGTTTTGTTATTTATGTTTTGGGGGGAATTACATTCTCAGAAATGATCAAAATGAGTGTGGCAATGTCTACATTTGCCAGAAAATGTATTTCCCCTCAGGTTTTGAAACCCCTTGAAAACATCTGTAACCTGCTGTCTTGTTTTTATAGTAATTGAAGCTAAATCAGGTCTTAGAGAAAAATGAAGCATGCAACACAATGGAAGGAATTCCATTGTCGGCTGAAGTTTTTCCAGATACTCAAATTTTCCCCCTTGTGTAAACATGGTCTTTATCATGAAACCGAACAAACGTTTTTCTAAATTCGTCTCTCAGGAGCATACCCACGCTGCACATCATGGAACATTTTATCCTCCAAAGATAGGCTGAAAGCCCTAAATTACTCATTATATGGCTTACCGAGAGAAGCTCATTGTTAGTTAATTGGAGATAATGTGACCTTGTTCCTTGATGCAGATATGTTGAAATTGCCAGTTATTTCTGTAGTTAATCTCTTCTGCAAAAAAAAAATTGTCAGTCGTAAAATTTATCTGCTTATGATAAAATGTATCTTCTTATGATAAAAAATGAGACAACAATAAATACTCAGTTTGTAGAGAAGAGGATGTGGAATACTAAAGAGGAGAGATCCATATTTCTGAAAAATTTGCAACAGGACAGCTCTCCCACGTGCTATGTAACCCAATCATCTCCAAGAAAAATATTTCCATTAGTTGGACTTCACAGGGCCACAGCTAAGTTGAGGCAAGTGCTTAGGGGGTGACCGAGCAGCACTCTGGTGCCCAGGCTGGAATGGAGTGGCATGATCTCTGCTCACTGCAGCCTCTGCCTCCTGGGTTCAAGCAATTCTCCTGCCTCAGCCTCCTAAGTATCTGGGATTACAGGTGTGCACCACCACGCCTGGCTATTTTTTTTTTTTATTTTTAGTAGAGATGGGGTTTCGACATGTTGGCCAGGCTGGCCTCAAATTACTGGCCTCCAGTGATCTGCCCACCTCGGCCTCCCAAAGTGCTGGGATTACAGGCATGAGCAACCATGCCTGGCCTCAATTCATTACAACTTAAAACACAGGTAATGCATTCCTATAGTTAACGGACTCTCTACAGAGCATCCTGAAGAAATAATGACCATTAAGATGTAGCCACAGTGATAAGGGGCTTATAATCCAATTGCACAGAGAAGACACAATATTTTCTTCCTGAGCAAAACCTTGCTTGGACCCTGCATTGCCTTTCAAACTAGGATTCTAATGCCTCCTTCCTTAAGTTGCCAAATGTTATCACTCCACCTGCTGCTCACTTTCATGAGAAACACTCTTTTTTACATATGACTTGCATGAAAGCCCTGTTAAACCATCTGAGACCTCCTAATGTACTGCAAACCCAGAACTTTAAGCACCATCCAACATCATTGACCAGAGGCTTGCTATGTGTTGCACAGCCCTTCTTTCTTGAGCATTTCTTCCCACTGTCACTGTGCTTTGCCTCCAATGTTTCTCATCTCTTCCCAATCTACTTTGATAGAATCCTCTTATTATTATTATTATTTTTTTAATGTACCACCTTCTGCCTCAATGTTGACATTGTCTGTGACTTGGACCTTCTCTTGCTGCTCTGCATGATCTCCCTGGCCAATCCCAGCCACTTGCAAAGGTCTACTTTTTAATGCATATTGACTTCCAAATCCGTATCCACGAGCCAAGCTCTTTCCACTGGAAACCACATCTTTTTATCTCTTTAGACACATGTATTAAATAACCACTAAGTTCCTGAGAACCGGGGGGTGCAAAGATGAACCAGATAGCCTCTGACCTCAGATTACAACCCAGCGGAGGATACTGATCATCTCCCCAAAAGTTACCACCACATAATATGTGTTTCAATTAAAGCATAAATGTGGTGCTCAGGGATGACACGGCTCACACTGTCATGTGCAGCTGAAACATCAGAGTATCTGGGTAAAATGAAGGTTCTGATACAGAAGTTCAGGAGTGCAACTAAAGATGTTGCACTTCCAACAACCTCTCAGGTGATGATGCTGTCAGTGGTCCGTGGAACACACTCTGAATATCAAACTTTTAGGAGACTTTCCTGACCCTAACTCAGTCTATAAGGTTATAGAAGGGATACCTGAGATATGTCTGGGGATAGATCTGAATGTACTAGGGAAACAGGTGGGAAAAGACAGTGGGGGAAGATGAAAAGCATGGTCAAAAGGCCAAACATGGAAGAGTGTGGAAATCTGAAAGAATGATGCCTGCACAGCCCATGGCAGCAGAGGCAGGAGAAGCAGGTAGGTGGAGTGGCACGTGGTGGGGTGAGGGGACCTAGGGAGAGAATTAGGAGTTACATAGTGATGTGGCCTCTAGCATGTCCAAGAGAGGAGATGTGCAGAATGAAAAGCAGAGGCACGGCTGGAGAGAGAAGCCCTAAGCCACACATGAGGTTCAGTCTGTGCTGTGCACCCCTGAGGATCACAGGGGTAGAGGGCTGTCTCCAGCGACTGGACCCACCTGACAGCCCTTGGCCACTCTGGTTTTCTTCTTGGTTACCCCCTGAGGGCATGGCTACAGTATCTATTACTGCTTTTTGTTCATGGAGTGAACTGTTTTCTTAAACCACTTCAAGCCAGTTATTTCAAGAAATAAAGATTATGGTGATACTTTTCCAAATAGTGGAGGTTGAAAACAAACCACCAAAACACCATACAGATTCATCAAGAAACAAGTTACCTCTGCTATTAAATGAATGAATGAGTGAATGAATGAATAAATTAATGATATAGGAAGGTACTTTGGGTAGGAATCCAGTAGAGAACAATCAGTACTCTCTAAACCAATGTTGTCTAATAGAAATATGCATGCAACATACACAATTTAAAATTTTCTGGTAACCATGTCTAAAAGTCAAAACAAACAGATGAAATTAATCTTAATAATACATTTTACTTAATCCAACATACTCAAAATATTATCATTTCAATGTGTAATCAATATAAAAGATATTAATGAGATATTTCACTTTCTTTTGTACTAAGTCTTTGAAACTCGTGTATGCATTTTACACTTACATCACACCTTAATTCTGACTCACCCCTTTTCAAGCACTCAATAGCACTGTAGGGCTGGTGGCTGCCACACCGAACGGCACAGGTTTAAAAGGTGCAGCATCAACTTCACTGTCCACATCTATTCCCAGGTAATCTTGGCCAAGTCACCTTGCCTTTCTGATACCAACATTCATCATCTGAATCAAGAAGGCTGGAGAGCATCAGTGTTCTCCATGGTAAGGCAATGATTCTGAAGACATCAGTATTATAGACAAAGAAACGAGCATTCTACATATATGTGTGTGTGTAAACAAACACTGGAAGTACGGTGACTATCATCCTAGAAATCCCAATCTTAAAGTGGCCTCTCACACTCTACAAGGATGGGAAACATGACTCTACATGATTATTAAGGTTCTTCAAGCTCTTAACGTTTTGCTCCTCTTTGTTGTTATTGTTTTATGATTCTACAAATGGCAGCAGAAATAAAGCAATAGCATGTGTATTATTCACTTGATTGAAACAGGCATGTTTACTGCACTCAGGTGCTACAGAAACAGGCCTATAACCCAACACCTGCCTCTGCACTATTTAAAGTTAATTGAACAACAATCATGTCTTTAAACACAGAGGCGTCCACGTGGTGACGCACCATTAGTGGCTTTAAACTATGGTCAGCTCTGCTGCTTTAGAGAATAACGGAAAAAGAGACTACATTTTCTTTCTTCTCTTTATCGAAAGGTCTGTAAGATATACCTGCTACTCAGTTTCTTAAGGAAAACCTTTTTTGCTTGTCTTCTAAAGGTTGTCTTCTAAATTCCTAACAAATCTATGAGCAAGTTAGAGGCAACAGTTCTATATTATTTGGTTGTGTGAGCCTAGCGTTTGGCACAGCATCTAGCACACATTTGGCCCTCAATATGTGCTTATCAAGTACAGGAAGTAGCATCTCAAACCTCACCATGGGTTTGCAAATGTAATAACTACATGTGGCTAATAATACATCTTCTGCAGTGCTCCCGGGGCTGTGCCCCAGGGGAGAGGTTGTGCATGTGAGGTTTTCTCTATTACCAGGTATTGATTAAGAGTTGGAAGGGAGGAGAGAGCTGGAAAAATTGCAGAGGAGGCCCACAGACAGCTCGTACCCACCTTCACTACCTGGAAAACAGCGAGAGGAGAAACAGCTTCCTTCTCCTGAGCCCCAGACCAGTCACTGAGACAACTCTTGGGTACCTTAAAGAATGTCTTTCTGGCCAGTTTATCTTATTTTAAAATCTATGTATACGTGTGCACACATAATTTTATGTAATGTCCTAATGTGGTTATCTCATATATACTAGCTCATATTTTGACAGTCTTGTGCATGTGTGTGCATGCCAGTGTTAAATTACTATGTTAAATTACACTTTGTGTATATGTTTAACATTGTAACAGTAATCAATAGATTCATGTCCAAAAGGGATATAAATATTCAGATTATCATCAGCAATATACGAAAATTCCCATTTTTCCGTATACTTTCCGGTAATATGTGTTATTGTTTTCACGTTGTTTTATAATATTTCTGTACCTAAAGCAAATGTCAGGTAAGCAATATGCACCCCCAAGATGTCACCCTTTTAGCTGAAATCAGAAAGCTCTACTTAACTGAATGCAGTAGGAAGGGCACTATTAATAAGAAGAGACTCCAGCTGGGCATGGTGGCTAACACCTGTAATCCCAGCACTTTGGGAGGCCGAGGCAGGTGTATTGCTTGAGTCCAGGAGTTCCAGACCAGCCTGGGAAACATGGTGAACCCCATCTCTACAAAAAAATATAAAAATTAGCTGGACATGGTGGCGTGTGCCTGCAGTCCCAGCTACTTGGGAGGTTGAGATAGGAGGATAGGAGGATCATTTGAGCCCAGGAGGTTGAAGCTGCAGTGAGCCATGATCGTGTCATTGCACTCCAGCCTGGACAACAGAGTGAGATCCTGTCTCCAAAAAAAAAAAAAAAAAAAAAAAAAAATGGTCTCTGTAGATCTGATTTGGGATTTACACTCTGCCCCCTAACCTGCCAACTTGTGAGAGTCCTTTAACCTCATATCAAAGGGCTGACAAGACAATATAAATTTTACAGGCCAAAATCAAAGTGAAGCTAAGAATCAAGAAACAATAGTAAAATACTAAAGACATTTTCCCCTAAGGGCATTTGGTCAACTGGGAAAATTTAAGTTTTAGATTCTAATTCCTCACAGGACTCAAAAAGTAGAAAACAAAATGCAGGGCTCCACCACTGGATATCTACCCAGAGGGAAATGTATCATTCTATCAAAAAGGCAGCTGTGCTGGTATGTTGATCACAGCACTATTCACAATAGCAAAGTCATGGAATCAACCTAATGTCCATCAACGTGGAATTGGATAAAGAAAATGTGGTGTGTGTATACCATGGAAAAAGTACTCAGCCATAAAAAAGAACAAAATCATGTATTTGGCAGCAACATGGATGTGCCTGGAGGCCATTATCCTAAGTGAAATGACTCAGAAACAGAAAGTCAAATACCACGTGTTCTCACTTATAAATGGAAGCTAAACTACAGGTACACATGCACATATAGTGTGGAATAATAGACACTGGAGACTCCAAAAGATGGGAAGGTGGGAGGGAGAGGAGGGTTGAAAAATTACCTACTGGGTACAATGTACCCTATTTGGGTACACTAAAAGCCCAGACTTTACCACTACACAATAGATCCATGTAAGAAACCTGCATTTTTACTCCCCAAATATATAAAAAATATATATAAATAAAATTTTAAAACCCAGGGCTCATCCAGTATAAGAAATCTAACAAACCCTTCTACCTCAAACCTGGGACTCCAAAGCCCTACACCCTTAGTGTAAGTTTGAGGCAAAATAAACTCACACAAAACCTCCACCATGAAGGGATGAATAGGACACTTTCCCAGGTCCCAAGGAAAGCAATGAAGGAATATAAATTAAAAAGCTATAACACAAACTAGTACTCATGTGGGTGTGCAACCCAAATTCATGTCACTTTGGATGTTCAAAAATGTTAAGCTACCTAGTTAATTCAAAATAATATGTATAAAACAATCTGTGGTGAAGAGATGGGCTCTTTGTTTAATTTCCAGCCCATGGGAACTCATACTTTAATAAAATACAATAAAAATGAAGTGCTCAAAAATTATATGGAGGCTGGGTGCGGTGGTTCACACCTATAATCTCAGCACTTTGAGGGGCCAAGGTGGGTGGATCACTTGAGCTCAGAAGTTCAAGACCAACCTGGGCAACATGGCAAGGCCCCATCTTTACTAAAATTACCAAAAATACTAGTCAGGCATGGCGGTGCACACACCTGTGGTCCCAGCTACTCAGGAGGCTGAGGTGGGAGAATCACTTGAGCCCAGGAGGTGGAGGCTGCAGTGAGCTGAGATCATGCTACTGTACTCCAACTTGGGCAACAGAGGGAGACCCTATCTCAAATTAAAAAAAAAAAAAAGATATGGAAAAAGAGTGAAGACAAACATAGCATATTAATGTTGCAGCAATATCAAGATACTATAAAAAACTTTGAGTGTCACTACTGATTTCCATAATTATCCCAAAAGGCTTACAAGCATTTTGTACAGCAACACCTGACCCCCAGTATCTAGCAGAACAAGTTCAAGTGCTCTCTGTGGAACACACCTCCCACTTAAGTGTTAGAGAATTCTCAAATAATTTTCCATGGGAAAAAAACACATTTCACAAGGAAAAGAAAATCGTAAGCACACAAGAAAAATAGGCACCATGAGGGAGAATTAAAGTAAAAAGACAGAAAGAACAGACATGCAAAATCTTCAGGTATTGAAATCATCAGACACTGAATCTAAAACAAACTTGCTCGTATGTTTAACGTGATAATGTGTAACTCACTACTATAAAAAGCGACCCAGGAGACTTGAAACAAACCCAACAGAAATGGAAAATAAAATAACAGAAATTTACAATTCAGTAGATGAGTTTAACAACAGACAAACATGGCAGAAGAGAGAATCAGGTAACAGAAAGATAAGGCAGACATTATTCAGAATGCAGTACAGCAAAACGAAGTAACTAAAAAGACGAAAGAGAAGTTTAAACCTATAGAAGATAGAAAAGGTTGAAGAAATTGACTAAAACATTTTCTCAGCATCCCAGAAGAAGGGAAAAAAAGAGAATAGGGCAGGGGAATTATTTGAAAAGAGAAGTTTTTTTTTTCAGAATGTATAAAAGACATCAATCTACAAATCCAAGAGTTCAAGTGAATCCCAAGGAAAATTCATAAATAAAAATGTACACCTAGGCAAGTTACAATACAATCTGAGAACATCAAAGAAAATCTTAAAAAGAGAGAAAAAAAGAAAGATTGCCCCCAAGGAGTGACATACTAACAGCTGATTTTCAACAACACAAACAGGAGGCAGGAAAAAGGATCTGGATCCAGCCATCAGCCACACAAACAAGTTTAGAAACAGCTCCTCCACTTGGGTCTTGAGACTTTGCAGTCCAACTCTTTGGGCACAGCCTGTAAGAGACCCAGGGTCAGAGGATACACCTAAGCTGCATCCAGATTCTTGACCCATGGAAGTGGTGAGATAATAAATCATAATAAAGAGATATTCAATGTATATTGTTTTAAACTGCTAGGTTTGGGGGTAACTTGTTATGCAGCAATGCATAGCTAATACAGTTAGTGTTGATCTGTCTACCTGCCATGAAATAGAACCACTACTCAGTATCTAAAAAATTAAAAATATACTTCACAAACCAGGGGAGGAAAAGGCATAGAAAATCCACAATCCGGCCAACAGTCAGTGGAGAAGGGAGAACTTATTATAATGTATTAGTTTGCTATGGCTGTGGTAACCAAGTACCGCAGACTGGATAACTTAACAGAAATTTATTGTTGCACAGTTTTGGAGTCTGAGTGGTTCCTTCTGAGGGCTATAACAGGTCCACCTCTCTCCTTGGCTCATAGATGGTTTCTTTCTCTCTCCATCTCTTCACTGCATCTTTCCTCTGTATGTGCCTATCATATTGGATTCAGGCCCAACCACTTTGAATTGATTACCTCTATAAAAACCCTATCTCCTTATGTCCAAATAAGATCACATTTTGATTTACTGGGGTGGGGAAGGACTTTGACACATAAATTTTGGGGGGACCCAATTTAACCCATAACACACAGTTAGGGAAAAAATGAAGTCACTAGATATCCAGACATAGACTCCATGCTTGGAATCACAAGTTCATTCCAGCCCCAAATAATTCTTGCCCATTGTTTTACTTGATTCAAAGTAAGGCTATAGCTGTAACATTCATTTATCTTGCCTGTCTTTATGTAAATGTGAGGTTTGATACGGTCTGGAGGGGTTCTTTATTATGGTTTTGCTCTCTTGTTATCAGTTTTTAAAAAATAATGAAAACCAAAATGCTGCAAATATGTCAACTTGGCATAAGATACCACCAGTTTAATGTGGCTTCACTAAGTTCAATCACAGCATTGTTTACGGATGAACTTTTTAGTACATCCTCATAAATCACTTCTAAGCTAATTAAAATCCCAAATGGAAGTGGTATCTCAGTTGTCCTGGAGCCTGGCTCTCCACTGAATCTCTCCATAATGAAATATGAAGATAATAAAATTATTCTAGGGGTCACAGTCTAGGATACAATTCCAAAACTCATAAACAATCCTCACTGGCATGCCCACAATAGCTGACAATGCAGTAGAAATGAAACAAGTGAAACCAGAGCAATGCAAGATGTTCCTACTGAGTGCAGCCCTTCCAGCAAATTAAGACTTAATTTCCCTGGGTCAGGTGTAGTAGCCGACTGCAGAAATCCAGAAATCCAGCCCGTGTTCCAGAACCAGATCCATTTTCTTTATGCATAGGGAGCTACTGTTGCTCTAACACTTTTCAGGTATGTTCCTATGTGTGTTCCTCACTCCATTTGGTCCTGATTCCCCTAATAAGATCAAGGCCCTTGAAACCAAAGATTTTGGGTTGTCTTCCCCCAAGGCCATCTGGTAAACCACGCAGAAGCTGAGTAGTGTCGTGGATGTCTTTGCTGCTGAAGGCAGGGCTTGCACCAAGGCTTTCCAGTTCCCACTGGGCTGGACTTTGTGGAATGAAGCAAAATGATGCAATCACCCCAGCAGAAAACACCATGGAAAGGATGAGGGAAAATAGATGGAAACAGTTTGTGAAACAACAGAGCCCTCTAAGTTCAGTGAATAATAATTTTAAAAATTTGCAACACTATCTGAAGACTATCAAAGACCCATACTATGGAAGAAAAAAAATAAAAGCAGAATAGCATTATTTCAGTCAAGGCAACACATTGAAGCAATGAGTGCTTCAAGTGGGATGTATGTCATAATAATGAAAGCTATATTTAAATCTAAGTTTCTTAGCTAACACCTGCCAAACTCCAGGGAAAGGCCAGTAAAATACACTATGAGAGAGAGAGAGAAAGAGAGAGAGAAAAAGGAAGAAGGAGAAGAAGAAGAAGAAGAAGAAGAAGAAGAAGAAGAAGAAGAAGAAGAAGAAGAAGAAGAAGAAGAAGAAGAAGGAAGAAGAAGAAGAAGAAGAAGGAAGAAGAAGAAGAAGAAGAAGAAGAAGAAGAAGAAGAAGAAGAAGAAGAAGAAGAAGAAGAAGAAGAAGAAGAAGAAGAGGAGGAGGAGGAGGAGGAGAGAAAGAGAGAGAGAGAAAGACAGAGAGAGAGAGAGAGAGAGAACCAATGCAGAAACAAACGCAGGGGTACCTTGGTTGGCAAAGAAAACTGCTCTTCAAAGGCATTGCCTGATGTTTTGTTGTATTCGACTCTGGGGTGTGCTTTCTTGGCTTTCATTTGAAGACACAGAGACTTCTCATTTGATGGGAAGAGAGAGCTGGTTTCACTAAGCCTCCAGGATATGTTCCTGAAAAAGAAATTACCAGCACATTTATAAACTCTACTCCACCAATGGAAATGTTCACCAGGGCTTCAAGAAAAAGAGCGGTGTACTCTCTAGAGTCATCAACGAGACTCAAGATGGAAGTAAGCCAATGGAAACAAAGATGTATACAGCTGAACTTCTCTAAACAAGATGGACATAGTTATAACAGGTTAAAAATAAACTATTTTAAAATAAGATTATTCTAAATTTCCCTGCTGTCCTTAAAATCTGTCTGTATTGCTGCCTTAACATTGCCCACAAATTTCAAAAGCCTTTCTATGTGGAGAGTAGATAAGATTCATTTAAATTCTCATACATGTCTGAAATATAAACAAGAAAAACAAATTAACTTAACCTACACATTTAGCAGAAGTTAATTATAATAAAATTAGGCCAAACATGGTGGCTCACACCTATAATTGTAGTACTTTGGGAAGCCAAGGTGGAGCAGATCGCTTGAGCCCAGGAGTTAGAGACCAGCCTGGGCAACATAGAGAAACTCCATCTCTACAAAAAAATACGGAAATTATCTGGGCATGGTGGCATGCACCTGCAGTCCCAGCTATTCAGGAGGCTGAGGTGGGAGGATTACTTGAGTCCAGGAGGTCAAGGCTGCAGTGAGCCAAGATCACGCCACTGCACTCCAGCCTGGGCAACAGAGTGAGACTCTGTCTCAAAACAAAACAAGAAAGAAAGAAAGAAATTAAATACATCCAGCTCAAACTGAGAAGCAGCAGTTCTTAAACTTCGGTGTGATCCAAATGCAATTGAAAGGAACTAATAAATGACCTGGGAGGTAAGTTGGTAGACTCCTCAATCCTTCTGTGTGGACTATTGAGCCAGCCCTCCACCAGGATATCCATTGAGTAAATTTGTGTGGACAGCCTCCTTTATGCCACGCCATGTCCAAACCACTGGGGCCAAAGTCAGAAAAAAAAAAAGTAGCCAAAATTCTCTGCCGTCCCAGTATCCACATTCCAGCAGCTGAAGACAGATAATATACAAAATAAATAGAGTGATTTAAAAATTTAGATGTCGGTGTATTCGTTTCCTAGGGCTGCTGTGACGAATTACCACAGATTTCATAGCTTGAAACAACGCAAGGGTCGTATTGCACAATTTTCAATGTCAGAAGTCCAAAATCAATCTCATTTCGCTAAAGTTAGGGTGTTGACAGGGTTGTGCTCCTTCTAGAATCCATTTCTTGCCTTTTTCAATTTTCTAGATGCTGCCTGCCTTCTTGGCTTGCAGTCTTTTTCCCTTCTCTAAGCCAGCAATCACATCACTTGGATCCTGCTTCCATCCTCACATCTTCTTCTCTGACTGTAACCCTCCTACCTCCCTTTTTTAAGTACTCTTGTTATGACACTGGGCCCACCTAGATAATCCAAGCTAATCTCCAAATTTCAAGATCCTTAACTTAATCACATCTACAAAGTTTCCTTTGCCATGCAAGGCAACATATTTGCAGGCTCCAGGGATTAGGATATGCACAACTCTGGGAACCCTTAATCTGGCTACCAAAAGTGCTAAATGCTCTAGATCAAAGCAAATCAAGCAATCTGACATAGATACTAAAAAAATGTCAATTGCCTCTTTTCCTTGCTTTTCTTGAAGCTGGGACATAGAGGTAATCCAATCCCACCTAGTAAAGTCATGGATTATATTGGGGCAAGCAGGATGAGATCCTAAAAAAAATACTTTCTTCCCTGATAAAAGAGAGACAATCAAGAGGAAATCCTCCCTGCTTCCATCTGGTCTTTGATGCTGACATTTGAAAATGTTCTACAGTCATGCGCAGCATAACATTTTAGTGAAAAATGGATCACGTATATGATGCTGGTCCCTAAAATGGAGCTGAAAAATTTCTCTCACCTAGTGGCTTACAGCCCTTGAAACAACATAGTGCAATGCATGACCTTTTCTGTGTTTACCTATGTTTAGATACACAAATACTAGCACTGTGTTACAATTGTCTACAGTGTTCAGTACAGTAACATGCTGTACAGGTTTGTAGCCTAGGAGCAATAGGCTTTAGCATAAAGCCTCAGTTTACTGTAGACTATACCATCTAGAAACCTAAGCACATGCTATGACATTTGCATAACTAATAAATCACCTAAAGAATTTATCAGAATGTATTCCCATCTTCAAGTGATACCTGACTATATATGGGATGTCAGCAGCCACCTTGTTACCATGAGGGAAAAGTCTAGAGTATGGGAGACATCAACCATAATATGGTTTTGTTGCTAGATTAACATCCACAGAACCCCCAGGTCTGGAATTATCATGTAAGATTAAGCACAAACCATTATTAAGCAATTTAGCCAAGTACAGTCGGATGGATTCCACATCTTTGGATTCAACCGACTGAGGATCAGAAGTACAATATGTGCTGGATGCAGAACCTGCAGATAAGGAGGGTTAGATTTTCATACCCATATGTTTCCCAGGGGAACTTTAAGACTTCAACATCTTCGAATTTTAGTATCCTGGGGGGTCTTTGAACCAATTCTCCACGGACACCAAGGGATGACCGTATGCTAGTACTAGAAGGTAGTGTGGTTCTGCTTTTTGCTTGTAATGGCACCTCAGTTAGAGTCAAACCTCATATATTAACCATCAGGTTTTCTAAATAGCATGGACATCTGTAGTGGTTGCTGTACAGAGAAAAGCATAAAAGGACAATGACTACAAAACACTCATCATAACTCCAAGTCTACTTACTCTCTTCTGCCACTCAAGATGGGCCAAGGCAAGACCAGCCATAGCATGACTTGTGGTCTTTCCATGGTAGCCACAATTCACTAAACTTATGGCATATTGTGATCCTCCCTTCTTTTGTTTTCTGGGCTGCCTAATACTTTTGCTGCCTGACATTCTTTGTGTTTGATCAAGGCCTTGCCAGATATGTCCACAGCTGCTGATTCCTGTAACATGGACACAAAGAGGGGAACAAGAGACACCACAGCCTTCTTGAGGGTAGAGGGTAAAAGGAGGGAGAAGATCAGAAAAAAATACCTATTGGGTACAACGCTTATTACCTGGGTGATGAAACAATCTGTATACCAAACTGCCATGGCATGCAGTGTGCCTATATAACAAACCTATACATGTACACCTGAACCTGAAATAAAAGTTATAATAAAAAATGCCAACTTCAATACCTGCCACAGTCTTACTACTTCATTTCTGAACTGTGGTTTTAGAGAAAGAGTTGGTCCTCTGAACAGGCTTTGTAATCCGACTTTCCAGATCCAAATCATTGCTTTCTCTGGGTTGCCTTCCAGATTCAAATCATTGTATCCTGTGGCCCACAGAGTCCAGCTATTAACCTTCCTTCCTAAGCATATCCTTGGATATATATGACGTAAAGTCAAATGGGATATTTAGTAATACGGTGAAAACTAAAAACCTGCAATCCAGCATCTCCGTGTGCTGTATCTCTTCTTGTTCAAGAAAACTAATTACACATTTGGTTAAGAATCTATCTGTAGCATCTCCAGACACCCATCATCTGGAGAGCCATGCCATTAAGTCTACCTGCTCTGAAGAAGACCCTAATTCCCTGAAATCACACAGCATCATAATCTGACTTTGGTGTCTCTAAGGATTTCTGGTATTCTTGACTGCATTTTTGTGCTTCTTTGCTGCCTTTACTCTAGAATTATGAAACTACCTAAAGCTCTGACAGCTAATGAAAAACTATTGGCCATGTGTACAGTTGGGATGAGATCTTCATGTTCTCATCTGGGGTGATGCCATTAAATAATCCCAACTGATTTAGCAGCTCATCTCCACTATCAGGTGGTAATCATGGTTTCTAAATTCTGGGGAAGAGAGAGGGTTATTAGACCAAAGTGTATCTCAGGGAATACAGCTGAGGGGTTAGTGGAATAGGACACATAGCCTTAGGTCTTATGAGGTGACAACATAGAATTCAATCCTAAAGGAGCTGTCTGTCCATAAAAGATCGACTAGAACATCTTTCTACTAGAGGGAAATGCCCTATTACCATCTTCCTGGACCTCTGAGTTGGGGGGAAATTACCACTACAAGAAATGACAGTCAAAATTTGGATAAAATGCACAGTATAAGAATCAAAATACAAGAAAATTCATCAGCACAACAGAAGCAAATGCAAAAATCATTCTATAACATCCCTCCAGAAGCCTACAGGGAGCACTAAGGGAAAAAAATACCCCCACTGAAAATGAGCTCATACTAAAAAATTCAAAGGTACATAAGGAAAGGGAACACTATAAGAAGCACAACTGGTGTCCTAAAATCCCCAGATAATTATGTAAGAGGTCCTTTAAGCTCTTTTTATTATATTTAACACAGATTTAAAAAAAATACAAACTGTAACAAAAGAATAGGACACTATATGAAAAGGACAAGATTGTTTGAAAATAAGTCAAATAACTTTCTAGAAATGAGAAAATATAGAAATACAGTCATTGACAATGTAGTAATAGAAGACAACACTGGCTTGCAAGACAACCTTTCTGAAATGGGTAAAAACAGTACTGTCTTTGGAACTGGAGACTTTTTTTTTTTTTTTTTTTTTGAGACAGGTTCTTACTCTGTCGCCCAGGCTGGAGTGCAGTGGTGCAATACCTCGGCTCACTGCAACCTCTACCTCCCAGATTCAAGCAATTCTCCTGCCTCAGCCCTCCCCCCACAAATAGCTCGGATTACAGGCACATGCCACCACGCCTGGCTAATTTGTGCATTTTTAATAGAGATGAGGTTTCACCATGTTGGCCAGGCTGGTCTTGAACTCCTGACCTCATGTGATCCACTCGCCTCGGCCTCCCAAAGTGCTGGAATTACAGGCATGAGCCACTGCACCCAGCCAGAACTGGAGACTTTCCTTATTACAATGCATTACATAGCTAAGGTAACAGCTGACTTTCTCCTCTGATATGCACTGGCTTCAGTATGGGACAACCTCAATAGCCAGGAAACTAGGAAGTAGAGCTGACTTTTCTTCCAACCGTTACTAAAGCACAATTTCTTTCCTTCTGAGGCCACGCTCCTTCCATGGCCTCATTTATATTTTATGATATGGGGAACTGCACTCAAGGTTATGGAAACATTTGGTTCCTCTCCCTGGCACCTCTTTCAGAATCAGAGAATGAGGAAATCTAACTCTTAGAACCCCTGAAGCTCTTATGAACCCAGATATGTTCATCTGTGCAGAGAGCAGCCCTAACTCTCTTCATCTGTTCAGTGAAGTGTATTGGACACAGTTCCTATTTGTTCTAAGTAGAATTTATATCTATTCTACAATTCAGCATTAATTTTGTGGTACAGTTTTCATTTGTATATGCCCTATGTACAGTAAAGGATATTTGTAAATTAAGGGATGAGATAGCTTAAATGACTCACCAAAACAAGATTAAAGCTAAATAGCTGCAGGTGTAGTAATTGAATTGAAAAATACTTCTTGGACACTGGGGCATATTCCCTGAGAATTAGAACTTCATTAGCAATAAATATTTTCATAAGCCACTAACAACTGAGCAGCTTTTTTTTTTTTTTTTTTTTTTTTTTTTTTTTGACAGAGTCTCACTCTGTTGCCCAAGCTGGAGTGTAGTGGCGCAATCTCGGCTCACTGCAACCTCCACCTCCCGGGTTCAAGCAATTCTTCTGCCTCAGCCTCCCAAGTAGCTGGAATTACAGGCATGTGCCACCACAACAGCTAATTGTTTTATATTTTTAGCAGAGACAGGGTTTCACCATGTTGGCCAGGCTGGTATCGAACTCCTGACCTCAAGTGATCCATCTTCCTCGGCCTCCCAAAGTGCTGGGATTACAGGCATGAGCCACCGCGCCAGGTATTGAGTAGCACTTTATCTAAGCAAGAGTAAGTATAAACTAGATATTCTAAATCTTCTGTGCTTTAAAAACAGTATTTCCAAATGTTTAGCTCCAATTGTCTCCTATTCAGCTAAAATGTAACATAACTTTCTGAAAATATGCCCTAGACACTGGGTGTGTAGAAATGGTCTCTTTCACCTCTTGTGCCTTCACCCTGTTTAATCTCAAGTTAGCACAAGGAGTTAGAGAGAGTACAGCTTATAGTATAGGAGATGATATTCTTGCTGCTATATTTACAAGCACGAATGCAAATTTCGCTAGAAGGAACCTCCTGGTGGGATTAATCATCCAAATTCCCATTAGAAAGGCTTTCTGGTGAAAGTAGGACAGGAATAGTGGTGACTGTCCCCTGAGGACTCAGGTGCCATTTCTAATGACTTGTTTTTCTGTGCAAGAAGATGCTTCCGACAAAACTGGCAGAGTTGGCTGTGCTTATTTCCCTTTTTAAAAGTAATGGGAAAAGAAGTAGCTGTGTTGTAACTGCAGAAATTAACCAATCTGTAAAATCAAGTAAAACACAGAAATGTAATGTGGGTGGGGTTAATAAACACAAGATCAGAATAAGACTACACCATTTCTTTTTCAGAGAAATTTGCCATTTTGAGACTACCAAGCCAGGAGAAATTTCAAACCCACTCACCTGCCACTTCATATCTAGTGTATAAATATTTTAGGAAAAGGACTCATGATCCAAGTATTGAGACAAGGGAAAGTTTCCTCCCAACCCCCTACCCACCCCTTTGCAAGAAAGGACACAACTGCCTGGACTTCTCGCCACCCCCACCCTTGGCCAGAGACAGAACACAGAACGTCTGAGGTCAATGAGAAGTTTAACTAACAGAGCTTCTCAAATCTTTCCTTCGAGTGCTCCTCCTGACAGCAGCAAAGCCGAATGAATCTCCCTGAGGAACTGGAGAGAGAGAGAGAGAGAGAGAGAGAGAGAGAGAGAGAGAGAGAGAGAGAGGCAGGCCATGGCAATCCTAGCAGCAAGACATTTCTTTTAAGGAAATTGTATGTTTTATATAAATCATGCTTTATTCAAGAAATTAATGCAAATTTTGCCTTCTAAGTAATTTTACAGCCATGTGAGTTTTAGTATGGTGAGGATGTTTTAAATTGCAACTGTAGCTCTAGGATTGTTTATCCTATGGCTTTTCAGATCCCTGGCACACTTCTTCATCCCCCTGAGGATAGCCTACATGTCAGGCTGAGATGGGAGGTTAATGGATTTTAAAGTCTGCTGCCTTAACGTGACAACTCATAGTGTTGAAACTCGGTTTTGACAGCTTATGCAAGTAGAGGGGGAAAAAGCAAGCATTTTGCTAAAAATAGCAATTGGAGAGGAAGTGCCTGAGCAAGATAAATCAAAGATTTTCCTTCTGTGATCATTATATCTTTCACAAATCCTGAGCAGACATCACACCTTGTCTGTATCCCACATTGCACCATGTATCTAAGTTTCATCTCTCAACTGTGATTGATAAACTCACTAAAGAAAGGTACCGTGCCTCATAATTTTTTGAAGACCTTACTGTTAGCAAAACAATTTTCCATGAATATATGGCTAATACAATTAAGGAATTATTTATGATAAGGATGTTTGCTGTTTACTCCAGTACTCAAGAGTTATGCTAGCAATACACAACGACCTTCGAATCAAAACCACAAGTCTACCCCCAGGAAGCATATGAATCTTCAAGCTTGCAAAAATCACTCTGATCTCCTGCAAAAGTCTCTGGGAGGAAGGTGAATTTAGGAAGCAAGAGGGGAAAGATGTAAAGTCAAACATCTGCAAACAAATGACTTTGTTTAAGAGAATAAGAAAAAAATGACCAGAACATGCTACATACCACCTTTTATGTTAAACATTTACCTGCAAAAATCAAAAATAGATTTTAATCATTCTCTATTGTGGTTTAATGCCCAGGTCCCTTTTTGTGTAAGAAACAGTTGACTTTCAGTTCAAGAATACCCTCCTGCTTCCTGGACAGGGTTGTGAGAGTTTAATTTTCCTAACCCTCCCTGGGAACAAGCCACATGCCTCTGAACAATGTTTCCTGGCATTTTTGGTGGTCAAAGAGGATTGATGACATTGAAGCATATTCAGTACTCAAAGAACCCAGTCTATTTGCCTAAATTCAAACCAAAAAAAAAATCAGTCTACTGTCAGCACAAATATTTCTTGGGAATATGAGAGGGCTCAATGTTGGTCTCTGCTGATGGCAAATTGAGCACTCAGCAGTGGCTGTAGCCATGTCAGCCTTGGTAAGTGGAAGTCCATGTTGCTGAACCCATGTGTAACCTTCATCCCTGCCACCATGGGCCCATTGGGCCATGACAGGGGTGGCTGGGGAAAGTGGCTGAGTGGTGTCCACAGAACGAGTCATCCTATCTACTTGATTATTAAAATCTTCCTCTGCTGAGGTCACCCTTTGGTGAGCATTCACATGAGATACAAATATCTTCACAATTTTGACCACTCAGAGAGGTCCATCCACATACCTCTTCCCCAAATTTCTTTGTCACCAATTTTCCAATCATGCTTCTTCCAAGTCTCTGACCATCCAGCCAAACCATTTGCTACAGCCCATGAAGCAGTATATAATTGCACATCTGACCACTTCTCCTTCCAAGCAAAGCCCACAACCAGATGCACTGCTCGAACTTCTGCCCACTGGGAAGATTTCCCTTCACCACTGTCCTTCAGGGATGTCCTAGAAAAGGGCTGTAGTGCTGTAGCTGTCCACTTTCAGGTGGTGCCTGTATATCGTGCAGAACCGTCCGTAAACCAGGCCCTAGTTTCTCTTCCTCTATCAACTGATCATAGGGAACTCCCCATGAGGCCATCAGTACAGGCTGGGGGAAAGAAGGCAGGGTGGCAGGAATGGAGACCATGAGCATTTGAGCCACTTCTTCTTGTAACTCACTTGTGCCTTCAGGACCTACTTGAGCCAGATCATGTATATATCACTCCCATTTGATGATGAAATGCTGCTGTGCATACCCAACTTTATGGATAGATAGGCCAGAAAGTACCCAGTTCATGATAGGTAGTTCAGGTCGCATGGTGACTTGATAAGCCATAGTCAAACATTCAATTTCTACCAAAGCCCAGTAACAGGCCAAGAGCTGTCTCTCAAAAGGAGAGTAGTTATCTGCAGAAGATGGCAGGGCCTTGCTCCAAAATCCTAGAGGCCTCTGCTGTAATTCACCTATGGGGGCCTGCCAAAGGCTCCAGACAACATCCCTATCTGCTACTGACACCTCAAGCACCATTGGATCTGCTGGGTCATATGGTCCAAATGGCAGGGCAGCTTGTACAGCAGCCTGGGCCTGTTGCAGAGCTTTCTCTTATTCTGGACCCCACTCAAAACTGGCAGCCTTTCAGGTCACTAGATAGATGGGCCAGAGTAACACACCAAATGAGGAATGTGTTGCCTCCAAAATCCAAATAGGCCCACTAGGCATTGTGCCTCTTTCTTGGGTATAGGAGGGACCAAATGCAGCAACTTATCCTTTACCTTAGAAGGAACATCTTGACAGGTCCCACACCACTGGACCCCTAGAAATTCCGCTGAGGTAGAAGATCTCTGAATTTTAGTTGGATTTATTTTTTTATTTAAAATTTACTGTATTAGTTTCTTCTCACGTTGCTATGAAGAAATACCTGAGACTGAGTTATAAAGGAAAGAGGTTTAATTGACTCACAGTTCCTCACGGCTGCGGAGACCTCAGGAAACTTACAATCATGGTGGAAGGCATGTCTTCATAGGGCGGCAAGAGAGAGACAGTACAAGCAGGGGAAATACCAGACGCTTATAAAACCATCAGATCTCATGAGACTCACTCATTATCACGAGAACAGCATGGCGGAAACCGCCCCCATGATTCGATTACCTCCACCTGTGGATTACAATTCAAGGTGTGATTTGAGTGGGGATGCAGAGGCAAACCATATCAGAATAGAAAAATATTTCTGTGTCCTTATGTCTCTGTTAAAGGTCGGAGAACAAAAGGAACAACAAAAGAGCCGGATGTTTCCCTTCTTACATATTTTATACGTAATGTCAACTTCAGCCATGAATATTACTCACCTGGCCCCTGTGGGCCATTGAGTTTTCACTCATTGCATTGAGAAGAACCACGTGCCTGCTTCAGAAGAGACCTCACTTGCACATTATTAGGAAGAATTTGCAAAATACAAACCCTGATATGTCCTGCCATCTCAATCTTTATATACTATGGTGGGATCAGGGATTTGGCAGGGGGTTATGATCAATTGCAGCAATGCAAGGCAGCTCTGCTGTCTTCTATGAAAGAGCAAGTGGCAAGAGGAGCACTCTCCATCTCTAAATAGTCATAAAACCTTTGTGGCAGAGACCAACTGTGGCTGCCTGCACAGTCCCCACTCTCCTGATCATCAAACTGAATAAAAGCAAGATTCCAATGGAACCACAAATAATATGCATCTGTCCTCTGTCCTCCCAAGCATGAAGGCATTTCCAGCTTCAGCCTAGAATATATAGAGCTGGAGAGAGCATTATTACCATTCCCATAACACATCTTTTTTAAAAAGCCGGATCATCTACAAAATCATTAATCTCCTTGAACTCATCAGAGAGTTAAGATTGCAGGGCAACCAAGGAAACTGAATGTAAAGACAGATAGGTACTAAGGAGAGCAAAGATCATCTGGTGGCTATGAAGCAGGCCATCCTGAGGCAAAACTCCTTATCCGAGGAATTCAGAAGTAATTACACTTCCCTATTATCTAAAGCTGGCATCAGTTCCACTCTTCTTTCCCAAAAATGTATAAGTAACTAAAATTTCTATACATCTCTGGAATGCATGCATGTCAAGTCTCATTGTGCAACCCTTGCTGACATCAAGGCACCTAAATGTCCACAAATTTAATCATTTATCGTGACCTACGTGGCTAATGTGGTCCAAATTACCCTGCAGCTCCTGCTTTAAAGTCCATAAATACACTAAGGAAAAGTCCACCAGGTGCACTCATTCCTCTCTTACTGAAGTGCCCTGCTGCACTCTGCTGCAGTGTTCTTTCTACCTAATAAAACTTTCCTTTTCAAGCCTATACTGTTGTTAGTAAATTCTTCTTACTACCCGCGAGCCAATCACTTTCCGTTGCCGGGTCTCGGACACCTTGCCCAGCAGGTGCCTCCAATGAGAGATGACATATAAGCACTGGCTCAAGTATTAGAGAGCATGGGACCAGGTGCGGTGCCTCACACCTGTAATCCCAGCACTTTGAGAGGCCAAGGCAGGTGGATCATGAGGTCAGGATATTGAGACCATTCTGGCTAACACGGTGAAACCCCCTCTCTACTAAAAATACAAAAAAGTAGCCGGGTGTGGTGGCACATGCCTGTAGTCCCAGCTATTCAGGAGGCTGAGGCAGGAGAATCGCTTAAGCCTGGGAGGCGGAGCTTGCAATGTGCCAAGATTGCACCACTGCACTCCAGCCTGGGCAACAAAGCGAGACTCCATCCCAAAAAAAAAAAAAAAAAAAAAAAAAGCATTAGCACGGGAGGGGGATAGTGCCTCCATAAGAGTAGGTAGAAAGAATCCAGCTAGTTTTTTAATGAATTCCTAAAAGTCAAGAGGAGGCTAGCATAGAAGTTGGGAATCTCTGGGATCATGGACATAGGGATTTGCACCACTCACAGACTCTTTCTATGGGCACCCACTGTGTGCTCATGAGAAAAATGGGAGAGAGCAGGGGATAGGAGAAAGCCTCCCTTGGCTGTGCAAGCTTGGCAGAGGGGAACAGTCACCACTGGGGGAAAAGCATGAGCCCCTCTCACATCCTCCTTCACTAAGGAACAAAAATTTTAAGTTACTGGGAGAACACTGGCAAACCGGTCACTTGAGGGCAGTGGGGAGGAGGGAAAAGACAAAGGTCCTCTATCATCGAGGGAGGCACAGAAAGCCCTCTGGACTGAGAACATCTGAGGTTTCCTGTGGCTCAGAGAAGGGCAGGGTCGCTGAAAGTGCACGGCTCCCCCTCCAGAGAAACTGGGACACATGGCCCATTGGACCTGTAAAACAGAAAAAAACTCATACTCATACCACCAGAATAGCAAGCACCATACCATGTAAGAGGCAACCACCATCTGCCACTGGGCAGAGGGGCACAAAAACAATGAGAGAGGCCCTCTCGGAGGTGCAGACACATAAGAAAAGTCTGAGGCTGAGAGTGGAGCAGGAACATTGAGAAACAACCTCCAGCAAACTTGCCCCAACCCTGAGCAAAGGATAATGCTAGAGGAATTTGAAGCCTTTGATCCACTGAATTTACACCATAGCAACAACTACAAACAAGCAACCCCCAAAAATTTAGTGATTCTCCTGACTACATCAATTCAACCCATACGCTAATGGCCCAGCATTAGAGGAAGTGTGGCATTTCCGGGCATAAATGTTATTTATTTCAGCTCCTATTTCTCTACACATGACGTCCAATGTTCAATAAAAAATTATGAGGTACACCAAAAAGCAAGAAAATACCAACCCACAATCAAGAGAAAAAGCAATCAACATAACCAGACTGAGAGATAACCATGTGTTGGAGTGTTGGAGCCATCAGACAGGAAATAACTATGAATAGGAACCAGTGGAATATGAGAAAAACAAGCATGAAGAGATGCAGAATTTTGGCAGGGATATGCCAAAAACCCTTAGAAAGAGTCATATGGAAAAGCTAAAAAAAAATTATTTTTAAAACATGGCGACAAAAAGAACACCTTCAACTATATCAATTAGCATGCTCAGCACAGCCAAGGCAAGAATTAGTGAAATGAAAAACAGGTCAATAGAAAGTACCCAATCTGCACATATTAAGACAAAGAGAAGTGGAAGAAAAAAGCAGAACAGAACAGAACCAAGGATGGAAGAGTTGCAGGAAAACATCAAATAATCAAATAAGGAATCCTAGAACAAGAAGAGAGGCAAAACATAGAAAAGTAACTATTCGAAGAGATAGAGCCTGACAATTTTCAAAAAGTAGAGAAAAATTTAAAAACCACAGTTCCAATATGTTCAGAGACCCCCTAAGCATGTTAACGACACACACGTGCACACACTGCACGTGCACCTAAAAACAATGTAGTCAACTTGGAAAAAACCAAAGACAAATGGAAAATTTTAAAGGCAACCAGAGTGAAATTTGAAACATGTATTATGTCATTACACAAAGGAATAAAGATAAAAATTATAGCAGACTTCTCATCAGAAACTATGCAAACAAGAAGATAGTGGAGTGACATCCTTAAAAAATGCTAAAATGAAAAAAAGGAAAATTGCCAACCCACATTATATACCCTGAGAAAACATATTTCAAAATGAGAGAGAAGTAAAAATCATCAGATGTCAAAAATCAAGAAAGTTCATTAGCAGACAACCTACACTACAAGAAACACAAAAGGAAGTTCTTCAGATAAAAAGAAAATAAACAAAATAATGAAGATTTCCAGAATGGACATATTAAGATAAACATAAATGATTTTTTCTTATTTTTAATTGATCTAAAAGACAATTGATTTCTAAATCAAAAATATATACAATGTATTATATGTTTGTGTTACATATAAAGGTAAAATATATTCCCAAAATAGCATAAAAGATGAGAAGAAGGAAGGTAGTATACTGTTGCAAGGTCTTTATGCCACTGGAGGTGGTATAACATTATTTGTAGGTGGACTGTAATGAATTAAAGAGTTGTGTTGTAAACCATCAGACAACCAGTAAAATGTTAGGAAGAATCAATAAGGCAATAGCAGAGATAAAATTCAATCATAAAAATAATGAATCAAAGCCAATAAGATAATAGATACACCATGAATTAAGGAGAAACTGGGGCTTCCTAAATGCCTAATACTGTTTCTTAAAAATTTAAGCACGTAGAAACTCAGGACCCAGGCTAGGCTGTAAGTATCTTACTAGCAAGTCACCAATAAAATCTAAAACTAACCACCTGTCTTTTAAAAATTAAGTTTAAACTATTAGAACAAACACTAATTACACAGACGTGCTTGAAGATTTGAAAGAATAATCCGTGATACAAAGTAACTTCTATTTAAAGAACAAACCATCTAATCAATGGGCTCACATTATCTCTCTAGCAGCTTAAGCTAATGATTGCAATTCAGTTTCACACTGACTCACTCATTCCTGACCCAAATTTTAAATACCTCTTTCTCTTTGACCTTTAATTGCTGACAGAAAACATTGAAAACTTCTCTAAAAAGCTTAGTGAAAGTAATTTCATTTCATTTGATTTTAGTCCCCGAACAGAAGTCAAACGGATCAACACAAAAACACATGATCAGTCTGGTTCATCAGCATGACCTGAATGTTCCCAAAGAGATCAAATCAGTCCTCCCAGTCTTCCAAAATTAAGCCTTAAGGAAACCTGCAGTAACGCAGTCCCCATGATAAAAATAAAGTTTTAAATTATTACAATTTGTCTGTAGGTTTAAAAACCAAGATTTAGTCATAGTTCCACTCCTTATAAAAAGAATGTGCCGTTACTATCTCTGTCCACCTCCTGGTTCCCGTGATGGTCTGTGTCACTAGTTACTCCATGTAACTCACTCATGTTTGGGATCAGAAGACTTCTTGGCCTCAAGAGATATTTATGGCTCTTTCTATGTGATTCTGCTTTTAGGATTAGTTCTATAAATCTAAATTGTATCTCATAAAATGATTTTTGTTACAGTCATGATAGATTGAAGCAACCAAGGAACAGATCACAATAAAGTTAGTGGAAGAACAACAACGAAAAATTATTTAATTTCCAAAGTATATTTCAATTAGGACACAGCTATAAAAATGCCAGCTTCAAATATTCTTTTGGTGCTTAGATTTTTATTTTCCAGCAGGCCCGTTCTGAAACTCAGCATGCCACAGAAATAATATTCCATTTGGAGGCTTCTGAATTTTCAGTTAACCTATCTGCAAATATTTATGTTATGACCGTGTTGCTGCAAACATTCTAGGTGGAGAAGACTTTGTGAAGGGGATAAGGTGTGGAATACACCCCACACTGCATTTCCTTCCTGCTTTAATCACTGAACATTTAGGCTGAGCTATGTATGAAACTACCAATACTGGACTTGCTTTGACCTACAACAATGGCAGTTTCTTAAGATTCCATCTAATAGCTTTATGACTTGGGCAAGTAGCGTATCATCCTTCCTCTTGTTTCCTCGCCTCTAAAGCTAAATTCTTGACTTTTGGGATCACTTCTGAGATTTCTTCAGGTCATAAAAATATCTGTAACATGATTCTGAAAAAAACCCACAGAAGGTAAAGACATCGACCTGAGAAGTTTACAGTTTAGAGAATTAAAGGAGGTACAAGTGAAAATCCTAAATACCACAGGTCTTGTCAGAGAGTAAAGTCTCCTAAAGTGACTTTTAAAAGATTTCTTACTGAATTTATGATCAGAATTTTTGGTCAGAAACAGATGAGGACATCTTGGAATGTATTTCATTCTGATAATGTGATTTCTGTTAAGATAAATGAAGCCACTTCACAATCATCTTTATTTTGCTTATCTACTTTGAGTGAGAAGTATCCAGGATCACTTTTCAAAGCCAGACTGTCTGGCTACCATGTGCCAGTGTAAAAAGTTGAGATTGTCAGTGACACTTACGTAACCAAGAGTTATATACTTTAGCTATAAATCTCCTGTTTTCTTAATAACCCCAAACCACAAAATATGCTTTTCCCAGACCTGCCTAAACAATCTATTTTCTTGATAATTCTAAAACTGCAGAACATACGTGCCCAGGACTTGTTTACCCTTATGCCACTTTTTCCAAAAACAGGTAATAGTTTGTCTTAGCAGAACAGCGGTGTCACCTCATCCCATTCCCATTTCTCATTTTCCTTTTATTGTGAGCCACCTGTGTTTATAGCATCCCTAGCATCTTGTAGATTCTTGCAGCAAGTTTCTGAGATCGCTGAGAGGAGGCCAGCCATTTCTACCTACCAACCGTGTAGCTGCTAGAAACAGATTCACTAGATTGAGTTTCCTCACTAAGATGAAAAAGAGGATAAGCGATCTGCATATGAGCTCACTTTCAAGGGGGAGGAGCTAAGGAATGTAATTTCATTGATGCTTCACAAAAGAACGAGGCTCACAGGTGAGCGCTAATTAAATATTCATTACTTTTTCTTTCTTTCTTTTTAGCATTTTCTCTTTCTTTCTTTCTTTCTTTCTTTCTTTCTTTTCTTTCTTTCTTTCTTTCTTTCTTTCTTTCTTTCTTTCTTTCTTTCTTTTCTTCCTTTCTTTCTTTCTCCCTTTCTTTTCTTTTCTTTTCTTTTTAGGGTGTCTCTCTCTGTTGCCCAGGCTGGAGTGCAGTGGTGCGATCTCACTGCAGCCTTGACCTCCCAGGCTCAAGTGACCCTCCCACCTCAACCTCCTAAGTAGCTGGCACTACAGGTGTGCGCCGCCATGCCAGGCAAATTTTTATATTTTTAGCAGAGGCGGGGTTTCACCATGTTGCCCAGGCTGGTCTCGAAATCCCGGACTCAAGTGATCCACCCTCAGCTTCCCAAAGTGCTGGAATTACAGGCATGAGCCACCACACCCGGCCTGGAATTTTCAATGTTTAGAAAAGTATATTAGTGATTAACAGCTAAAACACATTTGTTTAAGGGACCTGATTCCAGTAATAAGTAATTTCACCCAATTCAAGAAATAGATCATTTTCTATATGACCTAGGACATGAAAAATCTGGGAGCATACTGAACTATTCTGAGGGTGGCAAGTTACATTGACTGAGAGGTAACTTACTTTAAAAATACTTCAGTATAAAACAGCATAACATATGTGTGCAAAGTGTCCCTTAATCCACACACTAAAGGTGGCCACTTAGCGTATTCAGGAACTCACACTTCAAAGGTAGCTTTGGGGCATTTCAAATATGGTTATTGAAATGGACACCAGAAGGCATATTAATTAAAGACATGAGTGGTGTTTGATACGTGCAGTTGCATACACAAAGTATGAGAATCAGCCAACTGGGCAGGTAAATTTCCCCAGAGTGGCTCAGGATGGGCACCTCGTGACAATTCCATCACCCCACGTTAACGAGAACCCTGTAGTGGTCTGTCTTCAGAGTATCATTGTGTAAAAACCATATGCGATTACAATACAAAGAGCAGACACATAAACATTTAGAAAAGTAACAAGCATTAAAAAGATTACTTTATTAGCTGACACCAGGCAGTAGAACAGAAAAGAGGAAGGAAAAGGAATGCTGTTTTTTCATTACTTAGAGTAGAAAAACGGTAGATTATATATTTAAAAACTAGAGATTAAGTATATTCTATCAAGAGAACCATTAAAACAAAAATACATCACTTCTAAGATATCAGAACTACACCCTGGAAGCAAAGCACACAGACCACATACTGAAAGACTTAAGAAAAAAAAAAACTATTGAAACAGAAAATATAAAATAATTCAAGAGAACAGAAAACAATACTGATTAATAAGTATAAAAGGGGTCACCACTTACTAAACACACACTTAAAACCAAACTCTCTACAATGCACAGTTTCAGTAACCTGCAATTGCTATAAAACTATAGCCTTATGCTTGGTGGCTTAACAAAATAATTCATTATTATTTCTCACAGCCCTGTCAGAAGACCAGGTTCTTCTGGGAACTTCGTGGGGTCTGTCCTCGTGAGGTTGTAGTCAAATGGTGGCTGGAGCTGGGGTCATCTGAAGGCTCAGCTGGGCTGAACCTGCAGGGTAGTTTCTTCCCTGTCTGGTGTCTCAGCCAAGAAGGCTGGAATACCTAGGGGTTGGTCAGGCATCCCTCCCTCTCCAAGCAGCTTGCTTAGCTTGGGATTCCACACAACATGGCGGTCTCAGAATAGTCCATCTTCTTAAGTGGCAGTTGGCTTCCTGCAAGTGTGTTCAAAGGTGAAAGCTGCAGACCTCTTAGGACATCACTTTGGAGGTCTTGTGGCATCACTTCCACCTATATCCTATTGGACTAAAGCAAGTCCAGGGCCAGCCCAAGATCAAAGGGAAGGGTCGACACAAGGAGGGTATTTTAGGGGGGATGGTTCATTGACAGGCTGGACCGTGTTTCATGGGGGATCTGCTAGTGATGCTAGTGACAATGACACACATCATAAATGTGTTTCAGAAAAGTAATAAATAAAAAGGTCAAGATGCCAGCCTTGTGCCAACAAAAAGAAAGCAGAATCTGCCATCTAAAATAGGAACTGGGTAGAATTTGGCAAAATCGCATACACTAAACAAAGAAGGGCATTCTATACTACTAAAAGCTTCAGGTCTTAGGAAATATGTAATCATTATAAATGCCAATATACCAAAAAAATTAACCTTCAAAAAACAGAAATTACAGGAAACAGAAACACACTAGGAGTCAGAGATAACGATTTATTTCTCTCAGCCCATGAAAGAGCAACTACAGTATATATTTTTAAAGACCCCATTAACATGATTAAAAGGTACCTGACATAAAACTTAGCAACCTAAAAATGGAAAACACCATCTTTTCAACTGCCTGTGGGACAATCACAAAAAATGACCATAGATTGGGATATAAATAAAACCTCAATTTATTTTTAAAGACAGAAATAATACAGAAAACATTCTATGATCAGAATGTGAATAAAGTCAGAATAACAAAATCAAAAATTAAAAAGGCCCTTGGGGGCCAAAAATTTGCAAACAACTTGTAATTTTTTGATCACATAGGATAGGAAATTCAGAATGAAAATGTAGAATTTATAGAAAACAATGATAATTAAATCACTATTTATCAGGGCCATAACCTAAAATAATGTCAAAAGAAAATTTATATTCTTAAATATTCATTCTTTTTAAACATTTATTCTTCACAAAAAAAATAAAAACAGATAATTTAAACATCATTTTCAAACACTCAGAAAGAGAATAATAGAAGAAGCAAAAAAAAAATCACAAGGAATTACTAACGAGAGAAGTAAATAAATCACAAACACAAAAGAAGATAACTAATAAATTCAAAAGCTATTTTTGGAAAATACATTTAAAAAGATAAACTACTAATTTCATTTTAAAAGGAGACTATATAAACCCAAAGAAAGAAAGAATAATGAGGACAATCATACATGTAAAAGAAGTAAAAAGAAGCATAAAAGTTTCATATTTCATACCCCGATGTAAACGAATTTTAAAACTTGGAACAAATAAGTAATTTCTAGAAAAATATATAATGTCAAAATGGACAAAGAAAAGACACAAAATAAGATCATTTAAATGCAAGTAATACAGAAAATAGAGCTATTTACCAAAACAAAAACAAAAAAAAACAGGCAGAAGATTTCACAGACAAATTCTGCCAAACCTTTAAAGAATAGATAAGTTCACTATAAATACAATTTTTATTTGTCACTTAAAGAAAAGAAAAATCCAAAATTATTTACATTGTTGCTGGGCATAGAAAAGGAAGGAAAACTTCAAAATTCTGTTTAAGAATTAGCCGGGTGCGGTGGCGGGCGCCTGTAGTCCCAGCTACTCTGGAGGCTGAGGCGAGAGAATGGTGTGAACCCAGGAGGCAGAGCTTGCAGTGAGCTGAGATCACGCCACTGCACTCCAGTCTGGGCAACAGAGTGAGACTCCATCTCAAGAAAAAAAAAAAAAAATTCTTTTAAAGAAGTGAATACAATATTGATACTAAGTGTGGCAAAGACAGTAAATTATATAATATATAAATAGTGATGCAGAAATTCTACATGAAGTATTTCTATCACAATCCAGCAGCGGGTAAATAAAATAATACAACATAATCAATCATGTTTTCTTCAAAAAAAAAAGAGGATAGTTAAACATTAACTCAATATTAGGCATATATTTTCTCATATTATGGACCTAAGTGGAAAAAGCAAATAGTCATTTTACAAACACTAAAAAGGGCATGTTTTGAAGTTCAAATATCATTCTTTATAAAAAGAACTCAATAAAACAGAAATCGAAGGAGATTCCTTAACTTGATAGAATATAATAAAATTACCCTAAATATTAATGGGTAGGAAAAATAAACACCCACCACTGTCACCACTATTGTATAATATTTTAGTGGACTAATCAGCCAATTCAATGATAGAAGAGAAAAAAATGCAAGGCATAAAATTAAAGAATAAAGGTAAAAATCACCCTTGTTTGTAGATGATGTGATTGTTTACCAAGAAAGGTCTGAAAACCAACTGAGAAATTACAAGGCAGGAAAAGAGGAGCTAGAAACACAATAGAGCACGAATTAATATTCAGAAATCAATAGCTTTCAGATATGTACAAAGACAACAACTTAGGAAAACCATTGGCTGCAACAATGATAGGACAGCAATAAAAGGTAAAATATGTAGGAACACACGAGGAATGTGAGCACGTATTAATAGGAAACTTTAAAACTCTCTTGGGAGACATGGCACAGGCTTGAACAAATAAAAATGCACACTGTGTTCTTGGCTAGAAAGACATAATGTTATAAAAATGTCGGTCTACCCTATCGTGTTTACCAATTTAACATTTCAATAGAAATACCAGCTTTGTGGGCTGTGGGGAGGGATGGAGCAGTAGAGAGCAATTAGACAAGCTGATTCTGATATTTATGTAGAAAAATAAACAGAACAGCTGGGAAACTTTAAATGAGAAAAACAAAGAGAGAGTCCAGGCCCTATCAGATATTCAAATATATTATGCTTCCTCAAAAATGAAAACAAATTTGAACTGGCTCATCAAGAGACTGATTAATGGGATTAAATAGAAAGTCCAAATACAGACTCAATACATAAAGGGATTGAGTATATGATAAAGGTGGCATCTCTAATTAATAGGGAAAAATGTGTTCTCCCATAAAAGATGGTGAGACGTTGGTTAGGCATGAGGTATTGGACTTATAGTTCACACTAGAATGCTGTAGGATGACTTCTAATTAGATCAGAGATTTAAGTCTGAAAAAACTAAGCCGTAAGAGTGCTAGAAGAAAACATGACTAAATGTCTTCAGAACCCTGGAGTAGAGGAGGCCTCTTTACTCTGATGTAAAATCAGCTTGACCTGACAGAAAACAAAAATTGTCAACTTTACGTGTACAAAGCTAAAATCCCTCTTGATGACAAAAACAGAGCAAAGCAAAATAAACACCACAGCAAGCAAAGACAAAGGCCAAACTGAAAACAGTCTTGCAACTCTCTATCATAGGTAAAGGGCTAGTCTAATATATAAAGAGTATTACCCATCAATAAGGAAAAAAATAAACATAGAAATCCAAAGCTAGCTCAATATTTTAAAGCAGATTCAGCCTCCTGCATGAAAAGAAAATGAAAATTAAAACTTATTCTTAGAAACCAAGGCCATAGACTTAACTCATAAACCTCAGAACCAACTGGCATCCCGAACACTCTCCTATCACATTGCAAAAACTCACTCCCAGCCTCTGGAATTGCCCCCCGCCATTCCCTCCTTTTTTATTTTATTTATATATTCACCTCTCTCTCTTTTTTTTTTTTTTTTTTTTTTGAGACAGAGTCTTGTTCTGTCACCCAGGATGGAGTGCAGTGGTGGGATCTCGGCTCAGTGCAACCTCCGCCTCCCAGGTTCAACTGATTCTCCTGCCTCGGCCTCCCAAGTAGCTGGGACTACAGGTGTCCACCACCATACCCGGCTAATTTTTGTATTTTTAGTAGAGACGAAGTTTCACCATGTTGGCCAGGCTGTTCTCGAACTCCTGACCTCAAGTGATCTGCCTGCCTCGGCTTCCCAAAGTGCTGGGATTACAGGCGTGAGCCACCATGCCCAGCCTATTTATGTATTTACTTATTTTTTGCACTCTGCTTGCTTACAAGGCTAAAATCTAAATACACAGCTTTCTGACGAGCTCAACCTTCTAACCATTCTGTGAAAGGCTCAGATGGGAAAGGTACCACCTCTGTTGCCCTTTGCTCTCTCTCTTTTTGTGGACTTATCATGGCTCTAATGAGTTTATCTACTTAATGATTGTGTTTTCAGTCCTCCATTTTACCCTTTAGAAGGGCTTCAGGAAATACCCAAATTAATTCTGCTCTATTAATCTCTGCTTCCCCAATTTCCTTCCTCCAAACAACTTCCTATTTTGTTTCTATCTCCACTCACTGCACACCTTTGGAAATAAAAACTGCTGAGTAATTTAAATTATCTGCCTCTTGTTCTGCCATTGGGGCCTTTTATTTCAAGGGACTATCCCCGTCATGGGGTAGAGAAGAGCCTCTTCCATTATAACCCATTATTTGCTATAAATGTACATTTGCCCTTTCTCTTCCATAGCTAATCTTCCCCATCTACCTATGGGCAGATATCCCTTCCCTATGGGGACATAGACATTGCATGGAATCGTGGGTCAATGCTGGGGTTGACCACCACACCCCGTCCGAAAGTGCAGGCACACCTCTGGGACCTCTCAGGGCCCTCTCCTAGAAGCCTCATTGATGTTGCAGTGGGGCAGAAATTGATCCACCCCCCTCCCCCAGACTGTCCTGGATTTTATCAGATGCTTGCCTAACTAGGTGTTCCATTCATACAGCTGCAACAACCGGCCCACTGGGCCTTGGCTTCAGATAGTCATTGTTTTCAAGGTTGCATAGTTTGCCTAGAGCCCCTGGAATTGAGCTAAAACCTCACAAGTTGTGATCCTTTCTAACCTTAAAGACACCATCCACTGGCCTGGCGCAGTGGCTCACACCTGTAATCCCAGCACTTTGGGAGGCCGAGGCGGGCAGATCATGTGGTCAAGAGATCGAGACCATCCTGACCAACATGGCGAAACCCTGTCTCTACTAAAAATACAAAAATTAGCTGGGCATGGTGGCACGCACATGTAGTCCCAGCTGCTCGGGAGGCCAAGGCAGGAGAATTGCTTGAATCCAGGAGGCGGAGGTTGCAGTGAGCCGAGATCATGCCACTGCACTCCAGCCTGGCGACAGAGAGGGGCTCTGTCTCAAAAAACAAACAAACAAACACAACAACAAAAAAACACCATCCACCTACTTCAAAATACAAAGACCTGTTGACTGACGCTTCAAAAGTGAATTCAGGTGAGAGCAGGATGCCACAGATACACTGGGCACAGCGACTCATCTGGACTGCAAAAAAAAATCGTTGTTTCCTCAAGACATTTTTAATTAATGTGAGGAGAATCCCCACACTGAGAGCAGACATCTACTGACCAAATAAGCATGCTAAGAGCTGCTCCTGTTTGTGTCTTAGGGGAAGTGGAGGAAAGACCATTAACTTAGCCATTTTTCCCTTAATCCCTTTTACAGTGTGAATTGCCACAGAGTTCCAAATTATACCTAATGTCTTATAATCAATTATGAGTTCCATGAAATATTTCATCTCTGTTTTTTAGTGCCTGAATAGTGTGAGCCAAAATTGTTTTAACTCCCCATAAATTTTCTTTTAATGAGTGTATCATCCATATAAGGGATTACATAAATGTCTAAGGGAGTGTATTAGTCCGTTCTCACAATGCTGTGAAGAAATAGCCGAAACTGGGTAATTTCTGAAGGAAAGAGGTTTAATTGATTCACAGTTCCTCATTGCTGGGGGGCCTCAGGAAACTTACAATCATGACAGAAGGCAAAGGAGAAGTAGGCACCTTCTTCACAGGGCGGCAGGACAGTGAGTGCAAGCAGGGGACATGCCAGTTACCATATCAGGGAGACCTTAATAGTGCCTACATCTTGTCCATCTGAGACGTGTGTGATATGGCTTAGCTCTGTTTCTCCACCCACGTCTCACTTTGAGTTGTAATCGTAATCCCCATATGTCAAGGCTGGGACAAAGTGGAGGTAATTGACTCATGGGAGCAGTTTCTTCAATGCTGTTCTCATGATAGTGAATGAGTCTCACGAGACCTGATTGTTTTATAAGCGTCTGGCATTTCCCCTGCTGGCACTCATTCTCTCTACTGCCACCCTGTGAAGAGGTGCCTTCTGCCACGATTGTAAGTTTCCTGAGGCCTCCCCAGCCATGCAGAACTGTGAGTCAATTAAACCTCTTCCCTGTATAAATAACCCAGTCTCGGGTATCTCTTCATAGCAGTGTGAGAACAGACTTATACAATGTGCAATCACTATCTCTTGATGTAACCCTGTACCAGGTGTACAAAGATATATTTTGCCTCTTGTGAAGTGAAAGCAACTTGTCTCTGAGATGTCTTATAGATTAGAATGTGTGATGTGGACAATGTCAAAGAGCTCTGCGTTTCTATTGTCTTATTTAATAACAGATTACCTATTATAAATTTCTGTGGCCTTCTAACTTTTCCAAGCACGAATTGTATGATTGCAGAGTCTTATAAGTTTGAAAATCATCACACTCTGAGTAGTTGATAAAGTTTGGATATTTGTCCCGTCCAAACTCATGTTGAAATGTGATCCCCAGTGTTGGAGGTGGGGCCTGGTAGGAGGTGTTTGAGTCATGGGGTGAATCCCTCATGAACGGCTTGGTGCCCTTCCTGCAGTAATGAGTGAGTTATCACTCTGTTAGTCACCTGGAGATCTGATTGTTAAAAAGAGCCTGTCACTTGCCCACCTTTCTCCCTCTATCACCATGTGACACACCTGCTCCCCCCTCACCTTCCACCATGAGTAGAAGCTTCCCGAGGCCTCACCAGAAGCGGATGATGGCACCATGCTTCTTGTACAGTCTGCAGAACCGTGAGCCAAATACACCTATTTTCTTTGTAAATGACCCAGTCTCAGGTATTTCTTTATAGCCATGTAAAATGGACTAATACAGTAGCCAAGACAAGACAACCTGTGTACCTGGGTAGCTGCTGAGCCTCTAGAGGAGACGCAGATGCTATTCTAGTTATATATCTTGTCCCACATCGTTTCATAAAACCAAGCTGTTGACTATTGATACACTCAACAACTTGGATAGCTCTCAAGGGAGAGGCATCTAAGCGAATCATGCTGAGTGAGGGTGGAGAGACAATCTCAAAAGGTTATATATGGCATGACTCCATTTACATTACATTCTGGAAATGACAGTTATAGGGATGGAGAACAGATTAACAGGTGTCAGGGGTTAGGGATAATGGGGAAAGTTCCATGACGGCTGTTAGTGGAGAAAATAAAGGCAATAGAGAACATAAGGCAATTTCATGTTATTCTCAGCAAATCAAGACTCCTCAGTCCAGCTTGGGGCCCTTCCTTACCTGCTGCATAGAGAGTTATCAATGCACAGACATACTCATTGTTCCTGCTCAGAGAGAAAACCCAGAGCAAAAGGGTAAGATTACCAGGAAACTTTTCTACTAAATGAGAAGAAAAATGTTCCTAATGCTCAGAGCTGCCTAACAGAGTGCCCTGATGACCCTTGAAAGGCAGGAATATTGGGAGGGGGGACACTGAGCCAAGGCTGGAGAGCCAAAAGTGACTGTCCATTGATCACCATGCTTCCATCGGGTGGGAGACCAGGCAGAAACCCTCTGAAGTCCTTTCCAATGCAAAGTCTCTGAATTCCACATTCCTCCTCTCTAAACAAAATACTTCAAAGCCTTCTGCCTGCTCTTGGTTAACCTTGCCAACAAAAGCATACAATGATGTGAGCAGATCCATAAATTCTCCACTCTTAGATTTGTAATGCCATACCATTTTCTTGGTGTGGAATACTTGGATTCATGCCTGCTTTTCCTTTTCAATACCATCTCCCTTACTGAATGCAATTCAGTCTTCCTTACTGAAGGCAGAGGAGAGGTCTGAACATCTTGAGGAGGAACCATCCTCTGCCTCAGACAATGCACAGAGGCACGTCCACAAGTTGTAACTCCCTCTCCAAGCATCACTGGGAGCTGGGCAGCAGTTTGTTAGGGCCAGTAGGAAGAAACAAGTTGATGCATTTGCTTTTCTTCTGTGACCTTCTTGGTTTCCTTTAAAAGTTCATGGCAGATCATGAAAGCTTCTCTCTTCCCTCTTATCCTCCCTTCACCCATTTTTTAATGTGGCACAAATAAGAGTTCAATAGTTTTGCCTTTGCTTTTATACAGTTAATTTAGAATAAAAAAATGAGCCTGTTCCTGCCTTCCAGCAACATAAGCCAGGAAAAAAACACATGATGAGTCTCTCCCTACAAATCACCGGGAGGCCTCCCACTTCCAGACTCTCATTACAGTTTTATTGGGTTTTTGTTTGTTAATTTTTATTTTATGACAGAGACTGGTTTCCTGAAGAAATGCTATATCTGTATTTTGGGCATTTAAAATTTTTCTGACAGCTTTATTGAGGTATAATCGATATACAAAAAAAACTGTACATATTTCATGTATACAATTTGGTGAGTTTGGACATATACATACACCTGTGAAACCATCACCACAATCAAGGTGGCAGACATGTCCATCACCTCCAAAATTTTCCTGTCCCTTTATTCTGAGGTAGTAACACTTAGCATGACAGCTACCCTTTAAGCAAATATTTAAGTGCATAATACAGTATTGTTAATGATAGTCACTATGTTGTAAAGCAGATCACTAGAACTTACTCATTTTGCATAGCTTAAACTTTACATCCACTGAATGCAAAGTTCTGTAAGCATCTCCTTGAGGTTCTTAGACCTTAATGCTACTTACATAATTGAAATTGTATATGTTGACCCTTGTCTACATTTAGCCAATCTAGCCTGTCTTCTATGCATATTTGAAACCACTTCTCACCCTGCCAATTTAGCTCGTAGCTTATTGACGTGATAATTCACCTCTATCCCTCTCTGCACCTACTTCTTCTATGCCTTCCTTTTCCCTGGAAGCTTGCATCCCAAGCTATGTGTCTATCAGGGACCCCCAGACTTGGCACTAGTGACATTTGGAGCCAGGTGGCTCTTTGTTCTGGGGGCTGTGCTGTGCACTGTAGGAGGTTTAGCAGTGACCCTGGCCTCAACTCACTAGATGCCAATACCACCACCCCCAGCTGTGACAACTAAATAAGTCCCCTGATATTGTCAAATGTGCCCTAAGGAGAGGAGAAAAATCAAACTCCCCTCCCACCCTCATTGAAACCACTCACTACCTAGTCAATAGGAAAAGGGCCTCTCAGATCCCTCCAGTGTGATTTTTATAGAAAGCACTCACCTGGGCTGACGAGGAGACCACTGTGTAGACCCCTGAGGGGAGCCCTTGTGTAGACACCAGCATGGGTGTGACTGGGAACAGGAGAAATGCACAGAGAATGCAGACTGTCCTCCAGAACAGTCACAGTCTCCCAGACTTCCCTCTGAGAAGATGGGACCTGGCATTTGGAGGGGATGCTACAGGGGAAGCAGCTGTGATTGAAAGGGGTAGATGGAGTCTGCACACTAGGCAGGCCGGGGAGGAGATTTGAGAGGACTCAGCTCAGACAGAACAGACCCGTCAAGTGCAGAACATCAGGACATAATATAGATCTGCATTTCTGGGAGCCAATTTTTGAATGGGAAAGGCATGGCCAGATGACCCAGGTTCAAGCAGGCTGGATCCACAGTGGCAAAGTCAAAGAATCACAATGCATGCCATGAACCCACCAAAAGCACTGGGTCACACCCAGGTTGTGAGGCCAGGCTTGGTTTCCTTAAAGCCTTTTTGATGGGGCCCAGGGCCAGAGATGAGTGAACTTTAAGTGAAAGATGGGTGCTGGGCTGATGAAAATGGCTTCACCTCCCCCTCACCGCTTTGCTTATCTTCTGTATGGTTGTGTGAAAACATTCCACTCACTCCTTCCCTCTGAGAAGCCTTATATTTGTCCACATGACTAGCTTTCTTCCAACCCCTGACAGCACTCACATGCACCTATTAGAGTAAATTACCCTGCAACCAAGAGACCCTGGGAAACGGAAAAGCAGAGGAAGTAGAACACTATGGAGCCAGGGAGCCAAGGGCATTCTCCCACTTATTGACCTATTTCCATATCCAAAAACCTAGGATTCACTTGTTTAATAACTTTACTTTCAGGCCAGTAGAGCCAATTTGTTCTCCTGCTACTTCCCTCTCTAAGACAAAAATGCAAGGTGTTTTCCCATCAGAAAGAACGAGCTACCAGTCCCTGCATCAACCTGGATGAGTATCACAGCTGCTGCTTTGAGGAAAAGCAGCCAGACATACAAGAGTCCAAGCAACCTGCTCCCACCTCCGTGGACTTTACAGATAATGGAAAACATGGATGATGACGGAAGTCAGAAGAGTGGCTCCCTCAGGTGTAGAGACAGAGACTGGCCAAGGGCAGGAGGGGTACTGCTGGCTACGAAGGTGTAGACAGATGTAAAATGCATCATGCTGTATGCTTAAGATTAAGGGCATGTACACCGCATGCCTTTTACTGCTGGTAAGTAACCACTCCATTTAAAAGTTAAGTGGCTTTCAAATAATGTAAGATCTTAACAATGAAAACAACCCAGGAAGCACAGTGCTTCCAAGAAATCTATTCTGACATGAGAAGAATGCATAACACGTTTGTTCTACATGTAACAGAAAACATGACTAATTGCTCTCAAAACATAAAGTGGTATATTTCCCACTCTATGAGAGTGACATTTTGAATTGAGTGAAAAGCTTCCTGGAGCCTTGTTTGTAGATGAGAGGGTCATAAAATGTAAAAGGATGTATGCACAATGGAGTGCTGTTCAGCCTTTAAGAAGGAAATCTCCACATCTGCAGCAATGTGCATGAATCTGAAGCATATTATGCTAAATGAAATAAGACAGGCACAGAAAGACAAGTACCGCATGGTCCCACTTACATGTGGAATCAACAAAAGTCGAACTCACAGAAGCAGAGATGAGAATGGTGATTACCAGTGCCTCGGAGTTGGAGGGTAAAAGAGATGTTGGTCTAAGGATACAAACTTTCAGTTAGACCAGGAGGAATAATTTCATTGTGCAACATGGCCAAGATAGTAATAATGTATCATATTCTTGAAAATCACTGAGAGTAATTTCTAAGTATTCTTACCACACACACACACACACACACACACACAAAGATAAGTGAGATAAGGCACATTAATTAGCTCAATGTAGACATTCCACAATGGGTACATATTTCAAAAGATCACATTCTACACAATAAGCGTATACTATTTTATTTGTTCATTAAATAAATATATATATAAATTTTTATGTGCGTGTGTGTTTGTTTCAGACAGAGTCTCACTCTGCTGCCCAGGCTGAAGAGCAGTAGCATGATCTTGGCCCACTGCAACCTCCACCCCCCCGGTTCAAGGGATTCTCCTGCCTCAGACTCCTGGGTAGCCGGGATGACAGGCGCAAGCCAACACACCTGGCTACGTTTTGTATTTTTTTGGCATAGACCAGGTTTTGCCGTGTTGCCCAGGCTGGTCTTGAACTCCCGACCTCAAGTGATCTGCCCCCCTCAGCCTCCCGAAGTGCTGTGATTACAGACTTGAGCCACCACACCCGGCCTAAATAAATATATTTTTAAAGGTGAAAGGAAACAGAGGAAAGTATAACCAACAGCAGAATCTACTGTGGATGGCAACCATGTGGAAACAGCATCCTGTGCCATCAACATCCTGGTGTCACGGATCCTTGTCCCTGGGGTTCACTATGGACGACCTCAAAGGTGGCGTGTGGAATTTCCGAGCCTGGCTTCAGCACCTTGAATGCAGACTTACTGTGATGTGATTCGCAAGGACAGCTGCATTTCAATCTCCGTGAGGGCTGGTCCATTAAACTTGATGTGTCTGTCTTATAACTACCACAGGGCAGCTGAGACGCTGGCCACCCTCCTTCAGAGGACCTGAGCCCAGACAAACCTGATGGTCACCTCCACCAAATGGGCGTATCTACCGTGTGTTTTGGTGTCTGCATAACTTCTAGCCCTTGTCGTGTTGCCTCAGGAAGACGTGAGTAGCTTGCATCTGGAAAATTAGACTGGAAAAGCAGACTCAAGTCTGAAATCTGTCTCAAAACCAGATGGCCTGGAGAGCTATTTTCATCTTTTTGTCTGCTCTTTTGCTACTCAGGTTCTAGGTTATTTAACTTATTTTTCTTTCTTTTTTCAACTTTTATTTTAGTTTCAGGGGGTACATGTGCAGGTTTGTTACCTGGGTATATTGCGTGATGCTGAGGTTTGGGGTACAAATGATCCCATCACCCAGACACTGAGCATGGTACCCAACAGTTAGTTTTTCAACCCTTTCCCCCTTTCACTCTCCCCCCTCCAGGCTCCCGTGTCTATTGTTGCCATCTTTATGTCCATGAATACCCAATGTTTAGCTTATAAGTGAGAACTCACTTTTAAGTGAAATTATGCAGTATTTGGTTTTCTGTTCCTCCATTAATTGGCTTAGGGTTTGTTCTTTTTCTTTTTTTTTTCTTCTTCTTTTTTTTTTTTTCAGCTGAGGATCTAGATCTAACCCAATGGGGTCGTCTTCTGTTCCAGATAGTTTCAGGAGTGATAATGAAAACCTCTCTGCAGCCTCCAACTTAGAAATAAGACACGCAATCTGTGGAATACAGTATTGTCAGCAGTAGGATGGTTTCCATGGTAAGGACCAGACTGTTTCAGTAGGTCACCCAGACTGTGCAGACTTGTCCCTGAGCTGCTAGAGACACAGATGAGCCAACCAGAAAAGCAATAAAAGTATGAAACAGAGATATTAAGGATGCAAGAGTGTTGTTTACCGCAAATATTGTCTCCAGGCTGTCTGCACAATAAGCCTGGTGCTACATTTTAAATGCAGCCAGTAGTGACAGGAGAAAATTTTAAATGTCAAGCAAATTCAAAAGAAGACAAGAAAATGGTTTTAAACAAGGTCCTAAGGCATTCACTTGTAGAGCACCAGGGTGAAAATGAGCATTTCCTGGAAATTCAGCTGGCAAAATATCTCTATGCAACAGTGTAAGCTCTCCCAGAGCATCTTATTTTTTTACCTCCTGACTTTTCCAGGCTCCCTCTCCATTCGCTTCCAGCTGGGCATGAACAAAGACTGTGGAGTCATAAAGTCCTGGGTTTGATTCCCATCTGTGCCACTTATTTAGCTGCGGGACCTTGAGCAAATTGCCATTTCTGCTGAGCCTCTGCTTCCCTTTTTTGTTTGGTTGGTTGGTTGGTTGGTTGGGTTTTGTTTGTACGTTTGTTTTTGTTTTGTTTTTCTGAGACTGAATCTCGATCTATCACCCAGGCTGGAATGCAGTGGCACCATCTGGGCTCACTGCAACCTCTGCCTCCCCAGTTCCAGTGATTCTTGTGCCTCAGCCTCACAAGTAACTGGGATTACAGGCGCCTGCCACCACGCCTGGCTAATTGTTGTATTTTTAGTAGAGATGGGGTTTCATCATGTTGGCCAGGCTGGTCTCAAACGCCTGACCTCGAGTGATCCACCTGCCTCAGCCTCCCAAAGTGCTGGGATTACAGGCGTGAGCCACTGCACCACCTGGCCTGCTTCCGTCTTTCAAATGGAGATAATAAAACCTTTGTCCTAGGACTCTGAGAAGATGAAACAAAGCATTAGAACACATAGCATGCAGTATTCACAAATATACTAATTAACACCCCGATTCCCCTTTCTGCCCTTGTGAACTCTCACTGCTAAAAGTAGGCTGCGTAATGTGACTTAAATTCCAAAGTGCAGAATGAAGCAAGCATGCCTCTTTAGGAAAATCATGAAGATCTACAGCAGATGTCAGCAAGCTTCCTGTAAAGAATCAGATAGTAAATAATTTTGGCTTTGTGAGCCACATGGACTCTGTTGCAAATTCTCAACTCTGCCATTATAGCATGAAAGTAGCCGTAGACAATAGGTAAACAAGGGTGTGGCTCTTTCAATACAATTGTATTTACCAAAGCAGGCTGGAAGCCATAGTTTGCCAACCTCTGGTCTATAGTTTATTGCTAAAAGTAGACTGTTGATTTCTGGTTTATTATAGTAAGTATATTCTTTAATGGCAGAGGATTAGAGAGAAAAGAACACTGAAATTGGGAAAATTGCATTTGACTCCCGACAAGTCCACTTGCTGCTCATTTACTCTTGAGCAAATCACATAATGTCCTCAAGCTTTGTTCAAAAGTTTGCTGAGAGGCTTAAATGCAGGAGGAGTAGAGTAGTCAATTTCATGTGTCAACTGCACTGGACTACAGGGAGCCCAGATACTTGGTCAAACATGGTTCTGGGTGTATGTGACGGTGTTTCTGGATGAGATTCCCATTTGAATCCATAGACTGAATAAACCATAATGCCCTCCCCAGTGTGGATGAGCTTCATTCAATTAGTTGAAGGTCTGAATAGAACAAAAGGGCTATCCTTCCCGTAAGTAAGAGAGAATTCTTTCTGCCCAACAGGTTTGAACTAAGGCATCGTCTTTTTCCTGCCTTCAAATTCAAACTGAAACGTCAGATATCTTCCTGGGTCTTGAGCCTGCTGGCTTTCAGATGGGAGCTACATCATAAGTTCTCTTAAGTTCTCTTAAGTCCCCAGTTTGCTGGCTGCAAATCTTGGGACTTCTCAGGCTTCTTCTCTTTCTTTTCTTTTCGTTCTTTCTTCCTTCCTTCCTTCCTTCCTTCCTTCCTTCCTTCCTTCCTTCCTTCCTTTCTTTCTTTCTTTTTCTTTCTTTCGTTTTGAGACAGGGCCTCACTCTGTTGCACAGACTGGAGTGCAGTGCAGCGATCTCGGCTCACCACAACCTCCACCCCGAAGAGTTTAAAAGTGGTTCACTTGCCTCAGCCTCCCAAGTAGCTGGGACTACAGACATGCACCACCATGCCCATGAAATTTTGCATTTTTAGTAGAGACAAGGTTTCACTATGTTGCCCAGGCTGATCTCGAACTCTTGATCTCAAGTGATTCACTCGCCTCAGTTTCCCAAAGTGCTGGGATTACAGGCATGAGCCACCACGCCCGGCCCATAATTATTTCTTAAGTATCTGTGATGATCAGTACATGCACAGGACCTAAGATGGAAACAAAGAGGAAATCACATGCATCTTCCAAACTCGAGGCCATAAGACTTAAATTGAATGTGATCTGGGCCATGAAATTATAGCCCCAAGATACAGTCCCTAAAGCCTAGGTTCATTTCTGGTGAGAAAAATCCTCATTCACCCCAGTAAAAAGGCAGCAGAGATGTATGCATCTTATTGATGAATAATTCTCTCTTAAAAGAATTTCGCACCAAAGATTTCCTTCATAGTCACCCTGGAATTGCTTAAATACGTAGCCTCCTCTAATTTGCCTGCCTGGCAGAAGCCCAACCTCAGCTTTCTGAGCATCCATATCCCAATGAAGAAGTCCCCATTGACTCCAGCCTCATGTCCCCACATCCTCTTCTTGCCCCACCACTCTATCTATTGACAGAATCTTGTGTAGACCTGCACCCTGATTGATGAGACAAAGACGACAGAGGCAAAAAAAAAAAAAAAAAAAAAAAAAATCTGGCAACAATCACAGCACCAAAACCTAACACTCCAGTGGGGTTTAGATGACATACATGCATGTTGCCTGGAGCTAGGTTTTGATAGCTTTGCTCCAACTTCTGGGCTCAGGCCTTTCTCCACCTGCTGCCCAAGTACTGGGACACTGTAATCCTTGTGCTTCCTCCAAAGTTGTCTAATCATTCAGCCAGCCTACTCCTCCAATTCCTGATAAAGAGCAATCATTGATGGGGACCACAAAGAGATTGTGGTGTCTACCTGCCACAGTCTACCTGCCACAGGTAGACTGCACCCTCAGTGCCATCCCCAGCCCTGCTGATGTCAGATGAGACCGCTATCGAACAACGCTTCCTCCTCCCCAATCTCTCCCTCTCCCCTTCCTTCCTCCCTCCCATCATTAAATTCGCTGTCTCTTTACCAAGTTTCCTAAGCTTTTTACACCCTTAGGAACTGTTCCTTGAGCAACACACTGCAACATGGGTGCACAAGAAAATCCACTGGGATATAGAAAAAAGTTGTTATATTTTCTACTTATGTTAGTTTACGTGGCCCTTTTTAAACTTCTATTTTTGCATACATTTTATCATGTATATTAGTATAATGTTTCATATAAAATACATTTAACTGTAGGTATGTATTTGCAGATATGTCATTCACATATATGCATATACAATCATATAGATGTATGTATGTATAATTATATGTGTATATATTTATGTATACTCATACACATCTGGTAGAGGTGCTCCTGGTTTTTAACAGACAAGGGTGCATAATCAATAAAGCTTGGAGAACACTGCTTTAAAATGCATAGTCCAATTCTACCCCAAAGCCACCTGCCTGTTCACCATCTGACATCTGTGAGAAGCTCTGCACCAGCCTACACATCATCTTCCTCTTCCCTACTGGCTATTGAGGTCCAAGCTCCCTCAACTTCCAAGATAGTCCCAAATCATCTCTACCTCCTGGCATTCACACCCTTGTGTAATCCCCTCCCCTTGAGTGTGGACTGGCCCAGTGACTTGCTTCAGACCAATAGCATCTTTCAAAAATGATGGGATGACACTTCTGTGATTAGGTTATAAGACTGTGACTGTTTTGGTCACCAACTTTCAATGGCCTTCTTGGTTTGCACACTTCAATGTAGCAAACTGTCATGTTATAAAGGCCCATATGTCAAGGAACCAAAGGCACCCCCAAGCAACAGCCAGCTAGAAACTGGGGCCCTCAGTCAAACAGTCCTTGAAGAATTATTTGCATGACAACAAAATAAGCTTGAAAGCAGATCCTTCCCCAGTCCAGCCTTTACATGAGATGTCAGTCCTGGCTGACACCCTGATGGCAGTCTTGAAAGAAACCCCAATGTGGAGAACCTAGCCAGGCTGTGCCCAGATTTCTGTCCCACAGATACTGTGAGATAATAAGTGTGTTATTTTTTAAGCTGCTACAGTTTGTGGTAATTTGTTATGCAGCAGAGGCTAATTAACAGTGCTTTCTCACCAAGGCTACCTGAGGTTTATTATTCTTAACTTTTCATCTGTGCTTTGTGGTAATTTAAGAGTTTTTTGCTTTTCTCCTAACTCCCATTTCTTTCTGACTTTCTTCCTTGCCTCAAAAATTCCCAGGCATGAAGTGCCATTTCTCTCACCGATCCTGGCTTCCAACAGTAACTACTGTACAAGCTACAAGCCCATCAGAGACACAAGGCAATATAGTCTGCTTCTTCCAGCCTTCCTGTCCCTGGCTGGTATGGAAAGTTGTTCCTTATCTGTGATAAACCATGGAGCCTACTGGGAATCAGGAAAATTTCTCCAGATCTAAGAAAGGAGCCCTGAATTCATAGGTGTTCTAGCCCATCTGAGCTTTTGATATATGGTAGAAGCAACAGCCAGGATCTGGACAAGAGACAGCTACTGTCACCGACCCAACCCACCATGCCTGCCTTGAGTTATAAAGTCATGCCTTAGGCATTCAGTGAGTAGGAGAAGAAACTTGAAGACTCTTTGCTCCTATCTAACTCTGACTCTCTTCCATCTCTTAAGCTGGTCACCAGCCCTACCCTTCCCTACTAGTTACTTTCAAGAGACTCCAAGCTTTCCTAACTCTATTATAAACTTTAGACCCCTAAATCTACACTGCCTAGTTCTGGATCAATAAATGTTGAATGAGGACATAAATCCCTGGAGAAATTCATGCAGCTGTAATAATAACAGTGGAATGATTAAAGATTCATAACTAAGAAAAAAATTCATTTGCTACTCTCAAAAAGAGTTCCAGATACACACTAAAACCTTCTCTTGAATCAGTATAATCGAGTGTTACATTATATTGGAAGACTAGAAATATATATATATGCTCTTCATAGTACTGATACGTCTCTTTGTCTCATTTACTAATAGGGTACACAATCAAAGTTTGGAAACCACTGTTTTCAATCACCCAGAGCAACTTTTGCCACCAAACTGCCTACTCCTTCTGAATCTTACATCCTGACATTTTAATAAATTGTTTGTGAATAAAATATTCTAAGAGCAGGAAAGAAGCTGAATATGCTAGAGTTGTGTGTTTTCTGCCTCTCTCCCTTCCTTGCACGGCCATCACTTAACTGCCTGATATGGCCCTTTATGGAAGTCTCCTGCAGTCTATTAGCAGGAAGGGCAGAGTTGCTGCCTCACTGTTATTTTTTTAAAACCACGTGTTCCATTATTTTTCCAGTAGGTAATCACATAGGTTTCTCAGTGTAAGGAAACAAGTTGGATACAGTGGTGATCAATTTTTCATCAACATGCCCAAGAATATGTGTCCCATGAATGCAAATTTCTTAGCATGCTAAACTTCCAAAAATCAGAGCACTCAAGTGAGTTTAAAGAAAAAGGAAACTAAACACTTAACATTTTTAAATGCAGAATTAAATATTTGGTCAGAACTCTTAAATTACCAAAATACATTGAAAAGTGTAGAAATAGCTTGAAGACTCAGAGGAATCAACACTCTGCAGGGCTAGCTGCAGTGAACATGCTTACTGCTTCTAAAGGTACCATCCTATTTCGTTCTCACAAGGACAATACATGTGGAGCCGGGACTCAAATCCAAGACTTCTGATTCTAAGACTAGCAAATCCTTCTGACAACGAAAACCATCTTTATCCCAACAGAGCTCACCTATTGAGTTTGCACCCGTTGAGTTTCCTTTGCATAGTCAGCACCATGAAGAGTGCAGAAGAATGGGTTCTGATAGGCAAACAGCAGACAGTGCGTGTTCCTTGCTGGTCTCAAGAGCCCTACTGAGCTTAGGACCCCTAAAGGAGACCAACAGAGTTATGCAGCAGAGAAGGGATATTGCCCATTTAAGGGGCGGAAAGATGTGGAGCTATTAAGATCCACAGGACATAGGTGAAGGTGCCTGTACAGGATTGGTCTATAGAACATATCTAGAAATATGTATTTTTTGAGACAGAGTCTCACTCTTACCCAGGCTAGAGTGCAGTGGTGCAATCTCAGCTCACTGCAACCTCCACCTCCCGGGTTCCAGTGATTCCCCTGCCTCAGCCTCGCGAGTAGCTGGGATTACAGGTGCACACCACCACACTCAGCTAATTTTTGTATTTTTAGTACAGACAGGGTTTCACCATGTTGTCCAGGCAGGTCTCAGGTTCCTGACCTCAAGTGATCTGCCCCCCTTCGGCCTCCCAAAGTGCTGGGATTACAGGTGTGAGCCACCGCACCTGGCCCTTTTTTTTTTGAAACACTGGAATATAGAGCAGGGTTTGGCGTCTCCTGCTTTTATGTCTATCTTCTGCTGAAATGCTCTTCTTGAACTCCATATGTCCACAATCTAACCCCAAATTGCTGTGTGTTCTTCTGCGTGGTGCCTTTCTTAGTATATGGTGCCAGCATCTACACAGTTAGGCATCTTACTAAACTCCAATTTGTTCTCTCTCTGACAGAGAAAATTCCAATCCATCCTTCAACATCTAGTTGAAATAACACCCATTTCACTAATCCTTCCCTTATTTCCCAACTAGGAGGGAACTCTCCATCCTCTGGAATTCCACAGTGCTGTGAAAACTCATTACATGGTACTCTGTGCTGTAAATATTTGTATGGATGCCACCTCCCCTTCTAAAATGTAATCTCCTGTAAACAAGTTTAAGCAGAATGGCACAGTGATGCAGAAAAAGCAAAGGCTTTGGAAACAGGTAAATCTGGGTTCAAATTTTGACTCCCCACACTTAGCTCTGAGATCTTGGGCTACGTACTTAATTTTTCTGAGCTTCAGTTTCTTCGTCTGTAGCGTCATGTGAGTCTGTTCAGCAAATGAATAGAAACCATTTAAGACAGTGCTCCCCTCCCCAATATTCACACACCTTGTACTCCATAAACCATGTAACAATAAACCATGTAACAATAATAAATGCATAGATGGGCATGAGCTTCAGTATCACTTTCATTCCCCAGCCCAGCAAGGGGAACATACCCGCATGATTGCAAGGCCAGAGAAAAGCACAGTGATTCACGGATGGGAAGAGAATAGTTGAGGTCCCCAGAGACCACAGGCAGTAGTTCAACATGGAGTCAGGGTAGACATTTGAGCTGTGTAGCCAGAGAGTGGTGAATCCACCTCTATCCAGCTCTGGATTCCAAGAAACAAAACCAAGCAGTCAATACTTGGTGAACAAGTGGTAAAAAGGAACCAAGTACTGATACATGCTACATGGGTGAAGCTTGAAAACATTAGGCTCAGTGAACAAAGCCCCCCACAAAAGTCCTCATATTGTATGATTCTATCTATTTGAAGTGTCCAGAAGAGGCAAGCCCATTGAGACAGGAAGTAGATTTGTGGTGGTCAGGGGCTGGAGCAGGGGAAATGGGGTATAACTGTAAACTGGTGAGAGGGATCCCAATGGGGTGATGGGAATGTTTTAAATGGAGTTAGAGTGATGGCTTTACAACTGAGTACATTTACTAAAAGTCATTGAATTATACACTTAAAATGGGTAAATGTTATGATATGCAAATTATACCTGCAAAAAAGTTGTTAAAAGGTATAAACACAGGCTGGGTGTGGTGGCTCATGCCTAATCCCAGCACTTTGGGAGGCAAAGGCAGGCAAATCACTTGAGGTCAGGGGTTCAAGACTAGTCTGGCCAACATGGTGAAACCCTGTCTCTACTAAAAATACAAAAATTAGCTGGGCATGATGGTGGGCGCCTGTAATCCCAGCTACTCAGGAGGCTGAGGCAGGAGAATCGCTTGAACCGCTGCACACCAGTCTGGGCAACAAAGCAAGACTCCATCTCAAAAAAGAAAAAAAAAAAAAGATACAAACACAGAAAAAATGTAGTGTGAACCATCTCACCACTTTTAAGACATTTTACGAATTACCTCATAAGTATCCCTGCTCACTGAACTCCAGAATGTTTCAAAGAGAATGATAATATAATAAAACAAAATTTGGGATTTCTAAAAAATATATAAATAAATAAACTTATTGGTATGGTCTGAATGCATCTCCACTCCAAAAAATTTATATGTTGAAATCCTAACTTCTAAGGGATGGTATTAGGAGGTAAGGCCTTTGGGAGGTGACATGGTCATAAGGGTGAGGCCTTCATGAGTGGGATTAGTGTCCTTATAAAAGACGCCCCAGAGAGCTCCCTCACTCCTTCCTCCATGTGAAGACACAGTGAGAAGGTGCCATCTACGAACCAGAAAGCAGGTTCTCACTAGACACCAAGTCTACTGGTGCCTTGATCTTGGACTTCCAGCTGCCAGAACTGTGAGCAATAAATTTCTGTGGTTTCTAAATCACCCAGTCTATGGCATTTTGTTATAGCAGCCTGAATGGACTAAGATACTTACTTTACCTTGGATGTACAATCTTCACACCAACTTCCACCCCTCGTATTCCAGTACAAGTGTTGCCGGCAAGGTCACTTTGGATCCTGTAGCTCTTTTCCTCTTAAAAATTCCACTCTCCACTCATGTCATGAAATCGCTATTTCATAGTTCTCCTACTTCCTCTGCCACACAGTCTCCTTACATGCTCTCCTGGTGATTCTGAGCATCCCATCTTTAGCCTGTTTTTCTCCTCACTCTGGGTACTTTCCATGGGGGATCCCATCCATTGTATACATTGTATATGCTGATAGCTCTCAAATATATACACACACACACACACACACACACACACACACACACATATCACATCCCAGATCTCTCAATGGTGCTAGAAGGTCTATAAACACAACTGCACCAAGGGGGCATGCTCACGTCAAACTCGATATATCCAAAAATGCGATCAAAAGACAGGTGGGTGTTAAAAGGCATCACCGTCTACACTGGATCTTGTGCTAAGTTCCCACTCCTCTCTCACCCCTCATCAGAGTACCTAGTAATCTCTCTAATCCATCTATTCATCTCCAGCCGCACTGTTCCTGGTACCAACTAAATCTTGTTTGGAATACAGGACTGGGCTTCCACCTAGTGTCTCTACACATGGATTCTTGGGTATCTAGAATCTATTCTATCCAAAACATTAATATGATTGTGTGGTCTATCCAAAACATTAATCTGATTGTGCAATTCCCCAGCTGAAAATATGTCATGACCTACCATCACGTGCAGGTTCCTTTAGCAACTTTCCTTCTGCTTTTCCCAGCACATCCTCTTACTACCTACCCACAGGCACCCTATTCTAGCCTTTTGAAACTACTTGCAAGGGTGCCTTATTTGTCTAAGGCACCATGCTCTTGGTACATTTATGTGAGTTACCTCCCGTGCCTTGACAACCTGTGTTTTCTTTCTCCCATCTAGCTAGTCCCTCACAGTTCATCAGGACCCCACGTAGCCTCACCTCCCCCATGGTCTTCTCTGACACCCGCAGGCTGGATTAGCCTTCTGCTGCCTCTGCATCTTTCAGCACTTTATACATTCCTCTTCCGTCTGTTTTTATTACCCATTCATTCTCTGACTCATTCACCAGACTGTGGAAACCTTGGGGCCAGGATTGAGTCTTTATTCTTTGTATGCTCAATGGTTAAGGCAGTGCTTTCCCACAGCAGGCATTCAATAAATACTATTGAAGAAATGAATGAGAGTTGTGCCCAGACACATCAAAACCTAGTAAAAGTGTTATTTCTATGTCTTTCTCTCCCAGGTGTTGCCTTTCATATAATTATAGATTGATATATCATTCTGAGTTATGGCCCCACCAAAACACATGGACTGCATCTTTTTGATCTTCCATCATATGTCAGCCCTTGAATTTATTTCATCATTTCTTTCTCTTTCTGTTGAACTCTCTTCAAATTGTGTCTTTCAGCTACTAAAAGCTCTAAAATATTTATCATGATATTTCTGTGCTCCTTTTAATCTCACTGATTTCTTTCCACAAGAAATGGTAGCCTTGAAGCCAATCACGAAATCATCCCGGAATATAACATTTTAGAGTTATTTTTCACTGACATAATTGAAAGTAATAGAAACTCAGATTAAGTATATTTCTCAAAATTTAAGATCATAGACAGCTTTATTTACTCATTTATCTTGACAACAATTCTTCTTAATAATTAGATATCATTTACATAGAATAAAATTTCATTACAGATGGCAATTCACAAGCAGTCCTGATGTTATATATATATATATATAATATACAAATAAAAGTAATTTGTTTTAACCTGGTACAGCAAATAACCAGTGGTTTCATCAGAAATCAGGTGCCAATGGCTGCCTTATGAAAGTAAGACTAATTTTAATCCCTATGTTTTTAAACATAGGCATAAACATATGGCTCTCTTAATACTAAATTTCTTAGAACAGCAACACATATTCTGATTTTTTTGTCATAATGGATGCTAAAACTTGGATGACTTCTTTTTACCATTATTCATTATTTCTAAAGATTTAACAATCATCACATTTTTCCATGGGTGGGAGAAATTACAAGTCTATAATAGCCTCAGGTAGTTTTGTATTTGGATGAGAAAAATACGGCAAGGAGAAAGTAATAACTTGAACAATGAGAGTTTGTTTTTCTCATATACCAAGAAGTCAGGAGGCAGGTAGCCAAGAGCTGGTGAAAATGATGCCTCTGGGGTCCTGTGCTCTCTCTGCATCTGTCCCTCAACCCATAGCACCTTGTTCCATGTCCATCACAGCTGTGACCTTAGAGACTTGAAGGCTGATTCGCGTCCAGGCTTCCATGCATAAAGAAGGATGGGCAAAACATGAAAGGACATCAGTGGAGTCTCTCTTTATCAAGAGAGAAAAAGGTTTCCAGGACCCCACCTGGCAGACTCTCACTTACATGACCTGGGCAGGACCATCATATCATGGCTCTAGTTGGAGGAGACCAAAGGGATGCAAGCTGTGGATAGAGGTGGGGTCCACAAATTAAATGTTTCTTCCACAATGTGAATGTCTAATTATCAAAACTGTCAATGTAAAAAGAATAAATTTGCTTTCTTTTTTCCTTCTAAACTTCAGAAGAATGTGTCATTCTAGACATTGAGAGAGAGAAAAGAATATAGGTCATATCTCCTAACCCCTTCCTACCCATAGCTTACTATATCTTTCAAGAAGCTACAAGAAAGAACCACCTTAGGCACTTGCAAAGACTTATCATCCATGCATTGGAGCCACTGCTGCTCAAGGTGTTGTCACAGATGGGTCCGCACTGGATAAGACCACTTTCCAACATGTGCTGTAGTCTTACACAAAGTTTGCAACTACAAAGATTCCAAAAGCAGCTGGAGTAGAACCCAGGACCCTCAGAAATTAAATTATTTCTTTGAGTCCAACAGGGACTAATTCCTATGAACTGGGCATTTCCTTCAGGGCCATGTGGGGAGTCCATAGATTGGAAGGCAAACACACTTATATCCTAACTGCAGGACCTTGGGCAAATTACTGACTCTCTCTGAGCCTAGTATCCTCAACTGTACGATGAGATTAGCCAGGCCCATCTTATACCACTGTTTGGAAGACTTAAGAGATGGTATGTATATATAATCACCCAGGAATGGCCTAGCCTATTGTAGCTTCAAGTTTTCTCCTTTTTGCTTTCTCCTCTGTATCAGATCAGAAGTAAGATCTGTGTGGGAGTGGCCAACCTACCAAAAGACTAATATAAATGAATTTTCAGTTAGAGGGGTCTTCTAGATTCTTGCACATTGACACAGGGAGCACAAATTTGCACAGTTCCTATGAAAGCTAATTTCATTTCTGTTTCTCTCAAAATTACTTTTTTTTTTTTTTAAGACAAAGGTTCGCTCTTGCTGCCCAGGCTGGAGTGCAATGGCACGATCTTGGCTCACTGCCACCTTCGCCTCCTGGGTTCAGGCAATTCTCCTGCCTCAGCCTCCCATGTAGCTGGGATTACAGGGTCCAACCACCATGCCTGGCTAATTGTTTTTGTATTTTTAGTAGAGACGGGGTTTCACCATGTTGGCCAGGCTGGTCTGGAACTCCTGACCTCAGGTGATCCACCTGCCTCAACCTCCCAAAGTGCTGGAATTACAGGCATGAGCCACTGTGCCCACCCTCGAAATTACTTTTAATGAATGAAGGAGAGGAAACAAGATTCATATCCATATATCCTATTTGCATAGAGAAGTTCAGTAAGCATATATAAGATAAAGAGAAAAGTGATTACCAGAGATTGGGGATATGACAGGGAGTGTGTGGAATCCATACTTTTCCCTATATGTATTTTGTGTTATTTTTATTTTGAAATACGTGAGAGTATTATCTATTCAAAGTAGAAAATGCAGCCAGGCATGGTGGCTCCTGCCTGTAATTCCAGCACTTTGTGAGGCCAAGGTGGGCAGATCACTTGAGCCCAGGAGTTTGAGACCCACCTAGGCAATATAGTGAGGCCCCATTTCTACAAAAACATACAAAAATTAGCCAGGTGTGGTGGCACATGCCTGTAGTCCCGGCTGCTCAGAAGGCTGAAGTGGGAGGAAAACTTGAGCCCAGGAGGTTGAGGCTGAAGTGAGCTGTAATCACACCACTCCACTCCAGCCTGGGTGACAGAGTGAGACCCTGAAGAAGAAAGGGAGGGGGGGAGAGAGAGAGAGTTAAAGAAAGAGGAAAGAAAGAAAGAGAGAAAGAGAGGAAAGAAAGAAAGAAAGAAAGAAAGAAAGAAAGAAAGAAAGAAAGAAAGAAAGAAAGAAAGAAAGAAAGAAAGAAAGAAAGAAAAGAAAGAAGAAAGAAAAAGAAAATACGTACTTTTCAAAAGTGGGCCTTTTGTGCTCATTCGGGGGCGAGAATTCTGGCTTACGCTCAGTAGATGCCTAACTAAAGACAAGGATGAAGGATTCTGTGTAAAAGAAAGCTGCTCTGTCTATGTGGCTAAAGCTCAGTTTTCAGAGGACCAGAAAGGTAATCTAAATATGAAAAAACTTAATCTAAAAAATTATTTTATGATTGCTTTAAATAATTACTTCCTTTTGGTTCAGCCATGATACTCAGTACAGTTACTTTTTTAAATCCCAGCCTGTTCGGGAGAGGGATTTTGTCCAAGTTTGTGCTCCTTTCTTCAAGTTTGTGCTCCTTGGTTCAGGGCAAGTTTATGACTGTGAAAGTCAAAGTGAAATGCACCCAATGAAAAATAAATCTCAAGGGGAAAGTAGATAGCATAGCCCTACTTTTCTACCTGAGGATCAAAACTTCCCTACTAAAACCTAGGAACATTTTCTGGTTTGATTTATGCTGTTGTACTTGGTGGTTGTGGTGGTGGTGGTTTATCTTCTTCAGTGAACCATTGCCTTATTTTGAAAAGCAAACATAAACCCAGTGAAGGAAAAAAATGGATCATGGAAAAAACATTAGCACTGTCATTAAGCCCCAAGAGAAAATGTCTTACTGGACCAGGTTTGTGAATAATTTCCTTGCCAACCATGACCTGGTTCTTCAGGCTCTCCCTTGCCAGAAGGAGAGTAAGCCATCATCCTGAAAATCAGTTTCTACTCCTTGACACCATCAATGGAACCAAATGTCAACATCTCTATATTGGTTTCCTATCCCAGCATAACAAATTACCTCAAATATCATGGCTAAAAAATCCACATTTATTATCTCACAGTTTATGTAGGTCAAAAGTCTAGCTCTGTTTTAGCTGCAGTTTTAGCTCAATGCCTCACAAAGTTGCAATCAGGATATTAACTGGGCTGTGTTTCTTTCTGAAGCTTGGGATTCTCCTCCAAGCTCATTTCATTTCCTTGTAGCTGTAGACTCCCATTGTCTTGCTAGTTGTTGACCAGGGGTTGTTCTCCATTCCTTGGTGCTTGGCCCACTCTATAGCCCTCCTCACACTTCCAATCTTTTTGACTTTGGAAAGGTTGAGTTCCTCTTAATAGCTCACCTGATTGGATCACACCCTACCAGATAGTATCCCCACTGTGGTTTGAATATTTCTCCCCTTCAAAACTCACGTTGGAATTTAACCCCCAATGAGGCCATTCTGAGAGGAGGAGGCCTTAAGAGGTGATTGGGTCATGAAGGTTCTGCCCTCCTGAAAGGATTAATCCATTTATAAATCAATGGGTTAATGGATTAATGAGTTATCATGGGAGTGAGACTGGTAGCTTTATAGGAAGAGAAAAAGACACCTGAGCTAGCACACTCAACCCCCTCACCATGTGATGCCCTGTGCCAATTCAGGACTCTGCAGAGTCCTCACCAGCAAGAAGGCCCGCACCAGATGTGACTCCTCAACTTGAGCTTCTCAGCCTCTATAACTGTAAAAAACAAATTCATTTTCTTTGTAAATTACCCAGTTTCATGTATTCTGCTATAAGCGACAGAAAAAAGACCAAGACACTCCCTTTTGATTAAATCAAAGTTGATTGACAAGTGACCTAATCACAGGAGTGATATCCCATCATATCCGAAGGCTCTGCCCATGCATAAGGGTTGGAGATTATATAGGGCGTATATACCAGGGAATGGGACTCTCTGGGACCGCCTCAGGATTCTGCCCAACTAATTTCCATTTTCTTCTACCACCACAATATCCAAGTGGAAAACAGAGAAGTCTGGCTTCAAGCCCTTTAGTTTTCTTGGCAGAAACTCAGTCACAAGCGATGCATTGCAGATCACTTTTGGCAGTGCCATCTGGGTGCATCTGAATCAGCAGAAAGGGGAAGATGTTAGGGCCGTAGAGGCTTCGGTAGACTCTTGGCATTCCATGAAATGCTGAATGCTACAGGGGACTGTCAGTTGTTTCACTGATATAGAGTGAGACAAGGAAGAAAGGAAGGAGAGAAAGAGAAGGAGGGAAGGATGGAGGGAAGAAGGACTAACACATTTTTTTAATAACCATTTTTTACCACAATGAGATACTAATTCACAGCAGTCAGAATGGCTACTATTAAAAAGTCAAAAAACAACAGATGCTGTTGAGGCTGCAGAGAAAAGGGAATGCTTACACTGTTGGTGGGAATGTAAGTTAGTTCAGTCGCTGTGGAAAGCAGTTTGGAGATTTCTCAAATAACTTAAAACCGAATTACCATTTGACCCAGCAATCCAATTACTGGGTATATATCCAAAAGAAAACTAATCGTTCTACCAAAAAGACACATGTATTTACAAGTTCATGACAGCACTATTCACTACAGCAAAGACAAGGAATCATCCCCAGTGCCCATCGGTGGTGGATTCGATAAAGAAAATGTGGTGCGTATGCATCATGGAATACTACACAGCCATAAAAAGAACAAAATTATGTCCTTTGCAGCAACATGGATGCAGCTGGAGGCCATTACTCTAAGTGAATTAACGTAAGAACAGAAAACCAAATAATGCATATGCTCTCTTATAAGTGGCAGCTAAACATTGGATGCTCAAGAATATAAAGATGGCAAATCTCAGCACCATGCAAAATACCCAGGTAACAGACCTGCATGTCTACACACTGGATCTAAGATAAAAGCTGAAAAAATAATGATAAACAAATATTTTAAAAAACAATCATTTCCTCTATGCATTTATTAAGTACATGTTTAAGGAAGACCTATTGAGCCTAGAACTGGCTGAACTGACTCAGGTCCTAAGGATGTAGTGTTGGACAAATGACACATGCAACCTGCCCTAATAGCGATTACATTATATTGAGAAAACAGCCCACTGCAATAAAAGTAAGCCAATACACAATATAGTCACAAATTGTAATTTGCACTATTAAAGAAATTCTGTTCAGAAACTGTGTGCTATAGAAGAAAATGTGTTAATTCTTTTATTTGACACACTAATGGTACATTGGTCAGGAGGCCACATTTGCCAGTGTCATTTTGGCTTTCTGGGGTGTCATCTGTGTTGTGCGGACCACACCTTTGGAAACTGCTCTACTTTCTCTCAGTCCTGGATTAAGATTACAAACTCCTAGCTCAATGTGTGCAGCCCCAGACTCTCAGTAAAGATCTCAAAGCAGGACATCTGCAGCTGGCAACATGTCTCCTCAATCTGCAAGGGTCCGGGCATCCTCCCTGCCAGACATCTGTGGCTTTTCAGTAGCTACAGTTGCATCCCCGTGGGGAGGGCTTACTTGTATTTTTATGCTCCCCCTAACAGGGAATTTCTTCTCTCTGAGATATGCTTCTGCACAATTGGCTTCTGCTCATCATCATCTCCACACAAGTTTCGACGACTCGTTGACTCCAGGTCTTTTTGTTTTCTGTTTTTCCCTGTTAAATCACGTATTCCTTTCCGGGTATGGAAACTGCATTCTTACTTAAAAGCAAGAACCCGAATTTCCCTTCTCCTCTAGCCAGGGGACTAGTTGCATCTATAGCTCACATATTTTCCATCCATCTCCGAGAGAAGCTCAGCATACTGGAGGCATGTGCAGCAGATGTCTTCCTGGTTAACACTTTCCCAGTAGAAGGCCTGTTAACCTTGAGTACCCAAACTTCAGAGAATGTTCACATTTCTCCAATGCAACATTTGTGATGTATTTTAGGCTCCTTGTTGGCATTTTCCTGCAGATCTTTGATTTTCCAAGAACAGACTGCTGACGTTCGCAGGGTAGAAGGTGGCTGTGTCTGTGCCAGGTCTCAGTCCCACTTCTCTCACTGCCGGTGCCTCCTCTACCTACTTGTGATTCCCCATGAAAAACGCCCCCTTTTAATTCACCTGAATAAACTGCCTCTTCACCACTCCCGGATTCTAATACATTGTGTGGGTGTGGCAGGGGATGACACCACTTCCCTTCAGAGCAAGCCTCTGTTTCTTCGGTAAGCGTGGGAGGCCACTAAAAAATTAATTGCAGCAAATTGAAAAAAGTCTCGGGCAACATCACAAATGCTAATACAGCAAGGAAAGAGCAGCATGATTGCCTTTTAAAAAGGCCTTTTCATTGATAGTATTATCTCAAATGTCTTCATAAAAAGAAAGGGTGCCATCCCTGGTTGCAGAGATCTCCTTAATGAGCTCCAATTTTAAAGGAACATGAGGAAGGAGGAGTCTGCAAATGGAGATGAGCAGGGCCACAGTGAGCTGGGACTTGTGAAGTGTGCCAAGTCCATCTGCAGCATCTACAGAGACTTTGTCAAGGATAGGCAAGAGACGAAGTGGAAGCATTTGGAATAGATACCTTGGGTGGCATAGGTGGCACAATATTATCCCATCAGAGCAAGAAATGTTTGCTACTAAGGAGAATGTTTTAAGCTGGTGTGTGAGTTATCTTTTGCTGTGCAACAAATAACACACTTAGGACCTTGAAACAACACACACTTGTTAGCCCACAGTTGCCATGGATCAGGAGTTCAGATACAGCTTAACCAAGTCCAGCCCTCAGGGCTTTGCAAGGCTATAATCAAGGTGTCAGGCTGTGGTGTCTGGAGCTGGGGTCCTTGTCCAAGATCATATGGTTTTGGGCAGGAATTAAGTCCTTGCAGTTGTAGCACTGAGGCCTTTGTGCTCTCACTGGCTGTCAGGCAGGGGTCACTGCTTCCAGAAGCTACCCTCAGGCCCTAGCCTGTGACCCTCTCACAAAATGATAGTTTGTTTCTGCAGTGCCTTTCAGTTGTTCCAGGAGAGTGTCTCTCTCTCTTTCTCCAGCCTGCTACCATGGAGTCTTATATGACATAATGTAATCATGAGTGGGTGACAACTCATCTTTGCCATCTAAGGTAACGTAATCAAGAGAATGACATTCATCATATTCACCGGTCTCACCCACACTCAATGGGAGATGATTAGACAGGGCATGCATGATGCATATACCAATCACCGGAGGAGCTTAGGGTTCAGCCTCTCATAGCTAGACAGGAAGACACAACATGATTAAGAGGGCCAAAACCAAGAACGGTCACAAGATGTAATCTACAATTAGTTTAAACTTAGTGCAGCATTCTAGATGCAGGTGAGAATTCTAGATCCATTCAAGTTCACTGAAAGGCTGTACCCAAAAACTGCAGAGAACCACTCCTAGTCATCCCGAAATACAGGCACATCTCCTCAAGTCTGGAGTTGCCACCAACTTGAAAATAAGGCAAAGAAGTAGACTCCAAACCAAAGACTCACGGTTTAGTTGTGAATTCTAAAATACATTAGACAAATTTTTTTTCAAGCTCCTAGGGAATGTTATATTGATTACCAGGAGCTAATGCTGATTCACTAAAACAATTCCCTTCAGTCTAACCCAGTTCTTTCTTGATGCAGCCTTCAGTAGATAGCTGAGAAAATACTGAAAACGTGATCCCCATTGACTGTAAGATAACTCACACAGGTGCTCTTTGTGGGGAAAGTGAAGAAATATTATCTGAAGTAAAGTGCTCGCTGTTTTTTTAACTGCTTTACCTAGAAGTGGGTCAGCTATAAAGTGGGATGGATATTAATCTGAAGAATGGCATTTTGCAGTGAGAGGAAGGACTGTGCACTCAGCACTGGCCCACTCAATACTAAAACGGATGTTTTGGAATGTTTGTGGATTGCCTATTTTGGGAACAATGGTCCATAAAATAAATCACGGCCTGGAGATTCAATATCATCCCTACAAGCTTAGCCAGTTGGCAGCAGTAAAATCAATTGAGCTTTCATATCATATGCTGCCTCGCATACAGTTGACCTTTAACTCAATACTATTTAACAGAGATCGAAGTAAACTCCTCTATATAGGCTCAGAACTCCACCAAGGAAGTACACTATGAGGAATCCCTGGCTTAACAGCTTTCATGTGACAAACATCAATAGTTCTAATGGCCTTAAGGCACAGTATTAACAAGAGCCAACAGGGAGAATCCACAGTCTACAGAGAGTTACAGCAGTGGACATTGCCTGTGCCCTACAATGCGAACAGATGGATAAATGGGTGTGTGTGGGGGGGGCGGGTGTCTCATGGTCAGATATGTGTGGAAAGTGTCCAGTCAAATGAAGTTAAGCAAGTTTCATTACTGTAATCCTTCCAGATGTCAGCATGTATTTTGAATATCTAAGGGTGGACAATGATTTCACTGAGAATTTCATGGAACTAGATTCTGGAAGCACTCAGGGAAAAACTAAATTATCACAACACCAGGCTGTCCTCATTAGTATGCAATGTCTATATTTAAAAAGCTAAAAGTCAAAGGTCACCTGCCCTGGACACAAGACTTCTGTCTTGCAGAGGTCAGTTCTAAGGGCCTGGAAAATTCCAAGTTATTCTGGCTAACCAGAGCACACCCAGAGGGGAAAGGCAGATGCAGCACAGGATACGCTCAAGAGGATCTCCCTCTGTCTGTCCAGGTGCACTGCTATAAAGAAACACCTGAGACTGGGTAATTTATAAGGAAAAGAGGTTTATTTTGGCTCACAGTTCTGCAGGCTGTACAGGAAGTGTGGTGCTGGCACCTGTTTCTGGTGAGGGCCTCAGGAAGCTTCCAATCATGGCGGAAGGCAGGAGAGCAGACGTGTCACATGGTGAAAGCAGGAGCAAGGTAGGGGAGAAGGTGCCACACACTTCTAAACAATCAGATCTCACACGAACTCAGAGCAAGAACTCACTCATTACTATGAAGAGGACGCCAACTCTTTCATGAGGGATCCACCCCCATGACCACCTCCAACCAGGCTCCACCACCTCTAGCATTGGGGATCGTATTTCAACATAAGACTTGGAGGGGACACACATCCAAACCATATCATCTCCCTTCCTGTGTCTTGCCGTATCTCATTTTTTTATTATTATTATACTTTAAGTTTTAGGGTACATGTGCACAACGTGCAGGTTTGTTACATTTTGCCTTGTTCACAAGACAGCCTTATGAGCTGCAGAGAATGAAGCCATGTCATCCTTTCATCCCTTATGGTCTCTCTGCCCTCATATATGCATAACTATCAAGAGATAAGATGGTCTCAGCCTCTTAACAAGTTCTCAGTAGGAGGCCTGACCATTTGGGAAGCTTTTCCTTCCAAGTATTCATGGGCTCTCAATTTAAAAGCAAGGACATTAAATCTACTCAAGGCTCCTGACACATTCCTGGTTCCCTCCTATGGTAGGCTGCTTCTAAAGCAGCTTCCAAGAATCCCACCTCCCTGTAGAAGCCTCTCTGCCTGTCTGTGGGCTGGACCTAATGACTCACTTTTAAGCAATGAATATGACAAAAGCAATGTGACTTCTAACATCAGTTGTAAATGTCTGTAACCAATCTATAAATACATAAAGCAGATTCATTGTTGCTGAGGGCTGGGATGGGGGTCCGAGGGCTAGGGGTTGGGGGGTAATAACTAAAAATATATGAAGTGTCTATCTACAGCCAGACCACCCTGAACATGCCTGATCCCAATTGATCTTGGAAACTAAGCAGGGTTGGGCCTAGTTAGAACTTGGATGGGAGACCACCTGAGAATGCTGGGTGCTGTAAGCTTTATAAGATAAAATAAAATTTAAAAAATAAATAAATATAAAAATGAAAAGATATGAAGTTTCTTTTGAAGGTAACAAAAATGTTTTAAAATGTATTGTAGTGATGGTTGCATAAATCTGCAAATATACTAATAACCATTGAATTGTACAAATTAAATGGGTGAATAGTATGGTATGTAAATTATATCTCTTTTTCATAGCAAAACTTTGATCACATTTTATTAAATATAAGGTAACTGTAAAAAGCATTTTAACGTCTCTTAAATCAGTTTGCATTTTACAATCAATAATGTCTTTTGATCACTGTTGGGATAGACTAAGAGCATTTTAAATTAAAATTTCTTCATGAGATTTTAGACCACATGGGTGGTGTCAACTCAGAATATAAATCTGCTTGCGGTTCAAAATCTTTTTCCCCTCCCTCTACCTAGTGCTATGATTGAGACATGAAAGTTTCCTTGCTGTTTCTTTTCACATGGTAGTTTCGTTTATTTCTATCCTAGGCCTCTGGTTGTGAGCTGCCCTGTAGAGAAGCCCATATGGCAAGGAACCGAAGGCAGCCTTGGGACAACAACCAACAAGGAACTGAGGCCCTCGAGCCAATAAGCCTGCAAGCAAAGGAATCCTGCCAATAACACGTGCGTGAGCTTGGAAGCAGATCCTTCCACAGTCAAGTCTAAAGATGACCACAGTCCTGGCCAACATCTTCAGATGCTGAGGACCCAGCTAAATGACCGCCAGATTCCTGACAGAAAAACTTGAGATAAAGCCTCTAAAGTGGGGGCCATTTGTCACACAGCAACAGATAGCTCATATACTTCAAAAGAGTTCCTCGGTCCTCTCCTCAATTTTTTATTCTTTGCCAGACCTCTTTTTAGCTTCCAGAAAGGAGTCTTACAAAAACCTCCTGGTGCAATGCTTCATGCAGGGATTATGCAGACCATCCCCGCCCCCACCCCTTGACTCTCACCACTTTCCTTTCCTGGAATGTCCCCTTCTGTCTCCTCAACATGCATATGATGTTGAGACTTCCTTCAGGCCTTTGTGTTTTTTATGAAGTGCAAACCCACCTTCCAGCCATACACTCTCTTTCCGAGAGTGATTTTACCTGTCTGAGAATTTCCAGGACACAAGTTGACACATTGAGCAACAATATCTTACGGTATCTTTAATGTGTAGGTGACCAATCAGGAAGATTGCTTTTAAATCGCTTTTCGGGAAAAAGAAGTTTATTTTCTCTCAATATTTATATTTCTGTATAAATTTTTAGAGATTTGCATTTCTTTTATCCATTGCTCTGATTCCATTTTTGTTTGTTCTTCAGTATCCCATTTTATATAACTAAGGAATTCCCATTTTTGTCCTTTTCAGAGTTATATTATATGGCACTGTATTTTTTCACATATTTAAACTTATTCTTATCTAATTGATATTAATTTAGACTTCCAGTTGTCTGCTATGTTGTAATATTGTACTTATGTTTAATTATTCCACATCTATGTGTGTATTTTTAGTACCCGAAATACCATCTAATTTCAGCCACTATAGCTACTTCATCATCCATTTTTGGATTCTTAAGCATGTCTTGCCCAGAACCTTTAAATGGATTTGCACTAGATTTACTACCTTTCTCGGCCTGAGAAAGTTATTACAGTTTTTAAAGCCCCAAACTTATTACCAGACATTGGTAGCAAAGGAAAATTGGTTCAAGTTTTGGGAGGCTCTAACTCAAGATGAACTTCATTTCATTCAAGGTTCTTCTTTATCATCCTTGGATGAGATGAAATTTATGTGAAAGTGTCCTGGAGGCAGAGGGTGCAGTGAGCTGAGACTGTGCCACTGCACTCCAGCCTGGACGACAGAGTGAGACCCGGTCTCAAAAAAAAAAAAGGATATACCAAAACATAAGTCAAGTTGTAAAACTGAGTATGAACATCAATGTATGGATCTAGATATCAAATGTTCAAAGCATTGAAACCTATGAAATTCCAGAAAATAAATCTTTATAAAGTATATTGTTTCCTGACCAAAATCTAAAAATGTTCTTCTATTTATTACACTACTAGACAAAACTCTAAAATAGATATTTATATAGTACAATCTTGCCAAATGGCTCTGTGATGGAGACTCGGTGACTCATTGCTTTAAAGAAAGAGCCAGCCCAGAATGTGCCGAAGTCTTTAAGATATCCATATAACAAACAGTGTTGAAGATAGAGATGTCATGTACAAGGAAATGAGAAAGATACTCAAAATAAAGAGAAAATATTTTGCATAGATAATTGAAATGAATGTGCTTTCATTTCCAAATATTAAACTAACACTAATCATGATAAGAGCTAAATCCCCAGGCAGGGCTTAGAAACCCAAGAGGCATGTGGGGCCCATTAACCAAAAGAGGCTTAAGCTCGGGCGATGACAGTATCTGCAAACAAATACATTTATTAAGAATGAAAGTAGTTCAGCGTCCTTGAAGAGCAAACTTCCTCTAAAGTGAAGTAGAAATTTATTTCATTAGCGAAAATGTCTATTTAGCACCAAATTGGCACAGTGTCCACATTGCCTGAGCAAACTATAAGGGGAAATTGGTGTTTATTTACATCCCATTTCTCTTCCCAAGGGATTTGAAAGACCAGGAGGAAGCTATTAAGGAGACAGTCGTATTTTTTCCATTGTTATCCTCATTTATGATATAGCCATTGCCCCGTCACTAAAATAGCTGCTGAGCCACTTGGTAAGGCAAAAGGGAATTCTAGGCAATACGGCAGACTAAGCTGACACAGACAGACCCTACTCGTTCTGCAAAGACTTTGCAAAACTGGACAAAATATATGCATATTCCAGCTTGGGGCAGAGGGCAGACTGGGTGGGGAATGTCCTAGGTACCAGACACAAAGAAGCGATCAAAGTAGAGTCATAAGTGGCAGACAGTAACAAGACCACAGTGGAGTGTGTGACTTGTATGATCGGATCTGTGGACTGGGGTCTCGGTGCTCGCAAGAAGACAGGAGGCATGGCCTTGGGCCTATACAAAGTGACTAAGCTAGTACTGGTCTCAGGGAAATCCAGAAGTCCACATGTGTTACCCACCCATGAAATAGAGATGGGAAGAACTATCCACTGGCCCAGGGACACGGAGGCTTTTCAAATCCCCAGGGCCTGGGTGACACAGGTGGAAGCAAAGAGGCTTCATATGACATAGAAAATCTGGCATCGTGCTATGTTGAGGGTACAGGCCCCCAGCTTTGTTCATTTCGTTTGGAACCTGAAACCAAGAAATTAACATTAAAAACTCAAGGGGGACCAGCAGGAGCAAAAGAAAGAAGAAAGAAGGCAAGCACAAAAGGAGCTGAGAGAGCACACAAACATGACAAGCAGGGAGAATGAGCAGCCGAGGACTGGGAATCATCATGCCACCTAAAAAAGACAACACAATAAGCTTCTAAAAAGGAGGGAAGAGGAAAGAGAAAGGATAGAAACCACAGTGCAATAACAAGGTATTCTTTTTTTAAGAAAAGAACTATTTAGAGAAACACTACACAGAATTCTAGAAATGCGCACGCATGCCCACACACAGAAACGTACATAGCTTCATTGGCATGAAAAACTCCATCGAGGAATGGAGGAGCTCCAGTTTCCAATAATACAGGCTAAAGTCAACCTCCCATTGAAAGCAACAAAAGAACCGGCTTGCTTGTAGTATCTCAAATCACCTGGAAACGTGGAAGACCTCAGAAGCTGTGGAGGCCTCCCGGGCTGATTTTTAGGCGCACACTGGGACTAGGGAAGAAAATAGGTATCAGACACCAAACCTTTCGTGCACGCCTTCACGTCACTGTGACACTAGGAACTCACACCTGGCCTTTTGTTCTCATTCTAAGAGAAATCTAATGGGTCCCACAGAAGACCTTGCCCTGTACAGTGGTGAGAACAGACAACAGATAAATTAACTCTACTGCCCGCTCCTTAGTCCAGAGGACTTGATCTGAGTGGAAAGGAAAAGGGAAAGAAAGCAAAAGAGAAGGACACACACATGGAAGTTGTGACCACTGACCCACTCTAACTTGCTCAAGAAAAAATAAGCTAAGGATACCTTCTGTCACCTTTTCTACTCACCATTGTTCTGGGAATCAGAACACACACATAGTTTTAATAAAAGACTTCACATCTTCATAATTTTCAGACAAGATGACTGTCAAATCACAAAAATTCTAACTGAATCTACAAAGAAGCTCTTGGAACTAATAAGAGAGTTTGGCAAGATTTTTGGATACAAGGTCACTAAACAAACATCAACAGGGTTCCAGCCACAATCAACCAGAAAAAATATGTTAATAATCCCATTCACAATAGCAACAAAGAGTGTAAGTTACCTAGTCACAAATCACATAAAGAAGGTACAAGATCTATACGGAGATTATGGTATGGACATAAGAGAAGATCCTGCAATCTCACTCCTGGGTTATACCCCTAGAGAAATGAAAACTTCTGTATATGCATGTATAGAGCAGGTCTAAGCATAATCACCCAAACCAAGAAACAACAAAAATCTCCTTCATCTTGGTGAATAAATAAACAAAATGTGGCCTATCTATACAACAGAGTGCTATTCACCAATCACATGAAATGAACTATTGATACAACTTGGGTGAATTTCAAAGGCATTATGAGCTAAAGAAGCCAGTCTTAACACAAGTTCATTTATATGACATTCTCCAAGAAAAAACTGTAGCGCTGGAAGACAGATCAGCCATTGCAGGAGTTGGGATGGAGAGGACGTAACTACAAAGGAATAGCATTCAAGAGTTTCAGGGCTGGCAGAACTGTTCTATATCCTCATTTGACTGGTGGCTACATGTATAAAATTAATAGAGCTGTGTGCATTAAAAAGTAAATTTCACTGTATGTTAATTGAGAAAATAAAATTTTAAAGTACAAGAACAGCCGGGCGCGGTGGCTCACGCCTGTAATCCCAGCACTTTGGGAGGCCGAGGCGGATGGATCATGAGGTCAGGAGATCGAGACCATCCTGACTAACACGGTGAAACCCTGTCTCTACTAAAAATACAAAAAATTAGCTGGGCGCAGTGGCGGGCGCCTATAGTCCCAGCTACTCGGGAGGCTGAGGCAGGAGAATGGCGTGAACCCAGGGGGCAGAGCCTGCAGTGAGCCGAGATCACACCACTGCACTCCAGCCTGGGCGACAGAGTGAGACTCCATCTCAAAAAATAAATAAATAAATAAATAAATAAATAAAGTACAAGAACTTTTTTTAAATCCAGTTTTTAAAAAAACTGGATCTGATGTGATGGGAAGGTAATTCAATATGGTAAAGATGACATTTTCCTCAAAATGAATCTACAAATTCAATGAATTTCACAAAAACCCAGCAGAGTTTAATAAAACTTGACAAATTTATATTAAAATTTTTAATGAAGAATAAAGATCTAGGCATAACCTTTTGGAGACAATTTGAAGAGAGGAAGGACACGGCTTACCACATACCAAGAAATATTATAAAGCCCTAGTAGTTAGAACCATGAGAAAGGGGGATAGAGATAGATAAACAAAACCTGACAGTGTGTACAGTTACACCAGGAAATTTATAAATTGCTGTTCATGCACTATTCACAATAGCAAAGACATGGAATCAACCTAAATGCCCAACAGTGATAGACTGGATAAAGAAAATATGGTACATATACACCACAGAATACTATGCAGCCATAAAAAAGAACAAGATCATGTCCTTTGCAGGGACATGGATGGAGCTGGCAGCCATTATCCTTAGCAAACTAATGCAGGAACAGAAAACCAAATACCGCATATTCTCACTTATAAGTGGGAGCTAAATGATGAGAACACATGGGCACATAGAAGGAAACAGCAGACACTGGAGCCTATTGGAGAGTGGAAGGTGGGAGGAGGCAGAGGATCAGGAAAAATGACTGATGGGTACTAGGCTTAATACCTGGATGATGAAATAATCTGTATAACAAACCCCCACGACACAAGTTTACCTATGTAACCAACCTGTACATATACCCCTTAACTTAAAATACAAGTTAAAAAAATATATAAATTGGTGTTCATTTACATAGATTCAAATATCTCTCATCATCTATCAATCTTCTATTATCTATCATCTATCTATCATCTCTCAATCATCTAGCAATCATCTGTTGCTTATCTATCATCTGTCATCTATGTATCATTTATTTATTTTCTATCAACTATCTATCTACCTAACCATACCCCAGGCACAAAAATAAATTCTAATCAGATTAAATTCCTAAAGGTGAAATGCAAAACATAAAAAAAGTACTAAAAATCCAGAAGAAAAAAATATGACAGAAAAAAATAAAGGATATGAAAAAAGTATGCCCCAAGGGCCATCAGTCAAATAAAAATTAAAGCAATACAGTTTTACTTCACACCCATCAAATATGTGAAGATGCAAATGTTTGGCATTCAAAACACTGGCAAAGATGAAGAAATGAACTTTTTAAACAGACGTTATCACAGCAGTTTTGGATTAACAGAAAAGCTACAGAAAGTATGGACTTCCCATCTGTTACCTTCCACCACCTCCACAGTCAACATTTTGGTACTTTTGTTACAACTGATGAATTAACATTAAGAAATTTATTAACTAAAGTCCATAGTTTGCATTGAAGTTCACTCTTTGTGTTATAGTTTTTATGAGTTTTGACAAATGTATAATAACTTGGGTCCACCATTACAATATCACGCAGAATAAGTTCACTGCACTGAAAACTCCCTGTGTCCAGACTGTTGCTCCCTTTTTCCCCCTGAAACCCTGGTAATCACTGATCCTTTTACTGTCTCTATAGTTTTCCTTTTTCCAGAATGACATATCTTTGGAATTATACAGTATGTAGCCTTTTCAGGCCAGCTTCTTTCACTTAGCAATATGCATTTAAGTTTCCTCTTATGTCTTTTGGTGGCTTGATAGCTCATTTCTTTATACTGCTAAATAATAGTCCATTGTCCCAGTGTGCCACAGTTTGTTTATCTACTTACCCACTGAAGGACATATTGGTTTCTTACAAGTTTTGGCAATTATGAATTAATGGGCTTCTTATATATCACTGGGAGAAAGACAAACTGCAACAACAGCTTTGGAAGATAAGGTGGCAACATCTAATGCAGTTGAAAAATTCTTAAGGAAGAATAAAGACCTAGGTATAGCCTTTTGGGGACACTTTGAAAAGAGGGAGGAAGGGCATGTCTTACCACATACCAAGACTTACTATAAAGCTCTAGTAGTTAGAACCATGAGGAAGGGCCGTATACACAGAGCTCAGCACTTCCATTCCTAGGTACACATCACAGAAAAACTCTTGCCAGGAAACATACAGAAAAATGTCCATTAAACACTTTCTGTAATGGGGAAAATTGCAAACAAACTAGACGTGTGCCAATTACTGTATTGGGATAGGAGACAATTCTCCATGAGGCTCTCTCAGATGTCTGCACATTTTTTCAGCAGAGGCACTGGCAGCTTTTGTTCTGGATGATCTTTTCAAGAGTATTTGTATGGTGAACAGCCTCAGAAGATAGTAATAGTGTCTCCCTCTGGAGCAAAGTTTAAGCAGACTGGCTTACTGACCATTGTAAAAGATTTGAGTTTTCTAACTTCAGGGTTCCTCTGCTATGACACCAACTGACTGCATGTGTAGCAAACACGTGGACTCCTCCACATCACCTCCATGGAATTCCAGGCACAAAGAGAACTGGTAAAAACATGAAGCTCCTGCTGTTCACTGTGACGTGAGTAACAGAGTCCATTGTCTGATCCAAGAGTCTCATGATTGCTGTCAGTATCCAAGGTACTGTGGCTGGCAAAACTCCTCACATGAAAGTAGGGTAAAATCTTAGACCCTCCTCAGTTCTTGAGAAATGGGTAAATAAAATTTTGAAGTGGTTATACAACAGGCTGCCAAAGAACAGAATAAATAAATTAAAACAGCAGGTATCCACACAGATAAATTTCAATAATAGGCCAGGCACAGTGGCTCATGCCTGTAATCCCAGCACGCTGGGAGGCTGAGGCGGGCAGATCACCTGAGGTCAGGAGTTCGAGACCAGCCTTGCCAACATGGCAAAACCCCATCTCTACTCGAAATACAAAATGAAATACAAAGGTCAGCCCAGCTACTCAGAAGGCTGAGGCATGAGAATCACTTGAACCCGGGAGGTGGAGGTTGCAGCGAGCTGAGATCACGCGACTGCACTCCAACCTAGGAGATAGAGCGAGACTCTGTCTCAAAAAAAAAAAAATTTTCAATAATATATATATACACACATATATATATATACACATTTATACATATATACACATATATACATATATACACACATATACATATATACACATATATATATACATATATATTCATATATATGTGTATGTATATATATATATATATATATTTTTTTTTTTTTTTTTTTTTTTTGAGATGGAGTCTTGCTCTGTCGCCCAGGCTGGAGTGCAGTGGCACGATCTCGGATCACTGCAAGCTCTGCCTCCTGGGTTCACGCCATTCTCCTGCCTCAGCCTCCTCAGTAGCTGGGATTACAGACGCCCGCCACCACGCCCGGCTAATTTTTTTTTCGTATTTTTTAGTAGAGACGGGGTTTCACCGTGTTAGCTAGGGTTTCACCGTGTTAGCCAGGATGGTCTTGATCTCCTGACCTCGTGATCTGCCCGCCTCAGCCTCCCAATCAATAATATATTTTTAGGTGAACATAGCTAAACCACAAAATGATATATCCAGCACTTCCATAAAATCCGTGTTGCTTTGAGCACATATACATGTGTAAAATACAAACGGGCACTGACATATAATCTTCAGGATAATGCTTAACTCAGGAGAAGCAGGATGGAGGAACTGAAGCAGAATTTCTTAAATCTTATGAAAATATGTAAAAATGCTAACATGTGTTCCTTCCATCAGCTGGGTACAGAAGTTTGCTGTATAGATCCACAGTCTTTATATGCAATTCTGAAAAATTTGTTCTTAATTCTCTTTCAATGTATATACATACATACACACACACACACACATATTTTATAATTTAAAGGTACTAAAATGAGGGCCAGGTGTGGTGGCTCATACATGTAATCCCAGTACTTTGGGAGGCTGAGGTGGGAGGACTGCTTGATTCCAGGAGTTCAAGACCAACCTGGGCAACATAGTGAGACCCCCCATCACTACAAAAGAGGAAATAAAAAATTAACCAGGTGTGGTGGCATGCACCTGTAGTCCCAGCTACTCAGGAGGCTGAGGCAGGAGGATTGCTTGAGCCCAGGAGGTCAAGGCTACAGTGAGCCATGCTTGCACCACTGTACTCTAGCCTTGGGGACAGAACAAGACCCTGTCTCAAAAAAAAAAAAAAAAAAAAAAAAAAAAAATATATATATATATATATATATATATATATATGAAAAAGTAAAAAGCTCTAATACTAACTAGCTCTACCACTTTTAAAATGTAAAACCAAATGTGCATTGCAGAACGCACATGATTCTCTACAAAACAGAGCCCAGGGCATAGGTCAAGGAGCCCTGGGATGCATCATGTCAGCCTGGTGTCCACTCCTAGCCTCATAGTGGCAAAAGGAAATCTGTCCCTTATGCACAGCATGGAGAAGACCATTCTGGAAACATTAATCCATGGTTTTTGTAATTCCTAGAGCATATTCTAGAAAACAAATATATTATTTTAAAACTTGGTAAGATAAAATGATACAAGATTTTTCTGTAACTATGAAAGAGCTAATGCTTATTTCTGTTCATATTGCCCTTATGGTCCCTGCTTGACTATTAGATTCATGCCTGATCTAAGAGCTCCAGGTCCCCCAAGTGATGAATAAAGCTGAGCACTTGTGTCTTTGGGTAGGATGTCTCTTACACAGCTCTTCAGAAGCTTTTGGCCTCTCTGGTCTCCTGTGCCATCACCCAGCTCTGCACAGGCTCTGAGAAGCTCCATGCAGCTGCACCCTGATACCTGTCAGATTCATGCCGGGAGCCTCCTGCCTTCCTTCTCCCTAAGGGCATCTCTGCTGGGGTCATGGGTGTCAGCTGACTGCACACTCCGCGATGCAGGGGAATAGTTGCCTGCTGAGGGCGAATGTTTGACCAGAGGGGTTTGGAGCCAGGTGACAGATGCTCTCCCTTCCTCACCCTGGCTGGCTGGTCTGAAAAACATTCCTACCCTTCAGAGACAGTGTCATTGAATGGAGTAACCAGTAGCCCATGGTAGTGACCCATTGGGTAAATCGCTCCTGAATTAGATCCTCCTCTCTTCCTGCCCAACCCACCTTGTCCGTGGTTCCTGCCCATGGGGGTTACTCTCCGCAATAAAATGTCCTACCTCAGGCTCATTCTCTGAAAAAATTAAGCCAAAATAGCCTCATGCCAGTCTCACATTTCCAGGTAGGTCCAGGTATTTTGGGAAGAAAGGAGGCTTTTCTCCTAACTCTAAAAAAAATCCCAGATAACCTCAGAAACTCAGAAAACCATTTCTGACTTGCTATCCATTTCTGTGCGCTACTTTTTACCTATGGCAGTAAAGATCTTCTCTGAAGATCAAGTTTTCTTCCAAAGCACTCACCTAAAGTGTCCCTGTTGGCAAACAATTCACAAACCTGCCTCCGCTGTTGTCAAACGACCAAAGCTGACTTATTAAGACACATCCGTGGTTTCCGGGCATTTTAATAGATGGTAGCTCGGTTTCATTCATGCCTGTCGGCGGCATACCCTTTGATCAGAATGAGCACTTGCTTTGCTTCTCTGATCCTAACGATGAACTTCTACCCATGCATCCGATTTGCCTGACAAGAGCCACACACTGGGGCTTGGACTTCACTTCTGTGACTCCTAAACGGAAATAAAGCAATTGACCTGCGTGAGGAAACACCCCCGGGCTACACTCCTCCGCTTGGTGTCCTGCTCAGCGCCTTACACCACACAAAACCAAATCCAAATCATAATTGAGCCACAGGACGTCTTCCTCTGACTTTCCATGCTAGCACTCATTCTAACTTCTCTTCCTGCATGTTCTGTGAAGCAATAAATAGAACTAAGTGTCTTTTTAGGACATTTTTATTGCAACATGTTGTTTTTTTTTTCTGCCTCCTGCCATCTTATTATGTTATGTCACCAAACACCAGAGAGACACAAAACAGATGTTCCCAATAGGAGGAAGCACAGAGGGAATTTCCCTATCAGAAACCATGACGAGGAAGCGCTTGGAAATCAGCTATGCTCATGGTGATACTATTTGGAGCCCTGAATGTAAGGTGGAGTGAGAGGCTCACGCGCGAAGGGTAGCACTAAGTTTATCTCTGTGGAATAATGTAAAAGGAAAACAATATCTTGGCAATTAAAAAGGAAATGAAAGGTCAAATGCTTCTTGTTACAAATGCTTTGAGATAATGTCCAAGTTTCTTTGTGGCACTGGAAAAAAAAAGTTTCACAAAAATGTTGTTTGGAAGGAATATACTGCTGCCTAGTTCATGCACATTTTTATAAACAACTATTTTTTCTTGGGATGGCATTGGTGCATTGGAGTACGACTGAATTTTATGTCTGACATATTTCCATACACAAAATTCCATACCCCCAAATTCTTACCTTCTAATGTGTACAGAAGAATGATAATGTGAATGAAAATAAGAAAGAGTGAAAAATAAGAATTTATAAAGTCCTATTTGGTTCATTGCATATATTTAAGACAGAGATATTAGATTATTTATAATCTTGCAGAACTCCATGCCCCTTTTTGGAAATATGAACTGAAATAAGTAACAATATAGCTCACAGGCTTCCCATTCAAGAAAGCAGACTTAGCGCATATTTTACATCGTTTCTCTCTTAAGACTTCTCAAATTGATGGTAAATGGGTGATCAAAATAACAAATCCATGACAACAAAAATGTTATGGTGTAAAGCTATTGACAGATATGCAATTCCAACAAAATTCTACGTCAAAGTTTCCTAATCCCAGCGCTCTTGACATTTGAATAATTCTAGATTATGAGGGCAGCATCTCTGTAATATGTGTTTAGCAGCACACTTGGTCCCTGTCCACTCGATGCCAGTAGCATCTTCCCTCACCCCCAACTACAACAACCCCAAATCTCTTCCAGACATTATCAAGTAGCTCCTGGGGGCACCATCACCCTCGTGAAGAACCAATGGTCTAAAGACAGAGAGAAAATGAAGGAATGTTTACTCACACAACTGAGAAGAGAAGGCTGCAGCCTAGAACATTTGTAGAGGGTACCACAGGGCAGAAGACAGGCAAGCTGCACATCAGAGCATCCGAGAAAGTCTAACAGGGATGCTACTGTGCAATAGAAGATCAGAGAGATGGAAGGAATGAGGGAGCAGAGAATACTGAGACTGAGTGGAGTCTGTAGACAGAACAAAAGAATAAATACATGTGTACATACACACACACACATACACATACACATGCACACACATGCACACCCATGCAGATACATGCCCTCAAACACACTCATACATGCACACACATCTGGATGCACACGCATGCACACATACTCTGTCACACTCACATATGCAACAGCAGAATGTCCATCTACACATGAATAAACAGTATGTGGTCTACCCAGACAATGAAACATTATTCAGCCAGAAAAGGAATAAAGGACTGACACATGCTATGACATGGATGAAGCTTGAAAACATCATGCTCCGTGAATGGAGTCAGACACAAAAGGCCACACGTTGTATGATTCCATTGATATGAAATGTCCAGAATAGGTAAATGCATAGACACAGAAAGCACATGAGTAGTAACCGGGAGCTGCCGGAGGAGGAAAAGGGCAGTGACTGATTAGTGGATAAGGATTTCATTTCCGGATGATGAAAATGCCCCGGAACTAGACAGAGGAATAATCTTGTGAATGTACTTAATGCCACTGAGCCGGAAACTCGTATGCTTAAAATGGTCAACTTTATGTGTATTTTACCCCATTTTTTAAAAAAGAAAAGAAAAAGAACTCTGTTGGTGTTGGGAAATCAGATTACTCTGGGAGCCGAGGGCCAGGTGTTCCCACACTGCTGAGAGCAAAATGCAGTAAAAATCTCTGAGTTTAAGCAAATTGGATTGAAATCCTAGTTACTACGTATAAGTGAGGTGAGCATGGAGAAGTTAATTTTTCTACAGTTGGGTTTCCTTTTCTGCAAAGTACATTCCAGGATTGTCCTGAGAGACAATGAATGAGGCAGATGGAAGCTCCTGGCACACAGCAGGCCCTTCAGTGCTCACAGGCGGCCCTCCTGGCCTCGGTGGCTCCATTCCACTCAGCAGCATACCAAGCTCTTCTTCATAGCCAGCAGGAGCCTTATTACATGCTCACCATTTGCAGAATGTAACAAAAATCTGCTGCAGCTTTTTTTTTTTTTTTTGGCCATGGTTTTCTAGGTGAAGGACTCATACCGCTAAGTGTAACCTTCACTTATAGAGCGTAAAAAAGCCTGATGCTTAACTGAAGGACCACAAGCATAGCTATAATAATATTCAAACAATATTTTCAAATCATGCAAGGGACTCACTGTGAGAATTCAGCCTCTATTTAACTGGTGGGATTGTTTTCAAAATTTCTGTCTTATAAAAAACTCGACAGCAAGAATCTCAAAAAGAAGCTGAAACAACAGATCGCGTATGCTTTGTCTTCTTCCACAACTGCAGCCCTGCAAACATACTTGGCTGAGTTTATGGTCTTCATAAAGGGCTAGCTGCAGTCACACTTAGTGTACCCCCTTAAGCCAGCTGAGAAAACAAAGGGATTAAGACTGCCAAACTTCACGGTGGCTTTTTGAACCTTCTCATGTCTCCCATGAACGCCTGTAAGATGGAAAATCTTTGCAGGCCAGCAAGCTGTCCAGGCAGCAGCCTTCTTCCGCCTCCCCATCCACCTTAGCCCGCTTCATCTCCCTCCCCCACCCCCAGCCACAGCCCGCATTTGCAGAACACAGCCTTTGCTTGCCCCTTTCAAATGCATCCCATCCACTGACAGAAGCCGGCTTTGTTTTTAAAAACTTTTCCTGTAATAGCTCACCGAGGTCAGGCCTCAGCTCTTGTAGGCAGCTCTCATTAAACTTAGGTTATCAAAGGCTTTCCTTGCCACTGTCAGTTTGCCAGGCTTAATGGGAATAAGCAGTGTAGTGTTCCTATTAAATTTTTTTTTTTTGAGACAGAGTCTCACTCTGTCGCCCAGGCTGGAGTGCAGTGGCATGAACTCGGCTCTCTGAAACCTCCGTCTCCCGGGTTCAAGCGATTCTCCTGCCTCAGCCTCCCGAGTAGCTGGGATTACAGGCCCTATTAAATATAAGAAGCATTTTGAGCAAATATCACAAGGGTTCTAGATTTATTTACAATTTGTGGTTCTCAACTTGGGGCAATTTTGTCTCCCGGGAGATCTGAGACAATGTCTGAAAACATTTCTGGTTGTCACAATTGGGGAGGGAGGGTTGCTACTGGCATCCAGTGGGGAGAGGCCAGGGATGCTGCCAAACACCCTGCAGTGCACAGGACAGGATCACCCCATCCTCCTGCAGCAAATAAATTAGGGGTCCCAGACGTCAATTATGCTGAAACTGAGAAACCTTGACTTAGAGGAACACCCCAATAATTTAAACATTCATCTCCCTGCCCCCCAAACAAAAAACCATAACTCATAGAAATTTTTCTTATCTATTCGTTCTTTACGTATGTTTTCATTCCTGAATTTGTTTCTGCCTTGAGTCTAATTGGGACTTGCACCGCGGGTTGCTACAGAGCCTCTGGGCACATTCCTTCCTTGTTTTGCTCGGGAAGTTGCTAGGATAGGAGGGAAAGTCTGCTTGTTTATTCCTAGGATAATCGATGGTGCAGTCAGGCCGAGTTCCTGCAGTACAGTTTGGGTATTTTTTTTAAGAGATGAATCAGATTCATGCAATGAAATTGCAGGGTTTTTGTTTTATTTGGGTCATTCTTCAATTTTAAGAGAATATATCTCAGCACAACATCACCTGAACAAAAGAGAACTAGAAGTGAAATCCTTCATTAGGTGATACAGTTGCTCCCTGCCCAAGGAGCTGAGTCCTCAGAGGGAACAGGCCTGGCCTTTAAAGGGCAGAGTTCTTCCCAGATTCACAAAGCAGGAGATAGAGCAGTGCTTCCCAAATGTTGACATGCATCAGAAACCCCTGGAGAGCCTGTGATGGGGCAGATTCCTGAGCTCATGCCTGAGATGCTGACTCATTGGTTCTGGGATGGGGCTAAGCATTGACATTTTGAGCAAGCGCCCAGGGAAGGAGTGCACGTTGAAAAGTAAGCCTCTGTAATATAAAAATGCACATCCTAACACCAATATCACCTGAAGAGACTCATGGCTCATTCTAAGTTGTCTATAGAAGATCCTCATGGTCCCAACCAACTTCTTTCCCATATGTACTTCGGGCTCTGAGTTGCTTCTGTTAAATCAAGTTTAGCCCGAAGCTGCCTCCTTACATATTTTAAGTTCAGCCTAAAGGTTTTTCTGTACAATCGTGAACTATAACCTAAATGGAAGTGTAAACAGACTATAACCTACTCTTGTGCCAATCACCGAGTTTTGGCCAATCACAGGTGACCAACTGTTCAAACCGTGTTCAAATAAGGCAAATGTCTAGCTCTAACCAATCTGGCTGTTTCCATACCTCACTTCTGTTTTCTGTACGTCACTTTCCTTTTTCTGTCTATATATCTTCTTCCATCACGTGGCTGTGCTGGAGTCTCTGAGCCTACTCTGGCTTGGGAGGCTGCCCAATTCACGAATCATTCTTTGCACAATTAAACCCTCTTAAATTGAATTAAGCTACAGTTTTTCTTTTAACACTTCTTCCTGACTCTCCTATTTGGTTTTGTTGCACACCATGCAAAGTGCAATGGAAATTCTGGGGTGGGACAAGGTCAAGGACAGACTTGAGACAAGAAATACAAAGCACATGAGGCAAAGAATGGAGCCCCTGTGAGCATATTTGTCATGGAAACACAACTTTACAATGTGGCAATTCTTGGTTCACTCACTCCAAAAGGAGCATGGCATGGTGCCATCAAATATAAGTATCGGATTAACAACAAACTATGTTTAAGACTACTATGCATGGTGATGGAGTCAAAGAAGTATGAAACTCGACTCTGCCCTTAGGATCTTATCAATGACTTGGAATCCTGGTCCACAATGGGTCCAGGCACAAAACTAAAGGCCAAAGAGCCAGAAAGGTTACAACCCACAGCCTGAAAAAGGAGGAGCACCGTTGTAAGCATTGGTGCCCTTGTGCAACATAGAGACTCACTCCTGAAAAAAGGAACATAAGAGATTTTGAGGTGTTTGTTTTTCTGCAGGCAGCATGGATCCATTTTATCTATAATGTTGCCTTTCATGGAAACCAGTGACTAAAGCAACAATGGAAATATCCACAGCAGAGCAACTTGGAGCAAATGGCACTTGGACAGGGTTTGTCCATGGAAACATCTGACCTCTCTCTGAGCTCCAGAATTGCAGGATTATTATTTCTATGCCCTTAAGTTGTCAAGGGGAAGACCTGCCTATCGGAACATCTGCATAACTCGGAGTTTTACTGAGCAATAGAACATTCTGTACTTCTCAGATCCACATTTACTAGTCTATCCTCAAAAGGACAATGTGAAGATTAATTAATCTAATGTTCATGGAGCACAGAGGAGCTGAAAATGCACCATAGACAGATCTGGCCCTCACTCAGTCAACCCCGTCACACAAATTCAGTTACAGCTGGCTGGGTCTTGAAGCATGGACATGATCCGTATCCCTCCTTTAGAGGGCTTGTCATTGAAATATCTGCCATTTCTCCACTGTCCTTCCTAAATCAGAGATGTAAAGCCTGTGGTTTCTTCAAGGAAGGTTAAGTAACTGGCCTTCATATGTGCTAAATAATGACTTTAGTTTTGAAACTCCAAGGAAGCCAAGAAAGGCTTTCTATCTCTGGCTTGCCAGAGGAATGGTTTTCAAACCCGGTGTGCAACCCTAAAAGTCCTTTGTGATAACTTGGCAGGCTAAAGACCACAGGATATTGGGCCATGGGAGCAGTGTCTGAAGAGCACAAACCACCCGATCACTCTATGGTGGAAACTCTACTCTGGAATGCGGGAGCAGAAGGAAACTATGAAGGCATTGCATGGGCAGTAGGACATGCCAGCCTTCCATCCACCTGGCCCCAGCCATTCCCCATCACATTCCCCTGTCACATAAGAAACAGTGCACCAACTGCTTTTACATTTTAGTCCTTAGATGGCAATTTCTGTGCCTTAACTTTGTCAAGGTCAAGACAAAAAGGAGTGTGGATCAGAGATAGAAGCATTCACTCAGCCTAATAGGAAATAGGATCAGGCATCAGGCAATAACTGAAATGAAAGCAAAATGGATGGTAATAAGTGAAGATGTTTGTGAACTATCCCCAAGAGGAGACACCTTCCTGCTTAATATAAATGGCATATTTCTCCAAAGCACTTGTCTTCTGTGAACCTATAACCAGAGTCCATGAGGTAAAGGGTTTTCTCAAGAGCATATGACCAGTCAACATGGGGACTCGTGAAGGGGAGCCCACCAGACCCCTCCCAATTCCAGACCCCAGTCCCTTTCCATGAACCATGTGGTATGTATGTGTTTATTTATTGCCAACATTGTATAACCCTACCTGAAATAGGCAGAAATGTAAAAATTACACTTCTTTGAATTGACATATCCTAAACCATGTATGCAAACATGAGACCTTAAATAGGAGAGAAGTAAATGATTTCTGTCTTCTCTTTATATTTGGTCTGCAAATTGAGGCAGATACTGTTACAGAAATACCAGGGGTTCAATCTAGGTCCTGTTGTTCACTTGCTCACTGCTCAAAAGCCAATCACTGAGATGACGATTATTGCCAAGGAAGAAGGATTTAATCGGGTGCTACAGCCAAAGAGATGGGAGATCAATCTGAAATCCATCTCCCTGACTAAAACTAGGAGTTTACATAGCAGAGAAGAAATGTAACAATGTGTGAGAAACAGGAACTAGGGAAGGGCAAGGAAGCAATCATGATGAATAAGGGGTGCAGCATCTCACAATGCAGTGATCTGGTGAGTTTCAGTTCTTTTATACTATATTTAGAGATCTGAAGGTTGTTTCCTGAAGGATCTCAGATACAACAAATACAAGTTTCAAGCTTTAAGACCATAAGGGTCCATTTCTTTGTTTATAAAGAAAAAAAAAACTATCTATGGGACTACTGGGTCAGTTTCAGTTGGGGGCACTTGTGCCCCTCTGGAGACATTTGGCAAAGCCTGAAGACATTTTTGGTTGTTACAACTGGGGTGAGGGATGTTCCTAGCATCTACAGAGTGGAGGCCAGGGATGCTGCTAGATGTCCTCCAGTTCATGGGACAGCACTGCCCTTCCCCATCCCTACAAGAAAGAACTACCAAGCCCATGATATCAGGAGAGGCAAGGTTGAGAAAACATGACCTAGACTACATAATTATATCATCAAATCTAAAACAATAATATATAATAAGATTTGCCATTGGACCAATCGAAGAAAAGGTCCATGTGGATTCCTGAACCACACCTTCTCACTAAAATGTTTGCATACTGGCAAAGTGGAAAGATCAATGAATTAAAACAGGGTGTCACACCTGCCAGTCTTTCTCTGCCCCAATTTGCAATCTGCAACATTAGGGCATGCTGAGGTGTTTTCCATTTCAAAATGCCATAAACTACAACTTGATTATTTTTCAAATAATCAGAATATTTTTAACACAAGTAGCTGCTCCCAAATGCTCAGCATTAATGACTAGTTAAGTGTTATACAATGATCATTTCAAAGCATCAGTCTAGTTCCCTGGGTTCATTTGTTTCCATTTTTACTACAATGTTTTTACATAAACTAACATCAGATTTATTTTTCTAAATAGGTAAACTTCAAATATTAATTTCTACTATGTGTTTTGTTTACTAAATCTATATTTCATAAACAGTAAAAGATGATTTATTTGTTTGCAAACCAAACCCCTAGCAGAATGTTACAATGTAATTACTTTTTAATTGTTTAATCTTTATTTTTTATAACACTCATAAGAAATCAAAACTTGTTTCTTATATGTCTAATTTCCACTATTATTTATTGGCTAAAATAATGGAAATGATAAAAAGGTAAGAAAACAATCAATATATCTTTTACTTTCCTACAACTCCCAAAAATACAAGCCTAGATGAGTCAGTAAATCTCCAAATCTTCTATGTACCTAAGTTGCAATTACAAGCCAGTGGCCAGTGAACTTTATTTTTGCTGATTCTGAGTGGCCAGAAGACATTACCTTACAAATCTCCTAGTCACATGGTGCTTGAGAAAGGAATTTTGTACCTTTTATTTGTTTAAAGGCTCTAAGAATGTGTTTTGGGGACATTACAGAACCACAATGATGTCAATGTCTTCCAGCTAAAGACTCACCAGGAAATCACTTGTAGATAATTATGGTTGGGTTGACTGACTCACTGCAAGCAGGAAGAACACACATCCTGGGGGACCATGAGCATCCCAGTAAAAGGTTAGAAAAAGCTCGTTATAGAACACAGGCTTATGTTAGGTGACTTAGGGAAGGATTCAAGAAAGCAGGGCTTTGCTTCTGGCTGGATGCTATCAGAAGGCAGAGGCCATTACCTAATTAGGCATCTTGATACATCTTGTCCAGAAGGCAGGAAGTAAGGCTACAACTATAATTAGTAAAGAAGCAGCAGTTGGGAAAGTGGGAGGTTTGGTCATTTGGGTGGTTTGGACAATGTTCATGTCTCTCCCCACATTCGGATGAGATTATGGAGTGACCTTGTATTTCCTGACCCATCATGGTCATAGAGTAGCCTTGTCTGATGTGAGGGTCCTGTTCAACTGGACAGCATCATGGCCTAGCTGTGAGGGCCAGACTGGCTTCCAGCTGTGAGCCACGTTGTCTTTCTGGATGGTCATCTTCCTCCCGCCTCACCTAAGAGGCAATTCTGTCTGCTGCCATCTAAGTTCGCAAAGAGATTGCTTCTGCTGGCTGGCAACAATCCCTTCTCTCATGCTGGCTGAAAAGAGAAGAGTCTCTCTGGAGGCCTGTGTCATCCAAAGATTCAAACTAAATCCTTAATTTGATTCTTCCCTTCTGAAAGTCTTATTTCTCATCCTCCCCCATTCCCTGAAGTGAGTAGGAACTCACTTGGAGTTAGGTATCATATTTAATGTATTTAACGAGGGCACCAACACCTCAGATTGCATTCCCGTTAGGTGTTAGAGGTTCCCTGATTTGCCTGGCTCAAACTCCTCAGTTGCTGGATTTTAGGGAGGTCCAAGGTACCCAGGGACAAGCCAGGGTTATGGATGGGCACACAGGAGCTAGAAGCAGTGGTTATTTATCAACTCATCCAAAGGTTAGAAAGAGTATGATATTTTTGGAAAATTGAAGTTGAGTTCTATAGTCAACAAGTGGGAAAAAAAAACCTAGGAGCCAGTTTGTGTGTTGCTAGGGTGTTATAAGTTGAATTATTTTCCAGATACTTTCACTCTGTCCCTTTACTTTCTTTTTGTTTTTTAATCTTTTATTTTTTGTAGAGACAGGATCTTGTTGTGTTGCCCAAGCTGGTCTCAAACTCCTAGCCTCCAGCAATCCTCCCACCTCGGCCTCCCAAAGCACTGAGATTACACATGTGAGCCACCATGCACAGCTATCCCTTTACTTTCTTAGGGGAAATATACTTTCCCACCATATTGGAGTTAACCTTGGCTCTATGACTTGCTTTGGCCAATGGGAGGTTAGCGGACATGATATGTAGAGGCTTGAAAGAATAAACGTGTGCTGGCTGGTTCCCAGACTTGTGGATATGCCCAGAGAAATCAGCAGAGCCACCCAAGTGAATCCAAGTTAGATCAGCCAACCCCAACACCACCCCCCATCAACCCACAGACTTGTGCACTGGTAAATGTTCATTATTGTATGCTGCTGAAGTTTTGTGATTGGTTGTTATACAGCAGCAGCTGACTGATACACTAGAGTACCAGACTGCTGATTTATGATTCAGCCAATCACTTGATTATTTCCATCTCTCATCCAAAAATAAATTCCATAGTGTACAGATAGCATGTTTAAGGTCATGGGTACATTGCCCAAAGTTCATCATAAAACAAATAATGTACTGACAAGAGGGGAAAATGAATATGTTAAGGCAATAGGATAAAATAAGGTTATAATTTGAGTGGTCACAAATAGTACTGTCAGAATGCAAAATAAGGTATTTATTCATTTATACATTCATTCAACAATGTTTATTGGTAAGAAAAATACAATGCAACCAATACTGATAAAAACCAGCAAGACAGTCATGGGATAGACATTATCCTATCCTCGTGAGGGTAATAACAGAGGATCTAGAGGTTTGCAGTGAGAATTTCATAAGGATTAAAGAAAAATTAAACTCAATGGATTGGACTCCATGCTCCAGCCCCTTGCTCTTTCCCCACCTTGTGTTCTTATCACTGTGTTTCTTGCAATGACCAATCAGTCTCTACTTCTTCACAGGCTGAGACCAGAGAAAATAAAAAGGGAGAGATTTCTGGTGCCCCAAATTAAATTTGCATGCCCAGAAGTATCCTGAGACTCCAGAAGCACTTCCCAGTGAGAGCTGTGAACATCCTTTTCTTGGAGATATGTAGGCAATGGGTATGAAAATAGCCTTGGGGAAAAGTTTGAAATTCAGTTCTGCCCCATGGAGGTTGGAGAGCAGAACCAAGTAATTGTAAGAGCCTCTGACTCTCTGGTTGGTCTCTGAAAAAATGACTATCCCTGGGCAGGGTTTTGTTTCCCATTTTCAATTCAGCTGGCTCTACATTTGAGGTCATTAATGGATTGTTTAATGTGTATTCCATTGTAGCAGCTAGTCTGCTTTCAGAAATAAGCTAAAATAATCGATTTCTAAAAATATACTTCAAGTCCAATTGCTTTTGGCATATCAGACACAGGCAGCATTTCCTACAGAAAGTTTAGCAAGTGGAATATTTTTGTAGACCCAGACTCAGTTGCAGTCATCACCACACTGACAACCATCTGTATCAGTCTACTTATCCCTTCCCATTTTGTTCAAGGGAAGTGAAAGTGAATGGGCAGAACCCGATGTGTTCCAGGAAAGTAGAAGAGAAAAGTAATGGAGGCATAGATGTTAAAGAAGGCGTCGTGACATGCAAGTTACTCTTTTACTTATATAGTTAATAAGAGTGTACTCACAATTCGTGCAAAAAGAAGCATTAGGAAGCCTACTGAAAAGAAAATTGTCAGTTGGTATCACCACCAACAACTGGACTTAATGGCCTGCTGTTCCCCATGTGATGCCTGCAAGGGATGCAGCTGCGTGTCGGTGGCATGTCTGCCCCAAAAATGTAGAACTGGAACCTAATCCTGGGAAGCCTCAGGCCAGCCCAACTTGAGCGTATTTTTCAAAACACTTGGCCTGTACCTTCTGAAAATGCCAATATTATTAAAGACAAAGAAAACACAAAAACTAAATACAATGTGGATCAGAGAATCCTAAATGGGGGAAAAGTTTTCCATGAAAAATATTCTCAGGAAAATAGGTGAAATCTGAATATCAACTGTATATCTGACAATAGTAATGTATCAGGGAAGGTGGGGAAGGTTAATGGGTACAAAAAAACATAGTTAGAAAGAATAAGACATACTATTGAATGGCACAACAGGTGACTATAGTCAATAATAACTGTACATTTTAAAATAACAGAAAGAGTGAAATTGGATTGATTGATTTTAACTCAAACAATAAATGCTTGAGGGGATGGATACCCAGTTTTCCATGATGTCATTATTTCACATTGCACACCTGTATCAAAACATTTCATGTATTCCATAAATATATACACCTACTATGTACCCACAAATATTAAAAATTTTAAAAAGATTAGACAGTACTATACGATGCTGTGATAAAAAGAGTAATGTATCAATATTAAATTTCTTTCATTTGATAATCATGGTGGGCTTTGGAAATATGCTCTAAAATATTCAGGGGTACAGGTATAATGTCAAAAATTCACTTTCAAAAGGATGGTGGGATGGTTCAGAAAATGCACAGATAACAAGCAAATGGGGCAAAATGTTATCATTTGGCGAATTTGCTGAGGGTTCCTGCGAATACATTCTAGGCCTTTTGTGATTCCTTTATAAGTTTTAGTCTTTCCGAATAAAAAGTTAAGAATTCTTCAGCAAAATTTCTTAATGTTTAAAGGCTGTGGTAGCATAAATTACTAAGAAATCCTTTACTCCACCATCTGATACGTAATCAGATTGAACTTTAACTCTGTTAGCATGAATTTGTGGTAAAAATGGCATTCAAAACAGGAAATTTCCTGACCTAAGAAATAGCTGCTTAACCTTAGCTAGTTGCTCAGTGGAATCCACAATTTGTTAGGATTTACAGAATGACAATACTGATTGTAAATTTGAAAGAATACAATTGAAATAACTAGTGTTATTTTTAAAAAATCAATTGCCATATTCAACCAAAAAGAATAAGATTAGTGGGGGGTGGTCTGACCCCTAGGCAGCTGGAATTTCTTTTTTTTTGCTTTTTTTTTTTGAGACGGAGTCTCGCTCTGTCGCCCAGGCTCCGCCTCCTGGGTTCACACCGTTCTCCAGCAGCTGGAATTTCTAATGTAGCAGAAAATCTTAATGCATGGCCCCAACTTCTTGTCTACACTTGACTTGGCTGCTACAAGATTAGCTCTTTTTTTGTCAAAATGGCTGCATTTTTTAAATAAAGTTGCTTGATTAAATTTATCAACTATTAGCCAAATCAGTATTTTCCAAGTTAGTTTAAAAAAAAAAACTGAATTTTCTGTACATTAAGTCATGACTGGGGGCATTTTTAGAAAAAAATTTTAAAAAATCAAATATATCTTTACAGGAGAAAGGGAACTTTAAGGTCTTTGAAATACATCAATAAATAATTTTTTGGTTCTCATTCTTTAAAACATTTAAACTGATCATATTTGGAAGGAAAACACATACGTGGCAAATAAATTGTAAAGGAGTAGGAATACCTCCTTGAATGGGCCCATCCTTTCGTAGGAATACATAAAATCTTTCTTGTTATTCTTAATGCCAGAAAGCCTGAAAGGCGAATGTTTTGCTGACCTCCAAGAATGGCTAAAGCCAATGCTCAGCAGTAGGCACCAAAACAAGCTTCCGGGGTTGCTGAACGCCGAAGCATGTCGTCTTTCTGCCAACAGTAACCTCCCACACTTTTCTCATCCCTTATGCCATAAACCCACCTCTATCAGGTGCCGGGCTAACTCCTGCTCATTCTTCCAAACTGCTGTATCCTAGAAGTGTCTCCGTAACCCAGAATGCCAGGTGTTCCCTTAGGTCTCCATGCCCCTGAATTCTCCCAGCATAGCACCTGTTAAACACTGGGAAACTGTCTTTGGTCTTTCTTCTCACATGATAATCTCTGACAGCACAGACCCTGTTCTTCTTACTCACCTTTGCACCCCTAATCCCTAGACGGGTGTATACAGCAAAAACTCAGTAAATGTCTGCTGGATGAATGATTTAGACGTCGTAGCCCATCCTTCGTGACACATTGATACTGACCATACTATGTAGGCATTTTCTCTTTCCCCACTTTTTCTCTGTTTAAAAAATATAACTTAGTGTACGCTCTGCTCATGGAGAGTTACAAGTTCAAATCAAACACGTGAGCTCTGACTCAATCTTCACCATCTGCCCATTCATCTGGAGATCATCTGATTTTCTCTGGGATTTTTGTAGTGCAAAAAATGCATTATACGGACCAGAAATAAACTAGAAATTGTAGCTGGCGCATTTTGTGGGTCAGGATATATTTTTTAACATTTAAGGAACATTGTCACCCCATGGGAGACTGACTACTCCAAATTGAAACTCTCAGTTTTATTCAAGCTGGTAACTTTCCTTCTCAGGCTCACCCCTAACAAAGCTCCAGAATAAAATGTTACAGGGTGACTGAATGCTCATTCGTAAGTTAATTGCTTGTAGCAAACCCATGGCTGCCTAATAATACAAATACACTGTACATTTGTCTTTCACCGTTCATTGTGTAAAATTACAGGCAGCTAGACTATGTTTGAGGGACTTGTTTATATAGTGCCATTGCTGAAAATAAGCATTTAATCATAAATCCATTAATCAAAACTAAACCAATGATCCTGCTTTTCTCCAAAAGAATATATCCATTTTCCCAATGCATTACAATAAGTTCAATGAATATTAAACTCACGATGACAGAGATTCTCAGAAAGAGCATTTGGCAGCTCTATTCTTTAAAGTATTTACTGGGACTTTCAATATGATAATCCAACACACTTTGAAAGGAGCTGGCAAGAGGACTGCAACAATCCACTGTGCCTTCCGATCAATAACTAATTCATCACTACCAACTGGCTTCTTCAGAGGACAGAACCAGCTCTGCTGCCCAGGCTGGAATGCAGTGGTGTGACCATGGCTCACTGCAGCCTTGACCTCTCAAGCTCAAGCCATCCTCCCACCTCAGCCTCCTGAGTAGCTGGGACTACAGGCGCATGCCACCACACTTGGTTAATTTTTTAATTATTTGTAGAGATGGGGTCTCGCTATGTTGCCCAGGCTAGTCTTGAACTCTTGGGCTTGAGCAATCCTCCCACCTTGGCCTCCCAAAGTGCTAAGATTACAGGCTTGAGCCACCACACTCAGGCTATCAATGACTTTTAACAAGCACAACAGAAGATAGTTTATCATGATGTCTGTGACTATTCCTTGCAGCAGCACCTCTCATTTGGGAATGTCTGGAGACATCTTTGGTTGCTGTATCCCGGAAGAGCAGTGCTATTGGCATCTAGTGGGTAGATGCCAGAGACGCCGCTAAACATTCTACAATGCACAAGACAGCCCCTTGCCACCACAAAAAATTACCTGGCCCAAATTTCAATAGTGCTGGTGGTTGAGAAGTCCTGCCTTATAGAAGGTTAACAGATGTAATTTCTAGATCTGTACCATTCAATGTGGCAGCCGCTAGCCACATATGGCTATCAAGCCCTTAAAATGTGGCCAGTTCACATTGAGATGTACTCTAAGTAAAAAATACACGCCAGATTTCAGACTTAGTATGAAAAAAGAATGTAGGATACCTTAATATTTGATAATGAAATTTTATATTAAAATAATAGGTTGGATGAAGGGTTATATTATTAAAATTAATTTCATCTCTTCCTTTATACTGTTTTAATGTCTACTACAAAATGTAATATACATATGTGGCTGCCCTGCATTTCCCTCTGGACAATACTAGGCTGGGGGGTTCCTTCTGTTTCCTTGATGATGTGCTGTCTCTATCCATGTAACCCACATTGCGATAAGCAGTTCTCTCAAAGTAAATTTAAATTCAAAAAGCACCCATTAGCTATATTCTTATAGGGTAAATAAAAGTGCCAAGTTATTTAATCAGATCAAAGATACATGAAGTACAAATTAAAGTTTCCCTATTTCTGTTTATTATAAAACCAAGCTGAGATGAAGCAAATGAAGCATGGAGATGCATTTTCCTTTATGCCCAAATGGTAAGGAATTGACCCCTTAGCAAACTGTCCAAGTCGACAAATTCAAAAGCTGGAAGGCAAAGAAACAGGGCTTTCAACAGCAAGCAAATATTATATTTCCAAGGAGAGTCAAGCACAGTATCTTGCTCATTAAAAAGAATAAACCTGAGAAGAGCACAAAAATTAGGCAGATCTGTTAAAATGATTAGTCATCAGACTAGCAACCCTTCTAAACACAGCACAACAGGGGCAGGGCTGGATGGTAGAGAAAAAGCCACAGGTCCTTTCTTAAAGATCCACCTTAAAAGGCAGGACAGACAGTTGAAAACATTACATATTGAAACATGAGAATGAACAGGGATATTCCAAATTCCAAATGAGAGTTCAGAGTCAAAACCAGAATCAGTGAGGTGCCATACTTGGGCATGGAAATAAAGGTAGAACTTAGACCAATAAAAAACCATGTTATGCATAAGACGGAAGTGGGAAGCAGAGTAAGCTAATTCTCAGAGCTGAAATAAGTATGATGCTTGTGACTGAGACAGTCGTACGAGCTGACTTGCCAAGGCTTTGCATTTATGTTGAGGAGGGTGTAGCAACTGGACAAACTTCTTTGTGATGGGCCTTAACAACCAGAATGAGAACTTAGAACTTTATCCCATAGGCAACAGGGAGACAGAGAATGGTATGGAAAGAGAGAGAAGTATAAGGAGAACATTTTAGACATGTACATGAGGTGGATCAGAAAGAGAAGAAATGGCCAAACAACATGTAATTAGCTTAAATGTATAATGATGAACCACCAGGGTGGTAGTACTGTAGCTAAAAGACAAGACACCAAGTGAACATCAGAAACAGAAAATAAAGATGACTCCAATTTTGAGTTGGAGTAACTAGGGAGGAAGGTACATAGATACAACAATGAATGCCATGGGGGCATTGACATTGGGATGATTGATTGTTGGCTATCAAGGCTGGGACTCGGGTTCCAAGAATAGAGCTATAAATGTAAAGGTCAAACTAATAGATATACCACGTTGCCTATTATTTTATAGGACATTAACAACAGTCTGTGGGCTAGGTTGGGAGGTACATTCATCTCCACGGTACCAAGAGGTCAAGGTTGCTTGGCCATTGCATGTTGGAGCCGGACCAAGAACTCCCAGAGTTCTATCTTCTAGGATTGCTTTCATCCCAATGTGCCACACTTTTTCCCTCTAAACTGTGCAGATTCTCACCCAGCGAGGGTGGTCAAAGCTACAAATAGGAATTCTGAGAGAGAGAGAGAGAGAGAGAGTCAACTAAGTTGGGCAAGTCTTGAATTGACAGAAAATCCTGTTTTCTAACCTAGATCCCATGCACTGGGTCCAGTTAGAACCATCCATGATGTTCTTAGTTTGTGCACCCTTCCTGCCTCTCAGCCTCATTGTCCACTTGTCTATACCCTAGATTCTCAAATTCTATTACCTGAGAACCTTGGTAAGTCATGATAATATCCACTGAGGAGTAATGACCCATATAAACTTAAAAGGCCACCCACTTTGGAGGTACTTGCATTTTAACAAGGGCCTCTTGAAGACACAGTCCTTCAAAAGTCTAGAATAGTAACTATGATTCAGTGATTCAGATGGTGGAGTTGGGGGAATATTTCTTCATGATAATCTTCAAATCCTGCAATCAACATATACATAGGACCTGCCTTATTACAGGGATAAGATGTAGATTTCTCCTCCCTGTACTCCCAATCCTATTTCCTTGGAATGCCTTCCAAATGTGATTTAGTCATCACTAGAAACCAGTATCTACACCTGAAAGGGAAAAAAAAATGTTTTCACCAAAGTGCTATGTCACCTCCATGAAGGAAAATACGAAATACAGGGCTGTGAATCTTCCCCAACTCATCTCTAGGATGATAAATGAATATCAAAGAAGTATGCCAAAAGATGATCAATGAGGGGCTAACATCTCTGCTCACAGGGAGTTATCACAGTGAATTTGGTGTACGGAAAACCAAAGCTCTTCCACACTCATTCCAGCTTCAGTTTTAAGGGAATTTTGACTTTGTTGCTGTGATATGTAAGCCTCCCCTTAACTCCAATGGCAAATGCTTTGATATAGAAAATAAGTAGCAGGCAATGAGTTTCACACACTTACCTTGAACTTTAATGAGCGGCGATTTCCCCTCTGGTTTCTGAAATTAGGTGTGTCACATGCTTTAACACAATCAGCTTGTCCTAACACCATGGCAATAACTCCATCTGCCTGCAGATATGAAAGAGACTGCATTATCAGTCTAGTATTCATCATCAACAAAACACCAAGCAAATGTATGGTCAGCATTTTAAAGTGTGAAAATATGTACAACTATTATGTATCAATAAAATATACTTTTAAAAAAGAAAAATAAAGTTAAGTGTGCTGGCGATGAGAATACCTTGATGTCTAAGAGTTATTAAGTACCAAAATGATAACTGATAATGTTGTTTAAATATTTTGTTAAAAAACTATTCTCTAATTTTCAAAAACATTGAGGACAAACTTAAAGCCCATTTATTTCACCAGCCAATCTAGTTATATTGAGTGTAGTAGGAAGTATATCATTCTTGGAAAAAGAAAAAAAGACTGATTAAAATCTCAGATAATCAGACAAAATAACTTGGCTTCTAAGTGTTGTTAGTCACTTCCTGACAATCCAACATTTCCGAGTAGGATTCAAGTTTTCACAGGAAATGTAAACTCAGCATTTCTACCATTTTCTTCATGGAAATACAGAAGCAATAAAGGAGAAGAAGAAAAAAGTTTTTCTTAAATTCATTTTTAGTAAAACAAGGAGTTAAAACCCCAGACCTCAGTGTCAAAATGACTACAAATGTCAGTGGAGATTGATCAGGGTGTGTTGCAGAGGAGACAGAGGTAAACAAACATCACGGGGATCCAACAGCAGCTGGAGATTTGCCAAAGAGCAGCAGAAGCACGCTTCCCAAATAGAAGGGGCACAGCCAGAGGCACACAACTTTAATCATGTGTTTGCAAGAATAGAAGTCACGGTGAACCAGCTGCAGCGGAAGCCTCCTGCACCCAATTAGGTTCCAGAAGCAGAAAAAGTGAATTAAATGAATTATATTTGCAGGCATTATTCTGTCTTTATGGCATCAAGAAAAGGAGAAATTTAAGTTGTTAGCAAAGAAATTTGAAAAACTAGCCTTTGTTGGCTGAGAAACAAAAGCTAAAGAAACTTATACATGGCTGGGAACAGTGGCTCACGCCTGTAATCCCAGCACTTTGGGAGGCCAAGACTGGCAGATCACCTGAGGTCGGGAGTTCGAGACCAACCTGGCCAACATAGGAAACCCTGTCTCTACTAAAAATACAAAAATCAGCTGGGCATGGTTGCAGGTGCCTGTAGTCCCAGCTACGCAGGAAGGCAAGGCAGGAGAATCGCTTGAACCCGGGAGATGGAGGGTGCAGTAAGTCTAGATTGCGCCATTGCACTCCAGCCTGGGCAACAGAGCAAGACTCCATTTCAAAAAAAAAAAAAAAAAAAAAAAAAGATATTCCAAGGACCAGTAAGCACAAGAAAATTGTTCAGCCTCATTAGTCATCAGGAAAATGCAAAATATAACCACAATGTGATACCACCATACACCCACCAGATGACAAAAATTGAAGACCGACAATACCAAATGACGTTGAGGAATTGGGGCAACTCGAATCTCAGGCATGCATGTTGGTAGGAGTGTAAAATGGTACAATCAGTTTGGAAAAAAGTCCGAGTTTCTTCAAAAGCTAAAAACCTACCCCATGACCCATTGTATTAGAGTGTTCTTGCATTGTTACGAAAAAACACCTGCAACTGGTAATTTATAAGAAAAGAGGTTCAGCTGGCTCACAGTTCTGCAGGCTGTACAGGAAACATAGCTCCAGCATCTGCTTCTGGGGAAGCCTCAGGGGGCTTTGACTCACGGTAGAAGGTAAAGCAGGAGGATACACAACACATGACCAGAGCAGGGGCAAGGGGAGTGGGGGCGGAGCAGGTGCCACACACTTACAACCAATCAGATCCAGCGATAATTCACTATCATGAAGACAGCACCAAGATATGGAGGATCCGCCCCCATGATCCGAACACCTCCCACCAGGCCCCACCTCCAGCATCAAGGATTACAAATCAATATGAGATCTGGGCGGGGACACATATCTAAACTGTATCACCCAGCAGTTCTACTCATAGGTATTTGCCCCATCCCGTGCCAAGGAAAGGGAAAACAAAATGTACGGGACCACGAAAAAGAGCTGTGCAAGAATGTTCATAACAGCTTTATTCATAAGCAACAAAACCTGCAAACAACCCAGGTGTTGCTTAATAGGAACACAGAGAAACCAAACATAGGATAGTCATGTAATGGAACAGCACTTGCCAGTGAAAAGCAACAACAAGAAGTCTCAAAAACATTATGCTTAGTGAATGAAAGAAGGCGTCCACAAAAAGAGTGCATACTACACAAAATTCTAGAACAAATAACTCATGTATGGTGGTAAAAGGTCAGAGCAGTGGTAGGCTCTGAGGGAGTGGGCATAGGGATTAACTGGCAAGAGGCATGAGGAAACCTTCTAGGGTGATGATAATGAGCTGTATTTTGATAAGCATTACACAAGCGTATGCTTTTGTCCAAACCCAGTGAATGTGCACTTAAGATTTGTGCATTTCACTGCATGTAAACTTCAGCTGGAAATAAAAAATACTACAAATACTAAACTCTAGTTCATGATGTGCATGCTGAAGTATTTAATGGGATGTACACTGGTATCTCCAGTTTACTTTGAAACGCGTCAGAAACTAAGATGGATTAGTGTATAGAGGGCCAAATAGATGGATAGATACATGTTAAAGGAAGGTTAGTAAAATGTTAATGGTAGAATCTAGGTGGTGTGTAATGGGTGTTCACTGTAAAATTCTTTCAACATTTCCATATGCTTAAAAATCTGTATAATAAAATGTTGGAAAAAGTCCGAAGAAACTAAAACAGTAATGAAGGAAGATTAGCCCTGTATATAGCATGCTGAAACATAAATAAAACCTTAATATTTAACTTAAGTAGACAGAAAGATCAATGGAACATAGTAGAAAATTCAGAAACAGAACCCCCCATATGGAAAGTTAGTATATGTTATAAGTGGCAACTCAGGTCAGAAGAGAAGAAATGGATTATTTAATAGTTTTGAGAGAAATGAGCTGCCTTCTGGAAGAATATATTTGGTTCTATGCCTCACACCTTATGCCAGGATAACTTCCCAAATGATCAAATATTTAAATATATATAAATATGTAGAATTCAGTGATAAATGAAAGAAACCATGGGATAATTCTTCTGTTAATACTAAGGGGGAAAAATCCTTTCAACTATGACCCAAATGCCAGACATGATAACAGACTGAGTAATTCAACCACAAAAACGTCAGAACTCTTCAAGCAAAACCACAATAAGCAAACTCAAAAGACAGGTGGCAAACTGGGGGAAGATTGTGAGATCTCATAAAGTTAATTTCTCTAATAAACAAGTAGCTTATGGCTACAATGAAAGAAAAAGATGGAAAACAATACGAACAAATAATTCAACAGAAGACAAATGGTTTTTAGTCCCATACAATTATCCTCAACTACAAACATAATAATGGAAAAAATGGATTGCCATGTAGTTTTAACTTGCATTTCTATTAGAAGTTAAAAAAAAGCCGCAGTGTATAATTCACTTTAAAAAGGAGAGAAACACACACACACACACACACACACACACACACACACACATACACATTACAACACATAAAAATGTGCTCATAGATATTTTTAAAAGCTCCAGAACGTGCATTGCTTATTCAGGGTGACAGGGATGTTTTTTAACAGCTTATCCTTTTATACTTTTTAAATTTTGAACCATGTAAATGGAATACCTAATTTTAAAAATTAGATTTAAGAAAGTGAGAATAATTATATTGCAAACAAAGGCAGCAGCGTGGGAGGCAGCCCAAGCTCCAGCCCAACTCTGCTACTAATTAACTGGGTGAACTTGGGCCAGTCTCTTGGAATCATTGACTATTCTGGCTGCAAAGAATCTCAGAAATATTCTCATTCCACACTTGTTTTATGGAATAGGAAACAGAAGCACAGAATAAATTAAGTGACTTAGCCAATGTCACATGCAGTCAGTTTACTGCAGAGCCAACAAAAGCTGTAGATGTGTCAGTTTCTTCTTAGATAAGATGGGAGTACTGCCATTAAGAAAAGGCAAGCTGCAGAGATGGGGAGAAAATATTTGCAAATCACATAACTGACAAAGGACTTATATCCAGAATATATGTTTTTAACTCTCAAAACTCAACAATAGGAACAAAAATAAAGATGCTTAAGATCATTAGCCATCAGGGATATTCAGATTCCTAAAAACCACAGTGAGATACCACTGTGCATTTTTTAAAATGGCTAAAACTTTAATTTAAAAAACCTGACAATACCAGATTGGAAAGGATATGGAGCAACTAGAACTCTCACGCATTGCTGTTATACAAAATGCAAAATGGTACAACCACTTTAGAAAACAGTTTGGCAGTTTCTCATAAAGTTAAACATACACTTAACCAATACCACATAACCCAGCAATACCACTCCTAGGTACTTATCCAAGAGTGCCAGGCACTCCAGCCTGGGCAATAAGAGCAAAACTCCGTCTCAAAAAAAAAAAAAAAGATTCTTTCACTTTTTAAAAAACAAATAGTAATTAATTCCCAAGGACTAGAACAGGTTTGTATTACATGTGGCACAAAAAATCTTATAATTTTTCTTTAGGAAAGATAAACCTGAATAACTATGAAATTCATAACACAATGACAATGTGGAGAGACAGAAAACCCTGTAAACTTACGTTTACAAAAAAACCTGTACATAAGTGTTTACAGCAGTTTTATTTTTAGTCTTCAAAAGCTAGAAGCAACCCAAATGTTCATCAACTATAGTACATCCATGCAAGAGACTATTATGCATCCATACAATGGAATATTATGCAGCCATAAAAAAGGAACAAACGATTGATACATGCATCAAATTGAGTGGATCTCAAAGGCACAATGCTGAGTGAAAGCAACCAACCTCAAAAACCTCCACAGTGCATGATTCCATGTATATGACGTTCTGGGAAAAGGCAGAATTGAAGGAATGGAAAACAGATCAGAGGTTGCTAAGGACTGGGGCAGGGAGAGAGGTTGACTAAAAAGCAGGAGCATGAGGAAATTTTAGAAGATATTGGAACTGCTCTGTGTCATCATTGTAGTGTTGGATACACAAATCTATGCATTTTTAAAACCCACAGAATTGTATACCACCAAACGCATACTTTACAATATGCAAATTTAAAAATAATTTTTTTCCAGCCTTCTTGAGGTATAATTGACAAATAAAAAGTGTATATATTTAAGGTGTACAACGTGATGTTTTGATATACATTGTGAAACATTTGCTACCATAAAGCTAATTAACATATCCATCACTTTGAAGAGTGAAGTCATCAATCAAAGATCTCTGTGATCCTTTCCAGTTTTAGAAACATAAAGATTCTTTCACTTTTTGTGGCCGGGCACAGTGGCTCACGCCTGTAATCCCAGCACTTTTGGAGGCTGAGGTGGGTGGATCACCTGAGGTCGGGAGTTAGAGACCAGCCTGACCAACATGAAGAAACCCTGTCTCTACTAAAAATACAAAAAAAATTAGCCGGGCATAGTGGCGCATGCCTGTAATCCCAGCTACTTGGAAGGCTGAGGCAGGAGAATTGCTTGAACCTGGGAAGTGGAGGTTGTGGTGAGCCGAGATCAGGCCATTGCACTCCAGCCTGGGCAACAAGAGCAAAACTCCGTCTCAAAAAAAAAAAAAAAAGATTCTTTCACTTTTTAAAAAACAAATAGTAATTAATTCCCAAGGACTAGAATAGGTTTGTATTACATGTGGCACAAAAAATCTTATAATTTTTCTTTAGGAAAGATAAACCTGAATAACTATGAAATTCATAACACAAAGACAATGTGGAGAGACAGAAAACCCTGAAAAGAGTGTAAAAATAATGTCTTGGAATTTCATCTCCTTGACAATTCAGCTAGCTTTCAGGCATTCTAATTTTTCTCTCATTTGGAAGTGCAAAGTTAATAGAAAAATAGACCAGTCTATTTTTCCGTATTTCTATATCTCACTGTTTAAGTTTTGCTGATCATATTTTAAACTTCCTTTTTATTTAAAGGTGAAATCATTGATAAACACCATCTCTTACGTATCCTTTTCTCTCCCTCAAAGCTTGTTCTTGTGACATCTGGACTGTCTAGAAAGACATGATCCTTCAAATAATTCCTTGTTTAGTTACAATCTCTTTTGTTCCAAAAACTTCCAGTAAAATATCTCTCATATAGTGTTTTTTACCTTTTTAGGGTGATGTACTCCTTTGAGAATACGATGTAAGCTATAACTCTATTTGAAAAGGTTTAAACAAAAACAAGACCATAAATACTGTCTTAGTCCATCTGTGCTTCTGTAACAGCATACCCGAGGCTAGGTAATTTATAAATAATACAAGTTTATTTCTTATGGTTCTGGAGGCTGAGAAGTCCAAGATCAAGGCACCAATAGGTTCAGCATCTGGTGAGGACTGCTCTCTGCTTGCAAGATGGGGCCTTGTTGCTGTACCCTTTGGAGGGGAGGTTCACTGTGTCCTTACATGTCAGAAAGGATGTAAGAGTAAGAGAGTGCTTCTTCAACCTTGAGCCCTTTAAAAGGGTGCTAATCCCGTCCATGAGGGTGAAGCCCTTGTGACTTGCTTCCCAAAAGCCACACCTCTTAATACCTTTGCATTGGGGATTAAGTTTCAACTTAAATTTTAAAGGAGACACCTTTATTCAAACCATAGCAATACCCCCACATACGCAATTCTGGTGACAATGTCAGAGGTTCAAGGGCTTTCTGAGTCCTGTGGATTTCAGGATTCCAGGTATATAGAGCACAAGCTCCTGAGGGAAACCCTTGGTTCAAACCCTTGCACTGCTATTTAACGGCTGTATGACGTTGGGCATGTATTTTTCCTTTCTCTGCCTTTGTTTGCTCATCCACAAAGTGCAAATAATAGTACTGCTAGGGGCTAGACGTAGTGGCTCACACCTGTAATCCCAGCACTTTGGGAGGCTGAGGTGGGAGGATCCCTGAGACCAAGAGTTTCAGATCAGCCTGGGCAACATAGCCAGACCCCATGTCTACAAAAACATTTTTAAAAATTAGCTGGCTGTGGTGGCACATGCCTGTAGTCCCAGCTACTTGGGAGGCTGAGGCAGGAGGATAGCTTGAGCCCAGGAGTTTGAGACTGCATTTGGCCATGAGCACACCCCTACACTCTAGCCTGGGTGATAGAGAAAGACCCTGACTCTTAAAAAAAAGTGCTACTAGGATTTAATCATGCCTTGTCACTGGAAGGCCTCAATAAGTATCACCTAGAGGGTGAAAGAAAAATTGACTCATGCCATTTTCCAAGGCTTCTAAGTCAGCCTCCTTAGAAATTTGGATTCTATAGAGTATCGTCAAAGTGTCATCTGCAATCCACTGAAGTCAACTGAAGTGCCTCCTGTTGGGAGATCCAGAAATGCAATGTTATCAAAGCAAATTATGTGCAATTCCATAGACTTTCATTTTCTAATGTATGACTATGGGCTACAACTGGTAATTGACTGAGTTATTAAGAGTTACCAAACTAAAATTAGCACATTACTTGATTTTATCCATGACTCTAATTAGTTTTCTACTCAGACTCTGCTGCCAAACAACCCATGGCAATATCACAAGATACTTGCATCTCATGCCTACAGATACTTGGCATCTTCTAGACTGGAGGAAGGATGCTTGTTATCACAGCATCATCAGCATTGTCTTGACTGAGGGATGGTTTTGATTGTTGTTACTCTTAACTTTGATGATTTATATTTTATAATTGGTTTCATCATTATCAATTTTGTTTACTGAGAGTCATTCAATGGACCTGAGGACAACAATAGTATCAATCATATTTTGGCCTATAATTTTCCAACGATTTGGTTTTAAGTTGTATATGTATAACATGGTTCCAATGGGAATCATTCAAATTCTGATGGCTATAGTACACATGCACACAATCTCCCAAAATATTCTCATATTCTCACTATTGGCACCCAGTGTTTGGTTTTTAGGGGGAAGGGGTGGGGTTGCTGGTTTGTTTGCTCACTACTGGAAAGTAAAGGTTGGTAGTAGAGATGAGAGAATGAATACAGTCTTTTTTTTTTCTGTCAAAGTAGACCATAGTAAAACATGCGTGCATACACTCACACACAACTAAGAATCACTAGGTAGCTAAATTTGAAATTAGATATCAATACTTCTCACTTGCCAGACCCTGAAGAAGTGAGTAAACTTCTCTGAACTTATCTGGGAAATCCAAACATCTACCTGGCCTCCTGTAGAAACAAACTTTCTTCGTAAAGAGTAATTTGGTAAACACACTGGGCTTTGGGAGCCCCAGGGTCTCTGTCACAACCACTCAACTCTGCTGTGATCATGTGAAAGCAGACATGGACAGTACAAAACAACTAGCATGACTATGTCCCAATAAAGTTTTATTTACAGAAACAGGTGACAGCTCCACTGACTGTAGTTTGCTGAACTCCGCCATACACCATTGTGAAAGTAACATGGCAAAATTCTAGTGATGATATTATTGCTATCATCATTATCATCATCATCATCAATGCCCTTCACTGCTTAGAAAGCACTCCCATTTGACCCTCCCAATCACAGAGGCAGGAGCAAACACTACTCAGGATGTTTTATAACTAAGGAAGGCAAGTTCACAAGAAGCTAAGGCTTCAGCCATGGGGTGGGTGGACGTAACTGAGAGCAGCCTTCAGCTCCCCTGACCATTAGGCGTCTCCTCTCTTCACTCAGAGAGCTTGGGAAGCCTCGGCCCATTGTACATTTATTTGTAAGGGATAATTTTCATGTCATTACACTGTCCTCACTACTCCCAGAGAGAAGGTAAACCTTCTCATTGCTGGGGTAAAAAAATGCTATGGGAAAAATAGAAAAGCTTTTATTTATATTATTGTAAGCTTTTAAAAATGATTTTGCCTGAATAGGCTATATTCCTCTTTTCTGTCTGATTATTACCATTTTTATTTCCCAGTTGTAAAAATATATGTTTGCCATTTGTTTGAAGAACAATGCAACTCTCTCCAATCCATCACATAGCTCTGCTCTTAGCAATTCTCACAGCTCATCAGGAAAATGATTGCCTGATTAAACAGGCGTGACTAAGCCACAGCATCCTCAGAATGTGCATGGAGCCCTTGGCCCTGAGTGCATCTTACTCCAGCAATGCCAAGCATCGCCTGACGCACAGTGCAAAGAGCAAGACCAAAGGGGAGTTTTCAAAAGAAGGAAATCATGTATTTTATGACCAGCAGCATTTGTAAAAGCTATTTTCCAAGTAATTATGTGAATTGATTTTGGGAAGGCAATATGATTCTTTCAGCTTGATGATTCAACGAAATGAAAACCTTCAGAGGGAGAAAAAAAATGATCAGGTAATCTTTCTCCTGACCACGATTCATGCTGTGTTATCTCAGGCTCCAATGAAGTGCTTATTGTGCACAAAATGCCCTCTAATAATTTCTTTTAAAACATTCATTGTCAAATTAGCAAAGCAGCAGTCGACAGTTGAGTCTTACAACCTAGAGTTCAATACTGAGAAGTGGGGTTGAGTCGAATCCTATCTCTGCTCACTGTGACTTCAGATGCAAGCTACTTATATTCTAAGACTCAGTTTCTCCATCTGTTAAATGGGACAAAATAGAAACTGCCTTGTGTGGTTAACGTATAGATATGCAGTTGACCCTGAGAGAGGAGAGGGCTGGAGAGTGAGTTAATAATCAATCATGGTTACATGACGAAGCCTCCCTACAAATCCCTAAACTAAAGGGTTGGGAGAGCTTCCAGGCTAGTGAAGTCATGGAAGAGCTGGGAGAGCGGCACTCCTGGAGAGAGCATGAAGCTCCACACCCCTCCCCAACACCTCGCCCTGCGCGTCTCTTCCATCTGACTTTTTATCTGTATCCCTTGTTAATAACCTTTATTATAAACCAGTAAACATAAGTAAATGTTTCCCTGAGTGTTGTGAGCCATTATACCAAATTATCAAACATGAGGAGGTGATTGGAGGAACCTCTAATTTATAGCCAGTGGGTCAGAAGCACAGGTGACAACCTGGAGCTTGTAATTGTCATCTGATGTCGGGGAAAGTCTTGTGGAATTCAACCCTTAACCTGTGGGGTCTGTGCCAACTATGGGAAGTTAGTGTCATAATAGAGTAAGTAATAGAACACCCATTGGTGTCCACCAAGAATTGGAGAATTGGTTGGTGCGGGGAAAAAACCCACACATTGGTATCAGAAGTTGTATGAGTGTCAAGAAAACAGTATTCTTCTTTTACTGTCAATTCTCTGAACTGTCCATCCACTTTCTCCTTGAATTCCTGCAATCTGATGTCATCAAAGAATTGTCTTGATACTCATTTTGTTCAGAACCACTCATACTTTTTGTCACTAACCAACTTACCTTGCTATCTTACTGGTTTTGAACTCTGAGCATTTCTTGTCAGCTGAGTCCTGCTGCTATGTCTGAATGTATCCCCCAAAATTCATAGGCTGGAAACTTAATCCCCAATGCAACAGTGTCGGGGGCGGGGGGGGGGGAACTTTTGGGAGGTGTTTAGGTCTTGGGGGCTCCATCCTCATGAGTGGATTAATGCTGCTATGAAAAGGGCTTTGGCTAAAGCAATTGTGACAAAAACAAAAATTAACAAATGGGACCTAATTAAACTAAAGAGCTTCTACACAGCAAAAGAAACGATCCACAAAGTTAACAGACAATCTACAGAATGGAATAAAATATTTGCTATGCATCCGGCAAAAGTCTAATATCCAGAATCTTTAAAGAACCTAAACATATTAACAAGCAAAAAACAAACAACCCCATTAAAAAATGGACAAAGGACATGAACACTTCTAAAAAGAAGATTTACATGCAGGCAGGCAATAAGCATATGCAAAAAAAAAATGCTCAACATCATTAATCATTAGAGAAATGCAAATCAAAACCACAATGAGATACCATCTCACACCAGTAAGAATGGCTACTATTAAAAAGTCAAAAAAAATAATAGATGCTGGCCAGGTGTGGTGGCTCAAGCCTGTAATCCCAGCACTTTGGGAGTCCAAGGCAGGTGGATCACTTGAGGTAAGGAGTTCAAGACCAGCCTGGCCAACATGGTGAAACCCCGTCTCTACTAAAAATGCAAACATTAGCTGGGCGTGGTGGTGGGAGCCTGTAATCCTAGCTACTTGGGAAGCTGAGGCAGAAGAATTGCTTAAACCCGGGAGGCAAAGGTTGCAGTGAGCCGAGATCATGCCACTGCATTTCAGCCTGGGTGACAGAGCGAAATCCCGTCTCAAAAAATAAATAAATAAATAATAAAAAATAAGGGATGCTGGCGAGGTTACAGAGAAAAGAGAATGCTTATATACTGCTGGTGTTAATGTAAATTAGTTCAGCCATTGTGAAAAGCAGAGTGGCAATTTCTCAAAGAACTTAAAACAGAATTACCATTTGACCCAGGAATCCCATTATTGGGTATATTTCCAAAGGAATACAAATCATTCTACCATAAAGACACATGCATGTGTATGTTCATTGCAGCACTATTCACAATAGCAAAGACATGGAATTAACCTAAATGCCCATCAACAGTAGACTGGATAAAGAAAATATACACCATGGAATATTATAAAACCATAAAAAAGAATGAGATCATGTCCTTTGCAGCAACATGGTTGGAGCTGGAGGCCATTATTCTAAGTGAACTAACCCAGGAACAGAAAACCAAATACTGCATGTTCTCACTTATAAGTGGAAGCTAAATGATTAGAACACATGGGCATGAAGAAGGGAACAATAGGCACCAGGGGCCGGGCGTGGTGGCTCACACCTGTAATCCCAGCACTTTGGGAGGCCAAGGTGGGCAGATCATCTGAGATCAGGAGTTCAAGACCAGCTTGGCCAACATGGCAAAACCCCATATCTAGTAAAAATACAAAAATCAGCTGGGCGTGGAGGCACATGCCTGTAGTCCCAGCTACTTGGGGGGCTGAGGCACGAGAATCACTTGAATCCAGGAGGCAGAGGTTGCCGTGAGCCAAGATCGCTCCACTGCACTCCAGCCTGGGTGACAGAGCAAGACCCTGTCTGAAAAAAAAAAAAAAAAAAATAGACACGAGGGCCTACTTGAGGGTGGAAGATGAGAGGAGAGAGAGGATTGAAAAACTACCTATCAGATAGTATGTTTATTATCTGGGCAATGAAGTAATTTTGTATACCAACCCCCCATGACACGCAATTTACCTATATAACAAACTTGCACTTGTACCCCTGAACCTAAACTAAAAGTAAAAAAAAGAAAAGAAATCACGCCTGAAAAAGGGGGCTGCTTTGGGGAGTGGGTTCACTCTTCCACTCTCTGCCATATGAAGACAGACTTCCTCTCTTGCCTTTCCACCTTCCATCGTGTGATGACACACTAAGAAGGCCCACACAAGATGCCAACACCTTGATCTTGGACTTCCCAGCCTCCAGAACTGTAAGAAATAAATTTTTGCTCTTTATAAACTACCCAGCCTGTGGTATCCTGTTATAGGAGCACCAAACAGACTAAAACACCAGCCTTAAAATATATTTGTCATTCATTTATCCATCCTACTCAGGTTTTTTAATAAGGAATTTTTTGATATCTAGTGCATTATATTGCCAAAACTAAAACCAAAATCAAGTCAAATAAGAAATTAAAATGTCTCTACTAATGACCCATCTGCTTTCTGATCTTACTTCTATTTCTCCACATGTTTCCCCACAACCAGAAAGTCTCCTAAGTGGCCCCATGGTCACTCAGGATCACTTTTATTCTCAGAATCCAAATTTCTTCCCTGCCTAGAATTTCTACTTTCTTTCCTTCCACCTAGCCCAGGGTTTCTCATCCTCAGCACTACTGACATTTTTTTTTTGAGACTGAGTCTTGCTCTGTCGCCCAGGCTGGAGTGCAGTGGCACAATCTCGGCTCACTGCAAGCTCCGTCTCCCGGGTTCATGCCATTCTCCTGCCTCAGCCTCCCAAGTAGCTGGGACTACTGGCGCCCGCCACCACGCCTGGCTAATTTTTTGTGTTTTTAGTAGAGACGGGGTTTCACCATGTTAGCCAACATGGTCTCGACCTCCTGACCTTGTGATCTGCCCGCCTCGGCCTCCCAAAGTGCTGGGATTACTGGCGTGAGCCACAGCGCCCAGCCCCACTACTGACATTTTTGCAGGAGAATTCTTTGTTGAGTGAGAGGAAGCTGTCCTGTGTATTGCAGAATGCTGAGCAGTGTCCCTGGCCTCTACCCACTGGATTCCAGCAGCACCCTTCCTATTTGTGGCAAACATGAACGCCTCCAGGCGCTGCCAAGTAGCCCCTGGAGGGTAAAATGGCCCTTGGCTGAGAGCCACAGTATTCATATGCAATATTATCAATAATATGTCATTAATATTAATATTAATTAATGTGCAATATATTCTAACCTGAGAGGTCAAACGGTACAACTTAGCACTATAGCACTGCGTATATTACTGTCCTATTATTCCATGTTTTTCCAAATTCACTTCACAATCATTTTGTTTCTTAACTCACCTCGCATAGCATGAGGCACAGAGCAGGGACTCAATAATATTCATGTGCTGTGACCAAAGGGAAAATGTCAGTTCCATGCTTTTAGAAAATTTGGTCAAAAGACTCAGTGTGTGTACATTGACAGAGACAACTCGGTCAGTGGGCATAGGAGTGTGAGAACATTCAGATTAGTTGTTTGATTAAAACTAAATCTGCTGGCTGGGCACAGTGACTCAAGCCTGTAATCCCAACACTTTGGGAGGCCAAGGTGGGCAGATCACCTGAGGCCAGGAGTTCAAGACAAGCCTGGCCAACATGGCAAAACCCCATCTCTACTAAAATTACAAAAATTAGCTGGGCATGTTGACACACACCTGTAATCCCAGCTACTCAGGAGGCTGAGATAGGAGAATCGCTTGAACCTGGGAGGCGGAAGTTGCAGCGAGCTGAGATCGCTCCATTGCACTCCAGCCTGGGTGACAGAGAGACTCCATCTCAAAAAAAAAAAAACAAACCTAAATCTGCTAAGTGATCATATCCTATAGTGAGCTTTAAACTACCAATTTTAATAATTTAATGATTCTAAAATTGCAAATTAATAAATTATGTTCGATCCACTTGAGAAACTGATTTGGCTGGCTTTTAGACTTTAATCAAATTTTAAATAGCATTCCAAAGTGTTAGAAATATTTCTTCTCTTTTTTGCAAAGACAAATTGGCTGATGAAAATCAGTGGCTTTAGGTCACTCAGGAGCAATTAATCAACAGATATTTGAATAAACGTCATTAAATGACAATACATAAAATGTGATTAAGACATAATGATTATCAGTAATCATAAGAGTGGATAAATGGTTTTAAAATGTCAATTTATGACATTCAGTTATATTGTAAGAACAATCCTTTGATGCATTTTCTGTTTGTATCTATATTTATACTGGCAATATAAATTTGACATTAGATAATTCCTGAAATATCTTAATATTTAAACAGACAATTATGCTTATCAATGTTTTCATTTAAACTAAATCACACTTTTTGAAACATTGCTGAATATGTGATTATACTTCTCTTTTAACTTTTGTTTATAAAATAGAGGGCGTTATTCCTTAGCATTAGACTTGAAGTACTTGTGTTAGTCTCAAGTATTTCCAATAGTTCTCATCGTTTTAAAAAGTTACCTTCTCAGTACTGATCTTGCAAATGTTAGCAGGTTTTTGAGGCATTTGAGTTGCAAGGACTTACATCTTAGTATAAATTCATCATGGCTAAATTCTTCATTCTTCCTCAAGTGTCCACACAATATCCAACATCCTGATGTAAAGTAAAAACGTTAATCATCACTCAATCAGTTTCATGTATCTACATGTTTGGCGCCACAGACAAAACGTGATTACCAGAAGTTTTCCTTCTCCCTTTGACCCGATGCTCCAGTGTCACACTAATACAGCAAAGGAGGAAGATAGTGTTATGGGAGAGGAGAAAAATGAAGCTAGTCTTATTTGTTGAGACATCTTGCAGTTACGTGAGCACCAAAGAAAAGGAGACATCCAAAATCATGCACAATTCTATCACCAAAGGAAGAATTCAAGGTGGTATTTCCTTCTCAGTGTCCCATGACTGACTTACTCACACATCTCTCTTATCCCAGGCCACCACCATGCTCTGATAAATTGTCTGCATTGGGTTGTGGCTTTTCTCTTGTTTTGAGCCTGTTTTTCTATGACCGTGTTTGAAACGAGCTCTAGAATCCCATCAGCAAGTCTAGTTTGGATGAGATCTATCCTAGCTGTCCTTCCAAAAGTTGAAATTCATGAGCATCCCTAGATCTGTGTGCATCTGATTCGTATTTTAGGTTGGTGCAAAATTAATTGTGGTTTTTGCCATTACTTTTAATAGGGTTTAGAAATCATTTAAGATCCTTTAAACCCTTTGCTCTGGGACCAAGGTAGACTCAGGATCTGACTAACAAAGTTGTTCTAGATTTCTGCTTTCCTAGGCAGCTGCTCAAAAAAATTAACAAGGGTCAATCTCTTTGCCTGAGAGTCAACAGGACCTACGGTGGAATCAGCGAAACAGGGTTAAATGGAAAGGGCACAGAGCCCCAACCTCACACACAGGTACCTGTTCTGACTCACCCAGTACTCAGTGCGTAGTTCACGGCAACATGAGTGCCTGCTCATAGCTGTAAAAATAAGAGAGAACATGGGTAAACAGCTGATCGATATCAGGTTCCTTAGATATAAAACATGAACCACAATAATAATTCCTACTTCATGGGGATGACCTGAGGCTTGAATTAGAGTATTTATTTGAGCATCATACTTAGAAGTGTCAACCACTGTGAAGGGTCTGAGATTTTAGCAAACAAGTTAGCTTGCCACAGATTCAGGGATGCTGGCAGAAGACACGAAATTCCTGGGTCAGAGACAAATGACTCTACTACTCACAGCAATATCAGCGGCCAGAGTATCATCAATTAAGCCTATTCCTCAATCTCCAATTTCAAGAGGCAATGCAAAGGCCATGTGACCCCTGCACACACAGTGCATTACATTACAGGAGAGAGAAACTGAGTATATTATAATAGGCAGTACACCTGCCTGATCTTTGCCCTGGAGAGAGACATTATCTCTACAATACTGCAGAGTAAGCAAACAAATCTGCTGCATGCTCTAGACAGAGACACTATCTCATCTTCCAAACTGTAATGGACATAAACACCAAGATAGTCTGGAATAAAATGGCATTTTGTGCCACATTTGCAGGACATGCTGAAACACAGAAAACCTTTGGAGAGTTATTAATATTTCCCAATAAGAAGTCAGTAGATCTCCACTCATTTTCCTTTCCTTGCTCTTGCCATTTCTCTTGCCTGGAGTTTTCTCCTTGTCCCCTTCACAGATCCAAAGTCTTTACTTCAGTCTTCCTCAGGCTTTCACCATGGCAGGACAAGAGGATCTGGTGCAGCAGGAGATTCAGTAGGACTGGGCGAACTGGGAGTACATTGAGATAATCACCAGCAGCATCAAGAAAACTGCAGACTTTCTCAACTCGTTCAATATGTCTTATTCAAGATTTGCAACACTAAGGGAGAAATTGACAGCCCTTGAACAGAGAATAGAGTACATTGAAGCATGGGTGACAAAAGGTGAGATGCTTACCTAGAACAGTGCCATGCTGCTGCTGGGAAGTTGCTTTACAGAACACAGGCCACGTGAGAAAGGCCCCAGCAGCCTTCTGTTCCTTCCTTTCTCCTTAAAGAGCAACAGGGCTTATTCTTGTTTTTCCTTTTCAAAAGTGTGGCCTTTGGGTTCTTCCATGTACATCTGAGGGTGTGATGTGGTATATGAGGAAAAGTCTAGAGGAACTCTTGGAAACAACATTAGGTATTTTACCTTTCCAGTAACATTTTGTAGAATTACTTGTCAATGTATTTGAGACATTCACAGCCAAAAGCCTGGGATTCTTTGTGAAGGTCCTCCCCACCCCTATCCTTCTTTCTCTCTCAGACTTTCCTTAAAGTTCTCATTGCCTCTGCACTGCTTCTGTGAACAGTCTTTGTCTCCTCCCCACCTTTGGTGGGAAGTGTGAGGCAGTCCTGGCCAAGACACTCATGCTCTGGCAATGTGGCTACCAGAGAATGCTGTTGCTAATCCGCCGGTTTCCTGTTGATTTGGGGAGGTCGAGGCCAGGCTCCCACTTGGCTTAAAGGGACATTTTCAGACATTTCTTTCTGTCACTTGGGGTGTCTATGCCTCTCAAATTTCCCTAATAAACTCCTCAACTTGATCTGACTGCTGTGATTATGGTAGGGACAGGACCTAGAGATGGGTTCACTTATTCCACAGTAATGTAATGTATGGGATTATTATTCCAACAAAACTTTCAGATGTAGCTGTTTGATTCAAAGCCTAAGTGGCTTACCAGCCCAAGCCCCCATGTTTGGACTTTCAGCTGATTAGTTTATCCTAGGAATCATTTGGTCATTCAGCACATTTATCAAGTACTTACCATGTAGGCATGTTATACTCCAATAAAAGATACATCATTGAATCAGAGAAAAAAGTCTTTGCTTCATTCAAAGCACAAATCCAATGTCCATTCCTTGAGGAGCCTTTGCAAACACTGCAGTCATTATAAATCCCTTCGCAGAGTTCCTACTTCCATTTGTAGTCTGTCTCATTAAAACAAGTCATTTTTTGACTTGTTCAATGCTTCTCCTACTTTTTAAAAACTTTAAATTGAGGGACTTATTGTAAGGAGTTGTAGTAGATGCTAGTTGTGTCCCATCTATAGCCCCTTAGCCTCATGAGTGGCCAGCTCATTACCTGAGGGCTCTATCTAGTGACTCGAATGTGCACCTGCAGGCCTGAAGAGCTAGGGAATTAAGCTCCACCCCCCAGCAGCCCTCAACCAGTGGCAGATGGAAGCTGGTGTATCAATGCCCCAGCTCCTTTGTTCCTTGGGTACGTGCATGCTCCTGACTCCTAGAGTTCCCGTGGGGCATTAAGCTCCATTTATCCTCAGTGGAACCTGGCTTGATGACAGACCCTTTGGTGGGTGCCCTCCCTTTCCTGTCTTGTTTTCCCCCTCCCCACCCAGTGTTTTCTGAGAAGACCAGCTCCCCAAAAATCTAGTTGCACTAAATCATACAGCTTTTACTCGCAATTACTGTCATATCAATTATGAGGCATCAAGTCCAATTCCATCATAAATATTTGAAAATCATCCTTATGTTCCCAAAGAATAAAATAATCATGATATTACAGTTATAATATCACTGAAATAACGTTTGGAGCTAAATGAATCTATGTGTGAAGGCAACAAAAATATCAGCAGCCAGAGATGCATTTGGCCCCAGAATGTGTCTGAAATGCTGCTTGGCATCTGAGAATGACTTAGAAGTGCCTTTCCAGCAGTCCAGCGTGGGATGAGATGTAACTAGAGGGGCTTTGAGAATACACAGAGGACACTCAAGTGCTACAGGGAAAGTGGCAAAGGTCAACTGCTTCTTTTTCGAGGACTTTACTTGCTCCCGCTCCATCCTGATATACACCCTGAGTTTTTGACGACATGACATTCTGATGGGGAACTGCCCCTAGCCCTATCATTGTGGCATGATTTGTGGCTTTTTTCTCCCTGGTAGTCAAAAGTGGATAGCTGGCTTCTTGAGTCACGAGTTGTGCTGTCATCCATGCTTGTAGTAGGAGTAACAGGGGCATGTTAACTGGTGTGCATAGATCCCCCTTGAGGTGTGAGAGGAGTCACGGTCCTGGGGGGATTTAGGATGGGGCCCCTTTCCTGAGGAGATCAGCGCAACCCCAAAAGGAAACACAGCATCAAACATTTTAAAGGCACGATGACAAGGCAACAAAAACACCTGCCACCAGGATTCTGCGCAGGATCCTGTCATGCTTCCCCATCATGTCTGGATTGACACCAGGTCGCAAGACTGTTTCTATCATCAAATACAACGTAGAATCCATTCACTGAACAGGTCATGGAAGATAGCCCATGGATTCTTTCCCCACCATTGCCCTGAAACTCACAGGAATGCATGCCACCTGGCCACTGCAACCCGTCAAGAACGGGTTACAGGAGGGGGCCTTGGCAGAGAAGGCAACTGTTTCGCTCTGCTCTCTTACTAAATGCACTAAAGCCACTCTTGCTATAATTAGTCCCCAAAGAGAAACTAAAGTAATGGGAAAGTGGAAGCTTCCTTGCTAAGACCCTAGGGATCTCTACTGAACTCCAGTGTTACTGAACTCTAGAAAGGATACGACTCACCTTGCTCTTTCAAAGGCAATCGTGTCTGACATATCATCTAGGAATTGTTTCTTTGATGTCTCATGTGTCCTTTACCCTGTTGCATCTGCAAAATGCATGCACACACTTTATCCAGGAAAAGACAGTTTTGAGGGATTTTTTTTTATCCTAGAAGTATTGACCTTTTTCAAGTTCACTTACAAAAATTAAGCAACTTAGTGTCAGATTATCTAGAAAGACATAGAAAGCAGAAGGAAAATAAATCAGTGGACCTAAAATACTATTACTATTACAGTAAGGAATGTGAAACTTTAAAATAGGTAAATTCAAATGTGACCCATAAATCAGGGTCCTCAGTGTACAAAACCAAAACCCTTCACACTGTGGATACTGGTCCAGGACAGGCGCACTCAAAGAGATTTGGGAAGAGTGAAGATGCCTAGGATGTAGGAAAGCTACAAAGAAAGAGACCATTCTGGGCATGAAGCTAGCTGGAGAAAATGATCACTGCATTTAACAGAATGTGGGTGTACTCTGCAAATAGGTACTATATTAAGGAATTTCATAGGTAAAAGGTAATTAAATATCAGCTTGAGTCTTATATCTGAGCTCAATCAAGAGGGAAAAAAGGTTCCACAATCTCAGAACAGGATTCTCCTGAGTGGGAAACACACCCCCTCTGAAGGAAAAATGTTCCCTGCTGCCAGCACCACCCCCGGGTAGCAGAACTATCTGAGTTTGAGGTCTGGAAGTCCTCATCTCCAGCAGAGAGCCACTATACGATGGCCCTGCCCTGGCCCTCAGGCCTCCTAGGTGCGCGGGAGTCTGTGGGAGAGGATGGTTGGGGAGAGCCTGGTGGGCCCCATGCAAACCACTCAAAGTCTCCTGGGTGCCAGGAAGAAAGCTTTCTCTCAGCTCCGTCCTGTACGTGGTAATGTTAACAGCCGCTATCATGCTTTCAGGGTAGCCCAATTCATGCATGTACCCAACCCACCCCCATTTTTCTCCTTCACTCTAAAACTGGCACTGATGAGCTACTATTTGACTTAGTGGTGTAGCAGAGTTCCCAGCCAACTGCTTCAACCATCCCATCCACTTGGGTCTCTGTGGTTGCTGCTGGCTGATGTTCCCCAAGGCTATTTCTTCTTCTTTCTGGGGCCACAGGTGGACTATGTTTCCTAGCCTCTCTTGCAGTCTCTTGTGGCTACGTCAAAAGAACAATAGTACAAGAGAAAGGTCAGTGTGGAAGAGAAAGTACCAGTGGATGGTTAAATGTTTGCTATTCTGAGCTTTACTGGAACCACAAGGAAAGAGTGTTCTTTGGATGAAAATTCTAGGAGACACAAGAGGGCTAAGCTTCACACAAGCTCACGTCTAATTCCAGTCCTGCCCCTGGCCACTCAAAGGACATTGGGCATGTCATGCTTTCTCATCAGAAACATGAGGGAATTACATTGGATGGGCTCCAAGTTTTATCCCAACATCAAAATGCCATGATGTGTCTGTGGCTTGGTTATTCCTCCTAGCCACTAGCACACGGTTGCTATTTACTCTCCTGATGATTCAACTTCAATTTGATTTTGCAGTACACTTTCACACTTCCACATCTTTTCCAAGGTGCTTCTGTATACATTGCCTTACATCCCATCCAACAGCTCTGTAAAATAAGAAACAGAGGAGGCTGGCACACCATTTAGAGATGGGGAAGCTGATGTGGCAAAATCACCAGCCTATCCAGAATTATCAAATACTAGAGGCAGAGCTGCAGTCAGAACTCCATTCTCCTGACTACTGGTTTTCTTCTCATTCTTGTTCACTATGTCACATTCAGTTCCTGCAAAAAAATTGGTCACTAATGTTGCTTTATTAAATTAGTTCTTAAGCATTAATAATCGGGGGCATTGCAATTTATTCTATTCTCACTGTAAACATGTAAAATGATGCAAATGAAAAAAAAGACAGACTCCCAAAAATATGTTCCTAAAAACTTTTTGAGGAACATAATTTTCATCATTGAGGCAAAGCTGCATTGACACGTATTATTCATAGAAGAGCTGGAGATGATGAGAGGTTGGGGTTCACATTAAACATATGTGTAATATAGGTTCCAACCCAAAGTGCCTTTTTTTTCTGCAAAAGAACTCAGGTCTTCATTTGGGAACATCAAAATACACATATGTGAGTCATCTCTCACATATTTCCAATCCAATGGGCACGTTATTGGGTTATGCAAGGCATGCAGTACGTTTCTATGGTAAATTGCAAACCAAGAACTTTGACTGATGTCTTCTTTTTAACCAGTTATTAAGAAAATTTCTCTGTGCACCCATTAGGAAAGCTATAATAAAAAAGACAGTAATAAACGTTGGTGAGGATGTGGAGAAATTGGGACCCTAATAGATTGCTGCTGGTGGGAATGTAAAATGGTGCAGCTGCTTTGGAAAAAGTCTGGCAGTTCCTCAAAAAGTTAAACACATAGTTACCATGGAACCCAAGTATGCCACTCCTAGGTATACACCCAGGAGAAATGAAAGCATATGTCCCCACAAAAACCTGTATACAAATGTTCATAGCAGCATTATTCATAATAGCCAAGAAGTGGAAACAGCCCAAATGTCCATGAACTGATGAATGAATAAACAAAATATGGTCTAGCATACAGTAGAATATTATTTGTTAATAAAAAGAAGTGACATTCTGATCCATGCCACAACCTGGGTGAACCTTGAAAACATGATGCTCAGTGAAAGAACCAGACACAGAAGACCACATATTGCATGATTCCATTTCAAGGAGAGGCCCAGAATAAGTAAATTCAGAGACAGAAAATAGATTAGTTGGGTTGGGAGAAGGGAGTAATGAGGGGTCATGGCTAATGAGTATGAGGTTTCTTTTTGGGGTGAGGAAGATATTCTGGAATTAGATTATTATAATGGTCGTGCATCTCTGTAAATAATGAATGTCAAATGCTTAGCACAATACCTAGCACATGCTTGGCATTATAAGGGATAATACAATAGTAACTTTATTACAACCATAATATAGTAATAATATTATTTTTAAAATTTTATTATAGTTACAGCTGTGAATAATCTCATGACCTCCAAGCATGAACAAAACCTCTTTTCCTGGTTTCCTTTCACTCAAATCAACCAAGTAGGGCCCATAGTTTCCATAGGCCAAATGTGACCCCATGCCTGTTTTTATAGATGCAGTTTTATTGGCACTCATTCATGCCTACTGGCTACTACTGCTTATGGCTGCTCCAGTGCCACAAAGGCATCACTGGATAGTTTCAACAAAGACAAATGCTTGAGGTGATGGATATCCTATAACTCTGATATGATTATGACACTGTGTATACTTGTATCAAAATATCACATGAACCTCAAGAATATATACAATTCATATTTATCCATAATAATTAAATATAAAATATTTGTAAGCCTAAATACTATCTGAACCTATGCAGAGTCATTTTGCTGATCACTCTGTTCTGTGATATTCAGAATATTGTCATTTTTATCCTGAGAGAGCACATATTACAATCCTTCGAGAGAAGCCAAGAAACAAACACATTAGCTGAGACAGGGTGCAGCGAGCACTCCCTGGGACTCGCAGGGCTGGGCTTTGCTCCTTCTCCTCTGTGCCCCTGCCCTTCCCCAGACACCATTGACACATATGTGCCCACTAGGCCTGATAAAAGCACAGGTCAATCAAGGAAACCTCCGTGTAGGCTAACAGCGCTATTGAGGCTTTACTCTCCTAACTCATGTGGACAGTTAGGGTTTAAGAAAACAATATTGTTGGGGGAATATGATCTGTCCTAGAATGCTAGCCATGGCTATTTGATGTCAACCCGCATTCCAACTCCTACTGCTCCAAAAACGAAGTCAGTGTTCCATCAGTCCACATGAGTCTTTGCCCATCGCCCCCAGCACCCGTGTCAGAAGCTGTTTTCAAAAGTGATTTTCATGTGTCCCATGTCAGGGTTGTCACCTACCACCACAGAATATGTTTCACTCTACTAACATACCGTGGGAATTGACGCCTGTGTTTTTTAAGTTGATTAGGGTTTTTTTCTTTCTTTCTTTCTTTCCTTCCTTCTTTCTTCGAAGAAGAAGGAGGACGACAAAAGAAAGAAAAAAGAAGAGAAAAGGAACAGTGAGAAGGGAGGGAAGCAGGAATGGAGAAAGGAGAGAATCAGCAAGATTATTTCTTCACACGTCTGTCGCCCACTCCCTCATGGGGCTCCCACCGCCTGTCCAGTGAGCTGTGTGCCACACTGCGTGGAAGAGAGGGGCATCGAGACAACTGCATGTAAACTTTCTTAAAGGAAAGAAACGCAGGCGCAGAGGAAGAGAAGCTTTTTTGCCTTTTCCAAAGAACCAGACAATAAATCCAGATCGGCACATCAAAATCAAAGATGACTGCAGCTTCAAAGCTTCCCGGGAAGATCAAAGGCGAAGCGTGAAGAAGGCAGGCAGGATCTCTGAGGATAGGAGGAGGCCTTCTCGGCCCTTGTGGAGCTCTGTTTCAACAAACCAGAATCTCCCGTAAGTCAGCTCCCACGTTTAAAATCAGCTCCGAGCCTTGCACAGGGAGCTTTAGGGAAAGCTTCTTCACGGAAACAAAAATGAGGCGTTTTAGCAATAACACAGAAATCAAACTCTCCTGGCAGAAAGCTTCCAGGCAAACTCCTTGCCCTAACTCCCTAAAAAGATTGTCTTGCCATACCTCGCTTTTTTGCTGCAACCTCCCCAAGTGCTGGAAAACAGAACAAGTATTAGCCCCACGTAGCTTAAATTCTTAGAATTTGATTACTGATTTCTGTATAATTGGTCGGAAATTGCCTCTACCTCTCTCTGCTGCTGTTATAAAATATTTCTTCCTTTAACTCATGTTTGCCAGAACACTTGTGCTGTGTAATCACAGAGATAGTCCTGTAATATCCGAGTGTGGCAGTGAATTGGATTCCACATAATTAGTTGAACATAATTGAGCAATAATGTGTAGTTATGGAGGAAATTTACTGGACCTCACACAAAGGAAAATTTCTAGAGCAGTGGCGTGTTGTTCCCGAAGTAATTGTGCAAAGCATCACCTACAGTACTGACTCTGTCTTTTCTGCTCCGGAAACATCATTAACACGCCTACCTCTACAGCAACATTCTCTACGCTGTCCTTCTCTTTCTGCAGAGTGGCCGATTTCAGAGTGGTCGTAAGGGAACAAATCAGTAACTCTCAAGATCACAGGATGTCTTTGGCACCTAACATATAGGTGTCCAATAAAAAGCTATTTTCAAAATTATTTATTAAAAAACTCACTGAAACTGTTCTTTCATAGAGAAAACACAAGACACACATATTTCTAATATCATTATCTCCTTATCTAGATTTTTCCCGTATGTAAAATAGCTGTTTTCCACTGCTTTAGGGACTGTACAACTACATGCTCTTAAAAATAGCTCCAGATAGCTGAGCAGCACTTTCCAGCTGAATAGAAAACATCATTAGTAAAACCTAGGTCCAAATTCTGATGCCTATAAATGTTTTTCCAGCATTTCCCACACCTTGATTCCTGCAGAATCCACAAGCCTAAGGCAACAGATGCACACACATGCATGTGCACAAACACACATGCTGTAAATACAAAAAGCCAAAACCACCTTATAAAGTGTTTGCACTTATTAATGTATTGAATCTTGTCAAATCACATCAAGCCTTCCATTTCTTCCACACCTAAATGCCACCTACATCTATCTTTTACCCTATTTGAAAAGACTGTGGAAAAAAAATCCGCAAATCTGTAAATAAGCAAATAAGGCTATATATAAGTGTTTCTTATTTTATTTATTCATTGTGTACTGATACATTCAAGCTAATTCTATTCAGCACACCCAAGGTGCCTAAAGCATTAACTTTTTCTGAAAGGCTAAGCTGCCCCTAAACGTTTGATCCTGATGTTTGTTCCCCTGAAACAGGTTAATGAGTATTTAAAAAAAACCCAAAAACTGGCTGATTTTTAATGCAACCAGCTTCACAAAAACAGATGGCGTATGACCTGCCTAATTAGATAACACAGATAGAATCTCATTCCCTGAACAAAGCTGCCTCTTGAGTAAGCCTGCTACATATCACGTATCCCAGCCATAAAAATGAGTCTGTCAAGTGGGTTTTTCCCCCTGAATATCATCAATCATGTTATTTCTGGTTTCTTCTCTTGTCCCTCACCTGCCTCCAGGCTCTATCTTCCTGTTTTGATCTACATTGACAAATTTGAGAAAAGATGGGCAAATGCCAAAGTTTGGCACTAACTCTTAACATTAAAATAGCTGAAAATTTGAAAACTTTCCCAAATGAACATTTTTTTCACTGCCAAGAAAGTCCATGGAGATATATTTGTTCTCCACACTGTAGTCTTGTGTGGCTAAGAGGATGGGTTTTGAATGACCACACCAAGATATCAAATCAACTCTTTAGTTCATCCCATCTCTCCTCATAAAAACACACACAAAGAGTTGTCGTAGGCCATCAATCCATCAATCCCCCCATCAGGGAGGGATCCAGCCATACCTGCTTATTCTCCAAGATTATCTTATGGATAATTATTGGGCTGTGTCACCAAACCCACCCCCACCAAAAACACATACATGTGCGCGCACACACACACACACACACACACATCTAATTTTCTGAAACAAGAAGGCCTAAACCAATGATGAGAAGAAGAAACATTTGTCAGTAGCAGTTTTATAGACTACAGTCTTTGGTTCCTTTCATGTCTTTTTGGAAATAGCTAGAAATGAAGGTGGTGGGGGAGTCTATTTCTGGGCCACTAACACCTTCAATCCTGAATCTTTCATGACACAAAGAGAAACATTGAAAATATAGCTGCAGCAAGGATTTAATGGAATTCCTGGGTGAGGGAGTCAGGATACAGGTGTGTAGGTTTATTTTTCCAGTTTTAATATGGAAGAAAGGGAATGGCTTGTTTCCTCCATTGCTTAACATTGATGAATCCTTCTGTCTCCAAATTAGTTTCCCTATTGAGACTGAGAGCACATGGAAGGGCTACAACTTGTTTTCATCCTTTTTATCCCCAACTCTCGGGAGAGTGTTAAGCAGAGGGGGTGCTTCATGATTGCTTCTTTCTATAAGTGTGGTGTTTACGGATGCCTTGGGACCCGACGTGGCTTCACCGTGCATCCTTTTTTCACACACACACACACTGAGATCACCACTGCCCTCCTCCAGCTGCTGCTCTCAGTTACACAAACACTGAGATCCCTGCCTTCCTCCAGCTGCTGCTCTTATTTACACAAACATCGAGGTCACCGCCCTCCTCTAGCTATTGTTCCCGGGGCCATACAATCATCCACGTTCAGGGTTTAATTTTACTAGGTGATAAAAATGGATTGCAATGCCTGTCTGGGGATGCTGTTTGACCCATTTTATCAAGTCTCTGTGACTGTGTTCATTAAATTCATGCATGATCACCGTTCAGTAATGTTCCAGTAAGATCTGGGGAGGGAGCCGCCACAGCAGTGTCACAGTTTCCAAAGGTCCCCACATCTCCACAGAAACACAGACAGAATGAGCAGTTAGTAAAACCACACATGCAGCAGATTCACAGCAAAATCAGGTGAAGAGCAACCTGCAAGCCTTGCAGGATCAGTGTCTGTGTGGGAGGAAGCAGGGGAAACATCAGGGATTCTGGCAGACCCAAAAACAGAAGAACCTGGAAACAGCCAATAGGCTTGTGCTGGAAAGCATAGTGGGCCCATGTGAGAATAGCAGTGGAAATTGAGAGGAGTCTCATTGAACTCAACAGACATCCCCGCCAGTCTGAAGGGGCAGGGGGAGCTCTCTGGCCCCCACACGCCTTTGGAGCTGACACCGGGTTCCCTTCTAGGCAGGGCCCTCACACTGCAAGTAGAATCCAAGCTAAGCAGGGCAGGGACAAGAGAAACAAAGGGAAGAGAATCTCCAGCAGACTCATAATCTTGTAAAATCTACATGAAAACAACACAACAGTGAGGTCAGTAAGATTAAAATGCTACTCAACACAACTACTTCTAATGCTTCAGGAAAACTAACTTTATGTGAAAATGAACAATGGAAAAGGATCATGCTTGAATCTGACTCAAATTTATTATAAGAAATGAAAGAAGAAAGAGCAGAGTAACATCTCCACAGACAAGAAAAGCATGCCAGAAGATACATTTTTATAAATCACTTGAAAACTGTAATTTTCTGTTTCGAAGAGAGCTAAAAAATACTCATAGAAATGACATACAACATTAAAATACAACACAAATCAGAAACTGAAATACTCAGAAATCACAACGCAGAATTCAAGACAATGAGAAATAAGAAAAATAATCTCAGAAATAAAGAGTAAACTAGAAAAAATATGAGAGAGAACACATTAAAAATAACAAGAAAAATAAAAGGTACAAAAAGGAAGAAAATTTAAAATTAAAAAAAGTTGAAGATACAAAAAGTATTTGAAAGAAAGCGACAAGTATTTAAATGAGCAAAGAACATTGAACGTGTTGACAATAGAAATCCCTGAAAGAAAACCCAACCAGGGCAACAAGTACCAAAAACTATAATTCAAGAAAATTTTGCAAAATAGGGATTTGAAATGACATATGGAAAGAGCAACTAACATCCCTGAGACCACTGACCCAGAAAACTGACATGAAGATGTTATCTACTAAAATGTCTGAACTTTAAAGGAAAAGAATCCTGTGGGTTTACAGGCAAAAATAGAAAGTGACACATAACTTAAATAAATTTACATCATTATCAGACTTGAACAGCGAGGCTTTTTTTTCCAGTAGAAAATGGAGTAATATATTTAAGACAGGGTCCGCAACCCCTGCACAGTGGACCAGTACTGGTCCGTGGCCTGTTAGGAACCGGGCCACACAGCAGAAGATGAGCGACAAGCGAGCCAGCATTACTGCCTGAGCTCTGCCCTCTGTCAGATCAGCGGCGGCATTAGATTCCCACAGGAGCACAAACCCTGGTGTGAACTGTGCATGCGAGGGATCTAGGTTGCACGTTCCCTGTGAGGCTCTAATGCCTGATTATGTGAAGTGGAACAGTTTCATTCAGAAACCATCCCTCCCGCCCCACCCCATTCATGGAAAAATTGTCTTCTACAAAATCAGTCCCTGGTGTCAAAATGGTTGGGGACCGCTGATTTAAGATACCCAAGGAAGGAACCCGTGTCCAAGTTCTTTATATTGAGCGAAATTGGCCTTCAAGCACAAAGAGCACAAACTTAAAGATGTAAGAAGCCAGGGAATGTTTTTTCCCAAGAGCCCTTCAGAAGGCGTCTGCCAGACAATGAGTTACAGAAAACCAGAATGATTGACTAGAGAGACACAGACCTAAGGCTGGTGTTGAGCATTAAATATATGACTTGCACACAAAAACTAACCGGGAGTTAAAAGGAAGAGAGCATAACATGCAATGGCTATACACTCAGACCATGTGAAAAACAGCACAACCATGAAAAATGGGGAAAGATTGAAGACAACAGAGTTAAAAAATTTTCTGAACTGTTTTTGGTAACCATTTTGGTGGTGATGGTAGCATTTGTATCATTATTTTGAGACAGTTATGTGTGTGGTGCAAGATAAAACAAATGAGGAATTATGCAATATTTTAATTCTAGCCTTCCCAGTGTTCTGGAGAATGCGGATCCTTGGTGTTGGAAAGGGAGATTAAAATTTCACATAGAGACAAGTATTACTGTAAACTCATAAACTACGTCGCCTTAAAAAAATTTCCAGCCCTTAGGCCAGGCGTGGTGGCTCACGCCTGTAATCCTAGCACTCTGGGAGGCTGAGGCAGGCAGATCACAAGGTCAGGAGATCAAGACCATCCTGGCTAACATGGTGAAATCCCGTCTCTACTAAAACTACAAAAAAAAAAATTAGCTGTGTGTGGTGGCAGATGCCTGTAGTCCCAGCTACTCGGGAGGCTGAGGCAGGAGAATGGCGTGAACCCGGGAGGCGGAGCTTGCAGTGAGCCGAGATCAGGCCACTGCACTCCAGCCTGGATGACAGAGCAAGACTCCATCTCAAAGAAAAAAAAAAAAAATTTCCAGCTCTTTCCCCCACAATTTCCTGGAAACAATGGCTACCCAATGGCAATGAACATCCCTAGCACCAAGATTATGTTCTTGAAATATCATTTCCCAGTGAAATACCCCAATGAATTTTGGAGAAATGGTCAGTTTCTAGCCTGGAGCTAGAATATGTACAAGATAACATCAAAGATCTTATAGAAGATATCAAGAAAACCATCAATGACTGCTCTGTGTCAAAAGGACTCAAAATCCAATAGGAAGAGACTCTCACTGACCATGATGGGACAAACTGAAGTTCAATAATGATAAGAACTGCAATGGATTGAAACGTATTTATTTAAAATCAGGAGTTTGTGATTAAATTTTTAAAAATTAATTGGTCCCTTTCTGAGGATTATAAGAAATCAATCCATTATCTTGAAGACTAGTAAATAAAACTAAAGAATTAAGCTTCTATCCTGCCTTTCCCACAGGAATTACATCACTGGGCAACACAGAGTAGATGAGAAGTGACGCCTAGTAACATTATTGCAGCTAATAAATGCGAACAACATGATAGAGTCAGAATATCACCATTTTGCAACTTCCAGTGAATTAACAGATCTAGGCAGCTGCTAACATCACAAAATGAGTACAACTCAGTTACCATTATGGCTCCTGAGGAGAGAACTCAACACTGCCTCATGTTGCCAACAAATTGACTCTAAATCTGGTCAAGCCTCTACATCTAGCTGCGGGAAATACAGAGAACACAGGAAAATATTCAGCTGCACCATAAGTAAGCAATCACAAATGTCCAAACTTTGACAAACTCGACAGGTCCAATGCCCTAGCTTTTTCAACAGGTAAATTGTAAAGAACAATACAGCAGCATAAAGGAATGGAGGAGAGCACTGTACATTAAAAGCCTTTAAAAGATCCAACTATACAAGTTGGCAGAACCTATAGTGTCTAGGGATACATATCTTAGAGAAAGAACTACACAGAAATGCAAGAAAACAATTGCTATAAAAGTTAACATAGTGGGTACACAGCAAGATAGAAGGGATATGACCAGGACGGGGCACATGAATGGGGCTTCTACAGTATCTGCCAATGTTCTTTCTTATGACCGGGGTGATATTTACAAGGGTGCTTGCCACAGAATCATAAATTAACCTATGCACATTTGTGTCGTTTTCCTTTTTTTTTTTTTTTTTTTTTTTTTTTTTTTTTTTTGAGACAGGGTCATCCCGTGTTGCCCAGGCTGTAGTTCAGTGGCGTGATCATAGCTCACTGCAGCCTTCACCTCCTGGGCTCAAGTGATACTCTCAGCCTCTCAAGTAGATGAAACTACAGGTACATGCCACTATGCCCCAGCTAATTATTTTATTCCTATTTTTTAGAGGCAGGGTCTCACTGTGTTACTCAGCTGGTCTCAAACTACTGGCCTCAGGTAATCCTCAGCCTCCCAAAGTGTTGGGATTACAGGCTCAAGCCACCACACTGAGCCAGTTTTGTATAGTTTTCTGTTCCTTTGTTTTATTTTACAGTGAAAAGCTTAGTTAAAAAGGTAGAAAATTAATAATGCTTCAAGTTATCAAAGAATAGGGACAATCATATAAAGGAAAGAATCCAACAGGATAGCTGAAGCTCTGGAGAGAGGACAGCATGGAGCTCCTAACTGCAGGAGTCAGGGCCAGGGACTCCAGGGATCTGAGTACGGCTGTGCTATTAAAGAGCTCAGAAGGCCCAAGTCCTGAGCCAGGTATGCTGGACTAAGAGGGAACACCTGGCATCGGCAAGAGACATCGTTAAGGAAAGCACCACGATTCAGCTCCACAGGGGTGGATCCCAAGACACAAACCACCAGTCACAGACAGGCAGGCTGAAGAAAGAGAACTCAGCAGAAAAGTCCCAACTATCTGGCTCCACCTCATCCATCACCAGACACCAGCAGTATCTACGAGATAAAGATAGGCTGCAAGAAGAAAAACACTTTAAAAAAGGAAATGACAGCGGCCGGGCGCAGTGGCTCATGCCTGTAATCCCAGCACTTTGGGAGGCCAAGGCGAGCGGATCATGAGGTCAAGAGATTGAGACCATCCTGGCCAACATGGTGAAACTCTGTCTCTACTAAAAATACAAAGGATGAGTTCATGTCCTTTGCAGGGACATGGATGAAGCTGGAAACCATCATTCTCAGCAAACTATCACAAGAACAGAAAACCAAACACCACATGTTCTCACTCATAAGTGGGAGTTGTACAAGGAGAACACATGGACATAGGGAGGGGAACATCACACACCGAGGCCTGTCGTGGGGCGGGGGGCTAGGGGAGGGATAACATTAGGAGAAATACCTAATGTAGGTGATGGGTTGATGGGTGCCGCAAACCACCATGGCACGTGTATACCTATGCAGCAAAACTGCACATTCTGCACATGTACCACAGAACTTAAAGTTAAAAAAAAAAAAAATTAGCATGCACCTGTAGTCCCAGCTACTCGGGAGGCTGAGGCAGGAGAATCACTTTAACCCAGGAGGCAGAGGTTGCAGTGAGCCGAAATGGCACCACTGCCTCCAGCCTGGGCAACAGAGCGAGACTCCGTCTCAAAAAAAAAAAAAAAAAACAAAAAAAAAACTGAAAGAGCACTTTGGAAAATAAGGGATTTTTTAAAAGAATGATAATAATTTTTCCCTGAAATACATGTTTCTGAAAACTTTTCCAGAGGGACCCAAGATGAACATTATTTTCTGGACCTATTCTAAAACATTTTCACTTTCTTCTTCCCAATTCAGATGATGTGCCTTATGCATCACCTTGGATCCTCTTGGCCTCTCTGTCCCTGAGGAAGTCACTCCTGGTGAGTAGTGGATCCATAAGTATGAAGGCTTTACCTGTGGCTGCCAGAGTGGAGACATGGGTGGGAGATAGTGTTCTGAGGGGGCACAGTGATATTTATAAGGACAAAGTGAAGGATGCCGTTGGAAGTTTTGCAAAAAAATATATAGGCTCAGGGTAGTTAACCACCAATTTATGACACTCATCTCCAGCAACCACAGGGCAAGCAGATGGTGCTAAAAAGAAGATCCAGGGTTTCATTTAACAGGTAGCAGAGCTGCAAAAAAGACTGAACATGCAGTCTGACTTCTAAGTCAAAGCCAGAGCTCTGCTGAAGAAAGGATGGGACTCTGAGACACAGGAGGGGATTTTTACTTGGACCAGCCTAAGAATGGTAAGCCCCCTCCATCCCCCCAGGCACTCTGAGCACCCAGAAGCAGCTCCACTCCTCTGTGGCCAGAATAGACCTGCACCTCCTTGTTTGGAGACCTCAAAATGGCTACACCTGAAGTGGCTGTCTTATCAGATGATACCATTCTTCTTTATATTGGCAGGTCGCCAAAACCTCTGCAGAGTCCTCCAAGGCTCCCTCCACCTGGGCCCCCACGCAGTCATCTGTGTGTTGGGGAGGGGCTGGGCAGCACGAGTCAGGGCTGCTCCTCAAAGTCACCAAGGTGGAGAGTCACCAAGAAGGAGAGTCACCAAGGTCACTCTACCTCTATGCATACCTCTTCTCCCCTTCCTGGAGCCCTAGCCAATATTGTCTAGGTTTTAGGAGAGCTGTCTCTCCTCAACCCCCAAATATTCCCACATTTTCCGTCTAGAATGAGTCCTCTATTCTCCCTAGCATCTTAGCCTCCTAGAAACCAAAGCCAACAGGAAACCCTCCCGTTATTTTCTGCTTTCTGCACTGAGGCCACAGGTTCACGAGAACCTCACTGCTTAAGCATGGGAAAGGACAGATAAGGGAACAATCAGGAGGGAATAAATAGAACTTCAAAAAATATTAACACATCACTGTAAAAATAAATAGAAAAATGGTGCAGGCATAAATGAGTCCAAGAGAGGGACATAACTCCCTGTCAAAGCAAGATTCTATATGAAAACATCTAATCCTCCACATTGGCCAGGTTGCAAATCACTATTTGCAATCTATCTTAAAATAGGATGTAGTAAAAGCAAAATTGAAAGAGACAGAAAAACCTCCTCGCGCAACTTAACGCAACTTTGATTCCTTCCTGGCAACTTTTGAAAGGCTCTTTCAAATAACACAGACCCCAATTCCTCTGATTATTACCTGGCTCCATGGAAAAACCTGGGTGCAATCATCCGTTAGGTGAATTTTTTTATCAACCTGTTTTAAAAGCTTGCCAAAACTCACCACTGAAAGGGTTTTCTAATACCATAGCTGGACACGTATCTCTGTCCATAAACAAACACCCTTATTGGGAAATGATTTTCATCCGCCGCATATAAATGCACATCTTTATCCTGTAAATCAGAATCCTTGTCACGCAATCATTTTGCATTTAAATTCTCCTCCCAGAACAACAGTATCCCAGGGAGGTATACACAGTATCTTTAAACTTAAGTGTCAGCCTGAACATAGACTTCACATCAGGCCTATTTTCTTAATGCCCCAAAATACAAAATACAAATCTCATTTTAGATTCATTAATCTGCTCATAGCCAAAAAAGCAACCATCCAACAGCTATTAATTAAAAGATATTTTAGGGCAATCCAGATGCCTTCAATCAAGTATTGTAGCTGCTTAGAGTTGCATTAAATTAGTTTATCTTCAGTCCAAAGTTTCACTTCATCCATGAAACAATGTAAGTTGATCCCTTAAAAAATAAAATAAAATAAAATAGAAGTGGGAGGCTTCCCAACTGTTTTCGTGAATGTGCTTACCATCTGGAGAATTCTTCTTCTATGTTCGCCACCACTTTAATCACCTTGCCTAATAAACAGGCGTGATTGATCAGAGCTGAAAGACAGACCACTTCCGTTCAAGGACCCAAAGGCATCATTCAGTGATGATGTGCCTGAGAGTGGCTGGAAGGCACACATTCCCAGGCAGCCAAACAATTGTGAGCTTCACAGCCCTAATAAAATAGAAAATTAGAGACACAATTTTAATGTAGATATCAGTGTGCATTCAAGCTGTTTTTTAAAAATAGGAAATAAATCGTATTTATTAGTCACACTTGACAACTGTCTGAAAATGGTCCAGGATGCAGCAAATCTCAGCAAAGCTACCTCATAGTCACCAAACATATATGACCAGCAGCCAACAACAATAAACACTGTACTTAGGGCTGACAACAGCTGAAACCCAGCCATCCTGCCTGCCAAGCTATTTTATGTGTTTCATTCTCGAAGTTGGATTATCTGTTATCTTCATATGTCATTTTTATGAAATAAACTAAAGAATGGGTTTAAGTATATTATATGCAATGGATATGAAAGAAAATTAAATCTGTATGTCTTCAAAAGAGATATATATGATCCAGGTGGATATCCTACGTATCATATATATATATGATATATATTATATATATAATGTGAATGCTTCTAAATTTTGTTTTCAACATTCCAAAACCTGACTTATCATTTTGCTTAATTTAAAATGGTTTACACATGCATCACTATTTGTTTGGATACGGTGTGAATCTAGGTACTAGGCACCAAAAAAATACTAAAAGAACCAAAATGTTCCTTCAGTACAAACACAAGCCGGGTCTCAAAAATAATTTTCAATGCAAGGGACAAAGAGCTTTCCCACATCTGGCCTTATGAGCAGAATTCTCATACCTGAGCCCTTTCCTATCGGAAATTCAAGGTTCTCCTACCTTCTCACGCACTTCTATGCACATGGGTAAGGCGGCTTCAGTGATAAAAATCAAGAGACTCATCTCCACTATGGACAGAGGTGGCTTGGGAAAAGAAAACCCATCATGCTGGTGAAGGCGTAGTCAGAGGCTTGACAAGCGATAAGCACCTGTAGGTAGACTACATAGTGGAATACTAAACTGAATGGCCATATAAAGTCAACAGATTTGGTGAATATTTCCTGCTGATACCCACGGGTTGACAGTGGGCCCTTGTTTCTCCCTAGCTATCCTTCCAAGAGCATTGCTTTCTTTTATTCTGTGTTACCCAACCAGGCTGAATTTTTTCCCCTTCCTGTCTCCTTCTTACATGCCAAAGGTTTGGGTCTTCAGATGCTATTTCCTTGCCAACATCCTGTTTGGGTTATTGATAAAGAAGCTGGATATTGGAAAGCTCTCACCTTTGAAATAGTTCTCAGGCTATAGTTTTGCAAACTGCGGAGCGCACACCTTTCAATATTTATGCTCCTTCTATCGACACTGAGTAAATTAGAATGTGGAATACCTGCAACATCCAAACCATCTGCTTCACTGCATTTTAAAAAAGAGTAGGTGAAGAAAATTTATGAGCATTTCCTCTTATGTGTTGTTGCTAGGGAAACAACTTTTTTTTTTTTTTTTTTCTTAAGCACGGATGATTCTAGCATCTCAAAAGAACCAGGGCACAATCTTTCTTCCCCTCTTTCTTCAAATGAAATAAACATCTTCCCTGGGCAGTTTTCTCCTCTGTCACACTGGCCACTCATTTTCCAAGGATGTTATATGATTCCAAGCAAGTCAGAAATACTGACTGAATAGGGCTGAATTTTTGCTGTGTTTTCACAGTTGGCCTGTGCCAAACAGAGTAGTCCACAAAGTTTGCCTCGTGAAACAAAATGCCCATTTTCACTAGGTGTGTTTTATAAGGTGCTATTTTGTCGTTTGTGCACAGAAGACTCTGGAGAAATACAAAGATCCGTCCTGCCCATCAAACTGGAAATCGTTTTCCTGAAAGAACCCCTTGTGTGATGAAGACAAAATAAAAAATAATGATGTTCAGTTCCATGGAGCTTTCTGCCTGAAAACATAAAAGGGAATCCACCAGCAGAGTGGGAAACTGCCCACGGTTTTCATATCTTCAGGGGCCCTGGAACATATCACTCCTCCATGTAGGCAGCCTACATTTTACCATAGGAGAGAACACCCTAAAAAGGCTTCTGAAATATGGCGTTTGCGTATGGTAGATTTGCTTGTTTCTCTGCAGCATCAATTGCTAGTGGCACATTTTGTACTAGAAAGGCCATTGTGCCCAGAACGGAAAACGACTGTGAACCACCTAGTGATTTGCATTCTGCTTTTGGGGATAATCGGACCCCCCTACCGGCCAAAATCCACATCACATTTGCATAATTCACTTTTGAAACGCTGTGTTTCATTCTCTTGAGCCCACAGCTGCTGTGCGGGGAACTGGCGTGGTCCACATCCAGCTTCAGATTCTCTCCTACATAATCCCCAAAGCAGAGAAGTTTTGCACGCAGTGAAGCAAGGGGACGCTGATGTTCAACAGGGACAGACTTTCTGTCTTATGCTTAGGTGTGACCTACCAGAAAGCAACCAAAGAAAGAGTCAATGATCCTAGCTGGGATGGCAAAAAGAAGTAAGAATTGAATTTGGATTACAAATGGTCGACAAAAATAATGTTCTTACCAAAAAAACAAAAAACGAGGCAATGGTAAAATCAATGAGCTTATCTTTCTGATATAGAAAATAACAGGATGATTGTTAATACATGTTCAGGAATCTAAGAAAATGTTTCATATAGGCCTATCATGTAGCATTTTTATTTGCATAATTATAGTCAACATATGATTCTCCATATAGGGGTCTCTCATTGAGAATGTTTCTTGTGTACCCATAGAAAAGCCTCTTTGGTAGATTTTCCGGTTTATAATTATTTAATCAGAAGATACACGGGAAGTTCTTTTGTATGTACCTGTAGAATACATCCCAGTAAGTGTCCTATGGAGAAAGACCTGTTGTCAGCAATAACCTTCATTATTCTAACTGTGAAACATTCATTAATGCGAATAATATTCTCAAAGGTTTTCTACAATGAGAATCATCCAGTAAAGCTTTTTACTTGAGAATTTAAAAGTTGTAAAGTTGTTAGTTAAATGTGTATAATTATCAAAACAGGTTGACTTTGGAAAACAAACTGAATTTGCTAAGGGAAGGAAAACTTGAAAATAATCATCTTAGATGTGGAATACAATTTGACCTAAGCAATTGTTTCAAAACTGTCTTCAGTTTCTTGAAAATAATTGTTAGGGCTGATATGAAATGAAATACATATCAAAACCGTCTTCAGTTTCTTGAAAATAATTGTTAGGGCTGATATGATATGAAATACATATCTAGGCCAGGCACGGCGACTCATGCCTGCAATCCCAGCACTTTGGGAGGCTGAGGCGGATTGATCACGAGGTCAAGAGATCGAGACCATCCTGGTCAACATGGTGAAACCCCGTCTCTACTAAAAATACAAAAATTAGCTGGGCGTAGTGCTGTGTGCCTGTAGTCCCAGCTACTCAGGAGGCTGAGGCAGGAGAATCACTTGAGCCCCGGAGGCGGAGGTTGCAGTGAGCCGAGATCAGCCACCGCACTCCAGCCTGGTCAACAGAGCGAGACTCCATCTCAAAAAAAAAGAAAAAAAGAAATACATATCTAATGTTACAGATTTTGGTTTATTGGTTAATTACTATGTATTTTTTCAGTTTAAAAAATAATCTTATTTTATATACTTCTCTCAGTATAATTTTTCATGACATTTCAGCATGTTGATGTGTGCATCTATTTCAGTGCCTTAAAGTATTTTGAGAGCAATCTTTTGCTGACAGTTGAAGAACTGTTAAGAATGAAATACTATTCATTAAATCAAAAAAAAAAAAAAAAAAACAAATGGCCGAGGAAAGAGACCTCTGCCTCAACCCCTCTATTTAGCAAAGCAGGAAATTAGTATAAAAGGGGCCTTAAAGTTCAAATGTAATTTTTTTTTTCTTTTAGTTAGAGACAGGGTCTCTCTCTGTGGCCCAGGCTGGAGTGCAGTGGTGCAATCATAGCTGCAGCCTCCAACTTCTGAGCTCAAGCAATTCTCCCACCTCAGCCTCCCAAGTAGCTGGGACCACAGGTGTGTATGTGCTACCACACCTGGCTAATTTTTTTTTTTTTTTTTTTTTTTGCAGAGACGGGGGTCTCGGTCTCACTATATTGCCCAGGCTTGTCTCGAACTCCTGGCCTCAAGCAATCCTCTGCCTTGGCTTCCCAAAACACTGGGATTACAGGCAGGAGCCACCATGCCTGACTTCAAATGCAATTTTTACTGTTAGAAAAACTTCATATTAGCATGATCCGTTTCACAACAGATGCCAACTATAACCAACACAGTCCAAGACTCATGTTTACAGTTTATTAGCTTGTTTGCCTTCCTTTAGGTACCATCAGCAAAATTAGATAAGTGTGCAGAAATTATCATCGTGAACCAGAAGACTCAATGATATGCATCAGAACAACTCAATGTGTGGTCCTTGGGCCAGTAGCAGTGGCACCAACCGGGAGCTTGTTAGAAATGCATATTCTCAGGTCCCACCCTAGACCAAGAGGACCAGAATAATGGGCTGGTGCCCATGTATCAGTATTTAGCAAGTTCCCTAGGTGAGGCTGGCACACACTCAAGTCTGAGAACCACTGGCTTGAGTTGTGAGGGCCCTACACACTACAAAACCTCCAATGTCCTCACTTGTAGCACTAATTAACTATTTGTGAGTTATTGTTTAGACAAATTAGTTATACACACATATATCTCTTTCTATTGCACTTCACAGATACTGCATTTTTTACAAATTGAAGGTTTCTGGCAACCCTGCATCAAGCAAGTCTATTGGCACCATTTTTCCAACAGCATGTGCTCACTTTGTGTCTCTGTGTCACATTTTGGAAATTCTCACAGTATTTCAATTCAAACTGTTTCATTACTATTATATCTGTTATCCTAATCTGTAATCAGTGATCTCTGATGTTATTATTGTAATTATGTTGGGGTACCATGAACTCCACCAATAGGAGATGGTAAACTTAATTGATAATGTTGTGTGCGTGTGTTCTGATTGCTCCACAGATCAGCCATCCCTCCCCCTCTCCTCAGCCCTCCCTATTTCCTGAGACACAACAATATGTTGAAATTAGGACAATTACTAATCCTCCAATGGCGTCTAAGTGTTCATGTGAAGGGAAGAATCACATGTCTCTTACTTTAAATAAAAAGCTAGCAACAATTAAGCTCAAGCTTAGTGAGGAAGGCATGTTGAAAGCTGAGACAGGCCAAAAGCTGGGCCTCTTGGACCGGTACACCACGTTGTGAATGCAAAGGAAAAGTTCTTGAAGGAAATTAAAAGTGCTACTCCAGGGAACACAGGAATGATAAGAAAGTGAAACAGCCTTGTTGCTGATATGGAGAAAGTTTGAGTGGTCTGGATAGAAGATCAAACTAGTCACAACATTCCCTTAAACCAAAGCTAATCCAGAGCGAGGGCCTAACTTTTCAATTCTATGAAGGCTAAGAGGTGAGGAAGCTGCAGAAGAAAAGCTGGAAGCTAGCAGGGGTTCATGAGATTTGAGGAAAGAAGCCATCGTCCTAATATAAACGTGCAATGTGCTGCAGCAAGTGCTGATGGAGAGGCTGCAGCAAGTTCTCCAGGTTCTCCAGAAGACCTAGGGTAACATCACTAATGAAGGTGGCTACACTAAACGACAGATTTTCGATGTAAATGAAACAGCTTTCTATTGGGAGGAAATGCCGTCTAGACTTGCATAGCTACAGAAAAGTCAATGCCGGGCCTCAAAACTTCAAAGGACAGACTGACTCTCTTGCTAGAGGCTAATGCAGCTGGTGACTTTAAATCGAAGCCAACACTCAGTTGCCATCTCCAAAGTCCTAGGGCTCTAAAGAATGATGCTAAATCTACTCCGCCTGTGCTCTAGAAATCGAACAACAAAGCCTGGGTGACAGCACATCTGTTTACAGCATGGTTTACTGAATATTTTAAGCCCATTGTTGAAACCTGCTGCTTAAAAAAAGAAAAAAGATTCTTTTCAAAATATGATTGCTAATTGATAATGCACCTGGTCATGCAAGAGTTCTGATGGAGATGTACAAGGTTAGTGTTGTTTTCACGCCTGCTAACACAACATCCATTCTGCAGCCCATGGATCAAGGAGACATTTTGACTTTGAAGTCCTATCATTTAAGAAGTACATTTCATAAGGATATAGCTGCCATAGATAGTGATTCCTCTGACGGATCTAGGCAAAGTTAATTGAAAACCTGCTGGAAAAGATTAGCCATTCTAGATATCATTAAGAACATTCGTGATTCATGGGAGGAAGTCAAAATACCAACATTAACAGGAGTTTGGAAGACTTTGATTCCAACCCTCATGGATGAATTCAAGGGGTTCAAGATGTCAGTGAAGGAAGTAACTGCAGATGTGGTGGAAATAGCAAGAGAACTAGAATTAGAAGTGGGGCCTAAAGGTGGGACTGAATTGCTGCAGCCTCATGATCAAATCTGGATGGATGAGAAGTTGCTTCTTATGGATGAGTAGAGAAAGTGGTTTTATGAGATGCACTCTACTCCTGGTAAAGATGCTGTGAACATTGTAGAAATGACAACAAAGGATTTAGACTATTACATGAACTTAGGTGATAAAGCAGAGGCAAGATTTGAGAGGATTGACTCCAATTTTAAAAGAAGTTCTGCTGCGGGTGAAACGCTGTCAAGTAGCATCATATGTTACAGAAAAATCTTTCATGAAAGTAGCGTCAACTGATGCAGTGAAATGCATTGTTGTCTTATTTTAAGAAATTGCCACAGCCACCCCAGCCTCCTGCAACCACCCCTCTGATCAGTCAGCAGTCATCAACGTAAAAGCAAGACCCTCCACCAGTAAAAAAAAAAAATGATGACTTGCTGAAGGCTCAGATGACCATTAGCATTTTTAGCAATAAATTATTTTTTAATTAAGGTAATGACATTGTATTTTCATACAGAATGCAGTTGCACTCTTAATAGACTATAGTATAAGGTAAACATAACTTTTATATGCACTGGGAAACCAAAAAGTTCGTGTGACTCACTTTGTTGGGCTATTCACTTTATTGTGGTGGTCTGGAACTGAATATGCAATCTCTCCAAGGTACCGTATTTTATTTCTGGTACCATTATGATCCAGCTAGATCACAAAAATACAGGCCACATTAGCCAAAATCCTATTTAATATGCATTAACTTTATAAGTCATAATTTACTGAATCCTTGAAGCAGACACAGAACAGAAGGAAATATTAAGGGGAAAGGTAGAATAAAATATTTAAGAAATGATGTTGCCATTAAATATATTGTTTGAAATGAATATGTAAAAATATGAAGAAAGACATTATAATATTAAACTTAAAATTCAGAATACAGAACTGTATATTCAGTGTAATCACAACCTTAGAATGCAGATTTTTTAAAATTCAAAGATTGGAAACAGATTCACTAAAATGTTAGCAGTCAATATCTTTAGGTGATGGAGATAATAGAGGATTTTGTTCATCTAGAACTTGCTGATGCAAAGATAAAGATCATCAGTGTTCATGGCCAAGTTTTTACTCCAGTTGACATACTCCAGAAATGAAGCAAAGCTGAGTCACTCCTGGGTTTGCTATTAACAAATAGACACAGTGCTATCATTTTACGAGACCATCCTGTGAAGCATATTACACATATTAGGAAATGATCTTAACAGGTGAGAAATGCTCTGAAAATATACACGTAGAGTGCAAGGAATCATGTACGTGCCCAAATGGGTTCCACTAAAAGGGAAGACTCGTTCAGAATTGAGACAACCATACAATACATTCATCCTTTCCTGTTCTCTGTTCTAGGTCTCCTCCACCATCTAAGAGTGACAGACAGTTCAGGAGATCTTAGGGACCCAATTCTTAAACCAAGTGATTTCCTGACCAGTTCCCTAGCTATAGATATGCCTCTGCCTAAAACTTTCCCAGTTGCTTCAAATTTTGAGATCCCAGAAAAGCAGATGTCCAACAGATATTCAGAAGGATAGAAAATGTTGTTCCCTCAAATGCTGACTTAACCTTGCAGTGTCCTTTGGCTGCCCTGAAGGAGATCCCTAAAGAATTCTTCATAAATACAACGACACTGCTTTCATATGACACTGGCAGCTTCAGGTTGTAAATAACAGGAAGCACCAAGGGGTCACTGATGAGAAGAGCCTCTGCTTTACACTCAGGCAGGACAAGGCTGAGGTCCAGGGTCTGTTACTCTGGGTCCAGTCCTGACCAAGTTTCATCCATCGGAGAGCAATTAAAGGAGAAAAAAAAAAAAAGGGTAAAGAAATAACAAAAGTAATAGCAGCTACAGCAAAATGAAGAGTTGCAAATAATTTCTGTCTTAGTCCATTCAGGCTGCTCTAACAAAACACCATAGACTAACAACAGACATTAATCGCTCACAGTTCTTGGGGCTGGAACCCTAAGATCAAGGCACCAGCAGATATTGTGTCTGGTGAGGACTCACTTCCTGGTTCATAGATGCGTGTTGGAGCCATAGTGCACCCTCGCTCTGTCCTCACAGGGTGGAAGGGCAAGGGAGCTCTCTGGGTACTCATCTCGTTCACAACGCTCCACCCTCATGACCTCAGCAGCTCCCAAAGGCCCACCTCCTGACACCATCACCTTGGGGGTTAGATTTCAACATGAATTTTGGAGAGACACACATTCAGTCTCTAGCAATGTCCAATCCATGGAGAAAGAGCAATACAGAGAAAGGATGATCCATGGGAGTTTGAGAAGTAAAGAAATAACCAGCACCAAGTTCATGATACAAGAAACACCAGGAGGAACACCGAGCAGGGAACCCTGTGCTCTGGGCAGGCGACAGAGCTCCATGTGAACTTATTCTGTTCTTTGAAGATTTCTCACTCAGGTTAACACCTAGACTTCACACTTAGGTGTGAATGTCACTTTTAAAGACATTCACCTCCACATTTTCACCTTCTTCTTTTGGAAGAGAAAGACGAAAAAAAGAAAAAGATCTTTGCATTCTAAAAGATACTTTGTCACTGCCTGAAAAAATAAACGGCTGCTCCAAAGTAGTAATAAATATTTTTTCATTTACTGAGCAGCTGCTATATGCCCCAGACCCTGTGGAGTGCTTTTGTTTATGAGCTCATTTAAGTCTTGAGGCAGGGGCTCTCTGCTTCGCTTTATGGATGAGACGGAGAAGCCAGCATATAGACGAGGTCTTTTCTAAGGTGTCAGTCATATCTGGCTGAATTATCTGATGCCTGAGCCCATTTCTGTATCTGCCCCACACCGTGGGTTCCCACTCCAGCCGACTTCATCAATATTCTGGACGATGCGAACAGCATCCTAGGACTACCCTTGCTGCGTGGCTTCTTCTCTCCTTTAATCAAAGGTGCCAGGGGCCCAAACCTGAAATTGCAAGGGAAGGAAACAGTAAAAGCAGTAACTACCTCATCTCTTAGCTCTGGTAAATCGTCTTATTTCTCTCAACTGTAGTATCACAAATGCACGCTCCATGGTTTTAGCAAGTCTTGGACTCTCAGTAGAAAACACATGCCCAAACAATACATGTTAATTAACACAGGTGCTGATTGCTTTGTCATTCAAGAAAGGGGAGTCGCTTCTTTTAATCAGTGTGATGAGAATCGCCAAGGCTAAATGCAGTTTGCTGAGGCTCTGAGATGTCTTGAAGGATTATATAATTCCCCTACAAAGTGAGAATGCTAGAATGTCAGAATCACCCTGAGGGCTTTAAAACATCTTGGTGCCCAGGGCACACCCAAAACCATAAGATCACAATGTTTAGTCAGGCAAGGAGTGGGAGCCAGGCTCCCCTAGATGATTCCGGGCTGGCCAAGAAACTGGGGCAGTAATGAAATAACGTGAGGTAATAAGTGGAAAAGAGCTGATGAATTTTCAGGTGATTTTCATTTACACTGAGGAAATGTAACCAAGTTGGGAGGAAAAAAATCAATGATCTCTATGTCCTAATGATACTGAAAATTTTAAATTTTCAATATAGTATTATACACACCTAGAACTCAGGGAAAAAAGAAGAGGCTTCGTCCAATTATGATATTCTTCTCTCCCTTTCTGTTTCAGTTCTGGCCCTAGAGCAAAAATGTCTGCGAGGGCGTTCTGCCCTTTGTGATTTGTAAAAGGCACCGAGGCGCAGCCCGGAGGAGACAGCGCACCCTGACCCTCCCCGCCGCCTCCGCCACTTCCCCGGGGATGTTGGTATCTTTGGAACTAGCTGATTTTGAACTTTATCTTCCCTTTGAATGACTGTGCTATCGCTATTATTTTTCCAAAGAGAACAGAGCCCTTCCAAAAATGGTTTAGGTTCCTGGAAAAGAAAAATAACCATTTTCTCCAACATTTACATTACAAATTACATTTCAAACCTAATGGGAAAGTCTGTTTATTTTTTATTCAAATTACGTCAACTCCTTTCCAGAAACAAATTAAACTCGTTTCCTACTCAGCTGAAAAAAAAAAAAAAACTTCAAAACAAACCAGGGAGATGCTACGCATAAAGATCTAAATGTAGCCTCATTATATATCTGCTCCACCACCCCATATTTAATAAAGATATGGTTTGATACATACTTATACATTATATATAGTGATATACTAAAATATGGATATTTATACATAATACTTATAATATGTAACAGCTATTTTATAGGTATAAAATATATAAAGCATATTTCTATTATAGATATTATATATAAATATACATACATGTAATATACAATTATATATAATATATGTTATATGGTTGTAAACGGATATATAGAAAATATGTTATCTGGTTATCTGCATGTAACTGGATAATATATACATGTAACTGTATGTTTATCATATACAAATATACATATAATACATTAAATATATTTATAGTTTATGTATCTTTCATATATTATTTCATTTATATAGATATGTTAGCCTGGCCAACATGGTGAAACCCCATCTCTACTAAAAATACAAAAAATTAGCAGGGCATGGTGGCATGTGCATGTAGTCCCAGCTGCTCAGGAGGCTGAGTCATGAGAATCGCTTGAACCCGGGAGGCGGAGATTGCAGTGAGCCGAGATTGCACCACTGCCCTCCAGCCTGGGTGACAGAGAGAGACCCTGTTTCCAAAAAAAAAAAAAAGATATGTTAATGTGTGTGTATTGATACTAAACATACCACATATCCAAAATGATTCTAAACAATGAAATTTAGCATATAAAGCCGGGCACAGTGGCTCACGCCTGTAATCCCAGCACTTTGGGAGGCCGAGGCGGGCAGATCACGAGGTCAGGAGATCGAGACCATCCTGGCTAACACGGTGAAACCCCGTCTCTACTAAAAATACAAAAAATTAGCCGGGTGTGGTGGCAGGCGCCTGTAGTCCCAGCTACTTGGGAGGCTGAGGCAGGAGAATGGCGTGAACCCGGGAGGCGGAGCTTGCAGTGAGCCGAGATCACCCCACTGCACTACAGCCTGGGCAACAGAGCGAGACTCCATCTCAAAAAAAAAAAAAAAGAAAGAAATTTAGCATATAAACTCAGAAAATTACTTTCTGGGCAGAGACAAAGCTAATTCAATCTTAATTTGATCTATTACTTTAAGATGATGATTGAGTGTACTAACCAATACAAAAGAGGTTAACAAAAAGTACCTGAGGAAGATCAGTTTTGCAGGATTTCAGAGTATTATTCACCAAATCTGCTAAGGGTATGTTATTTAAATCCATCAAAATCCCATTTCTGGGGTTCTAGGTAAATGTAAGGTGTGGCTCCAGCAAGCTCCATCTGAGGCTAGAGTACTAAAAGCCCCCCAAGGAAGACACACTATCAGACAACAGTAGGGAAAGCAGAAATACCTCCCATAGCCAGGCTATGTCCATTCCATTGGTGCTTGACTACTGTCTGGATTCATTCGATCACGTTAATTTACTTGACAAGTTATGTTTCTGGTAGGCTTCAAGAATTATCTTGAATTTGAAACTAGTGGGGTAGAAATTTAAAAGCTTTCCCAATGCTTTCTGGACATTTCCGCCTCGTATTTTCCCCTGTGGTTAGAGCTGATGCTGGCTTACCTGGGGACACCCAGGTACCCACTGATGTTTGCTGATGCTAGTATTGATCCTCCAAACCAGCCAATAAGACCTCTCTTAGGAGCTTCTATCACCAACAGGCACTCTGTCTAAAACTGCGACATCTCCCAGCCTGAACAACCTGGACTTTTCCTCTTGCCTCTCTTGACTATCTAACATGCTGTATCTTTCACATATTTATTTTGCAGATTTTTCAACACTCCTATTAGACTATAATTTTGAGCTGGTTGTTCATTGGTAAATTGCAAATGCTTATAACAGTGCCTAGCAAACACCGGATGATCAATACATATTTGTCAATGACATGAATCAATCGGAATGCAGGCAGATTGATCAAGATAAAAAGGCAAGAGAGTAAGAGGAAAAGGGGGAAAAATAGATCTTGACAACTTTCAAGTGGTTCAGCACCCAAGTCAATTTGTTTTCAGGGTGAAACTGAATCTCAATGTTTCTTTCAAACACGTGGACTATTTCTTAGTCATCTCAATAAGAATTTTCTGGAAGACTCGGGCTTAGATGTAACAGGTTCAATGGACCCAACTGCCCTCGGCTCTTGCCAGAATGAGAAACACTTTGGTTTTGTTCAATTCATTTATTTCCTGCACTCGAATTGCCATCAAGAGATGTAAATGTTGAAACTGATTTGATTTTAAATATACCCACACTTCTCGGCCTCTTGCCAACCCTTTTATAATCAGCTCCTAAACAGCCTTTGCAACCCACACTCAGTTGTGTATGTTTTTGTTCAACTTACTTTACAGATTGGCAGAATGTCGTGTTCTACTTATTTTCCAAGTTGTGTATGTTTTTGTTCCACTTATTTCACCCCATTACCCAGGGCAGGTCCTTCTGTAAAGCCCAAACAGTGAATATTTCAGGTTGTGCAGGCCACACAGTCTCTGGGGCAGCTACTGACTCTGCTGCTGTAGCCCAAATACAAGCCATACGTAAACATGTGGTTATGGCTGAGCTCGAATAAATCTTCATTTTTGGACACTGAAATGTGACTTTTATATAATTTTCACATTTCAGGAAATATTATCTTCTGATTTTTTCCAACCATTTTAAAATGCCAAAGCCATTCTTAGCCTGTGGGCCATACAGAAACAGGCAGTAAGCAGGGCTGTCACTTGTGAACCTAAGTTTGCCTAAAGTCTTAAAAAGATCACTTGAAGTGGTTCTTAACCTTCAAATCTGGTGCTTTTCGGATCCTTCTTTCAATCTCTATTCCATAAATGCAAGTTGCCACAGGAAAGGTCTCTTCCGACACAAAGACTAAAGCTGCAGAATGAGCCAGATTCTTACCAGAGGACTTAAGTTTCATGTGTTCGTTGCTTTCAGCTCTTTAGGGCTGTTAAGCCAACACCTATATATAATCCTGACTTTAAAATATTAGCAGGTGACCAGGGAGATGTTAGCAACATCATTCCTCATCTCCCCTAGAAATGTTCAATGTTCCTTCCCCTGGGCTCCCAGGGCTTTTGTTCATCTCTGTCTCAAGAAATCCTGAAACATGTGTAGCCCCTTGAGGGTAGAGTCGATCTAAGCCTTATTCAAAGTGTAGCCCAACCCTAGCATCCCGTTCAGCACCAAAGACGCTCAGTGCCTGCTTGTTGAATGCTGTTTCCTCACCTTAATCAGAAATGGGAGAGTATCCCTGAGTGTGGAGCTGAGTGAAGAGCAAAGGCAGCTTTCTGAGGCATATTTCATTGGGAACACACACAATATGATTTGTCTGTTTGGGAGGGTCTCTGAGATTTATGTCTATTGGATTGGAGAAAGAAAATCTTTTCTACATCCTCACCTACTTGGAGAACACATTCACTGATCTAAGAGGCTGGATGGAATGGGCAGCTCTTGGCAAAGGTAAAATGCACAGTTATCTTATGAAATAACTGGCCAGGCACAGTGGCTCACGCCTGTAATCCTAGCACTTTGGGAGGCCGATGTGGGCAGATCATTTGAGGTCAGGAGTTCGAGACCAGCCCGGCCAACATGGTGAAATCCCGTCTCTACTAAAAATACAAAAAAATTAGCTGGGCATGGTGGCACCTGCTTGTAGTCCTAGCTACTTGGGGGGCTGAGGCAGAAGAATTGCTTAAACCTAGAAGACAGAGGTTGCAGTGAGCCAAGATCGTGCCACCGCACTCCAGCCTGGATGACAGAGCACAACTCCGTCTCCCCCGCAAAAAGGAAATAACCATGGCTTCACTTCCTCTCTTCTCTCCTCCCTATAGTCTGCCATTACCATTTTCCAAGGGCCCCAAGCCCCAGCTGCTAGCGATGTATGGAAGTGTCAGACATGTTTTAGTTGCTACTGCTCATACTATCATCTGCAGGTAGACCCTGAGATGATCTCGAGGGAAGTGAACCCCAATACTAGCCTCTTCAAAGCAGCATTTGCCCCAACAGGAAGACTCTTTGGCCAATCAAACGCAGGTGTTGTTGGAATGGAATTGTTCCTGCAATGCCCTCTCTTCACCTCTTCCTCCTGCTAAAACTGTCCTTTCCTTCCTCTTTACTCAAGGTGGGTCACTGCATTGAGCATGCACGGAAAAAGGGCTTGGGGTTTTCTCCAAATACATTTTGAACTGGAAAATTAAGCTATATTTATTTTGCCTCTTAAATGGGTTAGAAGAAAAATCACTGAGTAGATCCCAGCATTGGCCAATTGCTTAGTGCTGCATGCAGATTTGTGGAGATATTGGTGGACTCCATAGGTTGTGACCTTCCCGTCGCTTATGAATTGCATATCGCATCAGAGCAGAACTCCCAGGGGCTTCCATGTCAAGAAGTACCAAGAAGTGCTGCCAGGGATGGGCTGTTCTGCCTCACAATTGTGATGAACAGTCTAAGATGGCCCCAAATTCCAACCACCTGTCCTGCAATGATACATGATCCCCTCCCCTTGACATACCCAAGACGGGATGCACCCCATAAATGCATAAAAACATTATGTGTCTATTTTTAAAAGTTAACCTGGGCCAAAAGAAAGAAAAACTGCAATTGAAAAGCTTCTAAAAGTTGTTTTTGGTGCTAAAAATGGACACAGCATGATGACGTTTTTTAATGAGGGCACCAGTCCATGGGTGTTTTTGGTTATTCAAGTGTGGGTCTGCCCCTAGGTTGAGGAGCATGATGAGGCACAGGCATCTGGAGTGTGGGGTAGCAAAGTAAGAGTGCTCCATACTGCGCTAGTTTTCTATTGCTGTGTAACGAATCACCACATAGTGACATCGCACAGCACAGATTTATTATCTTACAATTTCCGTGGGTCAGGTTATCTGAGTCCTCTGCTCAGGGTCTCACCAAGCCACAAGCAAGGTGTCAGCTGGGCTATGGTCTTATCTAAGGTTCATAGTCCTCTTTTAAGCTTACATGGCTGTTGGCAGAATTCAGATCTTTGTGGTTGCAGTACTGAGGCCCCATCTCTTGCTGGCTGTCAGCTGGGAGCTTCTCACAGATCCTAGAAGCTGCCCACAGTTCCTTGCCATGTGGTCCCCTCCACAAGCCTCCTCACCCTTCCCACCACTCTGACCTCAGGGAGTAGCCAGTTCCTTTTAAGCTGTCACCTGATTAGGTCAGATCCACCTAGGTCATCGTCCTTTTGATTGACTCAATGTGAACAGAATTAGTCACCTAATCACAGGAGTGACTTCGATCCCAGGTTCTGTTCACACTCAAGGGGAGTGGGTTATATGGGGTGTGCACAGCACGGGGCACAATATTGAGGACCATCTTAGAATTCTGCCACACATACAGAGCCTAGGGAAGGGGAAACACAAGGGAAAGAAACAGTTTCATGCATGGGTCCATTTCTGTTCAGAAGACAGTACAATGCCTGGCCTTAGTAAATAGGAAACTTTTTTCAAGTAATGAGGGTGGAGGCTGTGTGAAAGAGGTGGAACCAACTTTTGCATATACTCGAAGCCAGGCAGGATATTGGAGCTAATACAGTAAGCCTCAGGAAACTGACCACTTGCTTGGTTCTGTTCAAAGTGTGGCCCATAAACTGGTCCATCAGCATCGCCCAGGAGCATGTAAGAGACATACATCTTCAGAAGCCCCACCTCAGACCTGCCCAGTTAGAATTTCTGGGGTGGTACTCAATTATCTCTTTTAACAAGTTTTCTGGGTGATTCAAGTGCACCCAGTTTGAAAAGAATGGCGTTAGCCAACCCTGTAAGTTCGGTTTTTTTCCAACAAATATTAAGCATCTACACAGCACTCACAAGGATCTTAACTTTGAGACAAGAATTCAGTTGCACTTAAAAGAGATAAATAACTTGCCAAACACACAAAAGTCTGAAGATCAAGGTTATAGATGAATGGACCCTTAAGAAGAATGGTCTGACCCCAGGGCAGGCTATCCTTTAGGCTTCTGAGCAGCTGAATGTTCTCACACGTACCGACAAGCATCTGCCACTATCGACTCTGAAAGAAGCCACATACAAACTCTGCCTTGATACTAGCACAGCCGAAGGGGAATGGAAACTTTTGTCAATTTGATGATTTGAGTATTTTAAGAACAGAAGTTCAGCTATTCAGCCCATCCAATGAATCCGGTAAAAGTAGATCCTGAAGATAATCCCTAAGTACTACTCAATGGAAAAAAATTGTGCTGTTGGGACTGCATTGGCACACAACAGTTCTGTGAACATCTCACAGCAGCAGAAGCCCAAGACAGAAGCAGTGTAGCCTGGTGGTTAGGAGTTCAGGCGCTGGCATGTTGCAAACCTGGGGTGGAATTCCAGCTCTCCTACCCGCCAGCCTCTCTAAGTTTCAGCTCTTCTCGTCTACACAAATGGGACAAGACCAGTGCCATCCTCATTTAGTGAGGATCCAATAATTCAGGCACCATTCAACAATTAAAAGGCAAATAGTCCAATTAAAAGTGGGCAAGGGATTTGAAAAGACATTTTCTACAAATTGCCACTGATGTACAAATTGCCATTAAGTGCATGAAAAGATGCTCATCATCATTAGTAATCAGGGAAAGACAAATCAAAACCACAATGAGACAGCATTTCATACCCACTAAGGTGGTTATAATGAAACAACAGACAATAACAAGTGTTGGTGAGGATGTGGAGAAACCAGGACCATCATATACTACCGATAGGAATGTAAAATCATGCAGCCACTTTGGAAAATGGTTTGGTGGTTCCACAAAATGTTAAACATAGTGGTTGAGTCAGCTCAGGCAGCTCTAACACAATACCACAGACTGGGTGGCTTAAACATACATTTATTTCTCACACTTCTGGAGGTTGGGAAGTCCAAGATCAAGGTGCCACCATGCTCAAGTTCTAGTGAGGGCTCTCCTCCTGGTTTGCAGACAGACACCTTCTTGCTGTGTCTTCACATGGCAGAGAGAGAGCATCTTTCTAGTGTCTTTTCAAAGGCATTAATGCCACTCATGAGGGCTTCACCCTGATGGCCTAACTACCTCCCAAAGGCTCCACCTCCAATTACCATCTCACTGGGGGTTGGAGCTTCAAAATATTAATTTTAGCGAGACCCATTCAGTCCACAGCAACACAGAATTACCATATGATTCATATATATCCAAGAGAATTGGAAACACATGTCTATACAAAACCCATATATGGATATTCATTCACAGAAACATTATTTATCATAGCCAAAACATGAAACAAACCAAATATCCATCAGCTGATGAATGGATAGACAAAATGAGTTCTATTCATACAATGGAATATAATTCACCCACAAAAAGGAATAAAGTATTGATACTTGCTACAACATAAATAAACCTCACAAACATTACTCTACATGAAGAAAGTCAGTCACAAGAAAACATATATTGTATGATTCCATTTGTATGAAATGTCCAGAATAGGCAAATCTATAGAGACAAAAAGATTAGGGTTGCCAGGGGCTGGGAGAAGAGGAGAATGTGAGTCACTGCTAAGGGAAATATTCTGGAATTAGATTGATTATAGCAAGACTTTGTAGATATACTAAAAACCATTGTTTTAGACATTGAATTTATGGTGTGTAACTTTTATGTCAATTTTTTAAAGTAGAAAAATCCACATAGATTGACCTTGTCAGTTTCCCTGACACATAGAAAATACATACAAGTTATCATAACAAAATAATGAGATGTGGAGAAATGTAAAATGGTGCAGCCACTGTGAAAAACTATATGGTGGTCCTTCAAAAAATTAAACATAGAATTACCATGTGATCCAGAAATTCTACTTCTGGTTACATACCCAAAAGAATGGAAAGCAGGAACTTGAACAGACATTTGTATTCTCATGATGATAACAGCTTTATTCACAAAACAGCTAAAAAATAGAAGCAACCCAAGTGTCCATGAAGGGACGAATGGATAAACAAAATGTGATATAGACATACAATGGACTATTTCGCTTTTCAAATGAAGGAAATGCTGGCACATGCTACAACGTGGATGCAACTTAAAGACATTATGCTAAGTGAAATTGACCAGACACAAAATGACACATATTGTATGTTTCTACTCATGTGAGGTACTTAAAGTAGACAAATTCATAGAGGTAAAAAGTAGAATGGTGGTTGTCAGGGGCTCAGGGGACAGAGGAATGAGAATTTATTGTTTAATGGGACAGAGTTTCAGTTTGGAGGCTGGAAGAACTCTGAGATGGATGGCGATGATGGCTGCACAACAATGTGAATGTAACTCATGCCACAGAACTGCACACTTAAAAATGGTTAACATGGTAAATTTTATATTATAAGTATTAAACCACAATTAAAATGTTTTTAATAGAGCATTGTAGATAGAGGCTATAAAACAATGCCTTTGTAAATTAATAATCAAGCAATAATAAAATGATTATTATATGTTCCTGTCTTTAAAAATGAAATGGGAATTACATATTCCTTCACTGTAGTGGACTGAGGATAACAATGCATGAGGATAACATGAACCTCCAGGTTCAGAGAGAGGAAAATGACCAAGGAAGCCTTTTCAGGACTCACTGATGGTCTCTGCTTTCTGGGGAGCAATTCATATGCCATCTTAGCTCTGAAATATTTGCACACCATCTCTTCAGAGGCAGCATCTGAGCTGCGTTCCCTGAAGAGATGCCTTGGGTATCTCTGGAGCTAAATCAGGCTAAACCCAGAAGCAATCATCACTGAGGTGTTGCTTTTCAGAGAACAAATGGCCACCTGTATACTAGAGACATTTTGAAAGGCTAGGGAGAGCGGTCCAATTTGAGGTTAATGAAGTCTTTGAAAAGATAACCATACCTTGTCAAGAAGATGCTAAATCTTTGCATAATAATTACTTTCCTGACATATCCAACTTTAGTCTCATTCCTACTTTTACTTTTTCATCCTAACGATGCTTTTCCTAATGGAATTTGTCGTGATTTTTCTTCATAGAATTTTTATGTGGCCAGCCTGGTAATCATTTTTATTCCTCATCAAATAATTTCAGAAAAACACTATGCATGCAGAACAATATAATGATAACGATCATTTAAAGTATTCAGGGAAATCCTAAAATCCCCAAGAGGAAAATATAATTATATAAGAGTTCTGCTGTAGTGTTGTTAAGTTTTATTTCACCAGACGCGTAATACCTCTTTGGTTTGATTTCATACCTCATCTCATACCTCTAGAGAAATTTGTGTGTCGGGGGGTGGGGGGGCGGGGAGGGGAAAAAAAAAAAATCTCTTATGATGCACACCTGCTGCTTATTATTTCAATTTCTCATAAAAATTGTAGTGTTTACTCTATTAGCATCACAAAAGCAGTGTAAAGACCAATAAATAGTGAATATCTGTAGCAGATAATACATATACAATGAAAAACCACAACTTAAATTGTTTTCTCTACTTCACAGCAAGAATATAATATGTTTCAACAAATTTCTTCACTGATTAAATAAAGTATCTGCATTATATGGATGTGATATAAGGAGATTTTTAAAATAGGATTTAACTTCTAGTTAAACATGGCCAATTTAACCTATGGATTTCTCTCTAAGGAGTTACATAAATCCCTTACGGGGATTCCAAAGCTTGCTCTGAGGGTAGCCAGGCACCATGTCATGAGGACACTCAGGCATCCATGTGGAGAGCCCAAATAGAAAGGAACCAGGTTGCCAACACCAAGTTGTGAGGGTGCCATCTTAGAAATGTATTCCTCGGCCCCAGTCAAGCCTTTATATGATTGCAGCCCCAGATGACACCTGACTGACAACTTAGGAGCAACCACAAGCCAGAACTGTCACATTGAGCTACTACTGAATTCCTGACCAATAGAAACCTTGAAAAATGATAATAGATTATTGTAGCTTTAAGCCACTAGGTTTGGGGTGATTTGTTCCACAGTAGTAGATAACTAATAGAAGTGTTTTCTTCATTCTCATTAGGAACTTCCTGAAATGTGTCTCTTATCTACTGCGTTAAAACTCATTAACAAATTTCTATTTTCAACATATTAAGTCCAAACTTCCCTTCATTTTCTATAATTTGGAGCCTACTTTAATTCTCACCACTCCACCTATGCTGCAATGTAGCACAGATATGATTTCAAGAATTAGCCATTATTCCTCAATTAGCCTCTATGAAACTAGCATGGACTTGGCAGTCAGAGAGTCCTGGGTCCTAATTCAAAATCCACTTCTTGTTTGCCTATCTATATTTGCCATTTTCCCAGAAGAGGCCACTGCATGAAGAGTGGAACACAACCCACGACAAGAAGGAAGAAAAGCACCATTAGGATCAAAAAGTAAAAGTAGGAATAAGACTAAAGTTGGCTATGTCGGTTAGCTATTGCTGTGTAACAAGTTACCCCAAAAGTTAGCAACTTAAAACAACGCACACTTATTATCTCACTAAGCATCAGCCCAAGATTTGTGATCCCATATGAAGACTTGACTGAGGAATGACCTGATTCTGAGTTTGTGTGATCATTAGCAGGACTCAGTTCCTCGCAGGCAATAAGACTGAGTCTCAAAGTCATCAATAGTGGCAAAGTCTGCTAGCCAGATAAATATTACAGCCCTTTGCATCCTAATCAACAGGATGGCATCTCACCACTTTTATCATATTCTATTGGTAAAAAGCAAGTCACTAAGTCAATCCACACTCAAGGTTTGGTGGGGAGGTGGGGCAGGTTACACAAGGGCATAAATATCAGGAGGTGGGAATCACTGAGGGCCGTCTTAGAAGTCTGCCCACCATGGTTTGGATACATAAAATAACCTACATATTCACTTTAATGGCCTGGTGTTTAAGAATACAGACCCTGGAGCTAGACTGCCTGAGTTCAAATCCCAGTTCTGCCACTTTTAAGCCTGTATAACCTTACGGAGGTTACTCAACAGAACCTACGTCACAACAAAGTTCACAATGTCCACAGGCTAAAAATAAAACTAATTCAATTGTACTTTTAGTGCAATAGTAGGAAACAGTAGGAAAAGTACTATTCTTAGTACTAAGACTTTACAAAAAGTTCTCCCCAGCACACCATGGGTAATGGAAGCAACAGCATTTTCCAGAACAGCTTCACAGTAAACACTACAATGAATTTCTGTAGACCACTTGATAGAACTAACCTTAATCTAAACCAATGGCACCCACCAAAGTTCAACGTGACATGAGCAATTCTTGGAATAGTCAGAAAAATCAGATCTACAGCCTAGCTCACCCTTGATCGGATTTGACCTCACTGATTTCAGAATATTTGAAAGAACAGAGAGCTGGCATGTTCTTCATGTAATTCTCCCTAAAAACCATTTCTTTCAACAGATATTTCGATGAAGACTAAGTAGCTGTAAATTCGAAACTGTATTTCCTGGTATAAGGATTCAGGTAATTTATACACATAAGATATATATTTTTTAATTTCCTGTACAAAGCAATCTAATAAGACATTTTGATGAAGACTAAGTAGTCATAAGTTCAAAATTGTATTCTCTGGTATAAGGATTCAGGTAATTTACAGGCAAAAAGTAATCTAATAAATATTAAATATAAATATTAAAGGTCTTGTTGTTTTCTGTTGCTGGTTGAAAACAAGCCCCAGTCTTGATCTGAATTAGGGCCCTACCACTTACTGGCTTACTCTATGACCTTGGTCAAGACTTGTCTGAGCTTCAGGGTTTTCAACTTGGAAAATGAAATAATAATAATGTCATCATATTGGGTCGCTAGGAGAATTAAATGAGATTGTGTTTGCAAATTGCATAACATGATACTTGGCTCAAAATAAGCTTTCAAAAAAATGGTAAAAATCCTTAAATATTATTTTTAACTGGAAAGTCTCCTTATACCACAAGTTTATGAATCTTAGGGCTGGTTGATTTGATCACTGTTCAGCAAATATTCATTCTTTTCCCTGCCTCACCACAGCCCACCACCCAAACCTCCATGGCGGAGTGTACTTCCCCAGACCATAGCTATGTGACTTTCTTTAAACCATGCAAGTGGACAGAGGTGACAGTGTACAAATGATTCTGAACCTTGGACTTAAGGGGTATCATGCATTCCCTTTGGAAGCTATGAACTTCTGCCAGGAGAAACACAAACCCGTCTAGTCTGGGCCCCAAATAAGACACATGCAACACAGCTTAACCCAATTTGCAGCCTGGAAGCTGGAACCCAGAGCATAGAGTCCAATTTCGTTCAGGAGAACTATAGCTGGTCTTGAAACTCATAAGTGTTAGAATAATTTTATCTTAAGCCCCTGAGTTTCAGGGAAATTTGTTACATAGTATTACTGTGGCACTAACTGACTGATGTACTGGATAAAGTCACTTTAACAACTACTCTCTGAGACATTGGGCCCCTACCTGCCAAATGCTAAACCCTTTGCTATTCCCTATGTTGCATCTCTCTGCTAGTCCCCAATGCAGGGGGTGTCATTATGTATAATTTGTGTCTCATTTTACCTATGTGCTTTCCGTCTGTTTCCGCCATGGCTCTCAATATCATTCTAGATCAGTCTCAGGTATCAGTTGGTGAATGCTTTGTTTTGTTTTTTTCTTTTAAGTTTTTATTTTGACATAATCATATAATCACAGGTAGTTGTGAAATAGTTCATAGAGTCTTGTGTACATCTCAGCCACCTGTTGCCAATGATGACATTTTATATAACTAGGGTACAATATCAAAACCAGGACACGAATAAAGCAAAAGTGAAATATATATATTTTTACCTGAGCTTTACTTAGCAGCTATGCAATCCTTGGTGAGTTACCTATTATTACTGAAGCTCAGTTTTCTCATCCATAAAATGGGGATAATAACCCCTACTCCAAAGGTTTGTGGGAGAATTGAGATAGTGTTCCTAGAACACCTAGAATGGTACTGAGTTAGGCACAGAAGCGGCAATAAATGGCAGCTCTCGTGATTTTTCTGTAGGTTTCACAGTGAAAAACAAATAGTAGGTTCCCAAGTCATATATACTGATGCACACCTTCTCTATGGGATCAATAGAATAACACTGGATTTTTCTTCAAGAGTTCCACAAGACTTGTCATCAATACTTCAAGGATAAAGAAAACATAATGCAGACACTCAGGAAGAAAAGACAAGTAACCTACAAAATAGGGTTACACATCTCTGCAGTGACACTGAAAGCCAGACAGTAATGGAGCAATGAGTACAATATTCTAAAGGAAAGAATGTGAGACTCACATGAAATCCATTCAAGATATCATGCCAGCAAAGAGATGGCAGAGAAAGTATGAAATGGTTCAGAAAAACCAGCACCCATGAGCCCTCTTGTTAAAAACCGCTTGGAATGAAATCCAGACAAATAGGACTCTACAGAACTAAAACCTCAAGAATGGAGAATCTTTGGTCAAACAATGGAGAAGGAGCAGAGAATCCTTTTACATAAGACTGATATTAAGCAATTGTCAGAATTATGGTTACCAAGCATAACATAACCGTTATGTAAACTATCACAGTGTGAAAATAATATAAGAATGAGGAAAATCACAAGGGAAAATGGAGAGAAGTATGAAATTACTAACATCCTCACATTTCATAGCAGGGAGTCAATCAATATTATCTAAAATTGAAACTGTAATTCAAAGATATGTAATGTCTCCAACTTCTTAATGTTACTAATCATCTCTTCCTTTAACCTTAGAAGCAATCTTTTAGGAGCTAATTAATATCTCTTACAGAAAAAAAAATGTACATGAAGTTTAGTGATTCTCTCAGTTCCATATCAGTTTCATTTCTTTCTGAAGTAAAGTAAAATTAACGAAGTAAAGATAATGATAATACTTTCATAAAACTGGATGAATAACAAACTACTAAAATAAAAACATGGTTTTGTAGAACTATCCGTCCATCTTTACTTCCATCCTTCATCCCGGACACATACTTTGGAAGGTGCTCAGGACAAGGATCATCCAGCACTGATGACATTTATTCCTCGTGGGTGGGAATTCCAGCTGGTTTTTATTTTATTTTATTTTATTTTATTATTTGTATGTCTCTGTATTGCTTGATCTTTATCACAAGGATGAATTGTTTTAAAACAAGGAATAAAGCCGTTGTGACTTGGCCTCTCATGGGCCGCCTCTTGCAGCAGTTTGTCTTTCTGTTCCAAGTACTGCTTAAATAATGTAAACTGGAAAGAGAAGCCAGCTTTGATCTGATTTATTCATGCTGTCCATTTATAAAAACCGAAGGCAGTGGATAAAGGCCCAGCCAACCTGCTTCTTGTTGCATATAAACATAGCAATAGAGAGCCGCAGGAAGGGCAGAGGGGAAGGTGCTCAGCCATCAGTGTGGGTGTGGGTCCTGTCTTGAGTCATCCTCTCCCTCCCACCCCCACACACTCTTGAAAGCCCATCTCAGGGTCTTCATCAGGACACACACTAAGAGCGACACTTGAATCATATCCCAGAAAAGGTCAATTCTGAGATCCTGCCTCAATCTATTTTTCTGCCTCTTTGGCTTCTCTTCCCTCTGAAACTTGGAGCAAATAAGTATTTCTTTCTGATAAGTTTTTTGTTAATTTTCACATGAACAATAACAAAAATCCGTACATTCAGGAATTTTTGCAAGGTGCCTGGTGCTTTCATCAATAAAATTCAGTTCCAATTTGTAGCCATTATCAACAAAACTGGAACTTCCTTGGCTGTGGCAAGAAGGGACTGTTTCCCACCAGCTGCTGAGTCACTGGCTGTAGTTCTGTCAGGTAAGTGCTCCTGGAGCGAGCTGCAGATGCTGACTGACACAGAAACCAGAAAGCCTCGCTCCATGCCCCTGATAGATTCAAACAAACACTTGGGCGTTTAGCCAGGGGGCTGTGAAAGGACACTGCCCTGCATAAAACCCAAAACCGGAGTTGGTCGTGGAAGGCTATGTGCTTCAGGCGATTCAGAATCTTGTCGCCAGCGAAAACCCTCAGAAACCTGCTGAGAAAAAGATCCACTAGAGGACATGGGCCCTCCCCACTTTTAGAGGGTGAGCAGAAAAAGTGGGTCCCTCTCCACTTTTAGTGGCCGAGCAGGAACCTGCACAGAAGGGAAGCTGAGGCGGTGGATGCCTGTGCTTCCTAACGGCACTGCCTCAGCCAGAGGGCTCCCATCATCAGTCACTTTCTCCCATTACCCTCTAAATGTGCAGGGTGACAGTGCTGCAGATCCCTCCCCAAGGTGCACGCTGGTCAGCCTTGCCCAGCTAATCACGTCTCTGTATGGTAGCGAGAGCTGCTCTTGGCCCATCTCAGCCCATATTTCTCTAGTACAGCTTGATGAGCGTTCATGGCACCACACGGTGCTCAGAGCGTGTGTGTGTGGGTGTGTGTGTGTGTTCTGACATCCCTTAAACACCACTAGTGTTGCTAACAGGGTGTGTGTTTGTGTGTGATGTACTTAGGTCTCCTTTTCTATTAACACTTGTTAAAATACTGTTAAGTTCAAGGCAGAGGAAGTATTTCTGAATTCAGGTTATTTGTGAACACTCCGCACACTCCATAAGAAGGCTTCAATTACACAAGTTAAAATTTTTTTTTAAATGACTTCATTAGGCTGGGCACGGTGGCTCACGCCTATAATCCCAGCACTTTGGGAGGCCGAGGTGAGCAGATCACAAGGTCAGGAGATCAAGACCATCCTGGCTAACACGGTGAAACTCCATCTCTACTAAAAATACAAAAAATTAGCCGGGTGTGGTGGCAGGCACCTGTAGTCCCAGCTACTCGGGAGGCTGAGGCAGGAGAATGGCATGAACCCAGGAGGCAGAGCTTTCAGTGAGCCGAGATCGCGCCACTGTACTCCAGCATGGGCAACAGAGCGAGACTCCGTCTCAAAAAAAAAAAAAAAAAAAAAAAGACTTCATTATAGGCAATTCATGCATTCATGCCCCACCTCACCCTCTGCATGAACCCACAATGACCCTATGAAGTCACAATTTAGTGTAGGTAATAGACGAAGAAAACAGGGATTTTGTTTAATGGAGACTCAAAACACCAACCCTTATGGTCAATAGGTGAACAGTTAGTTCTACATATAAATGTGTGCATATCTGAGATGTACGGAGAATTTCTTTTTCTGCTTCTTTTTCATTACCCTTCACTCTTTCCTGGGACCTGCCTCTCAATTGCCCTCCAGACTCCAAGCCTTCAGGCTTTCCTCTTTCCCGGATGGAAGTCTCATCCCAAAGAAGAATTTGAAAAATCCATTCATACGAAGCTCTAAAAGTTCATTAATGTAAATATTTCTAGGAGCTTGTTGCATATGCATCCATCTTCTATATTAAAGCAATGAGATCTTTTCAGAGCCCAGTCGACTTTTGTGTACTGAGAAAACTCCTCAGAAAACATTCGTGGAATTAGGACAAAATTCCCTCTCCCAGGAGTATTCATATTTTAGCAAAGATGAAAGCCTCAAAGCCAAGACAATGAAACCCTAATGGAGAGACATTGACCAGTAGGCAGAGGAAGCATTTCTGAATCAGTGAAGCCTTTTGTAGTCCTCCAAAAGATGCTACCTAGGTGGCCACCTTCGTTAGTAATTCATTAGCCCAAGTTTCAAGCAATCTGGTTTATTCTTTGATACGCGGCAGTAATTCTCAGGACCCATGTGTTCGGTAGGATGAAAACGGGTGTTGCACAGAATAAAGGAAACTGTGGTCACATAATTTTGGCACACACAAACAAAATTAAGCGGGTGTTTCTACTGAAGACTTTCTCGAGTATTAAATACACTGAAGTGTACTTAGGATCTTCAAGAGGAAAACGCATTCCTTGATGCTTCTCCAAGTCGATCTCTCTTAGCACCAAGCTCCGAGACACAGATCTTTAGCAGTGGTTCTAGCATTTAGATTCCTGGTGGACATAATAATTGTCTTGAGGGCTGTGGCAGCCATAGAGTTGCGTGGCTCGGGTCTTTCCCACCTGCTGTGGGGTGCGCGGTTGGATCGCATTGCTCAGATATTGCACCTTGATTCCACAACAATGTTCTTGCCAAGCCCAAGCTTCCCCTGGGCTGCTCCAACCAATGACAGACTTCAGCAGCAGCACTAGAACTGGCCATTCCTCTAATGCAGGGTTCCCAGCCTCAGTTCTACTGACATTGGAAGCTAGGTAACTTTTTGTTTTGGGGGCTGTCCTGTGCATTGCGGGATGTCTAGCAGCATCCCTGGGCTCTACCCACTCGATGCTGAGAGCATCGTTTCCTGCAAGGTATAACAACCAAAAGTATCTCCAGACTGCAGAGTGTCCCTGGGAGCAGAATTGCCCTAGGCTGAGACCGTGTGTTCTAATTGGCCATCTCGACTTGAGGACTCCCCCAGCAGCCTAGCTAAAATGTTGTCCAATCTACACTGTAGCCTGAAGTTCTTCCTACAAAGTCTTCCTTACTTTCTGCTCTCTTTTGACATGTGCTGACCCTGCATCACTGCCAGCTCTCCCACCTTCTGCTGCCCCCCATGCCTTTCTCCTTCACAGACATCATGTCCTCTAAAAGATATGTGTACCCAGATTCTGTAAAAGGGAACTTATTTGAAACTTCTATGAAAAACCAGAGTGTTTTCATATAAACATCTCACACACAACACACATAAATACACAGACAGACAGAAGACCCAGTAGTTGTAAGATTTTTCATTTTGCAGTTTTTAAGTTTCTTAATTGGAATACTAGCTTCAGGGTGGAGCCCTTCAAGGACCAAGACCAGGAAACATGTAGTTTCTAGGGCCTAATAAGCAGGCACATCTGGAAAGCAAAACAGATCCCCAAAAATTAAGGGTCTTATTTTTATACCAGTTCCTGGATCTCAACAAGAGGGAATCAGCCCATCTCCCATGGAAATCTTATTTCTCAGTGGGGGGTGGGGACATTTCCATACCTTCCAGGTGGCCAAAAGCATGCTTCTTTGATCCAAAAATGCAAAGAGTTAAGCATCCCTCCATAACTGCTGTTAACCATCCTCAAAAGTACATTTCTTACTTAGCTCTTTCATAATGCAAAGTAATTTCTGATACCCCCCAAAAGTCAAAAACATCAGGCAATGCAATGCAAAACAGAGCAGAGCCTTAGATTTTGAGAGGGACCTGTCAGCTTACAGCTCTTGGGGTTCCAGGAGGAAAACAGAGGTTTTTTCCAAAACAGGGTCTGTGGCACCTTTTCTGTTTTTCCCAAAGAGTCCCAGGCTGCTAGAAATTACTTTAGGTCCTCTCATGTGGGCATTGAGAATGGCAAGAAGACAGACTGGGGAAATAATTCAGTCGACTGAATAGAAAAACAAACAAAAACTTTCTCTCAGTGGAAAAAAATCAAGACTTTATTTATTTATTTATTTATTTATTTATTTATTTATTTATTTTTGAGACAGGGTCTCACTGTTGTCACCCAGGCTAGAATCCAGTGGTGTGATCATGGCTCACTGCAGCCTCAACCTCCTGGGCTCAAGCAATCCTCCCATCTCAGCCTCCCAAGTAGCTAAGACCACAGGCACGTACCATCACACCCAGATAATTTTTTTGTATTTTTAGTAGAAATGAGGTCTCACCATGTTGCCCAGGCTGGTGGAGGGCCCTTTAAAACACAGATGGCTGGGCCCTATCCCTAAGCTTCTGAGTCAATAGATGTGGAACAGAGCCTGAGGGTTTGCACTTCTAAAACATCCCCAGGTGGTGCTCATGCTTTTGTTTCACGGAACACACTTTGAGAACCACTGAACTACAGGAAACCCTTGACAACACATTCCTCTAAAGAATTCCTGGATCCTTCCCAGCCTTCCAGAATACCAAAATGCTCTCTCTGAAAAAGGTCCCTGAGACCACCTTTTCTTACCCATTCTCATTGTACTGAAGAGGGAACTGAGTCACAGGGAGGTGAGAGGATGCCTTGCAAAATCAAGCAGATCTCAGATCTGGATTTTGAGCCAGAGTTTGTTGATTCACGCCAACACATCTGCCCACAAGGCCTGTCCAGCTTTCTCTATTTCTTCTAATCTCAGTCCTGCAAAATGTGGCTGGTATCAATTGCCAATGCAAAAGCAGCAGAGCATCCCACATCACAAAGCTAGAGTGCAGTCTCCAGTGGGAGAGGACGCCAGGGCCCCATAACTAGGATCGTGGGAGTGAAACGGGAACTGCTGTGGAGATTAAAATTGAACATACCCGATAGCTCAGTTCTGTCACCCTGATATGTCAACTGACAAAATTCAGCAAAGAGCTCCATTTTCATATATATAGATTATAAGATTATAACCTATAGATTCTTTGCACTTTGAAGTGCAAAGAAATTATCCAATGTCTAATCTGAAGATGTCCCTAAACCTTAAATGTTGCGGCCTCTTTTTCAATAAAAATATCAGCACTGAGCTTTCTGCTCTCAGGAAGGCTGCAGCTTGTTGTGTCTAACACGGACCAGAATTGACTTGTTTTTTTGTTTTGTTTTTTTTTTTTTTGCCTTTCAAGTGTTGTTGAGTCTACAAAATGTAGAAAGAAAATTTGCCAGACTTTGTTATTGAATTGGCCGGCTTCTTAGCATTATCTACGTTGTTCCATTTGAACAGAATAGGAAGAAGGACGATTTTGGACAAACATGGCCTAAAACACACTGACTCAACTTCTCTGTGCAGAAGGGATTTCTGGGCAGCACATGGTCCTCACATGCAGTCAAGTCTGGAAGCTTGGGAAGTTATGGGAGGCTCTTTTTTTTTTTTTTTTTAATTTTGCTGCCAATAACATGACGGATCGAAGAAAGCAAATAGCTCTTTTATCACGTCACATAAATCCTTATGACTAATTTACTAGCACAGTCATCTCCAAAGAGCAAATGTGGATACTGGGTGAAATCTGTTACCATCAAAACCACCACAAATCAGGCAGTGATCAATGTTTTTGTAACTATGGAGAAAACAGCAATGGGAACCCATTTTCGCAGTTCCTGCGAATGTAGAGCAAGTGGCTAAATAGTCAATCGGTGGCTTCACTCAAAGATATTTTTCACTGTTTTCTTCTGGGCAGGGTGAACAGTGACAATGCATATTCTGAAAATTTATTTCAAATGGTCTAGGCAGTTTCTCTGGAAAAGTGGGCAGAATATTCCTGGGGACTAGGGAGAAGCCAACAAGCACTCACAAAAGTCAATTTTCTCATCTGCAAAAGCAAAGGAATATATCTCCTCTGAGAAGGGCAGCAGCATGGAATCCAACACACCTAGGTGGCAGAAAGGTCTTGGGCAAGGATAAGGATTATGTCAGTGACCACTGATTTATCCAGCCAGACACCATGCTCAGTACATTGCATAAATCGTCTCATTCACCCCTCGTACAATCCTGTAACTTACACACATTACTATTCCCATGTTTCAGTTGAGAAAATTCATGCTCAAAGAAATTAAACAATGTTCCCTAAGCCACATGGATTGCTGATAAATTGCAGAAGCCAAGTGAATACTCACTTTAATCACATTCCACAATCTACAGCCTCAGTATAAGAGTAAACTGCCAACTTTCCTGTCCCACTCTTGTTCTTATTCCCAAAAGGAATTAAGGCAACCCTTTAAAGAACCATTATGGTCAGTTTCAAAATAAATAAACAAACACACATAAGCAAGGAAAGTGGAGTATAGAGAAAAATATCATCAAATGTGTGCTTGTATCCATTGCAGGGCAGCTACACTGTTGCATTTGAGGTCTCTGAGATTTTATTCTCAAGGTGAAGCATGTGTTTAAATAATATCTAGATTTCTAATAATTGGTTAAATGGAAGTATGGAAGTACATATGTGTTGTGAAATGAAATACATGTAATTCATCCCTACTGGTAAAATATTAAAACATATAATTTCATCTAATGGTCATTAATATTTGAAATTCAGGCAGACTCTTTAAAAAAAAAAAAGCAATTCATTTTGGGAATCAATGCAGAAATACTGTATTTCTTAATCATCCATCCTTGCTTCCCACACTGTAGTGATCTTTAGCCTTGAGGGATTGCAAAGTCTTTCCTGGGCACCATAAGTTGGCCTCTGTTTTTACACACAACACTGTCCTGAAAATGTATGCCAAAGGTCAGTATGACAAAAGTAAGCAACTGAACAATAGTTATACCCAGTGTACATAAGAGGACCTCTTTTCTTTTGAGGCAAATAGATAAAACACTGAGTTACACATTGTCCTTCAGACACAACCTTCAGCAATATACTTTCATTATGTTATACATGTTCATTAAGTTTATTTTTATTCATAATTGATCATATATTCATTCTACCAGCTAAGAGCCAATGAACATTAGACAAGGGTTGAAGGTTTGCTACTTCTGATACATCTGTTGCTTTCATTTTGATTGCCATTGTGTTATATTTATAAAAGCTACACTTTCTACTATATTACTAGAATTTCCTTGGTTTTTTTCATCCATATTTATAGAAGAAAACCAGAAGAATACAATATAATAGTAAAACAAATACGCCAAGACATATGCATCTATACCAAGACAGCCAATCTACTGAAAGGGAACTATGAGCAGCAACTGGCATCTCTAAGTCACAGCTAGAAATGTCCACTCCTCAGCTGACACACACAGACTGCAGTATCTTTTTTTTGTTTTTCTTATTTTATATATATATATATAAAATTATACTTTCAGTTCTAGGGTACATGTGCACAACATGCAGGTTTGTTACATATGTATACATGTGCCGTGTTGGTTTGCTGCACCCATTAACTCATCATTTACATTAGGTATTTCTCCTAATGCTATCCCTCCCCCATCCCCCCACCCCACAGCAGGCCCCGGTGTGTGATGTTCCCCGCCCTGTGTCCAAGTGTTCTCATTGTTCAATTCCCACCTATGAGTGAGAACATGCAGTGTTTGGTTTTCTGTCCTTGCGATAGTGTGCTGAGAATGATGGTTTCCAGCTTCATCCATGTCCCTACAAAGGACATGAACTCATCCTTTTTTATGGCTGCATAGTATTCCATGGTGTATATGTGCCACATTTTCTTAATCCAGTCTATCATTGATGGACATTTGGGTTGGTTCCAAGTCTTTGCTATTGTGAATAGTGCCGCAATAAACATACGTGTGCGTGTCAGACTGCAGTATCTTAAAGGCAAGTTAGGAGTGTTGAAGTATAGTTTGCAAAAGTACATGATGTTTAAAAATATTAAATGTATGAAAGTTGAGGACTACTTATGTCATATAATTACAATATCCCCTGGCATAGACGGAACAGGCTTTATTTTCCCAATGCTATCAGAAAGCAAATGATATAAAGGAAAGAAAATCAAGATTATAGACCCATGAATGGAAAAGGGAAAGGTGTCATCGCCTGGAAGCATTTGTGTTCAACAAGTGAGCCAATTTGTATGCAGATATTCCTTCCATGCCCTATGTATGAGCAAGTCTTCTTAAAGCTCCGGATCTAGAATGACCAAGGTGGTAAGTTTTAGTCCCTAGAAAGGAAGGGTAAATGAAAACCAGCTCCCTGTAGAAGTACACAAGTTGGTTTTATACATCTGCCAAAAGGACAGCTGCATACGGGTATCAGACAGTAAGACAGACTGACAACCTTTCTCAAATGAAATTAGAGGCATTCAATTCTGTCCTAATTAGCTCGCCCTGAAAGATCAGGATTTCTCAACCTCAATACTACTATTGACATTTGGAGCCAGATACTCCTTTGTGGCAGGGGTATCCTGTGCATGAAAGAGTCTTCAGTAGCATCCCTGGCCTCTGCCCATGAGATGCCAGTAGCCATTCCCCACACTTGACAATCAAAAGTGTCTCCAGACATTGCCAAATGTCCTCAGGGAAAGAATGAGCCAAAATCATCGTGTCTCCAACCTGCCCAGTAAGAGTCACAGCCTTAGATGATCAAAGCCCTTTAAGCCCACAATGGACTTGGGTATGCATGGGTCTGTTTGAAGGATTCAAGTACAAAGAATTGCTTCCCAATCTGTTCCCTTGGCTGTGCCATGCACAAATAAGCCAATATTCATGGATACTATAAACCCACTCAACCCATCTCTCCAGCCAGATATTTGCTGAAGTTAGAATTTTATCACCCAGCCCACACACCCATGTGAATGATATGGGTTGGATTGTTAGTCTGAGTGATTTCTGAAACTGGAAATCTGTCAAAAGTTAGTAAAAGAACTACTATCCCCAAGTTTTGCTTAAATAGTCATTTAGCAAATTCAATGTTCTTTTAAAGTTCTTAGGATGCATTAGCTAAAATTAGAAATTACCTAAATGGCAGGCAACAGAGTTGTAGTTAATTAAAACATAGTAAATCCTTAAAATGGAATCGCATGTCATCCTTAAATATATTTTTGAAGACTATATAATGACACAGGAAAGTGCCGAGGACATGGTGATAAATAAACTAACCAGTATTTAGAATGATATAAATACATGCGTACATATCGTGCTGTTCAAAAAACTATGAGCATGATGTTGTCAGCGGCTATCTCAGAGTAACAAGATGTTGATGCTTTACATTTCCCTCTTTTTGCCTTCATTTTCCACATGTTCTTCATTGAACGGTTAACTGTTACATAATTTGAAAGACCCAAACATTCTGTAAAACATGCTACCTATTAATTTATCCAAAACAAAAATCAAAAGTTAATTTTACATGCTCTCTTTTCCTATAAAATCCATCTTGGATGTTCAGTTTCTTACCAAATTATTGTTTTGCTCAATAATTGGCAATATTGATTGCCAGCTGGTGGCAAACACCATAATGACTGTGTTTGTGAATCAGAACTAACACTTTCTTCCCACCCGTGGTACAAATGGAAAAACACAAACAACACAGCACCCTTCTTTGCTGGAAGCATGGCGTCCCTTGCAACTGTCTTGATTCTGTTTGGCCACGAGGTAGCAAACACTAGTACCAATGCATAGATCTCCAACATTCATTTCTAAACAAAAGCCACAAAGAACAAACATCTCCACTTCAAAGAAAACTTATGAGTCAGATAGAGTCTAAGACATGACAAACATTTTTTTAAAAACACTGAAGAACATGACTAAGATTAGGAGGCATGAAGGATGATTGGAAAAGCGGGCAGCTTGGTGAGGATGTGAAGGGCAGCCGGGGAGAGGAGTTCAATGAAGAGCAACTCTAAAGGCAGGAGTGTGTCCCAGGTGCACAGCCAGAGTTCCAGCAGATGGTAGTGGAAGGTAAACCAGGCATGCAAATTAGAGGGGACCACCAGGACCAGGGCAGAAAGGGGGTGAACAATTTCTTCATCATTCTTCAGAAGAGTTATATTCTTACCTGCAGACCAGAAAAATAGGAAACGACCTGTAATGGTTGGAACAGAAGCCAGGATTGAGCTTCATCTCCAATCTCTGCTATTACTCCTTGTAAAAAATGTTTAGGGGACTATAATGAGTCCATGATTACCATTGCTTTGATCATTTCACTGTTACTTGTGGGGGCAAGTAAAGAACAGCTTTTGACATTTTGTGCTTCTAAGTCTTCAACTCTAACCCACAAGTAAGTGAGCTTTGGGTACCACATGAAGAATTTCAGAACAAGAATTTTCTGAAATGAAGGCAACTAAACTCAGAAATGTCTTTTGCAGGCCGGGCATGGTGGCCTATGCCTGTAATCCCAATACTTTGGGAGACAAGGCCAGAGGATTGCTGGAAGCCAGGTGTTCAAGACTAGCCTTGGCAACAAAGTGAGACTCCATCTCTACAAAAAATTTAAAAATTAGCCAGATGTGATGGCGCATGCCTGAAGTCTTAGCTACTTGGGAGACTGAGGCAGGAGGCTCACCTTAGCTCAGGAGGTTGACACTGCAGTCATGATCGTACCCCTGCACTCCAGCCTGAGTGACAGAGAGAGACCCTGTCTCTAGAAATAGGTATATAAATAAAAAATAAAAATAAATAAACGCCTTCTGGAGAAGGCCAGAACATCTCCATCCTTTGTGTCTAGTACATTTGCTGACATTGCCAAACACACAATTTCTCTTGGGCCCATTTTCTTATCAGTAAAACAAAGGACTCAGGAAAGAAATTTTATGGTCCTCTCCAATTCTGAGATTCCAAGGTCCTAGAATTCTTTACCACATAGCCTATATTTCCATCTGCATGGAACAGAGTAGGTAGGATCAGATCCAAAATGCAACTCAATTCACTTCTACTCACTCAACATTCAAAATTCATCCCACAAAAGTTGAACACAAAATTCAACTCAATTCACTCAACACTGTGTTGAATGCATCTCTCTTGGAATACAGAGGTAGCTTCAAATTTCTCAAGTGGCTTCCCAACACCAGAATTCTGACACTTTCCATTTATCAGTGTGTCCCAGTGTAATAGGGTGACTCCTTGACTGTTCCTTGGATATTCACCTTTGTGTGTAGGCAAGCATCCTGCATCACCTCTTTTGACTTCCTTGGAAATAGCCTTGTTTGGTGAGATGCACACGTTCTGCAAAGACTCTTATACAAGTAAATAGCAGCAAATGATCGATGTTCCCACTTTGTTTCATATCAGAGCCAAACGTAGAGGAAACAAGCATGGCGCTCAACAACACTTGGCTTGGGTATCACGGCCTCTAGCAAATGCATTCCCAGGGTCAGCCAAAGTTCAGCTTCATTTCCATCTGAGAGACTTTGCTTTGGGTTTCAGAGCCCTGTTTGGCTGGATAACTCCACTTTGATCATTTTTTATTCTCCCTGCAACATGATTTCTTAAAAGCAATGCTCTTTACATCTCATTTGGGGGCTGCACTTAACACTGATCAAAGATAATGACATTTTCAGCAAATGAAAGATACCATTTCCCTGCTCTGTCTTTTTCTAGGGCAATTTGTTGAAGCAGATTTTAGGGAAGGCTAAAAAGTAGGGGAAGTGCTCCAACTTGTGTTGCTGTGGCAACTTCTACAGAAGCTCAGATACACTTGCTCTGCTTCATGAATGCCGCTTTACTTCTTAAAATATCGATTTCCATGGTGCAGAGATGCAATTAGTCAGGTCTGTAAAGGAGGAGGGTTTTTTTCTCTCTCTTAGATGCTGGAAGGTCAGGTTGAAATGAAACCTTTTCATCGATATAATAACAGTGGAGCTTAAAAAGCTATTCCAGGTGTGCTTGGATGGAGCAATGGGTGGTGTGTATGAAGGCATCCCACCCCAAAGACCAAAGCTGTCAGAGACCACCTGAAGACAATCATTTGAAGGGGGCAGGGGTGGGTGTCATTACAATGTGGTACTTAGCAGGCAAGCCAAGAAAGCCGCCTAGGAAATCCATTCTGTGGCACTTTGGGTGGTTCATAGAACGCTTTTAGGTTGCCTGTACAACTTATGAGGCTCTGTGGTCCTAGTCCCTGACAACTGTTGGGCCGGCAACAGGTACCGAACATTCGTTCTCTACAGGACAGGATGAAATGTCCAGTGGGTGCTGCCGGCAGAAGAAGAGGGAAGCACAATGCCTGACCTCAGGAATTGCATCATAAAATGGAAGAAAAGCACAAATAAATGACACGAAAACATGCATTGCAAAAAGACATCCTACTTCCTCCCCATCCTCTTCATCCATTACATCACTGCCAAAGAGGCCTTCTAAAATGCACCACAGAATCCTTTCCAGGAACCAGCAATAGCCTCTTATTACCTACAGAATAAAATTGCATTCATCTGGGTAAAATTCTAAGCTTTCTTTCATGTGGCCCCAACTATATTATCATCATTTTTCTTCTGCGTGCCTTCTCCAACTGCCTGCTGCCGTATTGTTTCTGCATTGGCTTTCCCACATTGCCTTTGACCTTCTCCAACTTGGCAAATGTACTCAGCCTTCAAGGATGACGTCTGACTCCACCTCTTCCAAGAAGCCAACCCTGACTCTCCTTTTCTTTGCCCTTTGCTTTTACCTTTATTTTAGTATTTGTAAGCTACTTGCTCTCATGAGAGATTTCCTCCCTGATACTAGCAGCTCCTTGAAGGTGAAGACTGTGCCATATTCAACTCTGCATTCTCCACAGACCTGAATAGGGTGCTTTGTACAAAGCAACTGCAAAAAGTACCCACTGCACATACAGACTTGCAGACATGGGCATATGTCTGTGTGTGGTCAGTGCCCAGCTCTGCAGACCCAATGAAGTTTGGCAGTTGTGGGAGAGATTGGGCTGGGTTTGGGGTCAGATGGGGCTTGTCTAAGAAGATTAGATTACAGAGGAGTCCTGAGCAGTGTTTTGCAGAAGGAAAAGAGCTATCCTGGCGAATAAATAACAGACCACAGGGGAACCAGTATGTGAAAATGCTGGAGGGCAGGAATAGAGGAGCCCTTCGGAACTTGGTCTGCCTGGAATGCCAAGTATTAACTGAGATGTTCAATGCATTTAAAGGGAATAAAGGATTATTTTTAAACCCTCTCGTTCCATTTACCCTTCTTCCTTCCATGAAGGCTGCATGGCAGAATGGAAGGAATTGAGGCTTTGGAGCTGAGTGGCCTCGTTAGAGAGCCCACTTGTGTTGCTCACCAGCTGTGTGACAGAAATTACTTAACTTTTAGGAGCCTCAGTTTTCTCATCTGCAAAATGGAAGCAATACCTTATAGTATAGATTAAGCCATAATCATAGGGAGCTGCCTCACGTGCTGCACATAGACAGACAACAAAAATGTACGTATTCACATTTTTCCCTGTTGGGTAATAATGTATAGAACATACATAAGAATTTAATTTCAGCACAAAGCGAATCTCAATGCTATCTGTAACTGTTAAAGAAAACTCTTTTACTATCTTAAATGCCTCTTTGCTTTTATGAACTCTGTTTCATAGTTAAAGTGGTAGCCATGAAGTCCAAGGACATTGTAACAGGATTATAATTTGTAGGTGCAAACTCAGGACTGCCCTTGGAGACAAAAAAGGTACTTAAAATTGATGGTCACACTGGATTTAGTAACTCAAGTCCAAAGAATGGGGTATGGAAAGACAAAACAACAAGTAACATCACAGCGGAGAACCTGGCAAATACCACCCTAACTGGGCAATCAAGGTCAACACCAGCAGTGATAAGTCATATGGATAGCATGCGCCCTTGAAATCATGTGAGAAGAAGGGCACCTCGTGCCTGTGGTGTTCTTCCCCAAACCCTTAAATCCAGGCTAATCATGAGAAATACAGAAAAACACAAATCCAGGGATATTCTATAATATACCTTATCAGTCCTCCTCAAAACTGTCAAGGTCATCAAAAACAAGGAAAACCTGGAAAACTGTCCCAGCCAAGAGGAGACTGAGGAAACATGATGACTAAATGCAACGTGGGGTCCTAGATGGGATCCTGGGACAGAAAGGGAACATTTGTGAGAAAACTAATGAAATTCAAATAAAGTCTGGAGTTTAGTTAATAGTAGTGGACCTATGCTGGTTTCTTAGCTGTGACAAATGTGTCTCTACACATTTGTTGTAAATCTGAAATTTGCTTCACAATACAAAGTTTATTAATAATGTAAATAACTACACAAACAGATAACATCTGATGCCTGCATTTACCACCATGCGAAACAGGGGCCATGAACATTTGAGCTGGATGTTGGCAGAATCGAGGCTGCAGCCACCCAATCCTTAGGCCACCACACAAGCCTCAGATAGACGTGCCCAGCCTGACTGTCCTGTGGTCATCACCTTGGAAACATGAATCCTGACTTCCTTTCAAGATCACTCCCTTCCCTACAATGCACACTACTGCAAAACTAGAATCTCAAGCAATCGTGTGTGAGAACATGTGTGCAGAGGAAAAGAAACAGTTGTATTTGTTTATAATTGTTTTAAGATCCCACAATGCCAATCATCAGGATTTTTTTCCAAATTATTTTCAGCATTGTACAATCCATATCCGTAAATGCTCTTTGTTTGTTTGTTTGTTTGTTTGTTTTTGAGACAGAGTCTCACTCTGTCGCCCAGGTTGGAGTGCACTGCACCCTCTGCCTCCCAGGTTCAAGCAATTCTCATGCTTCAGTCTCCCAATTAGCTGGAATTACAGGCATGAGCCACCATGTCTGGCGAATTTTTGTATTTTTAGTAGAGATGGGGTTTTGCCATTTTGGCCAGGCTGGTCTCAAACTCCTGGCCTCAAGCGATCTGCCCACCTCGGCCTCCCAATGTGCTGGAATTACAGGCATGAGCCACCATGCCCAGCCACATAAATGATCGTTGAATAAACATTTTCTTGAAGACAGATATTTCAATGTTGCCTTCACAAGTAGAGTAGAATGCTATCATAATGAAGGTTTTCATTTACTTCTCATTAGTCCCGTCAGCAATACGGGGCACTGGGAAGAAGCCAGCCTGCTGAACTGATTGCTGAATCCTGGGTGTTTAGATCAGTCTCCCACTCTCTGGTTGTGTGCACCACCTAGCCAAGGGATTTGGTCTCAGTTTTCCAAATTGTCTAATAAGAGTAATATTCCTTATACCCTATATTTGTTAGGAGGGATAAATATACATAAAACACTGGGCTTCAAAGGGCTAATAAATGCACAAATACGAATCTGACCATTTGGGCAGCAGTGAAGCCAATGTTTCCCTTTTGTCCAGAGACAGCGCAGAGAAAGAGTATAAACAAGACGGGATGTGAGCTTTGTGGAAAGCATTTGCAAAATCTCTCTTCAATGCTTTTCGAAGACCTGCTCCCACTGGATTGCTGTGGGTAGTTCTCAGGCTCAGTTCAGCTTCAAAATGCCATCCTTCAATTAAAATAGGGTCCCCTGTGTAACAGAAAGTGCCCTAGTTGCATGTTATAGAGAAATATTAGCAATGATTCTCCTCCAATATCCTCTTAAAAAACAAAAAATATAATTCTTATTGAAAGCAGCTTAACTGTCTTGAATATACAACCATTGCAAAGATGGTTTCAGTGTGTGTGTGTGTGTGTGTGTGTGTGTGTGCTCAAGCGTGTGCTATTCCAGAGTAAGCCAAGATTCTGACTACAAACTTTATCCACTAGCTGATGAATAGAGTGGATATGTATTGCCATTCTAGAAGTCAAGCATCCGGCATTCAGCCTTTAACCAATGATCAAATTTAGCATCATCAACAATGGGACAACTTATACCAGAGGCCTCCTGATGTATGATTTATTAAGAAATGCATTTCACCTAGGAAGTATTCTTACCAAGAAATGTTAATTTTAAATCCAATTATGAGCAAACAGAAAGATCCAGAATGGAAGACATTGTGTAAGACAGTATTTCTCAACCTTGGCGCTATTGTCATGTGTGTCCAGATAATCCCTCGGGGGCAGGGGGAGTTGCCCTGTGCACTATAGCATGTTCAGCAGCATCCCTGGCCTCTACTTGCTAGATGCCAGTAGCACTACCCAGGAACAACAACCAACAATGTCTCTAGACATTGCCAAACATCCTCTGGGGACGAGGAGACACATTTGTCTCCCTCCCTCATGCCCTACATGTGGTTGAAAACCACATTGTTAGAAAACTGGCCTGACCCTTCGATGTTTTACAGGCAACTAAACATAAAGGAGGTGGCGCAGGCAACTAAATATAAACGAGGCAGCACAATTCTAGATAACATGCAATAACCAAATGCATGCTGGACACAAGACCAATAACCATTTCCTAAGTGTTGGCACTGCTCTTACTCACAGATGCCCTACTGTGCTCAGAACAGGGCTGCATCTTCATGCCCACACCAATCCCTGGGGTGGGGGTATCCCTAAAATGCAGAATTTCCATCTGCAGGTCTGCATTGCCTATGAGCTCCAAGCAGCTGCCCTCTCTGCTGTCTACAAGCCACACTGGGCCACAACTAGAGGAGGGGTTTTTTTTTTTCTTTTTTTTTTTAACATACATGTGTTAGGTTGTTGATTCACCTGCAATTAATATATTGTCAAAGCATTATTTGAGGCCTGGCATGGTGGCTCACGCCTGTAATCCCAGCACTTTAAGAGGCCAAGGCCAGAGGATTGCTTGAGCTCAGGAGTTCAAGACCAGCCTAGGCAACATAGTGAGACTGTCTCTACAAAAAAAAAAAAAAATTATTTGAGAATAAGGTGCCTAACTACTTATGTGACTGACATATCTTTTCTGCTTTTGGGTAGAGGGGGAAGATGGGGATCACGTATTAGTATATTGTCTAAAGGAAGTAGGCCCCTATCATTAAACTCAAGATAAACTATAGTCATTTGTATGAGAATTTAAAGGTAGAATATTTGAGAAGTGTAATGAAATTATTGAAATAATTTCTATAACATGCCAAATTTTTCAATGTTTTTACTTTAAAATACAGCTTATTTGTGAGAGGAAATCTGGGGGGGAAACACAGAAAATCAGAAGAAAAGGAAACTACAGCTTAATCATTTAAATTTAATTGCTACCAACCTTTGTATTTTACCCCAGACCTTTTCCCTACACATAGGCTTATGTTGTTCGTCATCATAACAATTTTGTCTCCTTCCTATCTGTCTTACATTCAGGAGCACTTGTCTGTATTATTATGAATTTTTCCTGAACATCACATTCGTGAGTCAATAATATTCCAAATCACATTTAATATGCCATCCTCCGAAGTGAGAGAGCATTCACTTGAAACTTTCCTTTTTGTTAAACTGGTTTACAAACCATAAATGAATTTTACATATTTCTAGGAGGAGGATATTCAATGTTCCGAACACAAAAAAAGTGACAAACGTTTGTGATGACGGATATACTAATTACCCTGATCTTATCACTATACATCACATATATTATGACATCACTATATACCCTATAAATATGTATAATTATTATGTGTCAATTAAATTTTTTAAATATTTAAAAATGTTTAAATGTATTTACGTATTTATTTTTAGAGACAAGGTCTCGCTCTGTCACTCAGGCTGGAGTGCAGTGGTGCCATCACAGCTCACTGCAGCCTCAAATTCTTGGGCTCAAGCCATCCTCTCACCTCAGCCTCCTGAGCCACTGCGCCTGGCAAAAATGTTTTATTCAAAGAAATAAATACAAGCAAAAACTAGGGATAAATGACCAGAGGGAGCTTTCTTCGAAAACTACTCAGGCAAATTTGATGTCCATCCTGCTACCTCCTTGGTGTGTTGATCACAGCTTGATCAAAGAATAAAAGGACTAAAATGCTTTCTTCTTTTTCACTCTGAACTATGGGGAACTGGACCACCCCAGGTGGTTCTAGCTGTAAAATCATTGGCCAACTTGGTGTAAAAATCCCTTGAAATACTCACAATGCCCTCAGCATGGCCAAGGATGAGCAAGATGGGTGCTGATTAACCTAATTGAGTTAATCCACTTCTCTCTGGTTGGTTGGGCGGTTCATTGGCTGCTCCTCCTACACTCAGAGTCGAGGGACTGTGAGCCCCTTAGATGTTCACCTGTATAGCATGGCTTTGAAACTTTTTAAAGTCTATAGCCTGAAAGACTACGGTTTCATGACTGAGCATTATGCATTTTTAGAAACAGCAGTTAAGCTGAAAATGGAGCCGAACTCTTACATGCAGAGCACGCTGCCGACCCTGGAGCAGGGCTCGGGGAGCACAGAAAGGAGGAAGAGCCAAACTTTGCTGTCGACACATGTCCAAGACTAAGGCCAGTGCCCTGAAAGCAAACTCTAGATCATACACGAGCAAGAGCTGTGGGACAGGACAGAGGCTTGTGGATGCTGCTTCTTCGTTGACTTCACTTATTTGGGGGAAACCGCAGAAGTCATCAGAGCAGACATCGGCAAAGCGGATGCCAAGCACTGGTTTTTTAAAAAATACGGATTTGATAGCCCAGGTGAAAATGGGGAACATTCAAAAGAAAGCAAACACTGGGACACTTTCTCACCTTTAATTCCTTGCCCTCCGTGAGTTATCCGAAATTGAACCACCCCCCATGGCTCTAGCTACATGGTATAAAATGTACTTGGCAGTCAAATACAAATGAACACATGCAGTTTTATATTGTCAAGCCACTGCTTCCCTTTGCTTGATGAATCAATTGTCTTCATTTAAAAAGAAAAAGATGATGGGAAGGAATTGCATTCTTCCCCCCACCCCCTGCAGGCTGGGGTGCAGCGGCGTGATCACGGTTCACTACAGACTCGACCTCCCAGGCTCAAACAATCCTCCCAGCTCAGCCTCCCAAGTAGCTGGGACTACAGGTGTGTGCCACCATGCCGGGCTGATTTTTTGTATTTTTAGGGCAAAATGCTGGGATTACAGGCGTGAGCCACCATGCCCGGCCTGCATTCTTTATTTAAATTATTTAGATGGAAATCTAAAGAAGGCAGTCCCAGTAGCCTGGACAAAGTGGTCCAAAACATCAACAATCAGGACTGTTGGGGGCTGTGTGTGTGAAAGGTTGGGTGAGGAGGGGCCACCTGCCTCAGAATCACCTGCGGAGTTTGTCATGCGTGTGGATTCCCAGACACCATCCCAGACCTGCTGAGTCAGAGTCTTCCATGTTTAACAAGCTCCCTGAGGGGATCTTCCACGTCCTAAAGGGTGAGAAGCATGCACTGCAGTTTTTGGAGATGAGATCAACAAGATATAGGGTCCAGGTGTCACAAAACGCACCTTAAAGTTCCTGAGCAAGCAGAAATTGCCAGTGAGCCTTTAGAGAAAGCCTTGGGTTATACAAGCATTTGAAGGGGCCACAGGAGAGTCTACAAATAGTGAATCTTCTCTGTGAGATACTAAACCAACCCCTTTAGACTTGCAGACAACTGCGTAAGAAGAGGATGCAAGGGAGGGAGAGGGGCGTAAAGGGAGAAGGGAAGAAAGGCCTCAATCCAGCCGTCTGCAGAGAACACAATGGAGAATTCTTCCTGCTGCCACTTAACCAAAGCCCTACCAGGCAAAGTCCTCTGCTGAAAGCTCCGAGTCTTCTCGGGCTTCGACAGGTACATCCTGGCAGGCTGGTTTGCTCAACAGCAGACTGTCTCTTGTGAGAGGAACGCCAGTGGGGCATTTATGAGCACTGTCTTTTGGCAACCTCACTACGCAGGCCTGTGAACGCGCAGCCAAGAATCCCAGCACACCTCTGGCATCTGTGTGGGCAGAGAGCAGTGACGCCAAAGTCCACTTCTTGAAAACGTAAGGCTTCATGGCTTTCTTCCACAAAGAAGTTTCTCATTTGAATGACTTTAGGAAAGCACATCTGGGGGGGAAACTTCCAATGGTAGGGTTACTTTCTTTTGTGGGCCATTCTGTGGAAGATTGGTGTATAATTCTTGTATGGAAAAATAAAGCAGGAGCTTCTATTCATGTTGTTCAAATTGTCAGACTATGAAGGGGCAGTGACTTCAGCAACTGAGTGGGACGCAGCAGGAAACCGGTGATTAGAAGTGGGACCAGTCCATATTTGTTCCATGTATTTCCTACCAATCTTTTCGGGGCCATGGTTGATTTGGTCATGGCACACTGATTATGGTGAGGAGACACAGTGTTAGGCTCCCTATCCACACCAACTATTAGGTATTTGCTAAGTGTAAGCTAGACCTGGGATGCCACGCTGGAAGAGGAATACCGTGAGATAACCCCACCCTTCCTCATTCCTTCTAGTCACAGTTACCACCATGGGGCGAGGACGGCTCAAACTGGATGGAAAGGTAGACCCATGAGCATACAAATTTTCCTTCCAGCAGAAGGGACCTGCTATAGTGAGTCACGATCATCTGGCCTCCAGGAATCTCAACTCCATCTGACTGCTCAGCCCTGCCCATGTTCACAGATGCCCAGACTCACATCAGCCCAGCTTTCCCTAAATGAATGAAAACTGCAGCAAATTCAAATTTCGCAGAATAAAACTAGAAGTCCCCTTCCCTCACTATCTCTAGGTGGAAACATCATGTTTCACATCCAAGAGACTGATGCTAGCAAACATACCATACCGTTCACATCTGATCCTGCTAACGACAGCTCACAGCTGGTTGCTATGGCACCCAAGCACCCCACATACAATCACAGCACCCGCACAGCAGCTGGATTCAGGAGTCAGGTAGCCTGGAGTTGAGGCAGGCTTCACCTGCTGTAGACCATCTGTGCACTCTCCTAGCTCTCTCTGCCTCAGTTTCCTCATTGATAAGTAGAGACAATAATAATGCCAACTTCATAGACTGGCTACAAGGCTTATGTGAGTCAACATTTGTAAAGGGCTTAGAACAGTGGCAGGCACATAGTTAAGCATATTCACACAAATTGGTTGGCATAAAGCAGAGATTTATGATCTCACAGTTCAGGAAAGCAGAAGTCTATAATCAAGGTGTTGGCAGGCTTGGTTCCTCCCGGAGGCTCTGAGGAAGAAACCATCCCATGCCTCTCTCCAGCTTCTGGTGTTGACAGCAATCCTTGGTGTTCCCTGGCTTGGAGAATCTCTTGGGGAATCTCCAATCGCTGCATCCATCTTCACGGCCTCCTCTTTCTGTCTCTTATAACGTAAACCCACCCCCATCCAGTATGATCTCATCTCCATCCTTATCCTAATTATATCTGCAAAGACCCTCTTTCCAAATAAGGTTACATTCTAAGGTTCCAGGTGGACATCAATTTTGGGGGAACATTATTTAAACACTACAGAAAAAATATATGTGTTTCTGAAGTAATTCCACACATGAAAGGCAAACTTCTCCAGTTTCAGTGTGACTGTCATTTTTTCTTCCTGTAATGTTTAGAAGAACTTACCAGTGTAGCTATCTAGGCCTGGAGTTTTCTTTGAGGAAATGTTTTTGACTATGGATTTAATTCCTTGAAAATGCATAGAATATTTCAAATTGCCTATTTCTTTTTGTGTTTAATTACAAATTCACTCTTTTCGTCTAAATATTTAAATATATTGGCCAAAGGTTTTGTTTTTTGTTTTTTGGTTTTTTTTTACGGCTTCCACTTATTTTCTTTTTAATGCCTGGCAGATGTGTAGTTATATCCCCTTTTTCATTCCTGATATTGACATCTTGTGCCTTTCGTTCTTTTCTTTTTTTTTTTATGATTAGTCCTTCCAAGGAATTATAAGTTTTATTAGTACTTTCAAAGAGCAATGTTTGGTTTTGAACTTTGGTTTTCTTGATTTTTCCTTGTTCTATATTTGTTTTCCACTTTATTAATTTCTGTTCTTTAATATTTTCTTCTACTTTATTTGAGATCAGTATGCTTTTTTCCCCTAACTTCTGGAGACGCATGTTGAGATTCCTGACTTTTGGCATTTCATCTTTTCTCATGCCTGTATTTAATAGTAAATATTTTCTTCTCTTCAGGGTTTTAACTGAATCCCATAAATTTTGATATGCCATGATTTCAATTCCATTCAGCTGCAAATATTTTCTAATTTCCGTTGTAACTTCTTCTTTCACTTTTCTACTATTTAGAAGAATACTGCTTAATTTCTAAACATGGGAATTTTCTAGTTATCTTTTTATCACTGATTTCTAGCTTACTTCCATTGCAGCCAAGGAATATACTCTGTGGAATTTTAATTTTTTAAGATTTGTTAAAACTTGCTTTATGAGTCAGTATATGGCTAATTTTGGTCAATTTTCTATGTGCACTTAAAAATAATAGTATATTTTGCAGTCTAAGCTTTAGCGTTTTATTACAACAATTAGGAAAAGTATGCCAAACATGTTTAAATAGTCTCTGCTTCTGAATTTTTGTATACTATTCTTTCAGTTGTAGAGAGAGATATCTTAAAATTTCATGCTTTAAAAAAAGGCAAACTTCTCTGATGAACTGTGCTCTCCCTCCGATGACAACACCCAGCGTGAACACAATCCTGTCTCAAAGGGGAAAGGCAGAGCTTCCAGAACTTTCCACATCCATGAGCAAGTGAGGAAGAAGAACTTAGAAAGATGCTGACCCAGCCCCCCCACCCCCACCCCAGCTGGATTTGCCTCTGAATTCAGTTGTAACAAAGAAATCCTCGTGTGCCTGGCAGCCCTGGGCCCCTTCCCTAGTTGGGAACTAAGGGTCACAGGGGCCACCGCACTGCATCCATGGAGATGCCATGAGCAGGCTGGGGCCCGGCTGGCACAAGCATCAGCCCAGCCCAGCAGACAGCAGTTCCCACTCACACCTAAGCCTTCCCCAGGCCCCAGGCGACTCATCTCCCTCTCACATCCCAGAGGGAACCTGATTTGGAGCTTTGTTGTGACTACACAAACACATATAAATATGCGCACATATATATTTACTGATATGTAAGATTTTATACATACAAATTTATAAATTATTATAAATATGTAATATTTGTTTATATATTTATGTAATCATTGTTTTAATTACTATTTGTAATATTAAATAATTTTATAAAACATTAATTATATAACATTGTATTATTGAAATATAACATTCAAGAACTATATAATTATTTATATAATTACTTGTATATACATAACATAAAGTTATATATATAATTATATCGTTATAAAATCATATGATATACATATGTAAATACCACCTATATTATATAATAATATAATTTCAATATAGATCAGGTCTTTATGTTTACGTATAAGTAAATTATATGTAAATTTATACACAAATATTTATATTAATTTACATATCAACCTGTAAAGTATCTATATAAGTTTATGTATGAAATATGTCTAAATATATTTTTAAAATATATTTAATATTTCTAAATACATAGTATTTCTATTAATTTCAACACATTAATTTATCTATTTTGATGACCCTTTGTAGAAAACTGACTATAATCCATGCTGGGGTAAAGTCATTCTCTTTCTCCTGCTTTTTTAAAGGAAGTTAAAACATTTTCATGGGTCCTGGGCACTGTGCCTCGTGAGCCTGGTGGAGAAGTCTGTGTGGCCTCGAGGAGGCACTCACAGAAGTTTGACATTCTCCTCTGCCACCGTGAGACAAGTGGATAGTCTGCCCTTAAGATGACATCGTGAGCTCAGCAGGACAGTGTGTGCAGCCCCGCAGTGACTCAGGAAATGTTCAATGATGATCCTGGATGGTATAGACATCTACGCACTCGGATGTGACTTCCTCTGAGAGGTAGTGTAGCCCCACATCCAGAGAACTGGACTGAATTCCTATGAGAGTTGAAGTACACATATCACCAACAAACCAAGAGGCAGGAAGCTCTGGGGGGTTTCATCCTCCTCTGAAATGGAAAAGTGAGTTTCACAGAACTCGTGTTTCTCTTATTAGAAATAAACCTGCTAGGTAATACCCGTTGATGCCTCAGGCGTAGGACTTTGTGTTTATTTGCACAGTTTTGGGTTAGGACCAAATTTGGAAGATTTTATTTTTGTATTTCTATAGTGATACACAGAATCTAATAATAAAAAAAATGTGAACTGGTGTAAGGAAAAAAAGCACCAAAGAGTGATTATGTTCATTGCCAATGATTTATCACTTGCTGAAAAATGAGGGATGTTCCTTGGATGGGAACAGAATGTCTGCCAGAGCATCCTCTTGCCAACAGAGGAAAGGAGATGCAGGAGCAAGGACTGTTCCTGTCATAAACGTGAATCCTGGCTGGGTGTGGTGGCTCATGCCTGTAACCCCAACACTTTGGGTCACCAAGGTGGGTGGATCACTTGAGCCCAGGAGTTCGAGACCAACCTGGCCAACATGGCAAAACCCCGTCTCTACTAAAAATACAAAAATTAGCCAGGCATGGTGGTACACGCCTGTAATCCCAGCTACTCAGGAGGCTGAGGCAGGAGTGAGCCGGGATTGTGCCACTGCACTCCAGCCTGGGTGACAGAGCAAGACTCTGCCTCAAAAAAATAAATTAAAAAAAAATTTTTTAAATAAAAACATGAATCCTTCTACCATGAATCACTTCCACTTAATCTAGATTTGAAGATATAATTCCATATGATTTTTTAAAGCCACATTTTATTTTGTAATTTTAATTTTTAATTTTTTAAAGGCAGAATCTAACTTTGTCCCCCAGGCTGGAGTACAGTGGCGCTGTCTCAGCTCACTGCAACCTCCACCTCCCAGGTTCAAGCAATTCTCGTGCCTCAGCCTCCTAAGTAGCTGGGACTACAGGTGTGTACCATCATGCCCAACTAATGTTTGTATTTTTAGCACAGACGGGGTTTCATCATGTTGGCCAGGCTGGTCTCCAACTCCTGACCTCAAGTGATCTGCCTGCCTCAGCCTCCCAGAGTGCTGGGATTACAGGTGTGAGCCATCATGCCCGGCCTCTTATGAAATTTTGAGAGAGTGCTTAGCTCCCCTTTGCTCATGGCATTGTTGAATTATGGTCCCTAATTCCAGCGGGACAAACCCTACCGTACTCCAGGCTCAAGTGATTCGAATCAAAGATAAATAAAAAGGAGTGTATAGAGAGCAGAGCATGACGGCAGAGGTGTCAGATCAACACGGCACTCACTCTGCATTTTTCCAAATAAAATTCAAACTTTGCAAATGGATGGTGCCAGGACACTTGAATATTTGTATGGGGAAAACAATGCATCTTGACCCTTGTTTCACACCGCACCCCCAGGTTGACTCAAAGCGCATCATATATGAGAGAACTAAAGCTCTTCAATTTCTAGTGGTGAACCTAAGAGAAAAATCTGTGGGAAATCAGATCAAGTGAGGATTTCTGTATCAGGACACAAAAGGCACAACTATTTTTAAAAATTGATAAAATAGACATTATCAAGATTAAAAACCTTCGCTGTCTGACAGATACAGTTAGGAAAAAATGAAGAGGAAATCCACAGTGTGGGGAAATTTTGCAAAACATATCTGACAGAAGGCATGTATCCAGAATATAGGTAACTCTCACACTCAATAAGAAGACGAAAACCAACCCAATTTTATTTTTTATTTATTTTTTCTTTTAAAGACCAGGTCTCACTCTGTCACACAGAGTGGAGCACAGTGGCACAGTCACAGCTCCCTGCAACCTTGAACTTCTTAGTTCAAGTTATTCTCCTGCTTCAGCCTCCCAAGTAGCTAGGACTATGAGCATACACCACCACAGCCAGCTAATTTTTTTTATTTCATACTAAGACAGGGTCTTGCTGTGTTGCCCTGGCTGGTCTCAAACTCCTGGCCTCAAGTGTTGCGTCTCAACTTTTCAAATGAGCAAAAGATAAGAACAATCACCTCAAAAGAGAAGATATAAATAGTCAATACACTTACAAAAAGATGCTCAAAACCATTAGTCATCAGGAAAATCCAAATGAAAATGCCTATACATTTAATAGAATTGATAAAGTTAAAAAGACTGACAGTAACAAGTATTAATGAAAATGCAAGCCGGGCGTGATGGCTCACCCCTGTGATTCCAGCATTTTGGGAGGCTGAGGTGGGAGGATTACTTTGAGCTCAGGAGTTCGAGACCAGACTGGGCAACATGACAAAACCTTGTCTCCACAAAAAATACAAAAATCAGCCAGGCATTGATGGCTTGCGCCTGCAATCCCAGCTACTTAGGAGGCTGAGGTGGGAGGATCACTTGAGCCCAGGAGGTGGAGGTTGCAGTGAGCTGTGATCGCACCACTGCACTCCAGGCTGGGAGACAGTGAGACCCTGTCTCACAAAAAAAAAAAAAAAAAAAAAAAAGGAAAATGCAGAGCAAGTGAAACTCACATATATTGCTGGTAGGAATGCAAAATTGTTCTTATAAAGTTAAACACACATGAACCATATGACCCAACAATTCCACTCCTAGGTATTTACCTAAGGAAAGTGAAAACATATATCCACACCAGCATCTGAATGGAAATGCTTATTTAATGTATATGTTACAATGGCTTTATTCACAATCACCAAAAACTGGAAACAACCCAGCACCATTCGACAGGTAAATAGAGAAACAAACAAATATCCATCCAACTGAATACTCCCAAGGGATAGAAAGAAAAGAATGACTGTATCATGCAACTCAAATGCATGATGCTAAGTGAAAGAAGCCAGACAAGAAAACCTCATACTGTATCCTTCCACTTATGTAACATATTAGAAAATGCCAAAAAACAGGTTCCACGCTCAATTTAATGCTCTGCTGTTGCCATCTTTAAATTCTTAATTTTTGAAAAGGGGTCTTCATCCTTTCATTTTGCTCTGGAAGCTGCAAGTGATGTAGCTGGTCCTGCTTGGTTTCACCATGCAGTGTTTTTGAAAATATGCAAGAATTTGGGAATGACATTTGTTCCTATGCTTACCTGTTCCCAATAGGCCCCACACTCTTAATTTTTTTTTTATACCCAGAGCTTCCTGAAACATCCACATTACTGCCTGACTCCAGAAAGCATTCAAGTTTTCAAAACTTGCAAAAGCATGCTGGTCACCTGATCTCAGAAACCGCAAAAGAAAAAAAAAAAAAGGCAATTGCCTACATAAGAAAAATCCTGTTAACCAAGTTTACACTCATTCTCCTCAGCCTGCACTTCAGTGTCTGGTTTGAATCACAGCCACACACTGTCGAGGCCCCTCTGAGATGTGCAAAACTCAGCCTGTCATCTCACTAGATTATTCCAAGTGTTCCAAGGACCGATGGAATTTTTTGCTTTCTGTCTTGATGTTCTCTTGGCACCCACCCAGGAAGGTCTTGGGTAGTGCACTGAAAAGGAACATCTCCAATCTCCATCCAGGAGAATCTTAACAAATGTCCAAATGTCTCTGCTTTCTCAAAATCTGCCTCATGGCCAGGATGGATGCTTTCTGCCCTGTCAAGTTTCCAGCTCCCTTTTCTAAAAGTAGCCTTATAGAGCCCCGTATCTATAGAATTCCTGCAATTGATATCTCTAGAGTTCCTGCAATCGGCATGGCAATCAGCATGGACTTGCGGAATAAAAAGTGTCATCATCTCCAAAAAGCAATCCACACCAGGGAAAAACAAATCATCTTCAATGCTGTGAAAATGCCTTGGTGATCTCTGACAAAGAAATTTAAGGGTTTGTATTAAAACTGGCAGAGCAAACTTCCTGCTGAAAGCCACAGGCCAATCCCCAGAGTAACATACGTCTTGACAGCGAGAAGAGCCACTGACATCACATTATGAGTTTCCATGAGCAACAACGATGGAAGCCATGGAGAAGAAAAACTGCACTGCCAACTGCCTCAAACCACTCCAAAGACAATTTTTAGTACTGGAGGAGAGAAGAGTGCTTTTTCATCATGCAGACTTTCCTGAATTGATGCTGAGAGGGATGCAGCAATTTTGGTGGTCAATTCTGGTGGCGCTTCCAAATGACGTGATGTCGCGAAGGTACATTCCGCACAGGCTGGCCCCTCTACGTTGCTGAGAAGCACTCCACAAGCACACACTCTCGTTATTCCACTCCACACAACTGTGAAGGAGGTGAGTGGAAAATTGTTGCTTTTCTTGTGTTACAGATTTTCTTTAAAAATGTGAGGGTGCAAAGGGTTAATGCGTGTTTTATTTTTGAAATCACAAGGTTGCTCCAATGCCATCTCCAGCTATGGGGGAAAGGAGCTACCACTGAGCAGGGAGTCTCACTCTGTCACACAGGCTGGAGTGCAGAGGTGCAATCTCGGCTCACTGCAACCTCCACCTTCTGGGTTCGAGCAATTCTCCTGCCTCAGCCCCCTGAGTAGCTAGGATTACAGGCACCCGCTGCCACGCCTGGCTAATGTTTGTATTTTTAGTAGAGATGGGGTTTCAGCATGTCAGCCAGGCTGCTCTCAAACTCCTGACCTCAACTGATCCACCCACCTTGGCCTCCCAAAGTGCTAGGATTACAGGCGTGAGCCACCACGCCCAGCCAGCACATTTCCATTTGAGGCTCATCTCCTCATTATTTGGATTTATGAGAACTCAAGTCACAGAGGTAGCATTTTATATGACCCAGAGGAAGGGCAAGCGGGCCCATCAGCCTCTGCAAACTAGCATCGGCAGACCTTGGAACCAAGGCAAGGGGGAAAACTATAAATATTCTTTAGGACTTTGAAGGAAAATGTGTGTGAGAAATAAAAGTGAAATAAAGATTTCCCTATGCTCCAGTTGGTCTAGAGCAGAGCTATGAATAATCTAAGAAGGCAAAACAGCACTGCATTACAGCAGGAGAGAGATGGTAAAGTTGACATATAGAAGGATGTATGTGTATTCATATGTATGCATACGTGTGTGTGTGTGTGTGTGTGTGTGTGTTGGCAGCCGTGTAAACTCATTCAAGTAAAGTAAAAAGACCAGCCTAATTACTCAATTATGGACTGTCTAACTGATCCTGATTTCACAAAGCATTTTCTTTGACAAACATTAATTGAAAGCCTGCTCTACAACCCACCACAAATGAATTTTCCTCAAAAAGTATTCTTTTCAGTATGTCAGTCTTGTGTTCCAGTTACTAGGGTACATAACAAATTATCCCAAATTTGTTCGCAAATCTGCAACCTGGACAGGGCTCGTCAGAGATAGGTTGCTTCTTTTCCTCTCCGTCTTAGCTGAGGGAATTTGAAGGCCAAGGCTGGAATCCTCTGAAGACTCACATGTCTAGATGTTGATATTGGCTGGCTGTTGGCTGAGATCTTTGCTAGGGCTATTGGTTGAACAACTTATACATGGCCTCTTTGTGTAGTGTGGGCTTTCTCACAACATGGTGGCTGTCCAACAGCCAATGTTCAGGGAAGAGGTAGAAGCCATTTAGAATTTTATGACCTAGCCTAGAAGTCACATAGCATCACATTTGCCACATTCTACTTGTTGGGATGGTCACGAAGCCTCACTCAAGTTTAAGGAGATAAGAAATAGACGCTGCCTTCTGATGAGAAATAGCAAGATGCTAGAAGAGACATGTGGGACCAGAAAGCTTACAGTAATTCATGGTCTCCACTCCGGCAACTCACAGAGTGATGATCTATGATACATTCTATTGCATCGTCTAAGACACAAGTGCTTGTGACAATTGTGGAGCCATAAAAAGAGATGTAACCACCACCCAAAGTTCCCTTAGCACCCACAGATCATGAGATTAAAATAGCCTCATGAGAAAAAAATCAGTTATTATTTCTTTATCCACTCACAGCATTAGTACAAGGCAGCTCATTCTGAAACTCATTAGAAATCGTAACATAACAACAGATATTATTATCTGAGAAGATATATCCACTATCCTTGACCAAAAGAATTTAAATGGAAATTTTCTACAGCGTTTCTACAAACCACTATTTCCTTTCTAGCATGCTGGCTTCGACAGCAGAGCAGTGATTTTCAATTTGTTATGTGCTAAATATTTTAATTACATTTTGAAGTAAGCAGCATTCCAGAAAAGACAAATAGTCCAAAATGAGGTAATTAATTCTTGAAGGTAACCATACTAATATATGCATCTTTCATAGCAGAAATTAATTATTCTCAAGACAACTGTCTTTTCCCCTTGTAAATTAGGACATTTCTCCTCTAATTAGTTGAAAATGCCTGTAGGACATTATCACCACTGAGCTATGGAATTTCCTTCAGCAGGTAATTCCAGTTAGAATTGAGAGGTGTTTGAAATTGAAAGCAGAGTTTTAGGCTTCAGCTTGTTTCTGCTCAGTGGGGTGCAGAATCACAAATATAAAACCATCTACGATTATGAAGAGCCATTCATCCTGTATGCATGGGTAAGTAAGTGTTTAGCAGGGTGACCTGGACAAGGTACCAGTGGAAATATCTCTTTCTCATTTATACTGTCATCTTTTATCTTGCAAAAACAGCTCATGCTAAGAATGCAGGAATGTTTTCCCTGTGGGTCAAGCTGCATATCATGCTGAGATCCCAACCAAGAAAGAAAGGGCAGTGTGTTCACTACTGTAATGTGCCACTTAGCGTGTTACTCAGATAAAGTTGAATCTAGAACTATCTACCAGCGCTTCTTTCTGCTCCTCGAGGAACAACAGCACTTCTCCTCCTTGCCCCCCCACCCCCCACCCAGTGAGAGCAGTAGAATGAACAAGGCAGCTTCAGCCCATTGGGAAAGAATAAAGAACCCTTTGCCTGTGTGTTATCAGCCTCAATCATCGTTTAGCATGAACTCTGCAGCCCCCTGAGTTGTTGGTGAACTCAGAATTGGTCAATTCAAGGGAAGGAGGACCAGGCCAATTCACTGGCATAAGGCAACATCCTTGAGAGCTGGACACACACATTCCCAGCTAGATCCAGCCCAATTCCCAATGCATAACATCATCATAATAATAATTAGTGTTTAGTGAATTTGTAATTAATGAATAAATTGTGGCAACTGTCCGGTTTTTTATTCTTTAACAATTGTTTTAGAATTATTCACTTTAGAATTATTCACCAACCAAGTACTAGGTCATTATACGGTAGTCAATAAAGGAAGCATCATCTCTGCCTCGTGGGACATATATTTCAGTAGAATTATGTTTATTCCACTGAAAGTTATTTATATAAATAGAGATCAAGTGCACAACCATTTATTTCAAACCAACTGGCAGAATTGTCTCCTCAGTTGGTTTTAATGCAAACACTCAGAGACCACTGGAGTTAGTGTCAGTTTTTTAAAAACCTTATAAAATATCTATTTTTAACAAGATATAATCTCCTGCAAAGCAAGGTGCAGAAAGCTATAATACCTGCAAGCTGTCCTCCTACATCAATCTTGTTCCAAGATAACAGAAGAAGATGAAGCTTTCAGATCCAAGATTTACCCACCGGGGCTGTACCAGGTTAAATGAATATAGATAAGACATAATCTGGAACAAACAAAACCACAAGAACAGTATGTACTGTAGGAGTCTGATCATGCAAGGTTCAAAAACAGACAATGCTAATTCATGGTGATAAAAATCAGAATAGTTACCCTGGTTGTAGGGGAGGATGGTGACTGAGAAAAAGCATGAGAGAATGTTCCAGGACACCAGCAGTGTTTCTAGTTATCCACTGAATGGTGTTTACAGATGTAAGTATATGGAAAAAAAATCATCAAGCTGTATAGTTAAGATGTGTGTGCTCAGCTGAGCGTGGTGGCTCATGCCTGTAATCTCGGCACTTTGTGGGGCTAAGGCAGGAGGACTGCTTGACCCCAAGGAGTTCAAGACCAGCCTAGTCAACATGGTGAGACATTGTCTCTACATAAAAAAATTTAGCTGGGCGTGGTGGCATGCACCTGTGGTCCCAGCTACTCACGGGGGCTGAGGAGAGAGGATGGCTTGAGCCCAGGAGGTCAAGGGTGCAGAGAATGGTGATTGCACCACTGCACTCCAGCCTGGGAGACACAGCTTTTTTTTTAGAGTCTCTAAATTTTTTTTAATTAAAAAAAGATATGTGTGCTTTATTATATGAAAGTTACACCTCAGTGGGAAAAAAATAAAAGTGTAGAATGGAAAAGATCTTTATGAACTGAAATTTCCAGGACATATTGTTCAGTGGGGAAAAAAAACAAAGTGCAAAGTAATATCTTTATAATATGCTACCCTTCATGTAAGAATGAAGGAGATATAAGAAAATAGTCATGCATTTGTTCTTTTGTGCAAAATAAACAGGAGAGATGAATCAGAAGTGAATGCAGCTGGTTACTTAGAGGGGGTGGGTGAGAATGAAGAAGGAATGAGAGAATGGGAGTGGGGGATCACAGATGGAGGGGTGGAGAGCAGGACCTCTCTGTGTATGTGTTTTGTATGATGCTGACTTTTAGAACTATGTTATGCTTCCCTTACTCAAAAAGTAATAACTAATTAAAATCAGCCAGGACAGTGGTGGTGGCAGTAGGGCAGAGACCCAAAATGGAATTTAAAGAGTAACAAATGAGCCCAACTCTATTGCAAATGCATAACACAGACATGCTAAAAGAAGAAAAGAACTGATCTAAATAACTTTGAAAAACAATATTTTGACTACATACTAGAAGGCTTAAAAGACAAAAAGAAATGTGTACATATACTGTGTTCTAGTTAATACATATTCTTTTCAAGTGGCATGTGAGTTAGCAATTTGGGGACTATAAACATGCATACACATATAAGTTAGGGCTGAGTGAGTTCATAAATATGTTGAGGGTAATGAGGGACAGATGTTTTACTGTTGAAGAATTACAAATACAGGGGAAGGCTAGAATGAACACTGTGATGTTAGACTGGAATCAGTGACAGTATAAACTCATGGTCCTTAATATATAAACATAAAGGTATATACATATAGGTATAGATGGTTATATGTGTATGTCTGTGTATTCATAGATATACTGGGAAATAGCCCTGTTCTTTGAGAGGGTTAAGAATTGACACCACAGTAGCAATGAGCATGCCAAGCTCCCAGATCTTGTTTTCTAAATCCCTTCTCCAATACAAGGAATGGGGGCTCCTTGGAAACTGCTTATTCCCAGACTGAGGCAAGGGAAATACACAATGTTCCAGCAATATCATATGGTGCCTAAAATTAAGGAAGTATTTAGAAAATGATGGGGCCATGTCAAAAGGAATTGACAGTTAAAGGATCTCCCAATGGGCAAATCTGGGGACAACTGGAGCAATAGCAGAAATAGCAAAAAGTACTAATACTAATGAATTATAACCCATAGAATAAAATGATTATCCATGAATTCATTACTACTAAATCAAAGGAGAAGGTATAACTCTTTCTTATCATAGAACTCCCATTATTCAATGTAAAAGAAATGAAAGAAATAGAATATCACCATTTGCATGTATCACAGTAATAACTGTTCTTGAAGAAGCCATCAATGACTGTTAACATTAGCTGGTGAAAAAAATATGATAAAAAACAGGACATTTGTACACTGTCAAAGTGTCTCCTCACAATATTTTTTTATTTCAAAGGAAAAATAGTAACTTTACAATGGAGAATCCTGGCAGACACAGCCTTAGCCAACTGATCAAGGTTAATATCGCCAGTAATAAAACACAGTGACATAATCATGTGTCCCCCTGATAACATGCAGAGGACACAATATCAATTCCTTGGCATTCTTGCAAAAAAACATATAACCTAAATTTAATAATGAGAAAACACCAGGAAAACCCAAATTGAGGGGCATTCTACTAAAAAATTTGCTAGTGCTCTTTGTAAATGTCAAGAATATAAAGAACAAAGAAAGGCTCAAATTGGAGGAGTTAGGGAGACAACACCTAAATGCAATGTGAAGTCTTGCATGCACTCCTGGACCAGAAAAAGGACATTAGTACAAAAATTGAACAAAAACCTGAAGAAAATCTGCAGGCTAACTAATAGTATTATACTCATGTTACTTTCTTAGTTTTGATCATTGTACAATAGCTACATAAGTTACTAACATTTTTGAAAGCTGGGTGAAGGGTATATGTACTATATAAAGGTAATTACTTTGTACTAAAATGTTTGGCAACATTTTTATAAGTCTCAAATTCTTTCAAACTGAGAAGTAAAATAATATATTTTTGCTTTATGCACATATTTAACAGTTTTTGGAGAGGTAGGTAGTGTATCTGAATGGCACCTCTCAAAGTCAAATCCTGTAACTTCAAGGTAATTGACACCATGTGACTTCAAGGTAATTGCTTACATCCTCTATCCCTGATATAATTCTCCATCTGTGCAGTATTTATCATAATCCTCATTTTACAGAAGAGAAAGGTGAGGCAGTGAACACAAAGTGGCCACCATTGGGTATATGATGTTATTATTATTAGAATAAGGGATCAGGGAATGTCATAATGCAAGTGAAATCATCCGTTTCAATTATTTTTTACTAAGAACTTCCTCACCCTATGAAGAATCAAAGGAAGAAGCCAGGGACACAGTGAGTGGGAAAGTAAAGGAAGAAAGAAGATGGAAGGAGAAGGGAGGGAGGCTCGAGAGAGGGAAGGAGGAGTGAAAGAATAAAGACTGCCTCCTTACTGTGATAAATGTGATCTTCAGTATCATCAACATTAAGCCTTCAAACAAAAAAAATAATGTAAGGACTACATCCCTTTATTCATTCCTTTCTATACCAGGGTTCTCAAAAAGTATATCTTCACGCTCATACAATTAAGAGGATAATTGCTAATGTATAATTTGAATTCACCATGTTACTTAATCACTGTTTCCTCATTACATCAATCACAGTAATTGATCATGATGATAACAAATCCATTTCCTTCAGGAAGCAACCCCAATCTTAACCTCTTTTCTAATACTATTTATGGAATCACCCTGCCCAAGTTTTGTGTTTTCTATCTGAAACCTAATTTAGATAGATAGATAAAATGCATAGATGGATGATGGATAAACAGATATGGATGGATAGATAGATAGATGAAATGGATAGATGGATGGATGGATGGATAGATAGATAGAGATGGATTACCGTCGGATGTATACATGCATACCATCATTGGAAGAGTCAAAGAAAATTCTTCGGTGGAGTGACACCCCACTAATACAAGTACGACATGCCACCAAAATCAAAACTACTGTACTCAGGAATATATCTATGCATTCATTTGTTTATCTGCATTATATATATATATATAAATTTTTTTTCTTTTGAGACAGGGTCTTGCTCTGTCACCCAGGCTGGAGTGCAGTGCTGATCATAGCTCACTGAAGCCTGGAATTCCTGGGCTCAAGCAATCTCCCTGCCTCAGCCTCCCAAGTAACTGGGAATATAGGCATGCACCACTGCACCCAGCTAACTTTTTGTAGTTTTTGTAGATATGGGGTTTTGCCGTGTTGCCCATATTGGTCTCTAACTCCTGGCCTCAAGTGATCCTCGCACCTCAGCCTCCCAAAGTGCTGGGATTACACATAACATATATTTATTTAAACACTCAGTATGTACCAGGTTCTAGGTGCTGAGTTGAAAGCAAGGATGAAAACAAAGTCCCTGCTCCCATCAAGAATACTTTCTAATGGAGAAGACAGATATATAAACAATGAAATCTATTATGGCAAGTCCAGACAGGTGACATAAAGAAAAACAGGCTGGGCGCGGTGGTTCACACCTGTAATCCCATCACTTTGGGAGGCCGAGGCGGGCAGATCACCTGAGGCCAGGAGTTCAAGACCAGCCTGACCAACATGGCAAAACCCCATCTCTATTAAAAATACAAAAAGTAACCAGGCATGGTAGCACACACTTGTAATCCCAGCTAACCTGGGAGGCAGAGGTTGCAGGCAACAGAGTGAGACCCTGTCTCAAAAAAAAAAAAAAAAAAAAAAGAAAGAAAGAAAATGAAAAAGAAAGTGTGATAAGAGGAGAGGGATTTCAGAGAGGGGCCACGTGGGAGTGAGTGAGGTCAAGAAAGGTCTCTTGAAAGAATAAAGACCTGTATGATTATCTTGGGGAAAACAGTGACAAGTCACGAAACTGCAAGTGCAGAGACTTGGAGACTGGACTGACTGTGGCAGCCTGAGGAGCAGAGAGAAAGGCAGACTGCTTGCTCAGAGGGAGAGAAGGAATGGGAAGCACATGAAAGGGAGACAGCAGCCACATCATTTGGGATCTTGCAGGCCATGAGACCCCATGTATATCACCACTGGACGTACACATGCACACCATCATTGCAAGACTCCAATACAATTCTTGGCTAGGATGACACAGGAACTTGCAAAAACCCATGGGAAACCAGCCTCCTGTTTTATCTCTGGAGTCCACAGGTTCCTAAAACCCAAGGCAGCCTGGAAACAGGAGTTACGCAGAGCTGGAAACCTTGGCAGAGAGAAAAGCCTTCAGTTAAGCGAGACTCTCCAGGGCGAGGCAGACTTTTTTTTTTCCTCCCTGTTTTTGTTGCTTTTCACATCTGGCTTTCTTGTGTTACTTTCAGACCATCCATCTATGTTTGTGTAAAAGGGTCAGGGCCACATAGCATGGAAAAATGTAGCTTTCTCTGCTTATTTATAGGCCCAGGCCTTTTAAGGCACAGATGCCCAAAGATCTCCATCCCTACCTGGAAGTGGCAAAAGGGCAATGACAGTGGAGCCAAGCCAGCCTCCCAGAGTGTCCAAACCTTATTTAAAGCTTTTTTGGAGCCAAGGACATTTCCCTGAATCTGTTCCAAACTAGAATGAAGATGCTGGTGAATGATATTTTTGCAAAATCTGCAGGCTCAGGAATTGACAGTCTTGACATTTACGTTAAATATGAAGAACCATTTATGAATCCTTGTTGCAGAAGGCTGCTGTCAGCAAGCCAAAAATACAGCATAAAGAATAATAATAATAAAACAAAGCTGGCACAAAACCTTGTTTCCTCTTGAAAAGGCCAATTTTTAGTTTGATGGCAGTGACTCTTAGAACCCAAAAGGAAAACAAATTTCTACCCACACGGTCTGTGCTGCTCTTCTCCTCATGTTAATTTTATCTCACATCTCAAATACATAGTCATTTTTTTCCTATTGAAACTGAAAGGTGTTCTTCCTATTGAAACTCAACGGTGTTCATTCTAAAAATAAGTTGTCTGTATTTAATTCCATAAATGGTTTCTTCCTGGTGAGTGCTATTTTTCAAGAATGTTGCTTGACTGAAGTTATAATAATGAATTAGATACAGTCTCTTGCAAAATTCTTTTGAGATACAAAGTCTTCATGACATGGAAACTAATTGCCCATTAGCTTTGTTCACATACTTAATAAAATATTTCCATGAAGATAATAATCATCAAACTTCTTTGCTTCATGCTGTTCGAGAGCTAGAAATTCCTTTTTTGCCCCCAGTCAAGGGCTATGCACAACGAAAACTCATCAAATGCAAGAGCCACTCAAATCAGCTAGTATTTTTAAAAACTAGACCGCAAATACAAATCCACCTGATATCTAACTGAAAAACATGTCCCTAACATTTTCTAAACACTTCATTAATTTTAGGCACCATATGATATTGCTGGAACATCTTGGATTTCCCTTGCCTCAGTCCCAGAATAAGCAGTCTCCAAGGAGCCCTAGTTCCTTCTATTAGAGAAGGGATTTAGAAACCAAGATCTGTGAGCTTAGCATGCTCATTGCTACTGTGATGTCAATTCTTCTTTCAACTGATAACATTCATCTTCACCCCCACGGTGGGCAGAACGTTCTAACAAGTGCTTCTCACTCCTTTAAGTAGGCAACATCCTGTTAGATTTTTTTTTTCTCCCTATCTTCTTGCCCAAAAAAGATGGAGAAGGGGGCACCAACATGGTGTGCCAGAAGCAGGTGGCAGCTTCCCTGGACCAATTAGCCATTGATTGGTCAGATACTACTCTGCCCACAAAGCCACCTCTCACCCAATCTTTCTTTAGCTGCTTTAAAAGTTCTTCTCTAGATTTCTAAACAAAGACATTGTTCATATCTTCCAAGAATTTTATAGTTTTAGCTCTTACATTTAGGTCTTAGATTCATTTTGAGTTAATTATTGTATACGATGTGAAGTAGGAATCCAACTTCACTCTCTTGCATGTTGAGCATCCAGTTGTCCCAGCACTATTCTTTTAAAAGCCTATTCTCTACCCAACTTAATTGTATTGACTCTCTTGTTTAAAATTAATTGACTACAAATGTGAGGGTTTATTGCTACACTCTTAATTCTATTCAATTCATCTACATATTTACCTTTTTACCACTACCACATTGCCTTTATTACTATAATAAGTTTTGACTGTAAGTTTTATAGTGGGTTTAGAAATCAGGAAGTGTGACTCCTCCATTTTGATCTTCCTTTTCAATATTGTTTCGGTTATTCTGGGTTTGTTATATTACCAGATGAATGATAGGTTCTGCTTGTCTACTTCTGCAAATAAGCCAGCTGGGATTCTGATAGAGCTTGCACTGAGTCTATAGATCTATTTGGGAAGTACTGCCATCTTAATGTTGTTAAGTCTTCCAACCCATGAACATAGACATGGGATGCATTTCCATTTATTTAGGTCTTCTTTAATCTCTTTCAACAATGTTTTATAGTTTTCAGAGCATACATTTTGCACTTCTTCCGTAAGATTCAAAAATGCTACAGAGAGGAAATCAGCAAGGAATCAATGGCCATGGGGTGGGGGAGAGTTAGTGGGACAGAGTTCTGTTGTGACTAACTCATAGCTTTCTGCCTTGAGAGAATGCAAAGATGGTGGTGCCATTAGCTACACCAGGTGTTTTGTGAATGAAGGAGGGTGAAGTGGGTGTCAGAAATACTGAGTTTCAGGAAGTGCCTACTGTGGGTGGTAGTGTCCCCTAGAGTGGCTTTGGTATAGAATTTGAGTATACATGTTCAAGGGGAAGCCTTGGATGTGGCTGAGATCACCTGGAAAAATGAGAAAACCACAGCAGGACCAACATGCACAAAGAGACATGAGTCAGTGGAGAGGCTATACAGGACTAAGGAGCAAGACAGCAGCAAAACCCAGTGGGTATTTTGTCAGTGTAGCTAAAATAAGAGAACATGTCAAGATGGGGTGTCGAGAGGACCCTCAGGAAGGCCAGCAGGAATCAGGCTGCATATGGGGGCCCAAGTAAGCAGGCTGCTGTCTGGTCTGCTTGCCAGTCTGTGAACACCAAGAAGGCAACTACAAGAGTAGCCCATCTTTACAGCAAGTCTTCACACAGCATGGAGGGAGGGGAGCTGAATCAGTGGACACATTGCAGGGACATTAAGTGAGTCCTGGCCCAACAAGAAGCAGATGTCCACGTGGGATTAAGAAAATCAAGATGGTTTCAGAGAGAACACCTCTGTAAAAGAAAGGGCAATGCAAGTCTGCCCCCACTTGAAGGATAAAGGGAGGGAAGGTTGGACCGCTCTTGACTGATACACAGACTAAGACAGGTTCCAGGCTACCCCAGGGGAGTTGTCAAGCCAATGTCAGTCATATTGGGTCGCTGGCTGGGATTAGTCAGTGAGAAACATGGCCTCTGCACCCCTGCACCAACATTGCAAGGGACTGCAGAGCACAGTAGCTGGGGCCCTTGATCAGTTATGCGCCCTGCACTTGGAGTCTGCCAGATTCCGATTCAAGGCTACCACATACATCAATATCTGGTCTGGGTTTTCCTATGTTGCTGGAGAACTCATTAGTAGATGAGAGGTCCCTGTGTACTCTGGAACAATTGAGAGAAGCTGAGCAAAGACCCAAGAGATGACAACAAACAAAAGCCAAGAATAAAGAAAGAAAATTATGTTTGAAAAGGAATGGAGCCTTCATGCATGCCTTTCTTTCCTCAGAATTTTTTTTTTTTTTTTTTTTTTTGAGACAGAGTTTTGCTCTTGTTGCCCAGCTGGAGTGCAGTGGTGCGATCTCGGCTCACTGCAACCTCTGCCTCCCTGGTTCAAGTGATTCTCCTGCCTCAGCCTCCTGAGTAGCTGGGATTACAGGCGCCCACCACCATGCCAGGCTAATTTTTTGTATTTTTAGTAGAGATGGGGTTTGGCCATGTTGGCCAGGCTGGTCTTGAACTCCTGATGTCAGGTGATCCACCCGCCTCGGCCTCCTAAAGTAGAAAATTACATTTTATACCTTCTAGACCAAACACCATGAAACTAATATAATTAATTTTTTTCTCCTGGTAGACTTGAACAATGAATTGGGCTAAAATTATCTCGCCAACAAAATGCACACAATAAAATGAGAAGAGGGGGAAAATTGCACCTGATTCTTTCTAGCACATATCCTATCAGCCGCAGCTAATTAACTAAAGGCCCAATTACCTACTGCGCAAAAACTGTAAAGGAGCAGAGAAGCCTATTCTATGCAGAAAATCTTCATCATAATGAAATCATTAGCTTCAAGAGGAAAAAGAGTTGTACTTCAAACTTGGGAAGCGAGAAGTGTCTGATGGCTTGTCGAATTACAAGTTTCTATTCTACTTGTGGAAAAAAATATTCTGTTAATGTGTTTTATGTGTCAGATGAAAATTGTATCACCTAGCACAGCCTGTCTTACATTCTGGAAATTAATGTTTTAGAGCAGGGGGATTTTTTTTCAACCCAGAACATAATGTATGCTTTGACAAATGAGCTCTCACTTTTGTCAATAATATTCAAAGAGTAAGTAGCAATAGGACAGAGGCAGTTCTATCCATGAGAGAACAGCCAGGCATGCTTTATTGCAGAGAAAGAAAGGGAAAACAGAATAATATTCTGTACAAGAAAATTAAGTTTCAAAAGATTCAAATGTAATGTGTCAAGAAACTCTTATTTGCAAGTGGAATTTAAAAGGAAACCAAACGAAATGATGGATGCATGTTTCAGCCTCATAAGAGGACATTCTCTTCTCCTCTTTCCTTATAAACAGTATGGATCTGGGCCCACTGCTACAACCATCAGACTTCCATCACAGCCAGCATTTGTGTTTGAAAGTTCTGTTTCATCTTCCCCACACCCTGACCCTCCAAAAAGTTCAGTAGGAAATCATCCTGGGATCAGGAGAGCATCAACAGTCGCTGTTCCTGGTGGTTCCAGCCACTCCCCACCCCCTGTGCAAACAGGCTCCAGAGCTTTGAGTTCTTCATTCCCCGGGGCCCTCTCTCTCCACCAAAACCTCACAGCTTTACATCCCGTCCCATAAGGACCAAATCCCAGCTCCGATATAATTAGCTCCAGCCACAGAATAGTATGCCGTAAGTTACACAAAGATCATAGCTGTATACAAACCACATGGAAATGTCTTCCGTACATTTTAAAGATCTTTTCCACATAGCACAGCCTTCTTGCAGATAGTATAATTTACTTATTTGTTATTATCACATATTGTCTCTCCCTCTGCTAGCATGCAGATCCATGGTCCTGGGGGAGCTCTGTATGCTTTATTTGATGATCTACCTATCCCACGCCTTCAAGCAGTGCCTGGGAATCCCTGGCAACAGGTGCTCCATGAATACGTGTTCGATCAACATGCTGAGTGTGCTTAAGGCTTTCCATTTTTACTGTACAGACTTTTTAGTAGTTTTGTTTATAACCAACATATATTTGTGCATTCATAGGGAATTCTGACTGTTAAGATTTTAAAAAGGAAATAAGAGAAATAAAAAGCCTGCTAATGACAGTGAGATAATCTATTATCCTCTATCAATATGACAATAAGTGACAAAGTGAAAATAGTCGATTCAGATCTCAAGGACAGAATGTAGGATTCCCAGGTCCTGTCTATGTTCATACAGAAGATGTTTGGGGTCAAGCAGAGCCTTTGCTCAACTCCACAGAGGTGGCTTCGCCTGGTGTGATCCTCTGGAGAAGTCTCCGTTTCAGCCTCTCCCCATTCTTTGGGTTTCGAGACACTAACCTTCTTGACTTAATAGGACGCGGCTCATATTGGGAACACTGCCAACATACAAGTGAAATAGATTAAACAATAGTGTGCTGCCCTCAGGCTTCTGAAACTCAGATCTAATGAGGACATTTTCGTCTTCATACCCTTAATGACCTCCTGTTGCCCACGAGAGAAACACCAGTTTTTCAGGGTGGGAAACTTGCATGGCTCTCCAGAACATTCTCCAGCCATTCATCTCCATATCGGGGTTTTCAGGTGACAAATCCTTCCTACCTCCCTTCCTTGGGTCACTATTCCTCATGCTCTTCCCCTTCTTCGTGAAAAAGAGTCACAAATATGTCATTCAGTTTGTCATAACCCCTAAGGTCACTCTTTGACCAAAAGCCATTCACTGAAAATAAAAAATGGCAACAGCTATGTACCAAGCACCGGGTTGAAAAACAAAAACAAAACAAAAAAAACTTTCACCGGAATTATTTCATTGTAATCCTCCAAAAAATTCTGTCCACATGATTGTCAGAGTACATATAGAAGGAAACTTATGCTCAACATGTAATAAGTGTGCTTCACTCAAGGACAGATGAAGATGGCAAACAAACGCAGGAAAAGATGTTCGGCATCTTTAGCCGTTAGGGAAGTGCAAATTAAAATCACAGTGAAATGCCACTATCTTCCTATTAAATGGGTAAATTAAGAAAAAAAGAAAAGAACAATAACAAGTGCTGGCAAGGATGTGGAGCAACCAGACTTCCATATATTGCTGGTAGGAATGTAAAATAGCACCGCCACTTCGCAAAACAGTTGAGCAGTTTTTTTATAAAGGTGAACACACACTTGCCATATGCAGCAATCACACTTCTAGAGATGCATTTATACAAGAGAAATGAGAACTTATGTCCACATAAAGACTCAATTGCAAATGTGTACAGTGACTTTATTTGTAATCACCAAAACCTGGAAACAACCCTGTGCCCTTCCACTGAGAAATGGACAAACATTCAACAGTAAGTACATCCATACAAGGGAATCTACCCAGCAATTAAAAGGAAAGGCTAGCAGGGTACAGTGGCTCAAGTCTATAATCCCAGCACTTTGGGAGGCCAGGGCAGGAGGACTGCTTGAGGTCAGGAGTTTGAGACCAGCCTGGGCAACATAGTAAGACCTTGTTTCTACAAAAACAATTAAAAATTAGCCAGGCATGGTGGCACATGTCTGTAGTCTCAGCTACTCAGGAGGCTAAGGTGGGAAGATCACTTGAGCCTAGGAAGTCAAGCTGCAGTGTGCTATGATCGCACCACTGCACTCCAGCATGGACAACAGAGCAAGACCCTGTCTCTTTAAAAACAAAAGGAGAGAGAAAGGCCTACTGACGTATGTGACAACATGGATAAACCTCAAAGACACTGTGCCTAAGTGAAAGAAGCCAGACATGAAAGCCTCATACTGTCTGACTGGTTTTATATGAGATTTTGGGAAAAGTAAAACTACGAACAGAAATCAGATCAGTGGTTGCCAGAGGCCAGGATGGGGGCAAGGACAGACTACAAAGGAATATGAGAGAATTTGGGGAGGTGGGGGGATGACGGAACTGTTCCATATCATGATTGTGATGGTGATTGCACAATTATACTGGCTTGTCAAAGCTCACCAAACTATACCCCTCAAACAGATGCATTTTACTGGATATAAGTTATGCATCAATAAAACTTAGTGTAAAAAATAATCAATCAATCAATCAGAAGAAATACAAGCACCTCATCATAGGCTATAAGGCTTATGAATGGTCAAGCTGGAGCTTACTCTTGCAATGTGTCTATTTATCTATTTACAAATTACCTCCAAGTGCTAATATCAGTAATATCTCAAAGCACATATATGAGGCTAGGAAAATAGCTATCATTAATGAACTTAGACATAAAACTGCATTTCAAATAGTCTCTTGATCATTTTGATTTTTTTTCTGGTCAGCTTCTTGCCAGACCTGATGAAGACAATGTTTGGACCTCTCAATACAGTAAGGAACTCACATCAGGAATACAAATTGACCACTTTCTTGTGGTCACTTGTGCTTGGAGTATTACCCTTACCTTCAGCAGGTTGCACATCTTCAAAAGTCTTTTTAAGCTATTTACCTATGCTGTGAAGGTAGGTTTTACATAAACTCGATGTCATCTCTGGGTTCACATGACCATACCTGGGTAAGGCACAATACATGCCAATATGTGGGATACTGTGGGGTGCCCCACTCTGCCCTTGGATTAATTCTTATTTCATTTCTGACTTGGGACATTTGGCACATGGCTGGGTGTGAGCACCAGTATTGCTCTGTATAGACATTAATAATGCCAAAGATAAAGACTGTTAACATTTATTCTTTTTTTTTTTTTTCTTGAGACAGTCTAACTCTGTCACCCAGGCTGGAGTACAGTGACATAATCACAGCTCACTGCAGCCCCCACCTCCTGGGCTCAAGCAATCCTCCCACCTGAGCCTCCCAAGTAGCTGGGACTATTTGGGAGGCACACCCTACCATGCATGGCTAATTTTTTATTTTTAGAGATGGGGTCTCACTATGTTGCCCAGGCTGGTCTTGAACTCCTGACCTCAGGCAATACTCCTGCCTCGGCCTCAATTCTTTGTTTTTTTTGTTTTTTGTTTTTTTTTTTTTCTGAGATGGAGTCTCGTTCTGTTGCCCAGGCTGGAATGCAATGGCGTGATCTCGGCTCACTGCAACCTCCACCTCCCTGGGTTCAAGCGAATCTCCTGCCTCAGCCTCTTGAGTAGCTGGGATTACAGGCATGTGCCACCACACCCAGCTACTTTTAGTATTTTTAGAAGAGATGAGGTTTCACCTTGTTGGCCAGGCTGGTCACAAACTCCTGACCTCAAGTGATCCATCCGCCTCGGCCTCCCAAAGTGCTGGGATTTCAGACCTGAACCAACACGCCTGGCCTCAATTCTTTATTCTTAAAAATGTTCTAATATTTTCTTCCCACATGGAACAAATTGCTACCAACACCGCCCAAATTATATTCAGTCACTATGGAGGCCTCTACTCCTATTGGCCTCCTCTCCCTGATGCAGTTATAAGACCTTTCACAGACGTGAGTCCTGTGGCCAGTCTTACATACCATACTGGATCCATCAGATCTGACATTCATTGGTCACTACCCTTTTCCCAATTATCTTTCCATCATTGAAAGCAATCTTTTTTTTTTCCCTGCTATTGTCATTTTAGGACATTTCTTCAAGAATGACATTTGTAGAACATTTCCAGAACATTTCCTTAAGAATAATGTTCAGAAAAAAAAACTACAGTATAGGTTTTTTTGTGGACTTCTGGAAGCAAGTGCAAATAGTAGGCAAATCTCTTCAAGGTTACTGATGTCCTCAATCCTACCTTTCAAGGCTGGCAGTCCTGCAGTTTCCTTTCCTAAAACTAAATGGAGTGTGGAGGCTGTCCCCCTACCTCTAGTTTCATGTCCTTCATTGTGTCTTGCTCATTAAAATCCAGGGACCTGTGGTTCATGCATGTAATCTCAAAACTTTGGGAGGCCAAGGAAGGAGGATCACTTGCACCCAGGAGTTTGAGACCAACATGGGCAACATAGGGAGACTCCTTCTCTAAAAAAAAACTAAAAACTTCGCTGGGCATGGTGGCACTCTCCCGTAGTCCTAGCTACTCTGGAGGCTGAGGTGAGAGGATCACTTGAGCCCAGGAGGTTGAAGCTGCAGTGAACCGTGATTGCACCACTGGACTCCAACTTGGGCAACAGAGTGAGACGACTTTGTCTGGAAAAAAAAAAAAAAAAACCTCAGGGACCCACCCACAGTCACCTCCTAGGTCAGGCCTATTTGCGGTTTCCCACTGCTGTGTTTAGACCTTGACATTTTCTGTTTACTTTTTAAGATGCTGGGTGTATGCCTAAGCCTACGATGATAAAATAGGATTGCTCAACTTAGCACTATTGACATTTGGGCAAGGTGATTCTCTGTGGAGGGATACATCCTCTCCACTACAGGATGATGAGCAGCACCCCAGCCTCTACCTACCAGATACCAGGAGCACCCTCTACCCATTTGTGACAACTAAAAATGTCTCCAGACGTTGCTAAATGTCCCATGCCATAAAGTTACCCGCTTTACTTACAAGAAGCACCAAGATCCTAACAACTTGGGCTGCTGTAACCAGAGAATAACTACCCTATTGAATTTGCCAACAAATTGCAAGTAACCCCTTGCGGACAAAAATTTCTTAGTGTAAGGGAAGTATTCATTTTCCTAGAGAAGACGAGAAATTCTTCCTTTCTCACAAGAAAAGGAAAAATGACCTGCAGGCATGTGCTCTGCTTCTCTCAAGAAGCGCCTCCGAGGCGGAGGTTGCAGTGAGTCGAGATCGTGCCACTGCACCCCAGCCTGGGTGACAGAGTGAGATCCTGTCTCAAAAAGGAAAAAAAAAAAAAAGGAAAAAGAAAAAGCACCTCCTAAAGCCCTCTGTTCCTTCTTCGCCAACATTCCTCCCAGAGATGAGGGCTCCTTCTCACTTCCACATGCAGGGGACAGGTGGGCCACACCCAAAAAATCCTTCCATCTTCACCCCATCTGAACTGTAGAGATAACAATGCTAAGTGCCAGCCAGGCACAGGAGCTCATGTCTGCAATCCCAGCACTTTGGAAGCCTGAAGTGGGAGGATCACTTGAGGCCAGGAGTTCAAGACCAGCCTGGGCAACATAGACCCTGTCTCTAGAAAAATAAATGAACAAATAAATAAAAATAATATTTTTCAAAAAATGCTAGTGCCTACCCAGGGATGTAACAAGGATTACACGAGTCATTATATTAGAGCATTTGTAAAAGCACTATTACATATAAATATAATAGGATAACACCATTATGGCCAGAAACTACCGGGACTCAATGACTCTATCACACTCTGGCTTTGCATCCACCAGAGTTTACTAAGCACCCGCACCATGCAGACACTGTGCTAAACCAGTGTCACTGCATTCAAGAAGGTTCTAGTCTGTGAGGAGACAGGGATGATGAAAGTTTAGACAAGGTGCAGACATCGGTGGGAGGTGGTGCCCAAACTTTTCTGGAAGAGTCGGGGAGGGCTTCCTGTAGGAGGCAGTGGTTAAACTGAGACCTGAATGACGAGAGGGAATTTTCCAGGAGCCAAGGAGAATGAAGAGCATTTCATTCAGAGGTAAAAACAATGGGTGAAAGTCCAAGGGCAGAAGGGAACATGACATTTTCAGGAAATTAAATTTCCAAATCACCATCAACCAAAAATATAATCAGGGGAGTTACAGAAAAGAAGGCCAAAGAGCAAGTTGGGGCCAGCTGACATGCAGAAGAGGCAAGATCAGCCAAGTCCATGGGAAATGCTAGGTCAAACCTAAAGGAGTTTAAAGTGTCAAAGGTGGTGGTGAGTTTCCAAAAGGAAAGATCATAAGCAGCAGTTCTCAGATGTCGGTGATGATCTCGGAAGTCCAGGGTTCAGGGTTCTGAAAGGGATCTGGGTTGGGAAACACTGCTGAGAGAATGACAAGTCATTAAAGACTGATTAGATAAAGGAATTTCATCATCAGGTGTGCATGTGACAGATGTCACTCTGACCTGACCAGCATGGAGGGACTGGACAGGATAGGCCCTGAGGCATGGAAAACACAAGATACCCTGGCAATATCCCAGGAAGGGAAAGGCTAAACCCAGGCACGGCCATGGGCGGTGGGCATGGAGGGGCTGGAATGCCTCAGAGAGACACTGAGACGGAGAGGAACAGAGACACCACATTTCCACCTTAAGCAGCAGGTGAGATGGTGGAACCATCCAGAGGGAGAAATCGTAGGAAGAAACTGGTTTGAGGAGGAAGACAAGGATTTCCAGTTAAGTGCATAGAGTTTGAGGTGCAAGTGAACTATCATGAGTATATGGGGGTGGAGGCTCCAGAGACTTGGACTTTAGATATAAATTAAAGAGTCAGTGATCAAGAACTGGGCAGAAACTACTGGCATCAAGTGGTTCTCAGGATCACCTGGGGGGCTGCTTAAAACCCCGAGCTTCTGCTTCATGGGGTCCCAGGTGATGCTGATGTTGCTCATCTGGGAACCTTACTTTGAGAACCACAGCTCTAGATAAAAGAATCCTGCCCTTTCTCCTCTACTTTGGACAGAAATGATAGGTAAGGAAAGCATAAATGTTTCATCTTTTTCTCTCTCTGGCCCTTGAACTCCAGAAGATGGGAGTACTTAGTTTGACTGCATTCTTATTCCAACTTCAGGAGCCCAAATCTACCACAATTTGCCAAATATTAGAAGAGTATGGACTGTAAGACACACCTGTAATTTGAGTAATGCTAAGAAGGAAAAACAGATACCAATAATTATGAGATGTGGCTGATTGAAAGAAGCATTCTGATTTTCAAAATATGAAAGGCTGGAAAATGTGCATTTTAGAATTGACCAAAAGTGGTCTTCCCTGTCCTCTGGGGCCACCCTGGAAAAGTCCAAGCAGAAGCCTGTGCACCAGCAGGAGCCAGGATCCTGGATCTTCCTGCTTTTTTGCCTGTGGTATATACCACCACATCCACAGGAACCTGCCACACACAAGGGCTTTGCTCCCCATAAGATCTCCCAGCAACAGGGTCCTTCACCCAAACCTTCCAAAAGTGCCTCATCCCACATTCCCAGATTCTGCAGAAGCTCTCAAAACTCATATGCAAACATGCAAGGACATTTAATAACAACTCCTGCATTTCCCACTTTCACCCATGATTACAAGTAGTCATACCCAGGGTGTTCTTGCTCAGAGAGCCTACTACAGAAAAGACCCAATTAAGAAACACCATTGGCCAGACGCAGTGCTCACGCCTGTAATCCCAGCACTTTGGGAGGCCAAGGCGAGCAGATCACTTGAGGCCAGGAGTTGGAGACCAGCCTGGCCAACATGGTGAAACCCCATCTCTACTAAAAATACAAAAATTAGCTGGGTATGGTGGCACACGCCTGTAATCCCAGCTACTCGGGAGGCTAAGGCATGAGAATCGCTTGAGCCTGGGAGGCAGAGATTGCAGTGAGCTGAGATCATGCGACTGCACTCCAGCCTGCATGACAGAGGGAGATTCTGTCTCAACAAAAAAAAAAAAAAGGGGGAAGGAAGGAAGGAAAAGAAAGAAAGAAAGAAAGAAAGAAAGAAAGAAAGAAAGAAAGAAAGAAAAGAAAGAAAGAAAGAAGGAAAGAAGGAAGGAAAGAAGGAAAGAAGGAAAGAAGGAAAGGGAAAGGAAAGGAAAAAGAAACACCACTGCCAAAACCAGCAAAAGATTAAAGGAAGCAAACATCCTCATTCTACTATTTCCCCTCTTATGCAGGAGAAATAGCCTGAGTTGCACATATTAACCCATATTGTCTTTTTTTTCTTTCCAAATTTTTAGGTTCAGGGGTACATGTGCAGGTATGTTACACGGGTAAATTGTGTGTCACGGGGATTTGCTGTCCAGATGATTTCATCATCCAGGTAGTCAGCATAGTACCCAGTTGATAGTTTTTCAATCCTCACCCTCCTCCTGCCCTCCACCCTCATGTAGGCCCTAGTATTCATTGTCCCCTTCTTTGTGCCCATGTGTACTCAATGTTTAGTTCCCACTTATAAGTGAGAACATGCAGTATTTAGTTTTCTGCTCCCTAGCCTGACACCGCCCAATGTCCACGGCCAAAATACTTAGGCAAAGCAAAAAGCACAAGGGGCCTTTGCACCTAAAAGACAGTGTCTTCCATTCCAGTCTGAAAGAAACTCCCTGGAAAAATTGGAGCAAAATAGCTCTGTCCTTCCCAGGGTCTCAGAGGCCTCCTCTCTCCTTGGAGAGTATTCTGCCTGTCTCCCTGGGCTCCCCTTTTCTTCTCAGAAGTACAAGTTGAAGGGAATCTCTCAAGCTTCAAGGAGTGTCCAAAGTCAAGCATCTCTGTTGTTGTCAAGCTGCAATAATCATGCTTCCATCTCCAACATACCCTTGTAAGAAGAACACTTTACATATGTTTTACAAAATGTAAAAATGGCTATGTGGAGGTCTAGCAGATCAGAAACAGCAGAGGCCAAGAGTCTACATGTCGAGATCCTTTCTGGCTCTAACCCCAAGGCCACGCTTCCTCCCAGAGGACCCACACCTATATGTAGCTACTGCTAAAATGCTCTCACCCGGGCAGCTCCTGACAGAGAGGCCCAATTCATGACATGCCATTATCGCAGCAGACGAAATTTCAACCAAAACAAATCTGTTATGCAAACAGTTACCAACATAACTTAGAAGGGTATTCTGAAATGACAGGCAGGGAAACCTGACCCCTACCTGAATATCCCAGGAGGACGTCCAGTAGTAGCAAATCCTCCAAGAGGGTCAAAATTGCCTGCTATTTTTAAAACCTGAAACTTTAAATAATTCCAGACCCCCTCCGCCACATGTTGAGCAATCTGCCAGATCAGTTATACACATGGAGTTGAGTCCAACAATCTGCCAAAGAAGGGAGTCTCCCAAATCTGGCCACTTCTCATTTCCATATGGAAAGAATTACCATGACTGGGCAGAGATGGAGGGAGAGGGGAAGAGGAGGCGGGAGAGGTGGCGATGATTCCAAGGAGCTGATCCCTATTATACCATGACGTGTGCAGCATCGAACGTCGTCACTGCAATCATCATTTCACATATTTAAAGGAAGCCTTCAGGAAAAGTTTGTTTTATTCTTTTAAAGATAGTTAATACATTCATTGGAGTTTTTGTGGTTGTTCTTAGTCTTGTTCTCATTCTGTACATAAGAGTTTTTTTTTGGTTTTTTTTTTTGTTGCTGTTGCGTTTTTCGCAAATCTGAGAGTAATTAGTCCTTTGCATTCAAGCTCTGGTATTTGGAAAATTCAGCATTCTTAATAGGTTGACTTTGAGCTACCTTTGGAAATTCAGCTCCCCAACATGCAGGAAAATTCTGACACAACATCTGTTTTCCAGTAAGACCCTGTTTTGACACAATTTGATACTCATTTGCATTGCCCCAGGTGTTGGAAGGTCAAGCAATAGATCCAAGGTCACACTGAAAATGAGGCTCCCTTTTAATTTCCTGCATTCTTCCTGAATGGTTTCAAGAGTAAATGGGTTCCAGGAAACCTGAGGAGAAAGAATGAAATCACTGCAAGACTATCCAAGCTTCCCATGTTTGGTTTGGTTAGAAGACATTTTTAAATAGAGCATCATTCACACGGTCTTCTTCTGAGTTTAGATACCACTTTTCAGGTTCTCTCTGGAATTCCGTAAAATTTTGCAGCTCATCAGAATCATCAACCACTCTCCCCTTGTTCGGTGCAATTGCCAAGTCTATTTATAAAAAGCACATGCTATCTGAACACTTGCTACTCAAAGTATGGTCTATGAACAAGCACCATCAGCACTTGCTGGGCACTTATTCGAAAAGCAGAATCCCCCTTCCCCAACCCCTGATGTAGGATGTCATAAAACACTGTTCCCAAAGTAATTGGGATGCACTGATTAAGCCAGGGGACAGCATGCTACAAGCCTGCAGGCCAAATCTGGCCACTGCCTATTCTTGTAAACAAAGATTTGTTGAAACACAGTTAGAGGCATTAATTTGTCTATGCTTACTTTTGCTGTAATGGCAGAATTGAGACATTTCAACAGAGAAAGGGTGGCCCACAAACATAAAACTATGAATTATCTGGTTCTTAACCAAAAATCTTCACTGACACTGATCTAAACCTTTATTCTACAGGGAGGAAGAGGAAGGATGAAGAAAAGGAAGAAGGAGGAAGAAGGGAGGAAGGAGGAAGCAGGAAGGAGGAAGGAGGAAGAAGAAGGCAGGAAGGAGGAAGGAGGAAGAAGAAGGCAGGAAGGAGGAAGAAGGAAGCAGGAAGAAGGAAGGAGGAAGAAGGAAAAAGGAAGGAGGAAGAAGGAAAAGGGAGGTAGAAAGAAAGAGGAAGGAAGAAGAAACAGGAAAGAGGAAGAAGGAAGGAGGAAGAAGGAAGGAGGAAAGAGGATGAAGAAAAATAAAAGCGGAAGGAGGAAGAAGGAAGCAGGAAGGAGGGAGAAGGAAGGAGGAAGAAGGAAAGATGGAGGAGGAAGAAGGAAGTAGGAAGAAGGAAGATGGAAGGAAGAAAAAAGAAGAAGGAAGTAGGAAGGAGGGAGGAGGAAGAAGGAAGTAAGGAGGAAAAAGGAAGAATGAAGGAGGAAGAAGGCAGTAGAAAGGAGGAAGGAGGGAGAGGGAAGTAGGAAAGAAAATGGAGGAAGAGGAAGTAGGAAGAATGCAGGAGGAATCAGGGAAAAGGAAGAAGGAAGTAGGAAGAAGAAAAAAGGAAGACAGGAGGAAGTAGAAAGGAGGAAGAAGTTAGGAGGAAGAAGGGGGAAAAAGGAAGAAGAAGACGAAGGAGGAGGACACACTTTTTACACAAAGTTCTGCTAATTTAACCCTTATGTGAAACAGTTAAATAGCAACTCCTAGTGAGACAGCAGGCGGAAAGATTTGAAGGAAAACTGTTGCTGCCACAAGGGAAGTTTGATGGCAGGACTTGGAGTGTGTATGCATGATGTACTAATTGAAGCATTAGTACAGTTTCTTTGGGGGGGTGTCAGATGAGTGTAGAGGAACCCCCTACTCTCCACCTTTGCCTAGGGCAATGTCTGCATCAGAGATTGGTGCCAACGTAATAATCAGCCTCACAGAAAGTTGGATTCAGAGTCTGGAAAGATGGAAGATACAATCTTTACAGCCTATGGATAGACCCTCCTTTCCAAACTTCAGCGTTTGGAATCTTAGTACAATTTCTATACCAAAGGTGCTTGCCAAATGAAACTCTGGATTTACAACAAATTGTGTTTTGAAAAATACTGTATTTGCCAGGCGCGCAGCGGCTCATGCCTGTAATCCCAGCACTTTGGGAAGCCAAGGCGGGTGGATTACGAGGTCAGGAGTTCAAAACCAGCCTGACCAATATGGTGAAACCCCTTCTCTACTAAAAATACAAAAATTACCGTGGTGGCAGGCGCCTGTAATCCCAGCTACTTGGGAGGCTGAGGCAGGAGAATCGCTTGAACCCACAGGGCAGAGGTCACAGTGAGCCAAGATCGTGACACTGCACTCCAGCCTGGGCGACAGAGTGAGGCTCCGTCAGAGAGAGAGAGAGACAGAGAGAAAGAAATATTTAAATTGCTCCAGTTCAAATAAGCCGGTAATAAGCCAAACCACCTGTCTCATAGAGAGCTGGAGAGAGAGAAGGGTCAGCAAGGGAAATGATAAAATAAACAAATCACTGCTATGAAAATTTATATGGCTCACCCCGCCTCTGAAATGAGAGTTCAAAATAGAAATGCTTGCTCCTTAACACGGGTTATCATAACGAGATGCATTTAATACATGAGTTTGCTGGATACCATGGTTCAGCCGTGCTGTATTTTTTTTCCATGATAGATTTGAAACATCCATCGCTTCATTTGCTGCCTCTTTCCACAAAGCAGATACTGGAGAGCAAATCTCATGCAGATGATGTTTTGTCTAGAGGCAGCGAGCTGTTTTATAATAAGGCAGATGTAGAGGATGCAATTTCAAACACACACCCGAAAGCACAGGGCTCACTACCTGTAACTGAGAAAACGAGGCAGAGATGGATGCCTTGTTTGCATTCATGCAGGACACATGCAGAAAGTTCTGTCTGCCAGCTACGGGAGGAATAGACAAAGCACCTCCCACCACCAGGCACAGGTGGAGTGGCGGAGGACGGGGCGGTGGCAGTAGTCCCACCTCTATGCACAGAGTTCCATCTTCACAAGTAGGAACTCAAGCAGTTGAAGACCAGCAGCAAGCTGGCCATGCAGCCGCAGTGTAAAAATGGACGGCCTCTCCGCACACTATAGACAGTCCCGCCTTGAGCAAAAAACTAACATACACGATCCTTTCCAACCTGCAGAACCTGCCATTCCAAGGGGCCCAAAATAACCAACCAACAAAAATAAACAGCAAAAACAAGCCAACAAAAACTTTAGTGCCTTAGAACATCTTCATTTGCCTTTATTTTTCCTCTGCTTTTCATTTAACAGTGCTCTCTTTTTTTCAGAAAAATAATTAGTGACAAAAGCTTGGTATACTTTAGAATTGTAGTTAAAAGGAAAAGGACACCCCAAATGGATTGTGGCCTTCCTCAATTCTGACTTTTCTTAAAATGAACTCATTGCAATTTAGGGAAGAAAAATGTAGATTTTTCCATCTTTCACTACAGAGCATGATGCTGTGCTGATGACGGTGGCGTTATATATATGTATTTGTAAATCTAGAAGAGTTTGACGCATTCCTAAAGAATACCAAGAATATAATTTTTAAAACATAGAATTAAGGGCGTGGCAAAATGGCTCACACCTGTAACCCCAACACTTTGGGAGGATGAGGTAGGAAGATCACTTGAGCCTGGGTGCTCAAGACCAGCCTAGGCAACACAGCGACATCCCGTCTCTACAAAAATAAAACTAGCCATGCGTGGTGGCATGTCTATAGGTATATAGTCCCAGCTATTCAGGAGGCTGAGACAGGAGGATCACTTGAGCCCAGGAATGCAAGGCTACAGTGAGCTATGATCATGCCACTGCACTCCAGCCTGATGGAGCAAGACCCCCCGCCTCCCCCCCCCAAAAATAGTAGAATTAAGGAATCTTCCTGCCTGGTCAATTTTTTCCAGATGTCTCCTGCTTTTTCCTCTCCTTGCCTGGCTATAAACTTTAAAGCAAAGAAAAACTAATTCTAGAAGAAAAATCCAGGAGAAATTTCAAACAAAATAACATGTAGAAATATTATATTCAAGAGCTAATGCGGAGCTGTACACAAATAGATAATGACTTGAAAATCATTACAAATCAAGAAGAATCCTGAATTATCTTACAAAAGAATCACACTCTTGAAACTTACCAACAACGTCATCACACTATTCCTGTTAAAATATGTACACAAATCCCTTAGACACTATATTCATTTTCTGGGGCTGCTGTAACAAAGTATCACAAACTGGGTGGCTTTAAAAGCCAGAATTGTTATTCTCCCACCATTCTGGAGGCCAAAAGTCTGAAATCTAGGTGTCAAGCAGGATTGGTTCCTTTTTGTCCTTTTTATGATACAATAGGATTGATTTTTGTTTGTCATTTTGTTTGTTTGTTTTTGTTTTGTTTGTTTGTTTGAGACAGGGTCTCACTCTACCAACCAGGCTGGAGTGCAGTGGTGCCATCGTAGCTCACTGCAGACTCCAACTCCTGGGCTCAAGCAATCTCCCCACCTCAGCTTCGGGAGCAGCTGGGACTCCGGGCTGGTGCCACCACACCTGGCAAGGGTTGGTTTCTATTGAGGGTTGGGTGGGAGAATCTGTCCCGGGCCTCTCTTCTTGCTTCTGGCAGCCTCAGGCTATCTTTGGCTTGTAGACATCTTCCCCCTGTGTGTCCACTTCGTCTTCCCTCTGTGTCTGTCTGTCTCTGTGTCCAAATTTCCCCTTTTTAGAGGGACACCAGTCATATTGGACTAGAGCCCACCCTAATGACCTCATTTTAACTTGATTACCTCTGGAAAGACACTATTTCCAAATAAAGTCACATTCTAAGGTCCTGGGGGTTAAGATTTCAACCTATCTTTTTCAGGGTAATGCAATTGCACACATATAATCACTATATGCCTCTATTCTGTGTATTCTAAGACTCAAAAATAGATTATGCTCTAAGCTGCAGTAAGTTCATGTTGGAAGAAGTCAAAGGATGACTCTCCTCAAGGAACAGATCCATTGATGATGACCAAAATTCACATACATCATCATTCGCCATTGAATGCATTTGCAAAGTACCCCAGGATCTTTCCACTGGCAGCCTCTCCTTCTTGTAGTGTTTAGAAATCCACTTCGGGGAAAAAAAAAAAAAAAATGCTTTTTCCTCCCCAGTGAGCCAGTCTATAAAAGCTCTCAACTAATTTACATCTGCAAAAGTAGATCACATCAGACGCTACCAGGCTTTCCATGCCTCCCCACTGGGATTTGGCCTCAGCCTCACACAGCTGTCTTACAGGTGGCGCTTGCTGGGCCCTGCCACCCCACGTCCCCTCCAGCCATACTATGCTCTTTGCTTGCTTTACCTCAAATGTACCTTGCCTTTCCACGGCCCTGAGCCTGTGTTCAAACTGCTCCCTGGCCTTGACATTTTTGACTTTTTTTCTTTACCTATTAAAATCCTTCAAAGTCCCGCCAGGCCCAGTGGCTCAAGCCTGTAAGCCCAGCACTTTGGGAGGCCGAGGTGGGCAGATCACTTGAGGTCAGGAGTTTGTGACCAGCCTGGGCAACATGGTGAGACCCTGTCTCTACTAAAAATACAAAAATTAGCTCGGCGTGGTGGTGCACACCTGTAGTCCCAGCCACTCAAGAGGCTGAGGCAGGAGAATCACTTGAACCTGGCAGGCGGAGGCTGCAGTGAGCTGAGATTGCACCACTGCACTCCAGCCTGGGTGACGGAGTGAGACTCTGTTTCAAACAAAATAAATAAAAAAATAAATAAATAAAATAAAAATAAAATCCTTCAAAGTAACTTCCAAGGTTCTGTCCTCTGCAGAGACCTTTCTAAGCCACCTGGTTATGATTCTCCTCTCCTTTTTCTGTTTTCTGCTTTCCTTTCCCCCAAGGAAGCATTTCAATTCCTCTGCCCATGTTATGTCAGCCTCCTACCATCTGCCGTCCTGACCACAACATCGTAGCCTCCCTCCTGCCATGTCTCCATAACCCCATACAACCCAGCATATAGCAAGACCTCGAGCAAGCACTACTGGCTGATGGAATGAGTCAAGAGATGGGGGTTGTTGGGCAGAGCCCAGTAGAGTTATCCAGCTCACTGAAAATCCCAGGCTTTCCAAGGAAAAGGTTTGGGATTTATTTTCCTTAGTTCATAGTCTGTGCTTTGAGGATTCAGCAGAACAAATCAGCAGATTAGTAAGTGGGCACCTGACATCCAGATGGGAAGAAACCACACTGCTCACAATGACTATGGACTCGAAACTGCATTTTCAGGATAACTGTGTTCTGGACTGTATACTCTCATGAAAACACAAGCTCGCTTAGCAACAACCAGAGTAGTTGGAGGAAGAATGTGAAAAGATGGCAGAATTCATCTACAATTCCTCCGATACACAAGAGTAATTAGCCAGTTTTCAAAATTTGTAAGTATCACCCCTCTGAAATGCTGGATGAGGAAGGCAATGATCCCAAGCTTTTTCTGTTTCTCTCTGCCTGCACTGGCTTGTCTATTCTTCCCTATTTGGTAAAAGCCAAGATGTCTCAAATTGCAGCTCTCTTCCTGAACCATCCAGCCTGGAGTATCCCCTTCCCTGGGCCAAACTATTTTCGAGTGCCTAAGGGCTACTCCCCTAATTCACTGTCTGCAATCCTTAGTTATCTTTTTCCTATAATTCTGTTTAAATGGCTTAACTTGATTAAGAGTTCCTTGAAGACAGGGACTACATGATGTGTCTTTGCATCTTTCGTTTATCTAAAATGTCTCCAACTTCAGCTGAAACTGAAAGTAGAAACCCAAAGCTTTCAACAGTGTTGAAACATCTTCTCCCGCCCCTATATGCTTCAAGAACTGCTGAGTAAATTAAAGTGCACATCTGAGAAGGCAGCTCCATTTCTCCATGTCCAGCAGAGCTAGCTAGTCAAGGTCGATAGCAGGAAAGAAAAAACATTGTGATAAACACTATTAAATGTCCAGGCTGAAATCTGCCGCTAAAGCAAAGCAAAGCTTTCCAATTACAAACTTACTTTGAACTCCTATTTTCATTTCCGACATGTAATTATTACTAAATAAACCAGGCCGAGTGAATTAATACTTTTTTGGAATATAGTCAAGAAAAACTATAAGTACAATATTTTCAGTAAATTATTTACAAGAATGGGAAAGGGAGGTGTCAAGCATTTTGCTCTAGTATAATGTATTGGAAAATTAGTTACAGTGTCTATTAGATTCAAATATGAAGAAGATTACATGTATACATATAGATATGGATATATGCATATATACATGTGTATCTACACACACGTGTGTATGTGCTTGTTCATTTCGGATCAAGTTTACCATTTGGGTATAATTACTTGAGTTTGGGCAGTGGTCTCTCGTCTCACCTTCAGCTGTAAGTACTGAACATGGAGCCCTGTGAGGAATTCCATTTGGGCTTTCTACAGTTGAACCTCTCACCCCTGTAGTTTTACAAAGTGTCAGGTAATTTTAATATTTGGAGCCGTCTCTGCCCTCACACTCTTAGATCACATCCCTCCCTTACAGACAGCAAGGGGTCCATCCCACCCTCTGGTTGGTTTCATCCCTCCGTGTCCCGTGGCCTCAAAGTCACAGCCAGGGGAAGTACAGTGGGCAGTGGGCCCAGCCTGCATGTGACCTCCGTGTCTCCATGTCCCCCTGTGCAGCCCAGGGTGGTACCTTCTCTCTGGCATTTTCAGGGAATGGCTAAGACCTGCAAGTCCCTGAGGGGCTCATGTGTTTTCTTCTCCCCATCCCAGCCTCTGAAACCCCTTATTCTATAGGTATCTGGGCTTCAGTATTAATGCGCTTGGTGGAATTCACTTCAATAAACTTAGGGGAGCAAAACTACAGCTCACAAATGGACTTCTAGAAAAAAATGTCCACATATTTGTTTGACCCACCAAACAAATACAAAAATGCTAATAGTGACACTTTCACAACTATATCAAGGAGCCAATGGTGTCTGGTGGTGTGACAAGGTAAAGCAATGCCCTGCAGCAATGCAAAAGATAGCTACGAACACTCAGAGTGCAAGAGCTGGAGATGTCTTCTGAAGGGCAAGGACCGTGGCTGACCAAGGAAGAGGTTATCTTTAGGCAGACAACCTTGAATTACAAGAGGCAGCTATGTGCCCTTCCTTCCCATACACAAAACAAACCCTAGCTGGCATCAACAAGAACTCAAACTACCCTTGATTTTTTTTTTAATTGTACCTGTAAATCCTGACTTGAATGCTTTCCAGTAGAGAAGTGTGGTAAACTCAGGCTGTAAAGTCAGGAATACTTCCTCCCAAGTGCATTTAACTTCAAATGGCTTCCCCGTTTCTCTAGAATAGAGACATGCAGAAGCTTCCATCTGGATGCACAAGTATCCAGACGAGACTTGTACTCCAGATGCACAGGCCTCATCTTATGGCTTCTGTGCTGTGAGGAGAGTTGGCATCTCCGGTGCCCCAGATGGCTCACCATCCTAAGGGCCTGAAACCGAGGAAAATGTGCAGGCAATGCATACGCGCCAACTTCCAGTGTGGGAGCTCAGTGTCCAAGCTCAGCCCCTGTATGCTTAAGCTAAAGTCCCCTGGCTCTCTGGCTTGACTGGAATCTACATTGCATTTCCCCAAGGTCAGTTCCTGCACCATTTGCTTGGCAAGCCATTTTGAGCCACTCTCATCTCATCCTGGACAGGATTTTGGTATCCACTCGCCAGCATTATCCAGCATAACCACAGCTGAGGAACATTCAGTCCTCTGCCAGTCTAGTCCCCAAAGGCCTGGCCATGTGGGACCAATTTTCGGGCAGATGGAAACATACATTCTGCAGCTGCACAAGGGTAAATCTTAATTACAGCCCTCAGTCTGGAGTGATCGGCAACCAGCGTGGTCACCTTTTCAGACTTCCGCCTATATAAGCTCTGATGAAATCTTAGAGCACATAAGCCTTGCTGTTCAGAAAGACAACATGAGGGCAACATATGCATGAGTGTGTGTGTGTGTGTGTGTGCGCGTGCACGCACACACATGCACGCACACACACATACTAGGTTTCCCTTTCTACCTAACTCCCGGAAACGCATGGAAGCCCCTCTGCATCCAGACGTGATAGATGTATATTTATATTCTATTTCAGTATGCTGGACCTTCCGTGTGATTCTGAGTTGCAGCAGCTTAATAGGGTACAGGAGGAGTTTTCGAATTGTGCCCTTAGCAGGCAAGTAGACAGCTCCACTGTGGGGCACAGAAGCAAGTGTCTCTGAAGTCTTGGGCGTGCTGAAAAGAATTCTGTGAAGAAATCGCAATTCATCTCTTGTGACACTACACACAGCTGTACGCACAGCCCCTTTTGTGTCAGGAAGCCCCAGGATTCCTGAGTAAACAGTTGAAGAGTGCAGGTAACAAGAGACCATTCATCACTTGAAACAATTTAGAATATCTTGAAGTGTGCTTTAGAAAGTAATTTTTTTCATTTTTGAATTTAAATATGAGAGTGGCAATCTTCTCAAATCACTAACTTCAAAATCAATTTGTATCTTTCAGAATCACTCCCTAAACAAAACAAACAAAAATGCATAATTTACATGAATGTTCATAGCAGCATTATTCATAATAGCCAAAAGGTGGAAGAAACTCAAGTGTCCATCAGAGGATGAATGAATTCACAAATCGTGGTTCATCCCTATAATGGGATACTATTCAGCCATAAAAATGAATGCAGTGCTGATACACGCTGCAACATGGATGAGCCTGGAAGTAACATGTTAAGTGAAAGAAGCCAGTCACAAAAGGATGAATATGATATGATTCCATTTACATGAAATATTCAAAATAGCGAAATCCACAGATGCAGAAAGCAGGTTTCTGGTTGCCAGGGATTGAGGGAAGGAGAGAATGGAGAGGAACTGCTTAACAGGCACGGGGTTTTCTTTGGGGATGATGAAATTGTTGAGGAACTAGACAGAGGCAGTGGTTTCACAACACTGAACATATGAAGTGCCACTTCATTGTTCACTTGAAAATGGTTAATTTTATTTTATGTGCATGACTGAAAATGTATGAAATACATTTTGCTAAGTAATCTGTGAAGTCTTTGTTCCAAAGGATTTAGGGTTTTTTTTTTTGCTTTGTTTTTTTGGAAGAATCCATTTAAGATACCTCTAAAGTCTTATATTCATGACACTTTTTTAAATGCCTCTTGGTGGATTCTGAGAATAAGTGGTTCTAAGAAACAAACAAACCAAAAAAAACCTCTACCCTATGGAGCTGGCAACTGAAAGGCAAAAACAGTTGCAGTTTATCTACCCAAAATCAAATAAAGTAAGCAGAGATTAAGACACATAGCTGGGCCATTATATGTGGATTAATGCAAGGAATCTGACATTTTTCCAGGTAAAGAAATTGAGACATCAGTATAGCCCCAGGCTTCTTAAAGCATGGTCCATGGACCACCAGCCTTGGCATCACCCCAGAGCTTCTTAGAAATGGAGGGTCTCCATCCACCCTAGAACTACTGAATCACAGTCTGCGTTTTGACAAGATTCCCAGGGGATCCTCATTATAGCTAGAGAAACAGTCAACCGGCCCCTCTCCCTGAAGTTGTATGATTTTGCCTTCAACAAAATGCCTCTACAGGGTCTCTAAAATGCATGTTCCACAAACATGGCTGCCCAAAGCTCCCCACCTCCCCTCCAAGGCCCCTAAGACTGTTCTATCCTCCTCCCACGCCTGCCCCACCAGACACCTACAATGATCAAGACCATCAAGCCCTGCTGCATTACTTAGAAACCCATCAGAACCTTCTAACCCAGTTTTTACCAACCAAGACTTTGCCTTCATCCTGGAAAGTAAGTCCTTCCTCTTCCTCCATCCTCCCTCAACTGGTAAAAAATCCAATTGGTTCTATGTCAGGACATCTGTTTTTCACAATGCTCAGACATTACCAATCTCCTTATCTCTTTCCAATTGTTTTTTTTTTAATTTCTTTTTCGAGACGGAGTCTTGCCCTGTCACCCAGGCTGGAGTACAATGGCGTGATCTCGGCTCACTGCAACCTCTGCCTCTCGGGATCAAGCAATTCTCCCTCCTCAGCCTCTCAAGTAGCTGGAATTATAGGCACCCGCCATCATGCCTGGCTAATCTTTGTATTTTTGTAGAGATGGGGTTTCACCATGTTGACCAGGCTGGTCTTGAACTCCTGACCTCAGATGATCCACCCGCCCTGGCCTCCCAAAGTGTTGGGATTATAGGCGTGAGCCACCATGCCCAGACTCTTTCCAACTTTTATCACCCACAAAGAATCACCTCTAATGACTGGCGATAGGCAAAAAAGCAGGGTTCCGGGTGGCTGCAGAGGAAAGATGTGGTGGCTCAGATGTGTGTACTAGAGGTATTGCCGATCCCCATAGATTGGAGTGGGCTGGAGAGAAAAACAGACTCAAGAAGGACTCCAAGATGGGCCCAAGCTACAAGAAGGAGGGAGATTCCCATCCCTAAGATGAGAAAGGAAATAGGAAGGGCAAGTTTGGTGAGAAATTCAAAGCATGCTAAAAAATGTTAGAAACAGGCCAGGCACAGTGGCTCAAACCTATAATCCTGGTGCTTTGGGAGGCCCAGGCAGGAGGACTGCTCGAGATCAGGAATTCAAGATCAGCCTGGGCAACATAGCGAGACCTTGTCTCTACAAAAAAATATATATATATACACATATATATGTATGTATATATATGTACACATTATATATATATATATTATATATAATATATATATATTAGTTGGGCGTGGTGGCGCACGCCTGTAGTCCCAGCTACTCAAGAGGTTGAAGTGGGAGAATCACATGAGCCTTGGAGGTCCAGGCTGCAGTGAGCTGTGATCACGCTACTGCACTCCAGCTTGGGCAACAGAGACCTTGTCTCAAAATAAAAGAAAAAGAAAGAAAAAGAAAAAAATGCTAGAAATATACATGCATTGCAATTAGGTGTGTGCATTGCCTTGTGAGAATTTCCACTCAAGGAACCGACCATACTTGCCCCTTCTCACAACGGGCTCTGTATTTATGGACACATGGCTCTCAGTCATTACTGCATGCATGTGCACACCCACACATGTGAGAGAATGCAATGTGCTAACTGCATTCAGACATAGCCAGGCCCTTGGGGCTGCTTTTGGAGACTCTCTATGGAGACTGTAGGACGCTTCACGCTGAGTATCAGGTGACTAGAGAGACCAAATGAGAAGGCTCTCTGCAATCACCCAATTTGACGCTTGAGAAGATTACCCATAATCTTGAGTTCTTTATTTCAGAAAGCAAATCAATTGGCATCTGGAAAAACAAGAGTACTACATCTTGGGGGAAAAAACAACAAAACTCAGCTTCTGCCTTGATAGAATAGATGCCAGGAACCATATATGTGTGTCTATATATGTGCGTATACTATAAAATTATAGAATTGTAAAATCAGATTTTATTTATTATATAATTACATTATATCCAATATTGTATAATACACAATTAAATAGTTGTTGGAGGTAAGTATACATAATACATAATTATCAAACATAATTATATATTTTGTGTAATATGTAATATTTATATTTTTATATAAAATTATATTCTGCACTTGTACAATGTGTATTATATAATATGTATATTAATGTATAATGACCATGAATATGTCTTTACTAGCATATACAATAGCCATTAAAAATCACCAAACCATAAAATGTACATAACTCCCAAATTAATGCCTCACCCATGGCAGCCTACCTGTCCTCTAGATGCCACAGACAATGTGGGGCTGTCCCCAAGGGACACAGTGACCACCAGTCACTCTTCGCTCTTGAAATGACTCACATTTCCTCACCCACCCCCAGCTTTCCCTTCGGCTCACGGAACCAGGCCCCCACCACCCACTTCTGTGCCCTTTAAATGTATTATTTCCTGTGCTGTTACTCACTCTCTCGAAAGTTTTTAACAATATGAGGAAAGTGGATGAATAATTCATCCGAGCCCCGTAAATGACTCTGCAAGACAGAACGCAGGTGTAGCATAGAGAGGGCCAACTAGCAGATAAGCACTGGGACACAGGCCCCCTGGGGTGCCAGGCTAGAGGAAGTTCTAGGAGGTGAGCAGCAAGGACCAGCCAGAGGTCTTGAGTGAGGTGAGTGATTTGGGATGCCAGACACACTACGGGTGAGCATGAGGAATGGGAGTCAGCTCCTTCCCAGCACCATTTTGTTAAGTATATCTTATTTTCACAAGCCAAACCTGTATTTGCCAGGGCAGGATAACTGCTGGAACAAACAGCCTCAGTGGTTCAGCACAGTGAGTGCTTACAGACAGTCCTGACTTACAATGGCTTGACTTACAAATGTTCAACTTTATTATGGTGTGAAAGCAATATATATTCAGTAGAAATCATGCTTCTCTCTCAATGCTGGGCAGCAGCAATGAGCCACAGCTCCCACTCAGCTACATATTTTTGGCATAATGATATTTTCAACTTATGATGGGTTGATCAAGATGCGACTACATGGAAAGTCAGGGAGCGTCTATATTTCTTGTTCACGTAACATTCCAATGGGCAAGTTCCTGCTCTGATGGTGCTCCTGGGCACCTTTCCTGCTTCTGACTTTTGGACCTGCCACATTCTGGGATTATAAAGGATTCGCCTTCCAGGCATACCAAGAGGGAAAGAGCCAGCATGGAGCATTGCTCAGGAGGCTGTTTGGGGCTGGGCCTGCAGCCAGCATAGGTCAATTCAGCCACATCCCACTGGACAGAGCCTAGGCATATGGCTACACAGAAGTGTCAGAGAAACTGGGAAGTGTGGTGTAGCCGTGAGCCCAAGAGGAGAAGGACACAAGTGTGTTGGGTAATGAGGCAGCTTCTGTCACAAGGCACCAAGGAGTGACCACAAAGACAAGGAAATCAGGCAGAAAACTGTTATAGGGGAAAGAGCTTTTTAGAAATGGTTTACCCGATTCCAGGAAAGTCTTTAGAACTACCACTGCTCTCTTCACCCAAACTTAAATCATAAAGAACAACAACAACATGATAATAACAGTAATAATAAGGTTGGGGGAATGCACCTAAAAAACTGGCTAAATCCACACTAGAGAGGATATGCAATGAATTAGAGATTATGTTATAGTTGTAGTGTTGGCCATCAAACCCATCAATAACTAACATATAAGAGCAAACGTTAGTTCAAGTTTCCCTGTCTTGGTGGCAATTCGACCCACATTGTCTTTCCATGTCCTGGTTGTTCTAGCTTTGCTACAATTCCAAGCCAGTGGACAGCAAACCACAGCCTGAGGTCACATCCCACCTACCTGCTGTTCTTGCACGGCCTGCAAGACGAGAATGGTTCTGGCATGTTCAAATGATTGCACAAGGCCGGGTGCAGTGGCTCACACCTGTAATCCCAACACTTTGGAAGGCTGAGGTGGAAGGATTGCTTGAGGCCAGAGTTCAAGACCAGCCTGGGCAACATAGCAAGACCCTGTCTTTACAAAAAATTTAAAAATCAGCCAGGCTTGGTAGTGTTCGTCTGTAGTTCCAGCTACTCCACAGGCTGAGGCGGGAGGATCGCTTGAGCCTAGGAGTTCAAGGTTGCAGTGAGCTGTGTTTATGCCACTGCACTCCAGCCTGGGTGACAGAGTGAGACCCTGACTCAAAAAAAATTTTTTTAATTTAATTTAAGAAAAAAAAGTAAGAGTTTGTCAACCCCAGGTCTAAGCCTGATTGCTTTCTGCTGTTAAAAACTGATCAAATCCACTGTTTGGACTTCTCAGGGTACAGTCTATTTGACGTCCAATCTTTTCATTGTCTCTGCTTAAACCGAACAACAGGTGAGCAACTCTTCCTGGACCTCCCTTGCTCTTGCTGTTCCTACTGCATCAATTCATACAGCATGGAAACCTCCATAAATACAGCATCTACTGACCTGGGATGCCCCTTTTGTTTTTGATGTCTGAACCAGGGAGATTTTGCTAAACTTCAAAAGTCTTAAGCAGAAGAAGAAATATTTAGGTTTGTGCATGACGTGGAAGCTTTCCCATCATTTCTTTAAAGGGCTTCCCTATAGGCTTTAATAGGCTTCCCTCTATTTTCTATGTCCCATTTATAAACACCGCCACTCCCGGCTATAGCAGTTGGGATTCAAAACTACTTCCTCCGCTGGTGATTTATCATTTCACTAGTTTATACTCATCCTGCATCTGTTCCTTAGGGCGGCCATAACAAAGTCAAAGCCAAGATTTACTCAAGTCTGAATTCAAAGCCCAAAATAATTCCATCCCATGAGCTCATTTTCCCAGCACTTTCTCTACCCCAGGATAAAATGCCATGAATCTATTTACTATCCCCACAGTCCTTATACAGATCCGCTGATTTCATCTGATATTTTCTGACCTATGGGTCCTTTTCTCTGCCTGAAACAAAATATCTACTTAATCTTTCTTCTTCGGTCTTCATCAAGTACTTCATCAAGTACTTTAATTCCTAAATTCAACGATGTGACTCCTTTACTCTCCTCTGTAGCTAACAGAATTACACAGAAAATCCTGCAATTAATAATAGCCATTAACACCTTTTTACACCTGTGTAGAGTTCTGTCATTTATTTTATATAAATATATATTTCCCACTGGTTTTAACCCACAGTGAACCTGTCTTGAAATACAGCCTCCCGAAGACCCCTCCAGGTTGGCCACACTACCTGGGCTCACTTCTACGGGCCCACCTTGCTGTGCTCAGGCCAACACACCTTCCTGAGCCTACTGGCAACTCAGCTTCCCACATCACACTGATTACATAATTATGCCTCTGGCAACTTTTATTGTCATTTGTAAGTGGCTACTATTGAAGGAAGCCACACATTTTTCCTGAATTTTAGGTCATTTTTGCTCTCCCAGACACAGCTTCCATTTGGACTACCAAGAAGTAATTGTTTACCTCCACAAGTTTCCATCATGCCATACACTAATGGCCGACTAGTTATGTAATCATTAAACAAAATCCTCAAAGCTTCAAGGTATTTCAAAAAAATATTTTTATTATAAAGCGATGGATAACCCTTAGCTAAGTTATGAGCCAATTCCTATTTTGTAAAGTTGTGAATTCTATTACACAATGGTTACCTTTCATGGGAGAAAAGACAGAGCACTATTCGCGTCCAAATGCAGAAACTGGAAGCAATGCAAACTACCAAATTGTCTTCAGCTAAAACAAAAACCAAACATTTCATAATTGAGCCAAGACCCTAATCCAACTCATAACAGTAAATCAGTGGCACAGATGGTAGCCATGGCGACCTTATTTTGGCTCTATATAATCTACATGTCAGATGTCGCACACGTGAGATGGGATGTTAGAGTATTACCAAAATAGTGAACAATGGGCTCACTTCAGATTCCCAGATTCCTTGACCTTAAATTTAAACTACCCTTTTAAATCCATCTGAAAATATTCAAGACAGCACTCAGGCTTCCTGATTTATGCTAACAATTTGATCGTCCTTCCCTTCTTTTAGCAAAGCTCACCACATTTGAATACACTGAACGTTTAACCACCTCAACACATTTCTGATCAAAGCAAGTGTGAAATAATTTCTCCCGCTTTGTACAGCAAAATTCTTTCTGCAAGTAAGTAAGAGGAGATAATGCAATTCAAAAGGCCTGAAGACTGGGCTTATATTATAGAAGATGTATTTGCTAATATAATCACATGAAATTGTTTCTTTTGTTTTCTTAAGCCTCAGCTGGGAGACAGTGGCAACTGAAACAGTGTTCTCACATTGTATCCTGATCTTCAAGATGCTTTACAAATGAAATTACTTTCTGATAATGAAATCCACTAGACTGTGGGAGAGCCTATTAGGAGAAGCCCCATGATCCCCCTCACTGCTTTGGGCCATTTCAAAGCTGATGCTCAGGGGCCCTTCCCTGACTCTGGAAGGAAAGCCAACGAGCAGATCCTGCGTGGAGAGAGGGAACGCGGAAGCCCTGTCTCCCGGCCTTGTGCTTTAACATCCAATTCTCATTATTTGGGCCTCCAGGGGCAAGGAGCTCGCAGTACCGGGGAGGTGAAACACCACCTGAAATGCAGGAAAAGTCTGGAGTTTGTCGTAAAATTTTAAAATCCGCATCCTTCCTATAGAATTGTCTAAGCTTCAACTTTTTCAGAAGAAATGTTCTGATCAGGAATAATCCTAGTCTAACTGCAAGTCTTTACCAAAGCGGGCAGGCAATCTGAACACTCTCTTGCCTATGCCCTGCTCTCCCATGAGTCGTTGGAGTTTAACTTGCATTTTCCGCCCCGTTCAATTCCCTTGGTCCTGGGTTGAGTGGATCTTGTGAGAGAAAAGGACACGACCCCAGAATCTGCAGAGAGTGTAGAGTTTTCCTTGGAGCAATGGGTCCCATACTTTAGCAGCAAGTATATCAGGATCCCTTGGAAGTATTTTTTTTCTTTTTCTTTTTTTCTTTTTTAGACAGGGTCTCACTCTGACAACCAGGCTGGAGTGCGGTGGCACAATCTTGGCTCACTGCAACCTCAATCTCCTGGGCTTGAGCAATCCACCCGCCTCAGCTTCCCGAGTAGCTGGGACTACAGGAGCACACCACCAAGCCCGGCTAATTTTTGTATTTTTTGTAGAGACAGGGTCTCACTACGTTGCCTGGTCTGGTCTCGAACCCCTGGGTTCAAGTGATCCGCCTGCTTCAGCCTCCCAAAGTGCTGCAATTACAGGCGTAAGCCACCATGCCCAGCCTAGAAGTGTCGTTGGAAAGGGCCACCCACCCAGGAGTTCCTGATTCAGCAGGTCTAGGTCGGGCCCAAGAATGTGCATTTCTAATAAGCTCCCCAGTGAGGCAGATGTGGCCACAGAGAGCAGCACTTTTCCAGAACCGCTAACCTGGAGTTTAATTAAATAAGCTGTGGGGAGGATGTGAAAAACTCATTGCAAGCTCATTCGCAGAAGCTGCCACTTGATTGGCACACATTGTTTTGTCGCGACATGTTTTCTTTAACACCTGTCTGATTGCACACATTTTCTATTTGGAGAGAAGCCACACTTCCCAGGTTAGAATCACAGCTTCCCGCAAGTGTGTGGTCTGAAGGAAGTCTCTGAATGTCCTGGGGTCTTAGTAAGGACGTCAGAAGGGGGCACAGAATGAATTGGGGCAAGTAGAGCAAAGCAGTCAGACTGCCCGGTATGTGAGACAGCCCAGAAATGCAGTGATTTTTATTCTTATTTTTACCCGCCTCGGATGTGAAAGCTGTAATATAACCGACTCTGGTAAATCAACACCAGTGGGTCGTAATTCCTTATAGCATTCATGTGCAGCCCCTACAAGTGTTAAGTGGTTTAGCGTCTCCTTGGCCCTAGATGGTACTAAGCGGAAGTAAGAGTATGTTGTGCTGTTACGTTTAAGAAGATGACTTGGGCCGATCACGGTGGCTCGCATTTGTAATCCCAGTACTTTAGGAGGCTGAGGCGGGAGGATAGATTGAGGCCAGGAGTTTGAGATCAACCTGGGCAAGATAGTGAGAGCCCCCTCTCTACAAATAAAAAATTAAAAAATTAGCTGGTGTGATGGCATGCAGTTGTGGTCCTAGCTACTTGGGAGACTGACATGGGAGGATCCCTTGAGCCCAGGAGGTCAAGGCTGCGTTGAGCCATGATGGCACCACTGCACTCCAGACTGGGTGACAAGGTGAGACCCTGTCTCCAAAAAAACAAGGCGACTTAGTAAAAAATCGGGGGGAAATATGGCAATAAATATAAGAAAACTTAAGGAGGAAATATTATGTCTATAGGAAAAGCATGGTTATATATCAAGGTAAATACTGTGCCCAGTTCTCATCTAATTATTGTGAGGGTTGTCAAAGAAGAAAATTGATTTTATAACCTCTAGAATTTTTTCAAAGAAGGGAGGGAGGAGGGAAAGAGGAGAGAGAGAAGAACCTGAAAGGAAACGGGAAATGAAAAGAAAAGGAAGCAAAGGGAAAAGAAATCTCTCAAAACATCAGGTGTGCCTTTGTTTAGTTGAGTATAGACTGTCTGTGGTGGCTTGGGGTCGTGGCGTTTTAATTGCACAATGCACCAATATGATGCTGCGCGTGCAGTGTAAACAGCTAACTGAAAGCAGAGTACCAAATGAATACACACAAGCCTCGGAAGCCGCCTCAACCGGGGCAGCTGCTGCCCTTCACCGAGCCCTGGAACTTCTTTTGTTACCTGAGCCCTTAACACTCGTCTCCAGGCAACCGGCGCCCCCTCCCCACCGTCTAGAGTGGGAGGCGCCGGCCCCCGGCAGGGCTGCGGCTCTCCGGTTTCATCCCACCGGTCCAGATTGCTGAGGAGTTATGTTTAAATAACTTCTCTATTCCGTAATCAGTACGCTCCTCCCGACCCATTAATACAGCGAAGCTGCAGTCTCATATTTGGGGCCTCGAAATCACTTCTGATTGCAGGGTGGGAAAACAAACCACCACCAAAGTTACAGGTTATACACGATACCCAGACAGAGGCCCACAAACAGATGTGTATACCTATATGTGCACACAAACATGCACACAGTACACACGCACGCACATGCATGTGTGCATGCAAACACGCATGTGCGTATATACACAGAAACACACAAATGCAGACACAAACATGTAAACGCCATGCATGCAATTGCGTACACACGTGCATATGTAGGCAGTATCATGTCTGTACACACATGCACACCTATGTGTGCATATGGGTATGTGTGCATACACGTATGCATACAGACACACATGCCCATATACACACATGCACATGCATATACACCCACACATATTAATATGGTGAGCTCTGTTTTTCAACTGAGAGACTGAATAAAGTAGGGACATTTTAAGGCCTTTCCTCAAAGAGGTTCATTGTTTAAAATTGTAGGCCAGGGCAACAACATTCTAAAGACTCGAGGCTTTGAACTCACACCTCCAGTATTCCAGTCTCTGCTGTGTGCTACATCGGGCCCTTCCTTCTCAGAGCACAGGAACTGTCAACCTTGGGGTTCTGGGTGGAACCCTATGGGTTCTCTCTCTTATCACAATGATGGCTTGCCCTGGGGCCGACCTAGCCACCTCCAACTCCTACCAAGCACCACGAAGCTTTCCATAACAGGAGACCAAGTCAAAGAAAGGTAATGGCCACCGCCTTTCTCGTATTGATCTTCCGCTAACAGGCAGATCATAACTGAGCACGTCAACCCAAACCTAATGTATTCCGGGGCTTACTCCTTGGCAAAGTGGACCAGCCCTGTTCTCCCTGAACCAAGGCAAGAAAACTATGTAGAAAGCAGAACATGAGAAATCAATCTGATAAAATGAGACCAGCTCAGAGAACAGTAAACAGTGACCTCTCTCCCTCAGTCACCTGTCTGCTCTGCAAATTAGGAACTAGGTCTTCCTAGCAGGTAGGCAGGTGCCAGGTGGGGCCCAGGTGTGGGCGGCAGTGGGAAGGGGAGAGGAGAACCCACCCTATACACCGCATTCCCGCCGGCAGACCAAACAGCCGGCGGCACTTTGGTCGCTGGATGCGGGGAGCAAAGAACAATTCATTAAAGGCTTTCAGGATGAAAATCCTCACAACAAATTGCCTTTCTCCTCTCCCTCTGAGTCTTCACTCTTATGTAAATGTATTCAAAAAACCACCACTGTGCTTTCAGTGAAATGACACCACAAAGCTACCAGAGGTCTCCGGGCTGTCTGGGTGCTTGGCAAATGTTTCTAACATCCCTATTAAAACACAGCCCGGATCTGCAGCATCCAAACGGAGGGAGATTAGCCGCGAGGCAGGGCGCCTTCGGACGGAGCTAAGCTGGGGCTTCCGAAGCGTCTCTCCTCCTGATCTCTATCAGGCAATTTTACGTAATCAGAAAAAATCAGCTTGCAAATGAAACCTAAACTTCAGAGTCAAAAGTTGAAAATGGAAAGTTTTTTTGTTTGTTAATGGATATGGTTTTAATCCAAATGAACAACGTAGTTATATCCATCAAGTCCTGATTCTGTGAAGTTTCCAGTCAATTTTAATGCCAGCTTTTGTTCCACATCTTCAAAAGCCGATAAGATGAACAGGAGGGATGTTCATTAGAGGGTCAAGTTAAATTGCCATACTGCCATCAGTAGAAAGAAAAAAAGGAGGTCAGCATGTGCAAGCACTGCAGTTTCCAAATCGTTTCTATACCTTTTCATGTCAGGGATGACAGGAAAGATTGTATTTCACTTAAGCCCTGTCTTCCCCCAAAACAATTTCTTATATAACCATATATATAACCATAATCAGTTAAATACAACAATGAAATACTTTGTGGTAATTGTCCAAGGTAGAAATTCAGAGTAATATTGGAGTATTAACCCATTTTTGTTTTATTCATGTCAAGTTCATATACCAGTTTACTTGTGATTGGATTCCTCAAGTATCACTTCAATATCATCAGACTCAGAAGGGACAGTCCCTATTTGCCGTGCCGGGTATGCTGTTTGATCTGTCCCTTATAAGCACATTTATGCTTGAAGCCTAATGCCATTTAACTGTGTATCATAATCACGACAAAAAGAGAACGGAAAGGAGGAAGCACCAGTCAATTATCTCATCGAACCCCCGAAAGAACTATCTACCCCCCACCTCACAAAGGAGCAAACAGATTCATGATGATGAGTGATCTGCCCCAGGCCCCCCTACACCGGGCTGGACACAGGCTCCAGACCCAGCTGCATCATCACTCACCCGCTTCACCCACACAGACGCACCTGCAGATCCTTCACTGCCTGCAGATGAAAACACACCATTTCTCACCTAATCCATGCGCAGCTCCATTTTGGCTCTTGGGCAGGGATCTAATATCTTCGCAAGCATAAAAGAAAGAAATCTCACCCTCACAAGTATTAATACACAACAGGATGAAAGAGTCTCGATACTCAATTCCAGCAGCCTCCACGGCTGCCCAAAAAACAGCAGCATATTGCACCCACACAGGGTCTCAGATGAATTCAGCAAGGAAATGTCTGCTTCCCTGATTTTCCCTAGAGCTGGGATTCTCAATGCTTTAAAGTCAATTCCATTTTTATATCGATTAGATTTTTAAATAGTATTATACCTTATTTTAAATTCTCACAGGGCCAGGCACAGTGGCTCACACCTGCAATTCCAGTGCTTTGGGAGGCCAAGGTGGGAGGATCACTTGAGACCTGGAGTGAAAGATCACCCTGGGCAACATAGTGATCCCTCATCTCTACAAAACATTAAAAAATAAAAATTAGCCAGATGTTGTGGTGCACTCCTGTAGTCCCAGCTACAGGGGAGTCTGAGCAGGGAGGATTGTTTGAGCCCAGGAGTTCAAGACCAGCCTGGGCAACATGGAGAAATCCCATCTCTACAAAAAATTAGCTGGGCATGGTGGCGTGAGCCTGTGGTCCCGGCTACTCAGGGAGCTGAGATGGGGGGATCACCTGAGCCCAGGAGGTGGAGGCTGCAGTGAGCTGAGATCACCCACTGCACTCCAGCCTGGATGACAGAGCAAGATCCTGTCTCAAAAAAAAAAAAGAAAAGAAAAGAAAAAAGAAAAAGAAAGAAAAGAAAAGAAAAAAGAAAAATGAGGAATCGATGGAACAAATGACAACATGTCCCCCCATTAGACACAAAGTAAAATCTTCAATAAACGTTGCTAAGAAACCTTTCACTTCATGTGGCGGATATTCAGCACCCCAGATTCCATGCTCTTTTCTGGTCTTATAAAAGAGAAGGATAATTCTGTTTCCCATTATACAATCCTCTATTAAAATATGATCTTCCCAGAATCTCTCAAAGCTGCAGATAGCTATACAATATAGTTCGAGCTGATAAGACATAAGTAGAGGTCTTTCAGACATTTCTGGGAAAGAATTTGCTTTCCTGATAGAGACCTCTCGCTTCCCTTCTTTCCTCTTTCTTTCCTTGCTTCCTTTCTTCCTTCCTTCCTTCCCTCCTCCCTCCCTCCCTTCCTTCCTTCTTTCATTTCTTCCTTCCTACCTCCTTTCTTCTTTAGAACACACACTTTGGGGAAGCTTGCAGAAACAAAGTACTAAGCATGATGATTAAGGATACAAGCCGGGGACAAGAGTGGGAAGGAGACAGAGCGTGGGATGCTGGTGAGAACATTGGGTCACAGCACCAGCCCTGCCTGGACTGTGTTTATCTGGGTCATTTTCATTATGAGAAGAAGAAATTACAGCGACCCTTGAACAACACAGGTCTGAATTGCACTAGTCCACTTATACGTAATTTTTCTTCAGCCTCTGTCACCCCTGAGACAAGACCAGCGCCTCCTCTTCCTCCTCCTCTTCAGCCCACTCAACAAGAAGATGACGAGGGTGAAGACCTTCGGGATGATCCACATCCACTTCGTGAATACAAAGTATATTTTCTCTTCCTTAGGATTTTCTTCATGACAATTTCTTTTCTCTGGTTTACTGTATTGTAAGACTACAGTGTATAATTTGTAAAACATGCAAAATATTCTTTAGTTTACTTTTCTGTCTGTTTGTTTTTGAGACAGGGTCTGGTTCTATTGCCCAGTCTGGAGTGCAGTGGCACAACCTCAGCTCACTGCAACCTCTGCCTCCCAGGCTCAAGTGATCCTCCCACCTCAGCCTCCTGAGTAGCTGAGGCTACAGGCACTCACCACCAGGCCTGGCGAATTTTTGTATTTTTTGTAGAGATGTGGGTTTCACCATGTTGCCCAGGCTAGTCTCGAACTCCTAAGCTCAAGTAATCCACCCGCCTCGGCCTCCCAAAAGTGCTGGGATTACAGGCGTGAGCCACTACGCCCAGACCTCATTAATCGACTGTTATTGGTAAGGCTTCTGGTCAACAGTAGACTATTAGTAGTTAAGTTTGGGGGGAATAAAAAGTTATCCGTGGATTTTCAGTTGTAAGGGGCTCAGGCCCCTAACCCCTGAGTTGTTCAAGGGTCAACTGTAATTCCTGCTTGGTCAAGGCTATAAGCCTAACCCTAGCATGATTGATATGATTAGCCCAGTATTGCCCAGACTTATTTGGACACATAAGCTCTTTTTCCTAGTAGGCTCTGTTAACAACAACTCACAAAACTAGTTCTGCTGATCATATTTTTTGAAAAACTGACCATATTTATTTAAATAAAGGGAGGGGAGAGTTCTTCTACTTTGACATTTTAATAGCCCATGTGCTGCTCTTTGGAGGTTGGCGGGGTGAGTTTTAATGAAAGTAACCATAGTGGAAAATAACTCAAAGAATAAAACTCAGAAATCCTGGAAGCATTATGTCAAAAGTGTATTAGTCACCTTTATCTCCAGAACACAAACATTTTAAATATTATGTTCTACTGCAAAATTTATAACCTAGTTTTTATTACTGATTTGCATTACTTGGACAGGAGTTATCATTTAAACCATCTTCCATGAACAAAATATATACCACAGCTGCTTGCTACTCTGCCTTCTTTTACCTACAGTAATTCAAAATAAGCACCAGCTCTTTCTTGTTCCTATTTTACACATTCCGACATGCAGGTCTGGAAGGCAGTGTGGAGTTGCCAAGATGGGAACTGGAGTCAGGACCGAAGGGCTGTCCTGGAGCCGGGCCTTCTGAGAGGGCAGTCACCGGGCACAGCTAGCTGTTCCGCACCAGAAACGTGGCTAGTATGTATGGAGATGCCCCATAAGTGTAAAATACACACAAGATTTCCAAGATCCCATATGAAAAAAGAACATAAACACGCCATTAATAATTGATATATTAATTATAGGTTGAAATCATAATATTTTTGATGTATTAGGTTGGCCACATATATTATTAAAATTAATTTCATCTGCTTATTTTTCATAATGGGGCTGCTAGAAAATTTAGAATTACAAATATGGCTTGGATCTGTGACTGGCATTACATTTCTATTAGACAGTGAGTTCTAGACACTTTTGTTCTTGTTGTTGTTGTTGTTGTTGTTGTTGTTGTTGTTGTTGAGACAGGGTCTCACTCCATCACCCAGGCTGGAGTGCAGTGGCACAATCTCGGCTCACTGCAACCTCCGCCTCCCAGGTTCAAGTGATCCTCTTATCTCAGCCTCCTGAGTAGCTGAGACTACAGGCATGTGCCATCATGCTCGACTAATTTTTGTAATTTTTGTAGAGATGGGGTTTTGCCATGTTGCCCAGGCTGGTCTCAAACTCCTGGACTTAAGCGATCCACCTACCTCAGCCTCCCAAAGTGGGAGGCCACCGTGCCCAGCCTTAGACACTTTTTTCTCATTATTATGTTGTGACTTGTTAGGAGAATCTTTGGGCCTCAGTTTCCCCTATCTATAGAATGTGGTGCTTGGAACATGTTTTTCGCAGCTTTAGACTTGTGGATTGTCAAAGCTGTGCATTTCCTCTTTCCTTTCCTTGTCTCCTAAGAAAAACAGTCCTTTAACATCTTCCTGGGAAGAACATCGAGCTTACAGTCAGAAAGTCTGGTGTGAGTCCTGTTTCTGCCACTCCACGGCCAAGTAAGTGACTTTGGAAAGGTCACTGATTCTTTAGTATCAGTTTTGCTGAGAGAAACCCATATTTAAAATGTTTTAAATAAAGTCCTCCCCAAATGTTAGGCTGGCTCTGAGTAGACATGTGGTTGTCTTGAAAGAGGGTATTTATTCACAGAGACAGAAAACAATATGTAGGAAAAGTCTTTTGAATAATGGAGGAACGTCTTCCCAGGAGCTTGCAGCCTGAAGCCTAAAATGCAGAATCACAAAAAATGCCTCCCACAACTGCCTTATGAGTTACTTTCAATCATCCTTCTGAAGACTGCAGCAATTAGCACTTGGGTTCCCAAGGGGAAGTGAATCTCAGTAAGACAACAATTATGTAGCAGATACTCTTCCAAGTACTCAGAATACAGCAAGAAAACAAAAATTCTGTCATGGCTTCTCCTGCTTATGGTGATTATGTTCCTGAGATTCCAGAAGTTATAGCATTGCAAAGACCTGTGCAGGAGCAATTAGGAACAAAAGTAGCTAGCACAAAAGACATGCAGGTGGAAAAGGTTCTATAAACATGACAGAAAGTGCCTCTCTATTAAAGTTAGAACTTTACACACAAATTGTCTCAGAATTTTGCAGTGAGTTGATCTCTTGTGACATAAGTAGGTGACAAATCAGAGATAGGTAAGTATAGAATGACTAAGAAGATGAAGTAGAACAGAAGACAACAGATATCCCTGGTGATGCTAGAAGCCAAATTAGAGGAGACGTTGAGGATCCAAAGCAGAAGGGCAGAGGCAGGGCTCGGGGCAATTTCCTGAAGTTCAGCTTTAGAGTGGGTTTCTCATACCATGGGCAGCAATTTGCCCAATGATCAAGTTTGCAGGTTTAGGAACCAACGAATCACTTCAGAAGCCACTCTAATATGTATAAGTGGATATTTTTCCTAAAACTTTGTATATGTTGATGTCTTAACTGTTATTAAACCATATGCAACGTATTCACTGTCGTAATCCATGTCACTCAAGGACTCACTGTCTTGGATTTCCCCAGAATCAAGTTAAAATAATGTATTAAGATATTTTACAGGCCAGGCATAGTGGCTCATGCCTGTAATCCCAACACTTTGAGAGGCTAAGGTAGGAGAATAGCTTGAGCGCAGCAGTTCAAGACCAGCCTGGGTAACACAGGGAGACCTCATCCTACAAATCTAAAAAAATTACCCAGCCTGGTGGCCCACACCCGTGGTCCCAGCTACTCAGGAGGCTGAGGTGGGAGGATCACTTGAGCCCAGGAGGTGGAAGTTGCAGCGAGCTATGATCATGCCACTCCACTCCAGCCTGGGCAACAGAGCAAGACCCAGTCTCCAAAAAAAAAAAAAAAGATATTTTACAGAATACTAGCTCATGGTGGCCCTGGACCTTCAGGATCAGAATTTGCTCTGCAACAAGATACCCTAGTGATCCATGAGCACATGTAAACACCACTGATTTAAGCTCTTTCTCCTCTTTTTGATAAAGTCCTTATTCCAATGACTTCAAATATCATCTGTGTAGATGACTCCCCTTATAAGACTGTGTTCATACTATTATTATATCAAGCTGCTGCAACTTCCTACTTATTTTTTTCTTTTTTTTTTTTTTTTTTTTTTTTTAGACAAAGTCTCACTCTGTCGCCCAGGCTGGAGTGCAGTGGTGTGATCATGGCTCACTGTAACCTCGACCTGCAGGGTTTAAGCAATCTTCTTGCCTCAGCCTCTCGAGTAGCTGAGACTACAGGCATGTGCCACCATGCTCAGTTAATTTTTTTTTCTTTTTTTTTTTTTTTGTAGAGATGAGGTCTCATTATGTTGCCCAGGCTGTTCTCAAACTGCTGGCTCAAGGAGTCCTCCCACCTTAGAGTCCCAAAGTTCTGGGATTACAGGCATGAGTCACCATGCTTGGAGTCCTCCTTATTCTGATTTTGGTAGCTGTGTTTTTTTTTTTTTTAGACAGTCTCGCTCTGTTGCCCAGGCTGGAGTGCTGGAGTGCAGTGGTACAATCTCAGCTCACTGCAACCTCTGCCTCCTGGGTTCAAGCGATTCTCATGCCTCGGCCTCCTGAGTAGCTGGGATTACAGGCACCCACTACCACACCCAGCTAATTTTTTTGTATTTTTAGTGGAGACAGGGGTTTTGCCATGTTGGCCAGGCTGGTCTCAACTCTTGGCTTCAAGTGATCCACTTGCCTCAGCCTCCCAAACTGCTGGGATTACAGGCATGAGCCACTGAGCCCGGCCTGGTAGCTGTGCTTTTAATGTAGAGTTTACAAGTGGTCTCTGTTTCCTAGAGTCACTGACAATGTGGCTTGGAGGTTGCCATTCTCCTTGGAGCTCTGTATGGTTCCTGGGAGAAGGCAATGCAGAATTAAGCTGCCACCATGCTTCTATCAGAACCAGAAATTGTATTCTCGGACACTTTTGAAATGATTTATTCTTTATTCCCTCTGTTTTTCAGTTTTCTTTTTTGTTTTCTCTTCCTCGAACTGCTATGTTCAGCTACTGGACCTGCTGGAGTGGTCCTGTAATTTTCTCTTTTGTCATCCATTGCTTCTTGGTGTTTTTGTTCTATTTCCTAGGAGATCTCCCCAACTCCCTCTCAGGAAGTGAGCCCTGTCTGTATACACCCAGATCCAGCTGGCATGTACATCCATGTCTGTCAGCCTGTCTTCCAACTGCCGACACCGACAACTCTTGGCTTGGGGACTTTCTGTGGTAACCAGATTCCACTCCACTCTTGAGGGCAGCAAGCTGTAAAGGGGGGCGGGGGGGAATTATTCTAACGTGGAGCAGTTCTCAGCTAATGACTGACGGGCTTCACTCACTCAGCACGGCTCCCTGGAGATCTGTCAAGTTACTGCACACATCAATGGTTTGTTCCTTTCATTGCTGAGTAGTGCTCCACAGCACAGACGTACCACAGTTTCTTTACCACCCATCTGTCAAGGAACACTAGGAGCTGTTTGTAGTTTGGGACCATTATGAATAAAGCTGCTATGAATATTCGATGCAGGTCTTAGGAACTAACGAAATTTATGTGAACCTAATTTCTCTGCAACAAATACCCAAGGGGGCAATTGCTCAGTGGTACAGTATTTGCATGTTTTACGGTGGCAGGATTTTGAAGAATCATCAATGCCAAGCTACAGGAGTTTGGATTTCAAAGAATGGCATGAAAAGTGTTCACAAACTTTTGGGTAGACGGCATGTGATCAGAGTAGTCCCACATTAAAAGTAAGAATCCCGTGCAATATGGAGACCAAATTGGACAGGAAGAGTCTGGGCCACGGTAATCAAAGGTAGGACAAGGTACGTGAACTCAGACGGGGTCACTGAGGGAGGACAGGGGAAAAGGACCCAGGAGCAAGGTACTTTGAGATCTTAGGGAGTTAATTCCACAGTTGGAAAAAAGATATCCTTGTAAATATGCCTCTCTGGACTTCTTCAGCCCTCAGGAAGACGTTCGAGGAGAAATATAAACAAAGAAAAGCAAAATAGAAACTAGTTGTGGTCAAATGTATTTTTAATTAATGTGTCCGTCTAACATTAAAAATGATTCCTATAAACAAAAACTATGGCTTCAGTAATAGCTGAGAGAAGATTTTCCCCCTCATTTTTTCCAGTCTGCAGCCTCCGAAGCCTCCAAGTACTGCTTTTAATAAAATAAAACACAATGTGCTTCTGTGGGTAAATTATGATTTTCCCCTAATATATTCTAATTCAAACTATTTTCAGAGCCTGATCTGAAAATTGCTCCCATATCTATAAAAAGCACATGTATTTTGAGAAATAAAAGATGAGAAACAAGACGAAAAAGATACTAAAAAAAAAAAAAAAAAGTTGCAGCCTGTCTGGTTACAGCTTGAGCCAAGAATCTGAGAAAGAAAATGTCCTGAGAAAATCGTTCTCTCCAACAGTTTCAAAAAAGAAAGAGCCCAGACAAAAATAAGCCTCTGGCAAATGGAGCCTGTGCAAGAATCCATCCAAAAAATCTAATTTAAAAAATATAGTATCTTACTTGCACATCATATTTTGGATACCTGAAAGATAAATTATTATTAAATTTTTTAAAGAATGATCCCAACTTTATCACAGCCCCCTATCTCTTTGTAGTTTCTTATAATAGGGTTAAAGTTGGCTGGTTTATTTATTTGTTTTTTTTTTTTTAAGTTGTTTTTCACAAAACCTTAGAAGTAGAAAGCAAACCTACCATTCAATGTTTCAAAGCTGGCTGGTCAGGAAACCCAGTTTCAGCAAAGAAGAAAAGCCATGCAAAACAAACAAAGAAAGAGAAGGCCTGCAAAGATGTATTTGGACTTGGTTTTCTTCAGCCAAAGGGATAGCACAGTTGTTGCAATTTCGTTAGATGAAACAACTATGAACAACTCCAGTCAGAGACTACGGGTTGCTGAATCCAAACACTGCTTTCCCTAGATTCATATGTTTCTCTAATAGTCTCTTTCTCCAGCCTGTTCCTGTGTTCTGCTATACAAGGAACACACAGTTCTTGCTCCAAGAGTGTATTTAATGAGACATCAGGCAATGTTTCAGTCGTAGAGCCACCCCCAGAACTCTGAAGCTGATTCTCATAAGGATGTATGAGGTGCATCTCTTAACGCTCTGAAGTGGGCAGGTGAGTTTTCTCTGCCATATTTACAAATATCTGCACTCGTCTTCAGAGGCTGCCAAGGGTAGAGAGATTTTATAAAATCTGACACACCAGAATTTTTTAACTAGCTTGCAAATCCTGAATATCCCAGATTTTCTTACATGTGAATGTGTTCACTATCAAACCATAGCACATACAAATGTGCTCTGTATCCAATACATTTAGGTAAATGTGACCTGTTTACTTGAATTACCATTATAGTTAGTTGTTAGGTGCTCGAGTATACATGACTTGTAGCCAAGCGAAGGGGAGGAGCGTAATTCAAAGCCTAAGTATGATTGCATCTACAAAGTTTTTAAATCTTTTATCCATTACACAAGGACATGGCTTTAAAACCACTCTTTTGTTCAAAAGCTGATCACATTCATGATTCCTGAATGGGTGGTTTCTGAACTCACTTTTTTAAAACCTTAATTCTTTTGTGCCATATGCTTATGTATGTCCTGCCCACTAGATTGTGGGGAAATCAGTATATTTACTAAGCACGTTCTCAAATGTAGGTAACAGCATATGACTGACGCCTACACATGAGGGTAGCCAGCCTCCAATGTGGCCCTCAATGATCTTCACCAACTGGAATTCATGCCCTTGAGTTGTCCACTCCCACATCAACCAGGACTGGTCTCACACATCCAGTAGAAACAACAGTGTTTGATTTCCAAGGCTAAGTCCTAAAAGGCATCAACACTTTCACCTTGGCTTTTGGATCACCCACTCTGAAAACGCTGGCTGCCATGTTGTGAGGACACTCGAGCAGCAGGAGGAGAGGTCCACATAAATAGAACAGCCTGCCAGTCACAGAGGGAGCCACTGTGGAGGCACTTGGAAGCAGATCCTCCAGTCCCAGTCAAGCCTTCAGATGAACACAGCCTGGGCTGATGGCTGACTGCAACCTCCTGAGACACTCAGAACCAGAACCACCCCACTAAGTCACTTCCAAATACTTGACCCTCACAATCCCTGAGAGATAAGAAATGACTGCCTTTGTTTTCTCTTAAGCCACTATATTTTGGGATGATTTGTTACACAGCCATTGTAACTGGAATGCACACATACATGTATACACCAAACACAGATTACCCAGAAAAAGACTCAACTCTACTATGAACAAATTTTCGCCAAGGTCTCAGCCCTTCCAGCAGATTATTCAGTGGATCAAATTAAATAATTTTTTATTCATGGTCTTTAAAGGATCCAAACATTGACTGTGAATATTTTGCATATTAATTATATTTTTCATCTTAGAGCCAATGTATCTTCTCCTATAACATTCCTTTTTCTAGTTATATTCTGATAAAGGGCGTGGAGATAGTCTGAATGCCTCTCCAAATTTTTCCATAACTGTCTAGATATGACTGTCCACAACCCATGTGAGTTATGAAATTACGTGATATATCATCTAATTGACAAAAAGTAGAAATCAAATTGAGACGGTATAGAACATGATTTAGTTTTTTTTTACAAAAGCAAGCTTGGCCAGGCACAGTGGCTCATGCCTTTAATCCCAGCTCTTTGGGAGGCCAAGGCAGGAGAATCACTTAAGGCCAGGAGTTCGAGACGAGCCTGGCCAATATGGCAAAACCCTGTCTCTACTAAAAATACAAAAATTAGCTGGGCATGGTGGTGCACGCCTGTAATCCCAGATACTCAGGAAGCTATGGCAGAAGAATTGGTGAACCCAGGAGGTGGAGGGTTGCAGTTAGCTCAGATTGCGCCACTGCACTCCAGCCTGGGCGAAAGAGCGAGACTCTGTCAAAGAAGAAAAGAGAAGAGAAGAGAAGAGAAGAGAAAAAGAAAAGAAAAGAAAAGAAAGAAGGAAGGAAGGAAGGAAGGAAGGAAGGAAGGAAGGAAGGAAGGAAGGAAGGAAAGAAAGAAAGAAAGAAAGAAAGAAAGAAAGAAAGAAAGAAAGAAAGAAAGAAAGAAAGAAAAGGAAGGAAAGGAAGGAAAGGAAAGAAAGGAAAGAAAACTTAATAGAGTTTGGGGAAAATATTGAGATAAAATTGTAAGTATTCTATCAAGTACATTGAAATAAAATTAACCTCAAGGGTTTTTTTTGTTTATTTGTTTTACTGTATGCATGTAATGGACTGAATATTAGCTGTATTAGATGCTACATTGTGAACAAGACTATATTGGATATGCCAAGCCCTTCATTTAATTTTTTTTTTTTTTTGAGACAGGGTCTCACTCTGTGCCCAGGCTAGAGTGCAGTGCTGCGATCACAGTTCATTGCAGCCTCAACTTCTCCAAAGCCCTTTGTTTTTAAGAAACAATTTATCTTGATACAATGAGATTCCTATAAAACAGGCTTGCTGCATTTGCTATGTGTTTTCTATCTTGCTACACCTATACCAAGATGAAATTCTTACCGTGTTAGCCAAAGTCTCTTTCAGTCAAATACATCCCAAATTATATTCATAAAATCAAATGTATGAGATTTGCTCACAGATAAGTGGAATAACTCAGTTCGTGTGAAATTATATGAGCAAACCCAATATCCAGAAGACCCCTAAAGAGAATCCAGCCTGTCATGCATAATAAAATTTAAAACAAAAATTAAGAAGGTTCTCTCACCATAGCAGGGAATTTCTCAAGCACAGAAAACTGCCTTCTATATTCTGAGTAATTACCCAAATAAAATGTCTATTTGTCCCTCCTTCAGCCAGATGTTTCTCCAACCGCAGTGCCACCTCCTCTTTGAAAAGTCTACCCTCTAATCCCACAAGAAAACATCTTGTAAAAATAAGGAAAAAAATTTAGTAAGTGACTATCCTGCTTTCTTGTGTATCTGGATTTAATTTTTCATTATTTACATCAAGGGAAAAGAAACATGGCACAAAGTGGCTTTTTTGCGTACCTTTAAAAAATTTTTTCTGTTGAGCATTTCCTACGACCAGACAATGGTTCTAAGCATTCAGTTATCCAACTAGGATTGCTCATGTAATCCTATGTTGGGATTAGTACTGTTATCCTCTTTTTCACAATAAGGAAACTGAGGCTCAGAGACAGTAGGAAATTTCAGCCAGTTCATCCAGCTAGTATGAGGCAGGATAAGAGTTTGAACCTGGGAAGTCTGATCCCAAAGCCTACACCCTTAACCATTATTCTATGCCCCTGGTCATTTGAATTCATAAAATCAGCCTCCAAGGGCATCTGTACTTAGTGGCTTTAAAACAAGCTATTTTATCATCTATCCCACGGTGCAGAACAGAATGGAATTCCCAAGAAATCTGGGAGTCCCCTGTACAGGTGTTGCATACCTTCTACAAGTCCCTCACACCTTCCAGAAGCTTCTCAAAGATGCCGGTGATGCTGCTTCGTATTATCAATGTACAAAGCAATGCACTGAAAGGGGTTTTCCTGACTTATAAGACTATAATTGAAAAACCAAGTGCTTCTAATTCAACTACCTCAAGAAATTCCAAAAACAGAGTACGTTTTAAGGAAATGTTTATAGTCAAGGACTAGGGTTGGTGGTTTGGTGTCAAGTCAAGCAGCATCAAGAAAGATTTAATTGTTGTTCTAGTCCCATGTTGTAGCATTATGTAGTATGCTGCATGTGTGTTTATTTTTTTAATTAATTTTTTTTTTTTTGAGACAGGGTCTCACCCTGTTGCCCAGGTTGGAGTGAAGTTCCAGCTCACTACAGCCTCAACCTCCCAAGCTCAAGGAATCTCCCACCTCAGCCTTCCAAGTAGCTGAGACTGTATGCATGTAATGGACAGGCACATGGCACCACACCCAGCTAATTTTTGTATTTTCTGTAGAGACGGGGTTTCACCATATTACCCAGGCTTGTCTCTAGCTCCTGAGCTCAAGCCATCCGCCCACCTCAGCCTCCCAATGTGCTAGGATTATAGGCATGAGCCACCACGCCGGGCCTGTATATGTTCTTGGCCAGTTTTAAGATGAGAAACACAACAGTGGCCAACACAAAATCAAAATATACTTGTAAAACATAGTTAATCTAGGGAAATTGATAACTAATATGTAATTAAGGAGAACATAGCAATTGGTACATTGGAAAGCAACTTGACTTTGCTAATGGCAAGCTGTTTGCTAGAAACACAGACACAGACACACACACACACACACACACACAAGGTTATAAAAGGGTAAATAATAAGTGTGGTTCCTTTTGTAACAGGGACTCAGTAATTCACTACCAGGAAGTTTTCTAAAAACTCACCCTACAGAGAAAAGAATCTGAATGAATGTAAAGTGTTAAGGCAGTTGATGGCTGAGGAATTGTCAAATTATCAAAATGCCACGTGATGATGGTATCTGAGTGAGACTGATACCGCTAACCATAAAATAGGTGAGCCCTGCAACAGCTTGACAAGGTTAAGCACCTTAGGAAAGCAATGATAATAAAGATGAAATACTAATTAAAATATCTTCTTGAGTTTATGCACTCTCCTTGGAAAAAATACCAAGAAATCATCACTGGATACTATCTAACTATAATACAGCACTATGATAGATTACCGACTTGTGTTTTTTTCTTTGAGGTATTCAGTTCAATGAAGAATAATTTAATTTAGAATCATTAAAAAGTGTTAGAGCTGAAAGAATCTTTAAAGAGCATGAATGCAATTACCTTGTTTTTAAACGGTGAACCTAAAGCTTGGACAAGCCGACTGAATTACCCCAGATCCTGTCTTTATTTCATTTGTGTTTCCGTTCCCTCATTCAGCACACAAGACATAAACCAGTAACCACGCCAAGCCAGGGTGATGTTGAGCCTGCACAACCTGTGCCACCGCCAGGCAGTGCAAAGCTAATGTTAGATCCAGACCTCCTGATTTCTGGCCAAAGATGCACAGAAAAAAGCACAAAGGCATCTATGTCCATTGTCGGAGTCAAAAGTCTAGCAATAAAGACAGTTTTTTTTTTCGTTGTTGAAACGGAGTCTCGCTCTGTCGCCCAGGCTGGAGTACAGTGGCGCGATCTCTGCCCACTGCAAGCTCTGCCTCCTGGGTTCACGCCATTCTCCTGCCTCAGCCTCCTGAGTAGCTGGGACCACAAGCACCCGCCACCACTCCCAGCTAATTGTTTTTTTGTATTTTTAGTAGAGACGGGTTTTCACCCTGTTAGCCAGGATGGTCTCCATCTCCTGACCTCGTGATCCGCCCACCTCGGCCTCCCAAAGTGCTGGGATTACAGGCGTGAGCCACGCTGCAGCCAGCCAGGAGACACTATTAATACCGAATGGTGATGTCTATGGCAAAAGCACCAACACCATAGCCATCTCCGCAGCAGCCTAAATGATTCTGACAGCCATGGGCCAGTCCACTGATTCCAGAAACACTTAATAGTGAGTTCCGGAAAAGAAAAAGCAATGCCCCATTTTCTTTGGATGTACAGCATGCGGCAAAGCAGTCCACTGTGGAGACCAGAGTACGTGATCACCAAAGATGGCTTGACTGAGCCTAGCAAGTTGCGTTAGAGGGCTTCTGCTGCCATTGTATGTCGCTTCTTGGGCACTTTTCTCATCTTTTTTGACACTGATCTTTAGGAAGAAAGAGGGGAAATTAGGCTAATTGTGGGGAAAAAGGAAAGGTAAAAATGGCCAATGGTCAGAGAGACTTGCAACTGCCCGAAAACAGGCAAGTAAGCACTCGTGTTAAAATAGAGCCACGATGGTAGAGTTAGGGATATCAGCAGATAAAAGCCAAAAGCTAACAGTAAAGGAGAAACACACATGAATGCCTTCATCACAGAAGCTGCTGATCTCTGCACATCAGGAGCTTACAAACTGAAAGAGTTAGAGCAGCATAGACACACAGAAAGTGGATGCCAAAGGAAACAACTGGCACACTCATCCCAGCTGGGATTCAGGGCCTCACTACTCATCACTGGCACCCGCATTAAAGACACAAAGGAAGAAACTAGAAGAAATGAAGCTACAAGATAGCCTTCACCACAATCACTAACACATGGAATATGCGTAGTGTTAATGTGTAGTGTTAAAGCATTAGTTGCTCTTCATTAGCACAAAACATTCCTTCATTTCTTCATTTGTCACCAGCTGTTTTTTTTTTTTTTCATCTCTTTTCTGTGTATCTGTGTTGGTTTAACTCTTTTCATTGGTAAGCCCCTAATGAGTAGAGATCAACAACATCTATTAATTGAAACTAATGCCGAAAAGTACAAAAAAATGTGGATAGAAAAAAATAAACATCTTAGGGATGAAAAGAGCCATTGAAATTTCAAACATGATAGACAGAATCTACTTTAAGCTGGCTGAACACAGCCAAGAAAAGAAATCATGATTAGAAGGCTGAATCAAAAAATCTTCCCAAAACAGACAGACAAAGAGTTACAAATTGGTTTAATCAAAGAAATATTGAGGAACTCCAATCCATATCAACCTAAAGTTCCAATAGAAGAGAATGAAAATAGTCTGGGCGCAGTGGCTCACTCCTGTAATCCCAGCACTTTGGGAGGCTGGGACAGATGGATCACTTGAGGTCAAGAGTTCAAGACCATCCTGGCCAACATGGTGAAATCCCATCTCTAAAAAAAAAAAGAAAAGAAAAAAAAATTAGCTGGACCTTGTGGTGTGTGCCTCTGATCCCAGCTACGCTGGAGGCTGAGGCAGGAGAATCGCTTGAATGGGGGAGGCAGAGGTTGCAATGAGCCAAGATCGTGCCACTGCACTCCAGCCTGGGCAACAGAGCGAGACTCCGCCAAAAAAAAAAAAAGAAGAGAATGAAAATGAAAAGATGGAGAAAGTCTTCAACAGCCCACAACATCAGGCCTGAATCACCCTGGAAACTCTTCAATGCTTAACAAATGTCTTGCACTGCATAAATAGGGAGTTTATAAGTGTGGGGATCCATGTTTCTTGCCTTTTTTTTTTTTTTTTTTTTTGAGACAGGCTCTCACTCTGTCAAGCAGGCAAGAGTGCAGTGGTGCAATACAGCTCACTGCAGCCCTGACCTTCCAGGCTCTCAGCCTCCCAAGTAGCTAGGACTACAGATGCACACCACCATGCCCAGATAACTTTTGTATTTTTTTGTACAGACAGGGTTTTGCCATGTTGCCCATGCTGGTCTCAAACTCCCAGGCTCAAAAGATCCATCCACCTCAGCCTCCCAAAGTGCTGGGATTACAGGCATGAGCCACCACGCTCGGCCACGCTTTTCCAAATGACTAACCTCTATATAACTCCTTAAAATTTACAAATCTTTCTTCACTTACGGCATTTCACTTAGTCCTCTCTTAGCAGCTTTGTGACATGGGTATCATTGTTTATAAAATTTATTTTTACTTTGAATTTTTTATAGAGACAGGGTCTCACTCTGTTACCCAGGCTGGAGTGCAGTGGTGCAATCATAGCTCACTGCAGCCTCAAACTCCCGGCCTCAAGGGATCCTCCCTCCTGAGCTTCCCAAAGTGCTAGCATTACAGGCGTGAGCCACCATGCCCAGCCATGGTATTATTAAACTTATTTGTCACATGAGAAAACTAAAACTCACAGGGAATGTAGACACTTGCTCATCATCCCACAGCTAGAGGAAAATGAGCCATATTTAAATGGTTTTTAAATATGTCCAGTATCTTTGATACTTCTCCTTTCAAAACATGGAGCCCAATTGTTCTTCTTCGAGTGTGGGCTGTATTTAGTGACTTGCTTCCAACAAATAGAATAAGGGTGAAATAAAGGTATGAAACTTCCAAGACTAAGTCATAGAAGGCACTGTGTCTTCCATCTGGCTCTCTCTTTGATCACTCACTCTGAGGGAAGCTAGCCGCCACGTTGTGAGGACACTCAAGCAGCCCATTGGACAGGTCCACTTGCTGCGAATGAGAATGACAATCAAAAGCCAAAGAAGAATTGATGCCTCCTACCAAAAGCCATGTGGGTGAGCCATCTTGGAAGCAGATCCTCCAGCCCCAATTAAGGCTTTAGCTGACTTCAGCCAGGGCTGAAGTCTTAACTGCAATCTCATGAGAGATCCTGAGTCATAACCACCCAAGTAAGTTGCTCCCAAATTCCTATCCCTAGAAACTATGTGATAATAAACAGTTGTTGTAAACTGCAAGGGAGTGACTTGTCACATGGCAATAGGTAATAAATATGCCAGGAATTAAATCCAAAGGTCTCAACCCAAAAGCCTGTGCTTTTTCATTTAACAACACTACCTTTTCCATGACGTCTTGTGTAAAATCAAAATATTTTGACCATCTCAACTTACATTTCCCTAACTGTCAGTTCAATTTTTGCCAATTATGTCACCTTATTCTGTGCCTAATTATAGGACTTCTTGCATTTTTGAAACACTAATCTCCCCTTCTGAATAATAACGGTCATGAGAACAGGGGATAGAGCAGTTTTGGTCATCATAGCATCCCCAGGATCAAATTTACTGCTCAGTAAGTAATAAGCACTGGGTGTATATTTTTGGATGAATGAATGAATGATGGCCAAAATACATATGACACAACTAGTCTACCACAGGGCTTTGTTCTCATTTTTATGCTGACACAAAAGGGAATAAATTCTATATCTAAGAAGAAACTAGGGAATATCTTGGAGTTGTGACTTTGATTGATCTGAGCTTCCCAGAAGACATTTGTTTTATTCAGAAAATACTTTGAAGGGCAAGAAGTATGACTGTTTTTTCAGTAACATGCAAAAATCCCTAGGGCATGCAAAAATAAGAATAATTTCCTAAACTAAAATGTCTTGTTCGATCCTCCAAGTGTTCTTCCGCTCCCTGTTCCAGGCCCACTGGAGAGTTTCGGCAGCAGGCCCTCAGACAGGAGTGGTCTGGCCTGCTGATGACCTCATCTCACCCCAGCCCACCTCCAGCTGCAGAGAGGAGTTGTGAGCACTGGGTTAAGGCAGCATTTTTCTGGGCAAGTTACTTATGCTCACATGAGCCGTAAATCAACATGCAGTCCTAAGTTGTGATGGCTTTTCACTTGGTGGGAAATGCCTAAACACCCAGATTTTTATTTCACAGCCAGGAAAAAAATAATGTGTGAGAGAAACAAAATGCAGAAGTGCCTATCAGACATGACTGAAATAAGAATCCCAAGGAACACGAAATGTTACTACAGTGATGCAGCTTTGATCACGGACCAAACATTTTTCTAGTAACCACTAAAACAGGACACATCACATGTACATTTTTCATACAATCCACCCTCCTTCGGCGTTTCACCATCTCATCCTCTGCTGCCCACTACATTTCTGTGATGATGGAAATGTTCTCTGCTGCCTAACAGAGTAGCCACTAGCCACTTGTGGTCACTGAGCACTTAAAATGTGGCTAGCTTAACTGAGAACTGAATCTTATTAGTAATTTAATTATTAATCAATTATTAATTACTAAATTGATTTCAGTTCAATTAAATTTAAATAGCCACATGTGGCTAGAAGATATATTGTATTGGACTGAACCATTTCATACAGCGTTCTGGGCACATTCAAAACGGTTGGAGTAATTTAGATCGAAGACAGGCTGGGAATTACGACTCCTTTTGCCAAAGATGGATAGAAAGGTACTCAAAACCCCAAAATCTCAAGCTGTTTTTCAAAACAATGAGGGAACCCTATGGGTCTACTATTTTCTGGAGTTTCTTAAAATCAACACCTAATCTGAAAAGAGAGATAAGAAAGAGAGGAGACAGTACACCTAAGGTCTTCAACCCAAGTCCCATCAAGGAAAGAAGGTTCTGTGTGATCTATTACTGGGGAACCAACATACACCTTTGGGGTGAAATGGAGCTGCAATGGGAAGCAGAGGCTGCTTAGAATACAAATCAGATTCCATGGCCGGGTGCAGTGGCTCACACCTGTAATATCAACTCTTTGGGAGGCTTAAGCAGGGCAATCGCTTGGGCCCAGGAGTTTGAGACCACCTAAGCAACATAGGAAGATCCCATCTCTACAAACAAATTAAAAAATGAGCTGGGCATAGTGAAGTGTACCTATGGTCCCAATACTTTGGGAGGCTGAAGCAGCAGGATCACTTGAGCTCAAGAGGTCGAGGCTGCAGTGAGCTATGATCATGCCACTGCACTCCAGCCTGGGTGATGGATGGGAGGGAAGAAGGGAAGGAGGGAGAGAAGGAAGGAAGGGAAGGAGGGAAGGAAGGAAGGGAAGGAAAAGAAGGGAAGGAAGGAAAGGAAGGGAAGGGGAGGGAGAGAGGGAGGGAGGGAAGGAAATGAAGGAAAGAGGGAAGGAGGGAAGGAAGGAAGGGAGGGAGGGAGGGAGGGAGGGAGGGAAGGAGGGAAGGAGGGAAGGAGGGAAGGGAGGGAAAGGAGGGAAGGAAGGAAGAAAATAGGTTCCGAAGCCCTTGGAGTACCCAAGTAAATTACAAAGCTGTAAACTGCTTAGGGGTGAGTTCAAACTCTGCAAGCTGCAAGGAAGCACCCACCCGGCCCTGCCCACCTCCTGAGACCCAGCCACCTTATTTCTTTTGGCTCCCCAAGGTGGCCCTAACATGGGCTCGGGGACGCTCGGTCTCTAAACCCAGGCTGGCACTTTCTTTCCTGCTCTCTGTGTGGCTTCCTGACTATGCCCATCAAGCTCTCTGTGGAGCAACTGGAACCTCGCCCCCTGCTGGTGGGAGTGTGAACTGCTGCCACTACTTAGGGACTGTCTACTATTCCGGGGCATACACCCCACAGAAATTTGCATATATGATCACCCTAAGACATGCATTTGCATACCCATAGCAACAGACTCTTCAAAGTGTCCTAAAACGAAACATCCCAAATCCCAACAACAATAGAATGGATTAATGTGGTATATGTATACAGGGAAATACTACGAGCAATGAAACAAATGACCTGCACCTCCACGTAAGAGTGAAATATCCCACAAGCGTGATGATGAGGTAAACCAGCTAAATAGAGCATGGTTCCGTGTATAGAAAGTACACAAATGGGTACCATGCATTCACACTGCTCAGAGAGGTGGTGGGTGGTGATGGGAAGTGGATGGGGGCAGAAGGTTCCAGGGTGCTGGGAGTGTTATTTTCTTGATATGGCTGCTGGTTAGGTGTGTGTGCTCTGTTGTCAAAAGTTAGCAATGGGCAGGGTCCAGTGGCTCACGCCTGTAATCCCAGCACTTTAGGAGGTTGAAGTGGGAGGATTGTTTGAGGCCAGGAGTTCAAGACCACCCTGGGCAACACAGTAAAACCCCATCTTTACAAAAAATGAAAAAAAAAATAATAATAATTAGCCAGGTCTGGTGATGCACACCCGTAGTCCCAGCTACTTGAAAAGCTGAGGTGAAAGGATTGCTTGAGACCAGGAGGTCAACACTGCAGTGAGCCATGAGCACGTCACTGCACTCTAGCCTGGGTGACAGAGCAAGACTCTGTCTCAAAAAAAAAAAAGTTAGCAATGCATACCCTTACAATAAACACATACTTTACTTCGTAGTTTTTCTTTTAAGAATGTTCTATCCATCCTCAGAGTACAGCTGAAAACTCACCACTTCCTTGAACCATGAAACTGTCCTATAACCATCTTTCATTTTCTCTCTATTAAAAAAACATAAATTATTTCATGCACATTTGCTCTATTGTATCTGTCAGAATTTTTTTTTTTTTTTTTTTTTTTTTTTTTTTTTTTTTAGGACAGAGTCTCACTCTGTTGCCCAGACTGGAGTGCAGTGGCATGATCTCAGCTCACTGCAACCTCCACTTCCCAGGTTCAAAAGATTCTCATGCCTCAGCCTCCCAAGTAGCTGGGACTTCAGGCATGAGCCACCACGCTTGGCTAATTTTTGTTTTTTTTGTTTTTTGGTTTTTTTGTTTTTTTAAGTAGAGATGGGGTTTCACCATGATGTCCAGGCTGGTCTCGAACTCCTCACCTTAGGTGATCCACCCACCTTGGACTCCCAAAGTGCCGGGATTACAGGTGTTATCTATCAGAATTTAAACACTGCGTTTTTTGTTTTTTGTTTTTTTTTGAGACGGAGTCTCACTCTGTCGCCCAGGCTGGAGTGCAGTGGAGTGATCTCGGCTCACTGCAAGCTCCGCCTCCTGGGTTCACGCCATTCTCCTGCCTCAGCCTCCCGAGTGGCTGGAACTACAGGCGCCCGCCACCACGCCCGGCTAATTTTTTTTGTATTTTTAGTAGAGACGGGGTTTCACCATGTTAGCCAAGATGGTCTCGATCTCCTGACCTCGTGATCCACCCGCCTCGGCCTCCCAAAGTGCTGGGATTACAGGCATGAGCCACCGCGCCCGGCCAACACTGCGATTTTTAAACCTCTCTTGGTGTTGAACCAAGTATTGCTCACGAAACACATACTTCATAAACTCTTTTAAACCAACCACTGCTTTTCTATTACTAAAACTTGCTTAAATGACAAAAGACAGGTATTATCTCACAGTCTCTGTGAATTTTCAAACAGCTGAGTTCAGTTAAGCACACAGTTGCCTGCACATATAAAAAATGGAAAATATTGCAACAAAAAAGACTCTGGAATTTTCCATCCACACAGCTGTTGCTGCGTGGCATCTGTGGTGTAACCTTCACTTGATGGAACTAACTCCCACAATCCCACGCAAGAGAAATGATCCCATTCCATTACAGTCCTGTCACTATACAGGGCAAAAACATCAGAAATGATTAAGAAAAGAAGAAAAGACACCGCACTCAAAAAAATGTGATGAAAACTTTTACAGTGCACTAGATCAAGAATTTGAAAACTCGTAGTAATTCCCATTTTTGTGGGTTTCCAAATGACAGGTGACTACTTAGTAGGCCCATTCTTTTTTTTTTTTTTTTTTTTTTTCGAAACGGAGTTTCACTCTTGTTGCCCAGGCTGGAGTGCAATGGCACGATCTCGGCTCACCGCAACCTCCGCCTCCCGGTTTCAAGCCATTCTCCTGCCTCAGCCTCCCGAGTAGCTGGGATTACAGGTATGCACCACCATGCCCGGCTAATTTTGTATTTTTAGTAGATACGGGGTTTCTCCACGTTGGTCAGGCTGGTCTCAAACTCCTGACCTCAGGTGATCCACCCGCCTCAGCCTCCCAAAGTGCTGGGATTACAGGCATAAGCCACCGTGCCCGGCCGCCCATTCTTTTGCTCATAAACTATGAGAACAGAGGACAAGAGATATATGAATTCATCAACTGGTCCTAAATTATGGTAGTCACTTATAGGAGCCCTCACCGAGACCCCCACACATACATAATAGGGAGGATTTTCCTCGACAAACGTGGCCAATTCAGATTCATTCAGTAGACAACTCTTTCTTTCACGCCACATTCCTCACTTCTCCTTTCCTGCTAGCCAAACGCTCCCCACAAAGAGGCTGCTTCTTGAAACGTTCTTATATTTTGCTTGGTTTCAACAGCCCTGCAGAAAGCGGCAGGGAAGTAATCTCCAATCTGCAGAAATGACAGAAGCCAGGAGGCTGTGGGCCTCCTTAAAACTTTCACCTCCGCTCTGAATACGCAGGCTGCCAATCTCCCCATCCCTAGAGTTTAATGGGGGAAGTTCAATGTCATTGCATGTAGTGTCATCTGACATATTTATAAACACCCAGAGGGAAAGCAGAACAGAACATCCGCAAGTGTGTTCCTTAAAAAGACTCTTCTCAAACTTCCACGAAGCCACACAAGCCGCATATGACTGTAAAAGAATCCACGAAATCCTGGAACCAGCCTGCCCGGATAAAGCTGTTTGGCGTGCCATGTGTTAGGCTGACCCGAAACTTTTCACTTGGTAGGAGCTACATTATTGCTTGGTTAATATACACTTGGATTAAAGAAATTTTCAGAATAGTCAAATTTATCACCCCAGTTCTAAGGAGTGAACTAAAAACAAAAACTTAAAACACAGATACTTCCTCCTTTTTTCTCCCTCGATCCTTCCACCTCTCTCTCTCTCTACTCTCTCTCTCTCTCTCTCTCTCTCTGTCACTCACTCAATCTCAGACATTCATTACCCTGAAGCCACCTCGGTCCTGCCTCAGGGAAAAGGACTCATGAGGCCAAGGGAGAGCAGGGGATGCGCCTACGTGAAGCCCTCCGGCTTCCAGGCCATGCCTATAGGCCCTAGCACCTCTTCCCTAAATGGGGACAAGGGTGAGGGCCCCCTAGGGTACACTGATGGAAAGTCTGTACCAGGGTGTGAAGACCTCCCACCACACAGGTCAGAGCCTGAGGGGGTAGCAGAAAGCCCAGGCGTGGGCCAGGGCTGTGCGCTCCGCATCACTTTGTATCTGCATTGCCAGGGAGGCCAAGGAAGCTGCAACCAACCCTGGCTGTCTGAAGCATGGCCTGGAAGGTAGCAGGATAGAAGAGATTCTCTTCAGCAGGTGGTTAGCTTGATTTACAGCTCATGGTGTACACCCAAGGCAAGTGGGGGTCTGTTTGTGCCCCAGCCCTGGACCCTCAGCAACGTTGGGAAGGGCCTGCAGGCCACACCCCAGGTAGCAGGAGAGACAAAAGACAACAGAAAATACAAAACGAACCAGGCAGAGAACAGCTCAGAGAGGCATGCATGGGAAAGCCCAAGACACAGCTGCACAGACAAAGAAGCTTGACCTCGGCGCATGGAGAGTGAGGGCCCAGCAGTGCCAAAGAAGCTGGCCCCACCCACCCAAGGATTTCACAAGGAACATTCCAAATGCCCCGCTTGTCACCCAATGCCCAGCTGCACACGCTAAATTATTGCACATCTCTGAGCTTCCTATTATAATATTATAACCACCGCCTGCTGTTATCACACTCTTTTGAGCCAAATTGCACCCAACAGAGCATTTCATTGTTCTGGTCCTGTCTCAAGGCTGTTCTTCAGGTGACGGAATTAAAACAAAGAGGTGAGTGTGTGTGTGCATGCATGCAGTATACATCACATGCACACACAGATAAAGATGGACCACCAGGCCAGGCGCGGTGCCTCACACCTGTAATCCCAGCACTTTGGGAGGCCGAGGCGGGTGGATCACTTGAGCTCAGGAGTTTGAGACCAGCCTGAGCAACATGGCAAAACCTCACCTCTACAAAAAAAATACAAAAATTAACCAGGCATGGTGGCAGGCACCTGTAGTCTCTCTCGGTGCTCTCCGAGGACACCTCGCTGCCCTGGACTTCCCCCTCTGTCACCGGCCCTTTCTTCTAGGTCCCCTGGGGTCCTTCTCTCTTGCCTGGGATGCTGGTGTTTCCTGAGGAGCTCCCCTGCTCCCCTTCTTGTGACCCATTCCTCACTTTCCCTGGGCCCCTTGACCTGCACAGATGACATCGAGTCTACAGCTCTAAACCGGGGCTTCCTCCAAGCTCTGGATTTTGAATGAACCAGAAATATCTGAAAGTCAATATGTTGGGCATTGGAGTCACTATGGTTCCTGCCTGGCACTCTATTCCATTCCAGTACTATTTTCTTATACTTCCCCTAGGAGGGAGAAGGGCAGAATTGGTGACTTCCAGGGAGGATGGAGGGACACAGATGATCCCCAAGTTTCAAGCATGCATGACAAATCAGAAAGGGGCTTCGTTCAGCAAGACCTGACTAGTACAGATTGCTGATTTTGTGGGCTATACACCCACAGGAAGCTGCACTTCCCCAGAGTTTGGGTCACAATGGGGTTTCCTGCCACATTGCAGATACCCAATGAGTATTCAGTGAAAGAATAGATGAGTGACAATTGATTAATTGACTTAGAAATGACAAGGCAGGTTCCGTTTGCAAAGGGCTGAGTCATATTATAAAATCCTCAACTGCAGCATAACTGGATAAGGTGTTTCTGTAATTCCCTGAGTGTTATATAATGGGTAGCCATTAGGGCTCATTTAGTTGCAAATAACAGAAACCAGTACGCTAACCAACTTCTACACTCAAGGTAATGTACTGGGCCCTGTAACAGAGAGGCCCAGCAGGAAGGCTAAAGAGAGGCAAGACTTGAACCGGGGTCAGAAAATCATCAGGACCAAGATCAGGTTCTTTGCAGTTCTCAGCTCTGCCCTGTCAGCCTGAGTTTTCCTTCCAGGTGGGGTCTCCCTCGTAGGCCCCCGATGAGTGCAAGCCATTCCGGCTGCTTTCTGCCTCTGGGCCAACAGACAGGAGTCTTTTCTGGCAGCACCCAGGAACGAATAAGGCCTTCCTTTCTCCTTGCCTTTGCGGCAGGTGTCGGTCTCTGGATGCATGAACGGGACCAGCAGGGATGGAAGAGGCTTTGGCTGGGATCCAGCTAATTCACATGTCAGGTACAAAAATGGGAGAGAATGAATTCCCCAGCAGGGAATCGGGGTTCTGTCGAGCAGAGTAGTGGGAAACCTCTGCAGAAAATGTGAACGCCAAACGTACAATCTGCCGCGTATACGTAATGATTGCAAATGTCAAAAACCTAAAGTCAGTGTTAACATTGAGCAAAATGTTACTTTTCTAAAATCATTTCTTATCTCAAATTGTGGCTCCCTCAATTTTTTAAGGACAATGGAAATTTTTTATGTCTCCATTATGGTAGTAACTCCATGACTGTTTGAATTGGTCAAAATTCATAGAACTTCAGCAAAGTCTAGAGACCTTATGTAAAGGTCTAGATAATAAATATTTTCGAGATTGAGGGCCAAGACTGTTGCAATTACTCCAGCTTGCACTTGCAACAGCAAGCAAAGCAGCCATACGCAATACGTAAATGAATAGAAATGGCTATATTACCAGAAAACTTATTAAAAAAAAAAGTCAATAGGCTGAATGGGACCCCTGAATTGCACGCAGCCTGAGGAGCCCTGAACTTAAAATATATGAATTTTACTATAGTTAATTAAACCTCAATAAATAAACAGAATAAAGGAAGACAAAGGAAAAATAAATGCTGTAGGGGAGAAAACTGTAATTCCTTCAACTTAACCTGAAGTGAAATGTCATCAAGAAAACAGGGGCTGAGTGCAGTGGTTCACGCCTGTAATCCCATAACTTTGGGAGGTTAAGGCAGGAAGATCACTTGAGGTCAGGAATTCCAGGATCCAGTGATCCATGATCACACCATTGCACTCCAGCCTGGGCAACAGAGCAAGACTGTGTCTCTAAAAAATAAATACATAAATAAATAATAAAAAGACAACAGAGGTACAGTACTCCCCCCTTATCTGCTGTTTTGCCTTCCGAGTTTTCAGTTACCTGAAATCAACCACAGCCCAAAAATACTCCATGTAAAGTTCCAGAAATAAACAATCCCTAAGTTGTAAATTGCCTGCCATTCTGAGCAATGTGATGAAATCTCTCACTACCCTGCTCCATCTTGCCTGGGATGTGAATCTCCCCTTTGTCTAGTTGGTGATCCGACCAACTGTCTCGGTGTCACGGTGCTTATTTTACCTAATAATGACCCCAAAGCACAAGAGGAGTGATGTTGTCCATTTGGCTATGGACAGCATAAGAGAAGCCATAATGTGCCCCCTTTAAGTGAAATGGTAAAAGTTCTCAGCTTCATAAGAAAAGGAAAAAAAATCTTATGCCAGACTTGCTAAGATCTACAGTAAGAGCAAACCTTCCATTGGTAAAATTGTGAAGAAGGAAGAAGAAATTCATGCCAGTTTTGCTGTCACATCTCAAACTGCAAAGGTTGTGGCCACAGTGTGTGATAAGTGCTTAGTTAAGATGCAAAAGGCATTAAATTTGTGGGTGGAAGACCTGAACAAAAATGTGTTACAGCCCAGGTGTGGTGGATCATGCCTTTAATCCCAGCACTTTGGGAGGCCAAGGCAGGAGGATAGCCCAAGCCCAGGATTTTGAGACCAGCCTGAGTAACATACTGAGACTCCCCATCTGAAATACATATATATTAAAAAAAAATTTTTTTTTGAGATGGAGTCTCACTCTGTCACCCAGGCTGGAGTGTAGTGGTGCGATCTTGGCTGACTGCAACCTCTGCCTCCCAGTTCAAGCGATTCTCCTGCCTCAGCCTCCTAAGTAGATGGGATTCCAGGTGCCTGCCACCACGCCTGGCTAATTTTTGGTATTTTTAGTAGAGACAGGGTTTCACCATGTTATTCAGGTTGGTCTTGAACTCCTGACCTCAGATGATGTGCCCACCTTGGCCTCCCAAAGTGCTGGGATTACAGGCGTGAGCCACCGCCCCTGGCCCATATTGTTTTTAATTTAAAAAATAATAAGAAGGATGTGTTCTGACTGACAGCAATCTGGTCCAGTGCTATCAGCGGTTTCAGGCATCCAGTGGGGGTTTCAGAATGTACCCCCTGCAGATAAAGGGGCACTACTAAAGTTTTGTTTGTGAGAGGGATTTCCTGACGGTCGCTGTGCAAAGGCTGAGCCAGAAGATTTACGAAAGTTAAACAAAGAGTGTTTAACTTGGCTTTTGAAGACATTTTATTGACTCACTTGGTAAACTCACTAAGAAGTCGAGTACCCACCTCTGTTCTTGACAAAGGCATCTGCAGCAGGCTGTGTTCACATCACCACTCCAAAACTGAGTTTCGTTAGGTTTTTGTTTGATTGTTTTTTCCTAGCGGGATGACTTTAAGAGTCATCATTTTGTGCTTCTGGTTCTTTATTGTTTGCTCTTTTACAGCATAGCAATCTTCATTGGACAGAGATTGTGAAGGAGACCCAGTCATTTCTTCCCTTACTCCAAATAATGGCACGAACAACGCAGCTCCAAGGCTATGAGTCCATCCAAATTGAATGGAAAGTCAAACTTTTGGGACCCAGAAAGTGAATACTCTCAAGAAGGAAAGTGGGGCCTGGCACGGTGGCTCACGCCTGTAATTCCAGCACTCTGGGAGGCCAAGGCGGGTGGATCACTTGAAGTCGGGAGTTCCAGACCAGCCTGGCCAACATGGTGAAACCTCGTCTCTACAAAAATACAAAAATTAGCCGAGCATGATGGCGGGTGCCTGTAATCCCAGCTACCCAGGAGGCTGAGGCGGGAGAATCGCTTGAACCCGGGAGGCGGAGCTTGCAGTGTGCTGAGATAGGGCCACTGCACTCCAGCCTGGGCGACAGAGCGAGACTCCGTCTCCAAAAAAAAAAAAAAAAGAAGAAGAAGAAGAAGGAAAGGGCAGGGGGCGGGGAAGGGCGAAGGGAAAGCAGGAGAGTTCAAAATCAGAGCTCATCAGGCAGCATTCAAGCATCCAAGTTGACGTACGCAAAGTGATAAAGGGGTGTTACTGTGCGCGCGGAAATGCAGGTTTTATACAAGATTCACAATCAACCTCTGTCATCTGGATTTTTTAAGCTGAAGAACAGATAAAGAATCAAGGTGTTCACCTCATCTTTAAGTAGAAGAAATAGACTTTTAAATCAAAGGTAGCTGATGTGCAGCTCGATCAGCTGGAATTTTTCACGATGTGCCTTCCTCCACACAAATATCAAGCCCTCAGAGCATGTATATTAAGGAGCAACAGTCATGTTAGGCATGGCTCCCGGAAGACAAATAAGACATGCGCCCTTAAATAACTGAGAGTCCAGTTGGGAAGACAGATGCATACACAAATATTTAAGAAAATCTGTGTTCTAATAGAGTCTCTCTAAATACTTTAGCAACTCTAAGCCAATTTAATTTACAAGAGGTAGGCAGGGCGTGGTGGCTCATGCCTGTAATCCCAACACTTCGGGAGTCCGAGGCAGGTGGATCACCTGAACTCAGGAGTTCAAGATCAGCCTGGCCAACATGGTGAAACCCCATCTCCACTAAAAATACAAAAACTTAGCCAGGTGTGGTGGTGGTGCCTATAATCCCAGCTACTCTGGAGGCTGAGGCAGGAGAATTGCTTGAACCAGGCAGGCGGAGGTTGCAGTGAGCCGAGATCACGCCACTGCACTCCAGCCTGGGCAACAGAGTGAGACTCTGTCTCAAAAAAATAATAACAATAATAATAATTTATAAGAGATGATATTAAACATGAAAGTAATATTTCCCTTTGAATAGATACCACTAACATATATAAGAAGAGTTGTGTAAGAACAAAACTGATATATCATTCATTTCCCCCCTCATAAACCTTATGCTACTAAGGGTAGGGGTGCAGAATTTTATTTCTTTAAAAAATGCTAATAAAGCAGAAGGGTTTTTTTAGTTGTTTTGTTTTGGTTTGAGACAGGGTCTCACTTTGTCACGCCGGATGGCACTAACATGGCTCACTGCAGCCTCGACCTCCCAGGCTCAAGTGATCCTCCTGCCTCAGCCCCACCAAGTAGTTGGCACTACAGGCATGCACCACCATGCCCAGATAATTTTTTATTTTTTTGTAGAGATGAGGTTTTGCCATGTTACCCAGGCTAATCTCCAACTCCTGACCTCAAATGATCCACCTGCCAGGCCTCCCAAATTGCTGGGATTACAGGCGTTAGCCACCGCCCCTGGCCCAGAAGGTTTATTTTAGCCTGATTGCTCTTTGTGTGTTTCTTTGGATTTTGCTAAGGAACTTGAAGTTAATATTACTAAGAGGGATTAGAAATAAAGTTAAGCTAAAACAGATCATCAGAGTTAACTTTAGTCATAATCCTGGTCTTAACAACTATAGAAAGTTTTAAAGACAAAATTGTGATATGGTTGAGACTACCAAGCCATGAAGCTAAACTTAGGTTGAAAGCAGAAGGTCACATTTTCCATTGAGTCATTCCCTAGAATCAGACATAAATATCCCCGACACTCTTTGCACTGGACACAAAATGGATAAGTCAAGAATGTCTCCGACAATTGATTACACTCACTGCAAGTTTATTTTGGAATGTGCCACCTCATATAAGGAGTTTTCCAATTGTAAAGACACCTCGGAATGATCACCAAAGGTGTTTGTTTGTTTCCTGGGTACCACCCCGTAGAGAGCTTGGTTCAGGAGACTAGCATGGGCCCAGGAATTCGCTCATTCCACAACCTGTATCACACTCCTAGTGTCACCAGGAGGGAACCATGAGCTACAGAGGCAGTAACCGGCATGTGTAATCAATATGCCAGATGGAGTTAAATTTCATCAATGCTATGGCTGCTTTTCCATTAATTTTGTCACTAAGATTGTATTTCCTTAAAGTGACAGCCATTTCTATTTATCTGAAGTTAATGGTTTTCCCTCGTCAGCAAAGGAACTACATCAGCATTTCTTTTTCTTTGCACTTGGTACAAAATAGAATCCCGTATCCCCAGCATGAGGCATTTCTAAAGTCCCTCTCACTACAGCCATCCATGTGTCTTTTGACAAATGAAGGAATCTCAAACTCAAATACCTAGAAGGGAACAGACTTTATATGCAATCACACAACCACTTTTTTTTTTTTTTTTTTTTTTTTTTTGAGACAGAGTCTTGTTCTGTCACCCCTGGCTGGAGTGCAACGGTGCGATCTCGGCTCACTGCAACCTCCACCTCCCGGGTTCACACCATTCTCCTGCCTCAGCCTCCCGAGTAGCTGGGATTACAAGCGTGTACCACCATGCCCCAGTTAATTTTTTTTTTTTTTGTATTTTTAGTAGAGACGGGGTTTCACCGTGTTAGCCAGGATGGTCTCGATCTCCTGACCTCGTGATCCGACCGCCTCGGCCTCCCAAAGTGCTGGGATTACAGGCTTGAGCCACCGCACCCAGCCAAGAGATGTAGTCTCACTCTGTCACCCAGGCTGGAGTGCAGTGGTGTGATCTTGGCTCGCTGCAACCTCCCACTCCTGGGTTCAAGCGATCCTCCTGCCTCAGCTTCCCGAGTAGCTGGGACTACAGGTGTGCGCCACCATGCCCGGCTAATTTTTGTATTTTTAGTAGAGACAGGGTTTCGCCATGTTGGCTAGGATGGTCTCGAACTCCTGACCTCAGGTGATCTGCCTGCCTTGGCCTCCCAAAGTGCTGGGATTACAGGCGTGAGCCACCACGCCTGGCCACAGTTTATTTTCCTAAGTGCCAAGGTTAAGCAAGTCAAGGAAAGACTGAGGGAATGTTCAAGATGGGAAGATACTGAGAAGACATGATAACACACAAGCACATTATTTGTTGAGTCCAAGTATGCCAAAATCTATTTATGGCTAGCCAGTAACTGATCGGGGCCCATTTGATTTTGCAATGGCAATTACACTGTTTGTTGCTTATCCCTAAGTAAATGACACAGCTATGCCTAAGTAAACTGGCTAAATGGGAGATTTGGTGATTGTCTAATCCGGGATTGGGCAATTACATACTGATTCATGGTTCTGCAAAAATAAAGTTTTATTAGAACTCAGACACATCCATTCATTTGCATATTGTCAAATGCCAACATAGAAGCAGGTTTCTGTCACTTACACTTAAAATAGCCCTACACAGAAAAGAACAGAAAAACATAGGAGAATAAATACGACAGACTCTAAATATTCAGGAAGGGAAGTGTTCAACCTTTCTAGTAATTAAAGGAATACACATTCTCTTTTTAAAATGGGACTTCAAAAAACTTTGGTGGCATCTCTACTGTGTGTTTGTGTGTGTGTCCTCTGAACTAAAATTTTCTACCTCAAAGCAGTGGTACCATAAGCATTTTTAATTCTCTTAATTATACTTTTCTGTATTTTCTGAATTCTTACTAATGAGAATCCATGACTTCCATATATTTAAAATTTCAATTTTCCTTTTCCCTTTTTTTATTTATTTTTATTATTTTATTTGAGACAGAGACTCGCTCTGTCACCCAGGCCAGAGTGTAGTGGCGTGATCTCGGCCCACTACAACCTCTGCCTCCCGGGTTCAAGCGATTCTTGTGCCTCAGCCTCCAGAGTAGCTGGGGTTACAGGTGCCCGCCACCACGCCCAGCTAATTTTTGTATTTTTAGTAGAGACGGGGTTTCACCATGTTGTCCAGGCTGGTCTCAAAATCCTGACCTCAAATGATCCACCTGCCTTGGCCTCCCAAAGTGCTGGGATTACAGGCATGAGCCACCACGCTTGGCCTCTTTTTTTTTTTTTTTTTTTTGAGAAACTCATAATACAGCAGGTGTGAAACATATAGGACCTAGAGACTAAGATATTTTCAAAGAATTCCAAGTATTTGATCACTCATAGGGGGAAGATGAGTGAAGCCTCAATGGTGACTTCATGGTTGAGAGCATATTTTGTTCAGCTTCTCAGCACACCCTGACTGTAGCATATTTATTACTGCTGTGGATTTAATAGCAGCACCAGTATCATGATTGCATCATGTATTTAAGATACTTTAATTTATTAGGTCCTGATTTGAGTGTGGTAGTGGTAGTATGCTCACCAATATCCAAGGACCTTCTCTGAAGAAGGACTAAACATCTGCACGGTTGAACTCAGCTGTGGCCACGTGACTTGTTTTCCCCGATGGAAGATGAGAATCAAGACATTTTAGTGGGATACTTCATGATCCACACTGTGGCTATCATTTTCCTCCATCTCCATCAGCCTCAGTCCCTACATGACTACAATAAGCAGAGTCCCCCGGCCAACTTAGCAACACATAGTTGTAAGACATTGAGCTTATTTGTTCCTGCACCGTAACAAAGCCTATCCTCACTAACACAAGGGAATCCAGGAAGAGACACCATTGGGGAATCTCTGGAAAGGTAAGGAGGACTGCATGAACTGTATTGCAAAACATATCTTAACGATGTGACTTAATGTTCTTTTTTCTTGCTATTTTTACACACTGTAATTATTATTCTTGATATTTTACTAACTTAGCAAAAGGTTCTAGTGCTTTTTGAGCCTGATTAACAAGCAATCTGAGGGGAAACTTTGGCTGTATCACAAGCTTTAACATTCACAGCACAACTCATACGATGCACTGAATTCCACTGCCACCATAGGAGTAAACCACACGCAAGCCCACATTCTGTAATGCATTACCCAACCCGCGACTCCCTCAGCCCCCAGGCTCAGGAAGGGAAGAGGCTATAACAAGAACCACACAAGCGGCTCTTAGTAATTCTTCCCAGATCTGTTTTATTCCCATTCTAAGCATGAGTTTAGACCCAAGATTGTTGTCTTGTGGAAGCTAATTTAAATCGTTTCATTAAATTCAGGCTCAGCTTGTGAAGTGTGCATATCAGGGGGGAGAATGTCTTTGTGCTGCATGAGGGATGTGCAAATAGAAAGAAACCGTCCTTCACATCACAGTAAAGGAAGAACCCTTTTCAATATAAATTTCAATATTAATTGCTGGCAACTACCTCCAGCAACCGTGCCTATGAAGGGTATATAAGGAAGAGTGAAATTACTTTTAAAAAATAGATTATCATCATCCAGAAGTCAAATAGTCCCATGGTCCAAATGTTTGTGTCCCCCCAAAATTCCTAACCCCCAAGGTGAGAGTATTAGGAGGTGGGGCCTTTGGGAGGTGATGAGGTCATGAGGCCAGAGCCTCAGAACTGGGATCAGTGCCCTTATCAAAGGGACCCCAGAGAGCTCCCTCACCCCTTCCACCATGTGAGGACACAGCGAGAAGTCAGGAAGCCCTTACAAGACATCAACTCTACCAGTGCCTTGATCTTGGAATTCCAGCCTCCGGAACTGTGAGTAATAAATGCCCATTGTTAATAAGCCACCCAGTTAATGGTATTTTGTTACAGCAACACAAATGGACTAAACAAATAGCTTCTCACAAGTTCAACTGCCTCATAGCAAAGCAATGCACACACATACACAGGCGCAAACACCACCTACAATGGAGTAATCCATGTATACACACACACACACTGCATGCCATCTTCCATGAGGCAATGCACATGTGCTTATACACAGGCACACATGCCATCCATGGTGGATCAAAGCACACACACAGAGGCCAATGTGCCATCCAAAATGGAGCATGTGCACAAGCGCAGCCTGTGCACATGGGGACATGCAGGGGACACATGGGGACATGCAGGGGACACATGGGGACATGCAGGGACACATACAGAGAAACAGACACACGCACAGAGGCACACACACCATGTGCAATGGACCACAGCACATGCATGCATGCACAAACGCACACATACAAGAAATACCATAAGAAGTTATTTGTATCACATTTAAAATGAAATTTCTACATTACCAGGGCTTTTCCAAAAAAAATGCCTGTCTTCCCAAACCACATCACTAAGAGTTTGGGCTGTATCTTGCATGCCGATGTAAAAACTTTCTTGGTTGATTGTCAGGGAATTTCTGCCGTCATAACATTTTCACCATGCTTGACTGTTGACTCAATGAGGTAAACCACAATGTTTTATGAAAATACAATTTCCCTTTGGCCTGGGGCAGGCAAGGTCACCTAGCATAGCAATGCTGTTCAATGCCAACATTGCCTGAGATGTTAATCTTTGGCAAATTAAATGGCATACATTCTGGCTGAGACAAGAGATTAGGTAAAACAGAGTGATATCAAAAATATCAAAGCCACGTGTGTGTGTGTGTGTGTGTGTGTGCGCGTGTGTGTGTTCTGCCATGTCATGTGTAGAAGGTTGAAAAGAAACTCTGCCTTTTAAGAGTGATAAATAGCCACAGGGACTCTCATGGGTGAATGTGGGGATAATTTCAGCATTAAAAAAGTAATAAAACAATAACGATGGTAATTCTTATGCCACATATAATAAAAAAGAAGCCAGGAATCAAGAGTGATACTCAAAAGCTGGGAGTATGGAAATAAAGCTCTTCTTCATGGGAGGACTTCAACCAAGAACTTTAGAAGAAATGACAGCATCATCAATGCACCAATTTGTAACCACCAATGGACTACCTCAATAAGGAAGGGATTACGAACAGAACACAGTCTCAAATATCACGCCCAATTATCTTATTCCTTACACAGGAAAGAAGGTATCTGCACAAAGGCGAGATCCGATTGACACAACCCTCCCCAACAGATCCAACTCAGCAAAAGCAATGCAAGAACAACTTAACCATCTGACCCCTATGAAACTCAATGAAAATGACATACCAAGTCTTCTTGCCAAAGATGTCCAACCCAAATCAAAACATGAGGAAGCAATCTGACAAATATGGATCATGGGACATTAAAGACAGCTGGCATTCGGGCATGGTGGCTCACGCCTGTAATCCCAACAATTTGGGAGGCCGAGGCAGGAGGATCACTTGAGCTCAGGAGTTTGAGACCAGCCTGGGTAACATGGTGAAACCCCGTCTCCACAAAAAATACAAAAATTAGAGGGCATGGTGGTGTGCACCTGTGGTCCCAGCTACTCGGGAGGGTAAGGTGGAAGGATCGCTTGAGCCTGGAAGGCTGCGGTTGCAGTGAGCCAAGATGGCACCACTACACTCCAGCCTAGGTGACAGAGAGAGACCCTGACTCAAATTAATTAATTCATTAATTAATTAAAAGATAACTGAGACGGACTTTTCCCAAAAAGGTCACTTCCATACAATAAAAACTAAAGGCAGGCATATTGTTTTAGATTTTACTTTTAAATACGGTCATAGCCAAATGCAGTGCATGAAGCTTAACTGGATTTCAGACGTTTTTAAGGCTGTGAAAGGACATCTTGTGCTGACGCAGAAAGCCCTGGCAGCCACCCAGTGGACACAGGTGTCCAGATAGGTGTGGCAGTCACTTGTTGCTCCAGAGAGTGCTCAAGTTGGAGGGGCATGGTGCAGGTTTGTGAGCCCCTGCCTTGGTGACAGCATTTGGGCAAGGCTGAGACCCAAGCTGTCAGGTTAAGGCCAGGTGGGGGGCGCTGGGCACACCAGGTGTGCCCCTGGTGACAGGTACAGGCAGCATGCCCAGACATCCTGGGGCTGACACGTCAAGCACCAGGGTCCTCACAACTATCATTTCATTTTATGTTATTATTTGTATATATTGATGGAGTACAACTGTAATTTTATTACACGGCTTTTAATGTAGTCATCACCCGAATAATGTACATTGCACCCCTTAAGTAATGTTTCATCGTCCATTCCTCTTCCACTCCCCAACCTTCCAAGTTTCCGTTATCTGTCATTGCACACTCTACGCTCATTGACTATGGTTTTGATGCAGAAGTCCCTGGAAGAGCTTAACACAGTTTCCTCCGTTGAACCCTGGCATCCTTTTGCTAGTGACGCCATTTTATAAAAGAAAAGATCCCAGCAACAATTTCTAGAAGGGAAAAGACAGTTTAGAAAGTCTTAGGCTAATATTTGGACACTATCAGACTGATCATTTGTGCCTCAATTTTTTTCACTTGGAAAGACATTTTAATGATATATAGTTTAGAGAATTAAATTGAATCCATTGAAACTTTGTATTTATATATTAGTTCATATTACTAAGGATTTTGTGCTTTTCACATTACGAAGGATTTTGAATTTTAGCACTATTCAAAGGGTAATTTTCAGGATGAAATCATATATGTAATGTGCTGAACTCATGCCTACCACACTGTAAGTATACACTACATTTTGCTTACTTTTCTTCCAGTAGAGTATCTAGACTTGTGACAATTTAATGAAGACTGGGATGGGGGAAGAGATGTCCCTGAATCTGCACTCCTGTGAGCAAAGCCCCTCATGGCAGTCCTCCAAGGTTGTAAACTTTTACATTTGAAAGGTGCACCCCGACACCAGCCCTAATCTAATCCCACAGGACTTCCCAGCTACTTAAGCAATTACATCAGTTGCAGTGAAATTAAGTTTACACACTGACACTGAAAGGAAAGATAACAATAAAAATTGAAACTCAACTTCGACATTGACAACTGGGCATGATTCACAGGCTGCAAAACTGAAGGGACATGAATTATCTCCAGCTTTTCTCAGCACTGAAGAGAAGAGCATGAAAAGGGCTATAAATCAAACTTTAATTTAGAAATTTCCTGGGATTTCACTTTCATTTATGATCATCTTATTCCCAAAGGACTTCTAAGTCACTCTCATCAGTAAAAGAAACAGATAAGCACCTCACTTAAGTACAAATCATGGCTGATGTGTCTCAATTCCCTAGCTCACTTCCCAAAAATATGTCTGCGCCTGTCGTTTACGTTTTTTTAAATGTGATCCCAAATAAATTTTACATTTCAGGATATGTTCCAATCCAATGAAAATCAATTCTAAATTAATCATGGGCTGGGCACGGTGGCTCACGCCTATAATCTCAGCACTTTGGAAGGCCGAGGTGGGAGGATTGTTTGAGACCAGGAGTTTGAGACCAACCTGGGTAACACAGTAAGGCCCCACCTGTACAATTTTTTTTTTAGTTAAAATATGAAATAAGATAAGTTACATCAGGCCATGCTCTTAGTAGATAAAATATTTTAATTTGGTAAGGAAAGGGATTTAGCACAGCAGTTCTTTGTAAAAATTATTTTCCCTTTACCCACGACCCAAGCCTCTCCATTGCTGTAATTTCATCTTTTTTTGTTTGTTCACTCGAGACAGGGTCTCGCTCTGTTGCCCAGGCTGGAGTGCAGTGGCACAATCCTAGCTCACTGCAGCCTCAAACTCCTGGGCTCAAGCGATCCTCCCATCTCAGCTTCCCAAACCACTGGGATGACAGGCACGAGCTCCTGCGCCTGGCCTCATCTCTTAAACCTGTTAGACGGTGCCACTATGTTTTCAATGCACTGTGTATTCAGTGTGCCCTCCACCTCTATAGGACCCAGGACAAAACATTACCTCCTGGATTCTCTTTGCCTCCTCACAGTTGATGGCAATCCACCCCATCCAGGAGGCTCTGATACAGTAAGGACCCACACATTAGCAGCCATATGTATGCTTTTCCTTCTCCCTTATTTAAAAAAAAATCGAGATCCTGCCAACACTTTTCTATGTAGTACTTGAACCATCTTGCAAAGGGTAAATTGTCTATTTAACTATTATTTCTCGCTCTGTCCAAATCAATAAGGCTTAGAGACACAAAGACATGCCATTTAAAAATTACACATAAAAAAACCTACAGAATCTCTAACGCAAGGGTCAACAAATCCACCTGCAAGCCAAATAAGGCTTTATAAATAAAGACTAATTAGCACTTAGCCATGCTTATGTGTTTATATATTGTCTATGGCTGGAGACAACTGAGTTAAATAGTTAAGACAGTGACCCTATCTGCCACAAAACCTAAGAGATTTGCTACTGGCCCTTTACAGAAAGTCCACTAATCCCAGCGCTAACAGAAATGAAGTGCACGTAGCATGTGTAACTTTAAAGCTCTCAGTAGCCAGATTAAATCAGTAAAAAAAACCAGGGGAAGATAATTTTATGATACATGTTAGCCCAATATATGCAAAATAGGATCATTTCAACACATAAGGAATATTAAGTTATTAATGAGAAATGTTCTATTTTTTCCATAAAAAGCCTTGGAAATCTGGTGTGTTTTACACTGATCAGATGACATTTCGATTCAGACTAGCCACCACATTGGTCCCTGCACATCTGAAGAGCATGCCAAGTAAGAAGAGAAAAAGACGAAAAAGAATGCAGTTTCCACTTACGGCTGCAGCTTCGGACAAGTCCAATTGTACACAGTGATGGTGAGAACGTAGGCTTTCTGCTCATCTAAGTAGATCCCAAGTAATATTTGGGACATACTTACACTGAAACATCATTCGTTGCATTGAATGAGATTCACACACAACCCCGTGTCCTGTATTTTATCTGGCTCCCAAGCCTCTGTCCCTGAATCCTCCTGCTTGTCAGTAAAAACTCAAGTGAGGGGTAGCAAGCAGAGGCCAAGCCTGCTGAGATGCCTTCCCTACTGTAAGCTCTGCCAAAGATGCCGCCAGAAGTCTTTGCTTTGCTCGTGCAGGCATTTAATTCTTTCTGAAAATTGCTCACAGGAGCACACCCACTGGCCTTGTAAATCAATTAAGAATACATTCAGCTGGGTGCAGTGGCTCACACCTGTAATCCCAGCACTTTGGGAGGGTGAGGCGGGCAGATCACTTGAGTCCAGGAGTTTGAGGCCAGCCTAGACAACATGGCAAAACCCTGTCTCTACTAAAAATACAAAAATTAGCCAGGCATGGTGGTGCACACCTGTAATCCCAGCTACTCGGGAGGCTGAGGCAGGAGAATCACTTGAACCTGGGAGGTGGAGGTTGCAGTGAGCCAATATCATGCCACTGCACTCCAGCCTGGGGATTAGAGCGAGGCTCTGCCTTAAAAAAAAAAAAAGAAAGAAAGAAAGAAAAGAAAAAAAAGGATACATTAAGGATACATTCATCCAGCCCAAGGGCTGCTGGGTGTCACGCAGAAGCCCCTGCCCTGTACCCTCTGAAGATGGGTCATTAATGCCATCACCAACAAATGAGTCTGCTAGTCGAAACACAGAAGCCATCTCCCTCTTAAGTAGGTTTGCTTAAAGGAAAAAAAAAAAAAGTTTTGTCTCACCCAGACCCTGGGAACACTTTACAAAGAAAATAAAGGACTGACAGAATCAGGAGTCTACAATAAGAGTTGACTATACGGCCAGGTGCAGTGACTCACACCTATAATCCCAGCACTTTGGTAGGCCAAGGTGTGTGGATCACCCGAGGTCAGGAGTTCAAGAGCAGCGTGACCAACATGATGAAACCCCATCACCACTAAAAATACAAAAGTTAGCTCGGTGTGGTGGCACACACCTGTAATCTCGGCTACTCGGGACGCTGAAGCTAGAGGATTGCTTGAGCCAGGGAGTTGGAGGCTGCAGTGAGCTATCATCACACTACTGCACTCCAGCCTAAACAACAGAGTGAGACTCTGTCTCAAAAAATAAAAATAAAAAAAAAAGAGTGACTACAAATAATTTTTCTTATTGCTGTGGAAAAAAATAATCATCACCAATGTCTCCTTTTTGCCTCGAGAGACTATAGGCCAGCCCTTTTAGAATCAGTCAAAATAAAGAGCTTGGGAATAGACAATGAGATGTCCGAAGAGTAATTTTAGAACACGAGAGCTGTCTGAGAACCCACATACAAATCCAAGTTGTAAAAAGCAGAGCTTGTGTGTTCTGTTTCCCATATCCGAGAAATCGGTGACATAGCTCAGTATTTCTCCAACACAGAGCCTTCCAAATGTGGTTTCTTCCTAAGGCGACTGTAACAGAGTTGAAAGCACAGGGTAAAAATTGGATGGTGTGGAACAGAGGACTGTCAGGTGAGAGAGCAGATGGGGTCTGTGGTCGGGGGACTCTTTGCAGATGAGTGAATCGGTGGGCAACTGTGGCATAATCAAAGTTGTCTACATGATTCGAATAAGTAAGAATAGACCCCCAAAATGAAGGAGAAGATCTAGTGACAGCCACAATTATGCACTTTTACTCATCTTGAAAAACCATTTGGGAGAAAATTTCTCACAGAAAGAACAGAGAAGCTTTATGTCATGCTTTTGCAAGTTAATTTCCATGCGGAGTCAAATTTCTCACCATCAATCCATTAGTTAATGATTGTTCAAAAGACGTTTCCATGCAGAATGAGGGTTATCTTTCAGTTGGAACAAATTTTTTTAAAACTCTGTGCACATTAGTGAGGTCAAATGAACATTACAACCCAGGAGAAGACTAAAATAATTCCACTCCCAAACCAGAATGTTTTCTTTTCAGTGTTTCCCTTATCATTTCACCGTATAGTCTCAGCTACAAGTGAGGCATTGGGAGGGCTTGTCAAGCGTCCAGAATTCTGGGGATATGCGTTCAGTTCTCACGGGCTCGGCATTTGTGGTGGTACCATCTTTTCCTCTTATTTTGCTGACAGCCTGCCCACCTCGTCTTGAGATACGTTCATCCTACAAACCAGAATGCTCGCTCCAAAACAGAAAGCATAAAATGCTCTGCAAAAACAACAGCCTGCATGGTATCAGCAGGCTTCTAAAGGAGTTGTTTCCTTCTCCCTGTACCAGGAGAACATAGCCCATCAAATTCTCAAATTTCTTATTGGGCAGAAAGATTTCTTTTCAGCCGGGCATAGTGGCTCATGCCTGTAATCTCAGCACTTTGGGAGGTCAAGGTGGGAGGATCACTTGAGCCCAGGAGGTTGAGGGTGCAGTGAGCCGTGATCGTGCCACTACTCCAGCCTGGACAACAGAGTGAGATGCTGTCTCAAAAGAAAAAAACAAAAAAGCAGACACTTGGCAGTCTATTTTTTTAAAACCTATGACAGAAAGAAATCTTTTGTTTTTTCGTTTGAGACAGAGTCTCGCTCTGTTGCCCAGGCTGGAGTGTAGTGGCACGATCACAGCTCACTGCAGCCTGCACCTCTCAGGTTCAAGTGATTCTGCTGCCTCAGCCTCCCAAGTAGCTGGGATTACAGGTGCACGCCACTATACCTGGCTAATTTTTTTATGTTTAGTAGAGGCGGGGTTTCTCCAAGTTAGCCAGGCTGGCCTCAAACTCCTGGACTCAAGTGATCCGCCTTCCTCGGCCTCCCAAAGTGCTGGGATTACAAGGGTGAGTCACTGAGTCAGGCCAACAGTCTGCATTTTTTACCTCACTTGAAGTTATCTTGTCCTGTGTCCAATCTATAATTCCTTAATAAGAGGAAATAAAATCATGATGAATGCACTTAATGCCACTGATTTGTGCACTTAAAAATGGTTACAATAGCAAACTTTGTGTTATGTATATTTTACCACAATAAAAAATAAACTAAAAGTGAAATAAAACCAAATAACCATAAAAGGCCACCCCCAACACCAGGTTTATGGAGAGTCTTGTGTTCCCAGCACCCAACGGATGCCAAAGTCTGCTTTTCCCCCATGAGCCGGAGTTCTGGAAATTGATCTCCCCACTAAGCAGCACACTGTTTGGTCATCCTGGCCATTCAGTCCTGTCTGGGAACGCGGCCATAATTTAAATATGCTGTTAAAATGCAGAGCTATCTATTCACAGCATGGTCTAGTTATTTAGCCATAAGGTGTAGACAAACAGAATTCTGTTTAAATATTTCCGCAATATCCAGTTACATTTCCAAATTCCATGACCACAGCTCATGTTTCCCCTTCGTTATTGACAATCATAAGCAATTTCTGTGCAATGGGAAATGGTGGCTATTTTCATAAGCAATCACATTCTTTAATGAGTTTTTTTTTTTTGGTCTACTTGCAGGTAATTTATAAGTAGGTGAATTTTGACTTTTTTTTTTTTTTGAGATTAAGCCTCCCTAATATAATCCCACTCTCCAATCTGCTGTGCTGGTTGACTTTGGGGATGGTTGTCAGCTCTGTGACTTGGTTTTGTGGCCTCTTGACAGTCTACACAGGGCACTCCATGGACTTGGAGGAAGACGGGAGAGTCCAGAGGCAAGGAGGATACTGCAGGACTGGGACTGAATAACAAAGAAAACGCCAGAGAGACTCCAGGAGAGCAAGATCGGTTCACACAGAAGAACGACGTACACGGCAGGCACATGGGGCCAGGAGGCCATACAGCTGCGGCTGTGGAAGGTCAGTTCAGGAAGGGCCTATATTCCTGGCTGAGGAGTTTAGATTACACCCTGCAGGGAAACGGGAGACCACAGAAGCGTTTTCAGCAAGAGGGTATACGGTGAGCTGAATAGCAAGTACCAAAACATACATCTAAGTTTGAACTCCCAGAACCTCAGAATGTGACCTTATTTAGAATTAGGGTTTCTGCAGGTGTAATTACAAGAATCTCGAGGTGCGAGCACACTGGGTTTAGGGTGGTCCCCAAATCAAATGACTGGTGTCCTTATAAGAGAAAGGAGAGGGAGATTAGAGACAGGGACAAAAGCACCATGTGAAGACAGAGGCAGAGACTGGAGTGACAGTGAGTCTGCAAACCAAGGAGTGCCAAGGATTGCTGGCTCCCCCCACCCCTGGAAGCTAAATGAGCTGCATGGGATGGAGTCTCCCCCAGAAGCTTCCAGAAGGGACCAGCCCTGCCAACAACTTGATCTCAGGCCTGTGGCCTCCAGAGCTGTGAGGAAAGCATTTCTGCTGTTGTAAGCCACCCCCAGTTCATGGTAATTTGCTACAGCCGCCCCAGGAAATGAACACAGATTCACATCGTCAGATGCGTATTTCAGAAACATTACTGCGGCTTCTGTAGAGGAATATAGCTTGAACCAAAAGAGGCAAGCGTTAAAGGGAGACCAATCAGGAAAACTAACGCAATAATTCAGATGAGAACTGAAAACATCCGGTTCCACACAAGGACAACAAAGATGAGGTTTAAGGCAAAGGACTTGCACAGACATCGTCAGATTGTCTCATGTGGGGAAGGGAGAGCACAAAGACAAGGATAGGAGGTACTAGAGGGGTGCAGGGCACAAGCGCGGGTGACCTGGAAAAAACAGGACAACTGGGCCCTGGAACGGCAGGCATGAAGGGCATGGATGTAGATAAGGTTCCTTGCTGCTAAGCTAAGAAATGAAAGAACTTCCTGCCCAATGACCTCCATAAAGAGGCAAAGCCATCTGCTGAGAATGTGCAGGGAAGGGGTTGGGGGAAGCACTGATCATTTAACAAAGGATGGAAGACAGGGCTAAAGAGGGATGCATAGAATCGCTTGCTCTCAGGAGGGCCCAGCTGGGGTTGAAGATCACAATGCTGTAGTAACACAGATTTGCTCAGTTATGCAATTTTTCCTTAGCAGCCATCAACTGCTTGGATGTGGACCAAGGAAGGCAGATGGCTGGGCTGATTCAAGACTGGGCTTCTGCACAGAGTGATGCACATTTCAGTTTGTTTCCAATATGAGCTCTGTTGCACTGATCGACTTCAATGAATTCTCTACAGTAAACATCCAGTACACAAGGTACTCTCTAACGGATACATTGCGTACCGTCATATGTGGGATGCTATGATAGCATTGAGAATGAATGAGCTACAGTGACAGCAGATAGGAACATTGCACATACAACGCTGGTGACAGATGCAAGACCCCAGAAGATACATGCTGTATGATTCCATTAATACAAAATTAATTCTTTTTGAGAATGCGCACATAGAGAAAATGATTAAAAAAAAAAAAGTAAGGAGATGATTTCCCCAAAAGCCCAAATAGTGGTGGCTTCCGATGGTGAGAGACTTCTAGCGCAATGATAATCGCAGGAGGCTCCTGAGCAAATGGCAATGTTCTGCCTCTTCACTTGGGAAATCACTGGTTCAATAACATGTATATGTCTCTGGAATGCTCTTTAACACTTATAGGTCATAAGTCACAACAAAAAATGAAAGGGAAGGAGGAAAATGCTCTGTGGCTCCAACAGCATCAAATTATATATATATATATATATATTTTTTTTTTTTAATTTTATTTTTTATTTTTTATTTTTTTGAGACGGAGTTTCACTCTTGTTGCCCAGGCTGGCATGTAATGGTGCGATCTCAGCTCACCGCAACCTCCTTCCCGGGTTCAAGCCATTCTCCTGCCTCAGCCTCCTGCATAGCTGGGATTACAGGCATGTGTCACCACACCCGGCTAATTTTGTATTTTTAATAGAGACGGGGTTTCTCCATGTTGGTCAGGCTGGTCTCAAACTCCCGACCTCAGGTGATCACCCGCCTCGGCCTTCCAAAGTGCTGGGATTACAGGCGTGAGCCTTCGTGCCTGGCCTATAATTTTAATACTCAACAAAATAGAGGTTAGTATTTCAATAAGCCAAGAACATTTTTCAGTCATAAGCATTTGAAACTAAAGTCAAATGGGGCTACAAGAAAGAAAGAGAAAGGAAAGAAAGAAAGAAAGAAAGAAAGAAAGAAAGAAAGAAAGAAAGAAAGAAAGAAAGAAAGAAAGAAAGAAAGAAAGAAAAGAGAATAGAAAAGAAGAGAAGAGAAAAGAGAAAAGAAAAAAGAAAAGAAACACATTGGTTCACATAACTGCAAATGTCATGTGTGGTCTTCAGGCTTGGCTAGATCCAGGTATTCCCATGCTATCCAGAGAGGTGTCACCCCTTAGCTCCATATTCCTCAGTACCATTTTCGGTCTCAAGGAGTGATAAGAATGATGGGATTTTTTTCCTCACTGGGTTTACTGGTACCTGTTTAGCAACCCTAGCAAAAAGAACAAACAAACAAAAACAAAAACAAACCTTTGTCAAGAATTCTAATAGAAGCCCAGATCTGGCTGTCTCTGGGTCACGATTTGGGTTAAGAAGTCACCGTAGACAAGAAATATGAGATGCCGTTTGGCCAGACCTGGGCCCCCGGCGCTGGAGCTCTGTATCTCAGGGACTGAGAATAACAGCCTGTGTTCCCCCAGAGAAAACTTGAGTTGTTTTAACCGAAAGATAGAGGCCGAACACGGAGTCAGACAAAAACTACCCACGTCCACTACACATATTTTCACCTTCCTTTGGTGCTATCACCAAGCAGCAAATTTCCGTTCATTTCTCACTCGTATATTTCAAACACCTTCCTTCTCTTCCAACCCTCCCTGACTTAAGAAGCTAAGGCAAACAAAATAAAATACACACAAAAGAAGCAGGAGTTTAGAAGCAGGAAACAAAAGGCATGAAAGAATGAGTGAATGATTCCATTTCCCCTGCCTCTGGCCTCTAGTGAATCACCTACTGGAAGTTTGTGCAAAAAGTCTGCATTCACTCAGGTACGGAATTCCTAGGAACCCTCATAGAGATTCCTGCTGGCGTAGTTCCATAGAAGAGAAGACTTGGCGCCTCCAGGGACTCTCGGCTGTTCCTTAAACAGAGATGAGCACCATCCTGGCTAACACGGTGAAACTCCGTCTCTACTAAAAAAATACAAAAAATTAGCCCGGCGTGGTGGCGGGCGCCTGCAGTCCCAGCTACTCGGGAGGCTGAGGCAGGAGAATGGCGTGAACCCGGGAGGCGGAGCTTGCAGTGAGCCGAGATCGCGCCACTGCGCTCCAGCCTGGGCAACAGAGCGAGACTCCGTCTCAAAAAAAAAAAAAAAAAAAAAAAGAGAAAGGTGGGCTTGAATAAAGGGGGAAAGATCGTGAATGGCCCGAAGGACTCCGGAGTGTCCTGGACAAAGTGGGATTCCCCCAGAGGGAAAGGACAAACTCTGCCTACAGCTGACCAAGCCAGCCGGCTCCCCCAGGGCTTTGCCAGGAAAATCACCACCACAAATGTCTCCACCATCATGTCTGTGGTTCCTTGAATCCTTTATGCTTCTGTTGAAACTGCCAAGGCAGGACTTGAAGGCTTCGCTGTGCAAATTCAAAAGCATTCTGAGATCATCAACTCTCTGAAGTCACCACCATTTGGAACCAAACCTTAAAAGAAGCCACCGAGATGGAAGCTCCAATACACTTTCGCCTCTGGTCATCTCCTTCCTGAGAAAATTCATGATATCAGATCATCCACAACTTTGATATTTCTCCCCACATTTCTGAGTTTTTCAGTGGCCAAGGAGAAGACTCCGTCTGTTTCTTAATAATTACTGATAATCGTTTCACCACAAAAGATACTACTTTGGATAAACAAGCTTTGTGGTTTCTGTCAAGTACAAACAACGAAGATTAAATTAGCATCTTGAAAACCCACAGGGTGAGCTTGCTCCTCCCCTCCTTTAAGTCTGCAGAATTACCTGGGGCTCCCTCCCAGGTGCCAAGCACACAGATGTGAGCAAGACACTGAGACACCACTGCTGCCCTGCGCTATCACTAGGGAATCCTGTGTCCCTAGCAGCTTATCCAGCTGGCTCTCAGGCTATGGTGAAACTGCAATACAGAAGGAATATTCCAAAAGAGAATTAAAAATGCAGCTGTCATATGGGCGACAGGCCCAAGTCTAGCAGTTAACAGCTACCCCGCCCCCACCCCGCCCACTTCCCTGGGAGCAGCCCTGCTCTCCAGTCTGCAAACCCAGGGGCTGAGGGGCCGGGGCATCCCGAGGCCTGGATGCCCAAGGGATGCAAACTCCTTCCCCACCCTCTCTGCTTCCCTTATCAAGCCTCCTAAGTGTTCTCCCCATCCCATAATGGGGAATAATCCCTAAAATTCAAGGGCTGAAGCTCTAATCCCCACTACCTTTTGGAATGTGACCGTATTTGGAAACAGGATCTCTAAGGAGGTAATTAAATTAAAATGAGGTCATTAGGGTGGGCCCTGGTCCAGTAGTACTGGAGTCCTTATAAGAAGAGGCGATGAGGACACAGGCACACACAGAGGGACGACCATGGGAGGATACAGGCCGTCTACAAGCCACCGAGAGGGGCTGCGGGAGAAAGCAGCCCTGTGACACTTGGGTTTCAAACATGTGGCCTCCAGAATGTGAGGGAATCCCTGTCTGCTACTCTGGCATGGCAGCCCTAGCCGGCTCATACGGGCCCATCCCCCACTCGCCATCTCAACGTGGAGACCCTACAGGAACTCATGGCCCGGGAAGGCCTTTTGGTCCCCTCACCCCTATTTTCAAAGCCCACACAGTTAAAATGCAGGGGGGCTTCTTGCTCTTAAGACTGAAATGGTGCAGCTCCCTACACCCGTCTGTGTCCACGGCCATCCCCAGTATAGCAAACTTACATGTGACACCCAGCTCGGTATTTCCCCTCTCAGGTCCCCCTTCCCCCTCCTACAGACACATCCCCAAACCCTTTTAAGATGTTGCATAACCTGGCTCCGGAAGCCAATAGAGTTTTTACTGAATCTGGCTTCACATAACCCAACAGATTGTGAACTAGACATTTGCCAACTTTTCCCCCGTGCCAGACCATTTTTAAGTTATGTGTGCACAGAATGGCATTTAAAGGACTTAAATAACTCTCCAGGGGGAGAAAAGAGCAGAAAATAGCCCACAAGGCTCCTATAAACGGGGGCAGGAACAGCAGAAACAGAATTTGGGGCGAGTGTTCTGCTTGTTTTTAGTTGCGGCGGGAGGGGCTTTTCTATTAGGTTGTGTTTTTGTTGTTTTTGCTTTGGGGGTGAAAAAAGGGGACAGAGAACAGAAAGGAACCTAGTTTATAGTGACAGCTGTTTAGGAAAGTCATTTCTAGATTAGAGGGGAGAGCCCCTAGGGGCTGCTTCTAGATTCCACTCCTTGGGGTTGGAGGGGCCGGGTGAGCAGGCTTTGGGGAGTGCCTGGGTGACTACCCCAACCCTGCCTCAACGGCACCCCCTCCCTGTGCACCGACAAATAAATGGTGGCTGTAAAAAAAAAAAGAAATAAATGTTTTTTTAAGCAGTGCTTCCTGTTATGTTCAAGGAAGACTAGGGCCGTTTTATTATTAAGCAATTTTCTCTTTTTAAGTAAACACACACACGACCACATTGCTGCAAGGCTAAAATCTCTTGCCTTACTCAAGCATCGACGTTTTCAATCTCCTATTTTCTCAAGCCCTCAATGAAGCCTTCCAAGAGCTTGCCTATGTTTAATTTGCATTCCGAAACAGAAAATCTAATGTGTTTTAACATTGTCTGCTTCAGCTGAAAAGGAAACTGTAAATTTATACAGTCTGGTTTAAAAAAAAAAAAATTGGCCATTGCATCTAAATGAGTCTCCTCCGGAAAGAGGCTGGGTGGCGCCCCTCCCCCTCCTCCCTCTTTCACTTCCCCTCCCGCTTCTCCCTCTTTCACTTCCCCTCCCCCTCCTCCCTTTTTCACTTCCCCTTGTCCTCCCTCCCTCACCTCCCATCCCCCTCCCTCCTCCTCCCCTCCCCCTCTGCTTTTCACCCCCTCCCTCCTCCTCCCCTCCCCCTCTGCTTTTTACCCTCCCCCTGCTCCTTCCCACCTCCCCTCCCCCTCCCCCGCTGCTTTCACCCCCTCCCTCCTTCCCTCCCCCTCTGCTTTCACCCCTCCCTCTTCCTCCCCTCCCCCTCTGCTTTTTACCCTCCCCCTCCTTCTCCCCTCCACCTCTCCCCTCCCCATCCTTCTCTGCTTTTCACCCCCTCCCTCCTCCCCCCTCCTCCTCCGTTTTGCACCCCTCTCTCCTCCTTCTCCTCCCCTTCCCCCTCCTCCTCTGCTTTTCATCCCCTCTCTGTCCCTCCCTCCCCCCTCCTAGCCTCCTCTCCCTGCATTGGAGTTTAGGCCACAGCCTCCCTCCTCCCTCTTAGTCTTCCAGCCTCCTCCCCTCCCCTCCCCTCTCTTCTCCTCCCCTCCCCCAGGATCAGACTCGGGGCCGGTCTGTGCCAGCGCCCTACGTGGACTGGGAAAGAATTACCGAGGACCTTAGAAGAGCTGCGCACTCGCAGCGCCCCGCCCCCACGCCGCCGGCCGCCCGCGCGGGTGTCTCCCTGTGCTCCCAAAACACGGCTCAGGTTCACCGGGTCCTCCCCCGGGGATCTCAGGGCTGTTGGGGGGTGCTGTGGTTCCCAGAACGCCGCGACACTCTGAAACAGGAAAGGGGACGGCAGAGGGGTCCTGCTGCGGGGGAGCCCTTGAGAAGGCCTGGGTGGAGAGGGACTTGGGGACAGAGGTAAAGAAGGGAGTCTCTGGGGGTGAGGAAGTGCCTGGGAAGGGCACGAGGAGGAGTTGGGGAAGGGAAAATCAGGCCCAAAGTTTTAGGGCTCTGTCTCTACTGAAGGTCAAAAAGGGTTCCTGCAGGGCAGTGGGAGACCTGCTCCTGACGACCCCGTCCTATAATTAAATCCCTGAGTAAGAACACTCCAGAGTTGGGGCTCAGTAGCTGCCGTGTGCACCTGCGCATCAGATGCCCCCTAAGCGTACCCCTGGAAGCCTCTGATTCTGTGTCATCACGGCAGGAGGGGATTCGAGGAGTTTTGGAAGACGCCAGGATGACGTTCTTAAGCCATCTGATGGGTGAAGGGGCTTCTTCACTTCGCTGTGGCTTCACTACTTAGATGTTAAAGCGGCTTCTCTTCCTAATAAAAAACAAAGTGTAGCCACTTTTCTGTCCAAGAAAATAAAAATTCCCAGAGAAAACCAACGTTGACGTTTGCATTCACGACGTGCCTGTCGTTTTCCTCTGTGTGGAAGAATTTTCCCATCCAAAAATGGGAGTTGAGGATGGAGGTGAGGTAAATAATAAAATCGGGCTCACTCTGTATAAATAGTTCAGCATTCCGATTTGGTTACCTAGTATTAAAAAATAAATATTTTTCTAGGTCACTAAATATTTTTCAAAATTATACTTTAAATGAGGGCTTAAATTCCACCGCGTGGAATTGTATATGCCAGAATGTAGTAACCATATCCCTCTTGCACAGTATTCCTCTTGTTTAACATTTAAGGACGGTATCCTAAGTTATTCCCCATTGTGTAGTCACATAAGTCACCTTTTTCTTCACTAGCTTCAGTGCAAGAAATGAATACAGTTTCCTCTGCACCATGGGTCCGTCTGTTGCCATTGCCTGCACTGGGGTTGTTTGGAATTCCTGTCTGAAACTTTCTAGAGTTAAAGGCAGAAAACATTGGCCAAGTTTCCAAGCCTAAAGCTGATTCTTGACCTTAGTTAGACCTTATGTCAGAAAAGAGGGTGACAGCTACTTGGGAAGCTGAGGTGGGAGGATTGCTTGAGCCTGGGAGGTTGAGGCTGCAGTAAGTCATGATCGTGCCACTGTGCTCACGCCTGGGTGACAAAGCGAGACCCTATCTCAACAAAAAAAAAAAAAAGAAAGAAAAGAAAAGAGGGTGAGCAAAACAGGACAGTAGGGGGTGCTCCAGGTGTCTGGGGGGGGGGCATCGCCAATATCCTAATATCCCAGAGCCTCGGGAGGAGCCCTCTCTCCCAAAGCACTGCCCGCCACATTCTGGGGATGTCCTGCAAAGCCTAAATATTGGCGGTGGGGAGTGGAAATGTTCCCTTCTGTTATATTCTCTACTAGAGTGTTTTGCATGTTGATATATATACATATGTGCATTTCAGCAAGATGGTGGATTTTATTTTTTCTTATTTTTGAGATGGAGACTCGCTCTATTCCCCAGGCTGGAGTGCAGTGGCACGATCTCAGCTCACTGCAACCTCCACCTTCCAGGTTCAGGCAATTCTACTGCCTCAGCCTCCTGAGTAGCTGAGATTACAGGTGCCCACCACCATGCCCAGCTAATTTTTGTATTTTTAGTAGAGATGGTGTTTCACCATGTTAGCCAGGCTGGTCTTGAATTCCTGACCTCAAGTGATCCGCCCGCCTCGGCCTCCCAAAGTGCTAGAATTACAGGCGTGAACCAGGACACCCGGCCCTGAGTGACATTTTTTTTTCCTTCTTTGAGATGGAGTCTCGCTCTGTCACCAGGCTGGAGTGCAGTGGCGCCATCTCAGTTCACTGCTCCCTTGAACCTCCAACTCCCTGGTTCAAGGGATTCTCCTGCCTCAGTCTCCCGAGTAGCTGGGACTACAGGCACGCGCCACCACGCCGAGCTAATTTTTGTATTTTTAGTTGAGACGGGGTTTCACTATGAAGGCCAGGATGGTCTCATGATCCACCGACCTCGGGCTCCCAAAGGGCTGGGATTAAGGGTGTGAGCCACCGTGTCAGGCCAAAATGAAAGGCACAAATCTCAATGTGGGACATGATTTTTGGCATCACAGTGAAAGAAAACAGTCACGTGTTAATGATGAACTTCACAGGCCTCAAAGCTCATGGCCTGAGTTTATGAAGAGTCCCCCAGGAGATTGGTGGTTGGCTTGAAGGAACCTCTCTTTTTGTGTTCATCACACAACTTGATGAGGAATATTGAATATTGAACATAAAAAGAAGAAATTTGAGAACAATACACAGCCTTGCCTTCCACAAATCATCACCCCTTGACTTCCATTTCTTTAGTAAGAAAGAATTAACTCCAGAGCCATTCTGGTATCTTCAGAATGCTGGTTCGCATAGTGGACCTTCAGTTCTTTTAATCAATAATCAATAATTTAATCAATCATATCAATGTTACAATGTGATCAACCATATCTGTCTACCCAAGAGAAATGAAAACATGCATCCACAGATTCCTAGATGAAAGCTCACAGCAGTATCACCCATGAGAGCCAAAAAGTGGAAACAATCCAAATGCCCATCAATGGATACGTGGATATACAAAATGTGCTCTATCCATACAATGGATGTTATTCAGCCATAAAAAGAAATGAAGTTCTGAAATGCCAAAACGTGGTTGAACCTTGAAAACACTATGCCAAGATGCAAAAAGGCTACATATCGTATGATTTATTTTATAAGAAATGTCCAGAACAGGCTAGAGACAGAAAGTAGAACAGTGGTTGTTGCTGGTGAGGGGAGGAGAAGGATGGGAAGAGACTGCCAGTGGGCACAAGGTTTCTTTCTTTCTTTTCTTTTTTTCTTTTTTGAGACGGGTCCTTGCTCTGTTGCCCAGGCTGGCGCGCAGTGGCTCAATCACAGCCCACTGCAGCCTCAACTTCACAGGCTCAATTGATCCTCCTACCTCAGCCTCGCTAATAGCTGGGACCACAGGGGCACACCACCACACCTGGCTAATATTTGTATTTTTGTAGAGATGGGGTTTCTCCACATTGCCCAGGCTGGTCTCAAACTCCTGGACTCAAACGATCCCCTCGCTTCAGCCTCCCAAAGTGCTGGAATTACAGGCAGGAGCCACTGAGCCCAGCCTGCGCCAGGTTTCTTTTTGGGGTGATGGAAATGTTCTAAAATTAGATTACCATCAGGATTGCACAACTCTGTAAATTACTAAAAACAAAACAATGAATTATGCAGTTACAATGGGTGAATTTTACGCTATGTAAATTGTATCTCAAGAAACTCTTCTAGAGTTTGATTAACTCTCAAGTTTAAAAATGTTATAGCGTTGGCCGGGTACAGTGGATTACTCCTGTAATGCTAGCACTTGGGGCTGCCGAGGCAGGTAGATCGCTTGAGCTCAGGAGTTCGAGACTAGCCCAGACAACACGGCAAGACCCTTGTCTCTTAAAAAAAAAACACAATAAAAAGTTATAGTGTAACAGATCATTTTTGCAGGCACTGTCTCCAAGTGAAAAAAGGCCCCTATTATAGACCTATTAAAGGCAAAATACCTTCAGGATAGGCCACTCTAAAGCTAGCATGTGCTAGAGCAAATCTGTGACAAATCCTGGCTTTTTCTTCAAGACCATTTCTCTGCTTTCCTACTTGGGTCTAAGCCCTCGTTGCTTTGGGAATGCACTTGAGCTCAGTCCTTCCAGCCTTTTCTGCCTTCCTGCTGGTTCCCAAGACACTCTGCACCAGATCATCTTTGCCATGGTGTTTCGCTGCCTTTCCCATATGCCATACAAAATCATCCATAAATTGCTGGGCACGGTGGCTCACGCCTATAATCCCAGCACTTTAGGAGGCTGAGGCAGGCGGATCTCTTGAGGCCAGGAGTTTGAGACCAGCCTGGCTAACATAGCAAAACCCTGTCCCTACTAAAAATACAAAAATTAGCTGGGCGTGGTGGCACATGCCTGTAATCCCAGCTACTCGGGAGGCTGAGGCAGGAGAATCCCTTGAACCAGGGAGGTGGAAGTTGCAGTGAGCTGAGATGGCGTCACTGAACTCCAGCCTGGGAGACCCAGCAAGACTCTGTCTTTAAAATAATAATAATAAATATAATAATAATAATAAATATATAATTATTATATATATAATTATATATAAATATATATAAATAATAATAAATAATAAAATAATAATAATAATAATACCAATCCATCCATTTATGTCACTGGCGATGTATGAGGTTAAGCCCGGCCTCCTTAGGCTCTCCTTGAACTAACCTCATCTGACTAGCGTGAGCTGTTTGGTGGTTCCTTCTCCCCCAGGAAACTCCCATCCACAGTAAGAAGTACATTTCACACAGAAACACAAGACCCACATACACATATATGTGACCAAAATGTGACATGATGCTCATGAACTTATCCTTCCCCTTGCCATGGGCTCATTCTATAATTTTCTGGGCTATCCACTTCCATTTCATGCTTTCAGTGCTAGTCACTACCCACTCAACTGAATGCACAACCAACTAATTTTTGAGATACGCACCTCAGCAATTTAAAAAGCTTTGGTCTAGACCAGTGGCCCTCAGCCAGCAGGGATTTTACCCCACAAGGGATATTAGGCAATGTCTGCAGACTTTTTGAGTTGTCTCAAACAGGTGCGGGGGGTGCTCCTGACATCCCATGGGTGGAGGCCAGGAATGCTGGTCAACCCCCTACCGTGCACAGGACGGCCCCACCACAGAGCATGCTCCAGTCCCAAATGTTCACGGTGCTGACATGGAGAAACTGTCGTCTCAACTACAGAAAAGCCTCAGTCTCGGCCTGGTGCAGTGGCTCACCCCTACAATCCCAGCACTATGGGAGGCCAAGGCAGGCAGATTGCTCGAGCTCAAGAGTTCAAGACCAGCCTGGGCAACATAGTGAAACCCCATCTCTACTAAAAATACAAAAATTAGCCAGGCGTCATGGCGGTCCTGACGCCTGTAATCCCAGCTACTCAGGGGGCTGAGGCAGGAGAATCACTTGAACACAGAAGGCGGAGGTTGCCGTGAGCCAAGATGGCGCCACTGCACTCAGCCTGGGCAATAGAGCGAGACTCTGCCTCAAAAAAAAAAAAAAAAAAAAATTAGCCAGGCATGCATGGTATCAGGTGCCTGTAGTCCCAGCTACTCGGGAGGCTGAGGCAGGAGGATCGCTTGAGCCCAGGAGGCAGAGGTTGCAGTGAGCTGAGACCACACCATTGCACTCCAGCCTGGGGGATAGAGTGAGACCCTGTCTCAAAAAATAAACAAAAAAAAAGAAAAGAAAACGCTCCAGTCACTTCATTGACTAAACAGATCTTGTAGTTAACTCTAAAATAAGTTGGAAGGAGAATTCTCAGTAATGAATAAAAGAGAGCTTGTTCCTGCCTCTCCTTCCCCCTTCTCACCAATATCTCCATGCTTGATGTTATTAATCCCATGTGTGCCATGTAGACCCCAGCCAACTTTGGATCCCAGCCACAGTCTCTGACTGTACAGTTATTATTTAAATGAGGGCTGATTTGCAGTGGATTTGCACAGGCGTCAGTTGCCTTAGCTTATGTGGAGCGGTGTTGGTCCTATCCCTTGGTCACTGCCTCCTGCACAGCTAATCCCGCTTACCCCACATCTAAACCATGTGTCCTGTGATGCTCCAGTCTGGCCCCACATTGGGGGCACTCTGGGAGCTTCAAACACTCCCACCACCCAGGTCCCACTGGCAGAGACTGGGGTTTCATTGGTCTGGGGTGTGGCCTGCACATCCAAATTCTTGAAAGCTGCCTGGCAGCTTTCAATTTTTTTGCCTTTTTGTACTGGCAAGGTTGGAGCTTCGTGATACACTCCTTCCAACACTCCCAAGGCAGGGCTGCATGCCTCCACTTTGCTCCCATTGTGAACATTCTCAGACTGCACATTCCTCTGTATTTTATGATAGAGACAAACCCACAATCGCCTTTTGGGAGGCATGCTCCTATAAGTTAATATTCTGAATTCTGGTTCATGGAAGCTTCTCCTGGGGAAGAAATAATGCTAGATTATTGCTGGGGAATGGAACTGAATAACACTTCTAAAAATAGAATCGTTTATGTAAGTCAATCCTGGCACCACTGGCATTTGGGACTGGATAATTCTGTTGTAGGGGGCTGCTCTGTGCACTGTAAGATGTTTGGCAACATCCCTGGTCTCCATCACTGGATGCCAGGCGCGCCCCGCATTGTGACAACCAAAATTGTCTCCAGACATTGCCAAATGTCCCCTGGGATGGGAGGAGCAAAATTGCCCCCAGTTGAGAATCACTGACTTAAGAGTATACAGAAATGTATTTCTGCTTTGCTGATTTTTAACTACATGAAAATACATATATATATTGTCAAAATATTTTCCAACCAATTATGTAATACCAAGTGTGCTGTGTTTTGTTGAGGTGGGAGAAAGAACCATACCTCTTCACTGAGGTTACATGGATAACTGCTTTAGAAGATCCATTGGTACACTGAGTTCTGCAAGGAAATAAAACATTTCTAAATTTAAAAAAAAAGAAGAAGAAGACCCATCGTAAGACTAACTGGAAAAAAGACACGATTCCATTCACAGCAGAGCATGGTAATGAGCTCAATGAAATTAGCAAAGACCAGGGATCTGGCCAGTCCTTGTTCCCGCTGCTGGCTGCCGACCAGTCCCTGGGGCACCTCCTGAGTGCCATTCTGCCTTCTCACTACACGTTCCTGTCTTTGGGGGAATCATGGGATCTCTCCCCTTGCTGAAGTTGTCCCTTCAAACACCTGGAGAGTAGCCTGCCTATGAGGAACAAGACATGGCAGTTTGGGGACAGTGTGTCACTTCTACATTACAGAGAGCTGTTGCGCATGATTCCATCCAACTGCTTGTCACTGCACAGAGCTGCACTGGGGAAACAAATAATGCATAACTATTTTTAAAAAATAAACAGAGCATCCACGGGTTTTTAAAATGTAATCTGCAACATTTATAGAACTATGTTAGGAATTATAAACTATGTTAGGTGAGCAATTGGCCATCTGAATGCTTTCCCTGTGAATTGTTTGTGGGGGAATGAGTCATCCTTTTCCCCTTTCTTGGACCTGCATCCATTATCCTGCAGTGGAGCGATGTGTTCATATATGACTTACACATGGGACCAGCTGCATGATTTGTGGGGCGCAGTGCAAAATGTAAATTTGGGGTCCTTTGTTCAAAAGCAGAAAAGAAAGATTTTTCCTTCCCTCCTCCCCAGTCGTTCTGGACCTGTCATGGTGTTTTTTCACTTATTCTTATTATTGTTAGAGACAGGTTCTTGCTTTGTGGCCCAGGCTAGAATACAATGACACAATCATAGGTCACTGCAGGCTTGACATCCTGGGCTCAAGCAATCCTCCCGCCTCAGCCTCCCAAGTAGCTGGAACTAGAGGCACACACTCCTGCGCCTGGCTTTTGCTTTTTACTCTTAATGCAGCACCTCTTTGGGCATAGGGATACTCGGAGGGCCAATGTGGACTCTCACAGGCTCCCGGGGTCCCACCCACGACTTGGCAGGTGGGGCACATGCCTGCTGACCTGAACCTCTCCGCGCCTGCCAGAAGGCAGAGAGTAGCCACATCATTGGATGGGGGCAGGGAAGTGGAGCACAGAGAGTCCATCCTGGGAGGCAGGGAGGTGGCACCTCCAAGCCCTGGGCTCATGCTCCACTGTCCTGTCAGACCGTCGCTTTCAAAATACAAACTCAAAGACAACATGATGAGGCATTGCAATATGGAGGTTGCAGAACATTAAACCAGTCCATGTGGGACTGAACTGTCACAAGGCAGCAAAGCTGGCCCTGCTTACACATAAAATACTAGCTAATCTCTATATAATCAGGGAAAGGTTACATTAGAATGTTTTCCAAATCACAAGGATGATACTATAACCAGCTACCCAAAACATTCATACTTTTAGGTTAAAATTTACATTTTAGTCTCCTTGACGTCTGGGTATTTGGAAAAAAAGAAAAAAAATTAACGTTTTAGGCACTTCCATTTTTCTCGAGAGCCAAAATTTTCCTTTTGTTTTCATTATTAATGTCTATACAACGAAAACATGCATCGTACATTTTTAAAATCGACTTTCCTTTTGCTGTTTTTGCCATACATTTCCTGACTGGTTTGTAAAACAGCCAAAAAGAACTGAGGAGTGGTAGCTTATGCTATGACCAAAAAATATACATTTCACAAAATTAAGTTGTCCCACGCTTGAAAATAAAATAAAATCACTTGCCAGTGACTTTGAATGTGGCTAAGCAGTGTGGCTTGCCAATTATGAGGTGTGAAGATAAAGGACTGTCACGCTAAACTTGTCTTCTTTCATTTGATGTCAGTTTCTCAGAGTAGGGACCTTGAACCACCTGTACTGAACTTGGAACCACCTCAACCTGCCCAGCTCCATGGATCCCAGCTCCAGGGTGAGATCTTAGGTGACTGCCTTTGTAACACGCATCACAGGTGGCTGAAACACACCCACAGTTTGAGACCCACTGTCTGGTCTAACATCACTCTGTCCTCGGAGTTTTTTTTTTTTTTTTTTTTTTTGAGACAGAGTTTCGCTCTTGTTGCCCAGGCTAGAGTGCAGTGGCGCGATCTCGGCTCACCGTGACCTCCACCTCCCACGTTCAAGCGATTCTCCTGCCTCAGCCTCCCGAGGAGCTGGGATTACAAGCATGCGCCACCACGCCTGGCTAATTTTGTATTTTTAGTAGAGATGGGGTTTCTCCATGTTGGTCAGGCTGGTCTCGAACCCCTGACTTCAGGTGATCCGCCCGCCTCGGCCTCCCAAAGTGTTGGGATTACAGGCGTGAGCCACTGCACCCAGCCTTGTACCCGGAAATTGAGAACAACACAAGCCCCTCCCAGAAACACTACACATCCTCTCTTGTTGTGGCTGCTGAACTTACTCTGACACATTCCTTGGCTGAAATACCAGCAAGCCACAGACACACCTTGCCTAAAGGCGTCCACAACACCACTGATGCAAGCAGTCGCACAGCAAAATTTTGCGGCCACAGGGATCCACCTGCTGGCCCACAACTCACATCTCTGGCCGCATTGGGTTCCAAGTGCGCTCAGGAGTTAATCACACACCCTTTCTTCTTGGCTTCTCTCCTCTCCTGAGGCAGGTATTACAAATACAAACACCCATTTCCTTCTCTGTGTTTATGCTTTCTTGGCACAATTCCTACTTGAAAGGTAGGAACAAAAATTCAAAATGCAAATACCCTCAGCTCAGGAATCACATTCTTATCTTTTCTTAGGAGATGACTTGTTTTTAACTTTAAAAAATCCTCAACATAAAAAAATGGTTTTTGTTACATTCTTGAGACAGAAATCTGCTAACTTGGCAAATTTTTTTTAAACTTATTCCTTTCGTTATGGTCACACACACCTTTCTTTTCTAGGGGCAGCAGTAATTTGCATTAGACACGACGCACACTTGCTTTCATTTCTCAGTGTCTAAAATACCATCTTCTTGTCACTTCTCTTTATCAAGCCATGCACCTAACAATGACTTGTTCGCTTCAGGAGACTCAGGAAAAGGAGCTGCTGGTCCTTGTTTTATCTGCACATTTCTTGAAGGATCCCATCCAGCAAAACCTGGCCTGCCTTCCCTGGAATTTTAATTTTGCCCCAGATTGTGTGTTGGTTTTATTATTTAAACAAATTTTAAATTACAGGAGTACAAGGAGCCCTAGAAGCAAAAGAAACTATTCAGATGACTGCTTAGAAGCTTTCGTAAATTCTGCAAGGTGGTGATAACTGTCGATGACTCGGCAGGTTTTTCGGAGAAATGTACAGGAAGCGAAACCCACTGCGTGTCTAACGGGTCCAGTATGTCATTGTGCAACGTCCCACAGGCCTTCAATGTCCTCAGAGCTATTTTGTGACCTACACACTGCATGGAGATGCCCCACCGGCTTTGATTGCACCCTCTAGCAAAAGAGATTTCCCTGCAGCTTGAATGGGGCAAAGCAAGTTCTTTGAAACAACAACCAAAAAGATGCGGGTTGGGGAGAAAAGCTTGGCTCTTTCCCCAGACTCTCTGGATAGCGCAGCTTTCCTTTTTTCTATCCTCCTGGCTTTTTGTTCTCCATCATTACTCTGAGTCAGCAAGGAAGAAATGGCAAGGGACTCCGGAAAAACATGTGTGATAGGGTGCCTGAGCAAAAGGCAACATTTCATCAGTTCTTTTTATGAATCAGTCTTTGATTTGGGGATGTACTGTCCAAAGTGAAAGACTCCTTGGAGATTTGCCTGGTAAGAGAGAGACATGTGGTAAACCAATTCAAGGTCAGGCAGATCGGGCTTGGGTTGCATAGGTTTTTGTAGCCCAGCCCCCCAGGCTCTCCACTCACCCTACAGCACGCATTAGCTGCGTGTCTCTTTGCATAGAGTCGCTTTTCATAAGGATCCTAAGGTGCAGGGGAGCAGCAGCCAAGGACAGCTGCCCAAAGTAGCCTGCTTCCAGGACTGCAAAGAAATGGAAAGAGCAGCATGAAAGGACCCAGTCATGGCCTGGCACAGTGGCTCACACCTGTAATCCCAGCACTTTGAGAGGCCAAGGCGGCCGGATCACTTGAGGTCAGGAGTTTGAGACCAGCCTGGCCAACATGGTGAAACCCTGTCTCTACTAAAAAATACAAAAATTAGCCGGGCATGGTGGCACGCACCTGTAATCCCAGCTACTTGGGAGGTTGAGGCAGGAGAATCACTTGACCCCAGGAGACAGAGGTTGCAGTGAGCCAAGATGGCGCCACTGCACTCCAGCCTGGGTGACAGAGTGAGACTCTATCTCAAAAAAAAGAAAAAGAAAGAAAGAAAGAAAAGAAAAGAAAAAAGAAAGGACCCAGTCACACCAACTAACCCATCGATGTCCAACAGGGGGCTACGCTTGGTTACAAAACACATACCTGCATGTTGAGAACCATACAAATAGAAGTGTGTGGGCCAGGCACAATGGCTCACGCCTATAATCCCAGCACTTTGGGGGGCCTAGGCGGGCAGATCACCTGAGGTCAGGAGTTCGAGACCAGCCTGGCCAACATGGCAAAATCCCGTCTCTACTAAAAATACAAAAATTAGCCAGGCATGGTGGCAGGTGCCTGTAATCCCAGCTCCTCCGGAGGCTAAGGCAGGAGAATAGCTTCAACCCGGGAGGCAGAGGTTGCAGTGAGCCAAGTTCGCACCACTACACTCCAGCCTGGGCGACAGAGCGAGTCTCGTTCTCCAAACAAACAAACAAAAAACAATTAGAAGTGTCTGTGCAATACTAGCTAATATTCTGCCTGCATTTCCAGCCCTGCTGACTCTTGTACAGGACCTAAGGTCAACAGTTCTTGGGCTCTGAGGAACTTTGCTTCTCTTTCTGGCCTCAGCTCCACAGGCTCCATGAACCCAGGTCTAGGGATCTAGTTCACTCAAAGGGACTACGAAATCAAGCTAAGCCACTCAGTATTCTTATCGTATCCTCCTCCAAAAGCAACAAGATGTATGCTCAAGAAATAAGAAGACTCTAGCAAGCAGACCAGAGTGTGTCTGGCATAACTCTTTTTGGAATAAAGTAAGCGCCTTCTAATTAATGGTATTGCTCCTGTAGGTTTTCAAGTTTTATTTAATTGAATAACCACTTATGTGGCGAAGCTCTATGCTAGCATTGAGAGAAGAGAGACAGGGATCCTACCATTGAGTGGGTGGCTTTGTAAAAGGATCTGCAGTCAGTGAGAGGAATTTACAAACAGCCAGAGCATTCACAAAGCAAAGGAAGAAGTTTACAAATATCGGTATCTACGTAGGTGAGACCACAGCGGCTCAAGATCCCTTTGCATCGGGGGTTGGTCAGAGCTTCAGGGGAATCCTTTGGAATCTCATCTCATTAAGGGGTGCTCAGAGCTCTGCCCCAGACATCCTGAGACCCAGTTCTTGAGGAAGTCGTCCATCGGTGCCCAGGCAAGACAGGTAAGGATGGGAGGTCATGCGTGTGGAGTGCCATGACCGGGCCACGAAGTGCAGCAGCTGTGTAAGGGGGTGATCCACAGCTAGGCGAGCTTCACAGTCATCCTCGGATATGCACAGAGTGGTCAAAGTCTTTGAAGTTGCTCAACATGCATGTTCCCAGCTGAGGTCAAACGAGGAGACCCTCTGCCTTCCTGTTTCAGCTCTCATTGCTGTAAACCAGTGTCTTTTTCACAGCCTACCTCGTGCCATGTTTTTTGCATGTTTGTACTTCTAACTAATTATTTCACTTATTAAAATGGTTCCCAAGTGTAGAGCTGAAGTCCTGTCTTCTGTTCCTAAAACAAGTAGGCTGTGATGTGCCTCACAGAGAAAATACACATTTGACAGCTATTATTCACGTATGAGTTACAGTGCCGTTGGCCGTGAGTTCAACCTTAATGGATCAATAACATATATTAAATGAGGTGTCTTCAGCAGAAGACACACAAAACAAGATTGTGTATTGATCCGTTGACAAAAATGTTTGACAAGAGGCTCCAAGACCCCGACCTGTGTGTTTCTCCTAGGAGCAGAAGTTTAGTATTTGCTAATTTGGTGCGCATGGAGGCTGTAGAGAACACCGCTACTTTGAATAATGAGAATTGACGGTATTTGTTAAACGAATTAAAGGAAGTGTGTCAGAAGAGGGATGAGGAAAATGTTCTGGGTGTTCAGAGACCACTTCCAATGGGGGGAACCAGGGAGAGCCCACTGGAGGGGACACGTGTGAGCTGCGTCTTGCAGAGTGGGTCAGACATGGATAAATATTGGTCATGTACGCCCTGAACGGTGGAATGGCATGAGCACAATCCCGATGTGGGAAACCTTGACACTTGTACATAGAGCTTGCCCCAAGCTCAGACCCTTTGAGTCTCGATGGCAGTTCTATGACTCACAGGATGTGTGACCTTGAGGAAGTCACTCAGCTTCCGGTGAGGTGGGGTTAACAATATCACCTATCTCATGAGGTTGCTATAAGTAACAAAATAGATTACATCTTAACCAAGAGCCTGGTTGGTGCATTGTTAAACGTTCAAAACCATTCAGTTATTTCTGTTGTCATTATTCTATTACCAGGTCACTGCATATTTCCATTTGGCTCAATCATAAGGAGTTCGAGGAAAAATTGTGGGAAATAGGGCTGTAAATACGGGATGAAGTCAAGTCCCAGCGGACCTTGGAGTCTAGGTTAAGAAACTGAGGGCTTTTTTTACACCATAGCTCTGGACAGCAAGAGTGGGTTTTTGTAAAGAGACAGACATGATAGAGTTGTGTTCTAGCCTGAAGCTGACAGTGAGAACAGATGGGGAGAAGTACTGACGGGACTGAGGGACAAAGGAGAAGAGGGCCCAGGAGGCGTGAGGGCTCCAGGATAAAGGGGAAAGGAGGACATCAACTCAAAAGAGGCAGAAGGGCGTGCAGGGCGCTGGCGGTGTTCTGCGTCTTCACCTGGTGCCGCTTCCAGGGAAGCATTCAGTTTATGAGATCTGGGGAGCTGTTGACTTATCAATAGTGTGCTTTTCTGTATGTAGATGGACTTTGGTGAATTTGGTAAAAAGTGATGGAAAGGTTTCAGGCAGGATGATGAGTTAGAGGAGGGAGCGATTTAAGTAAACAAGATGGAAGAGGGACAGAGTTGGGTGGGGACGACACTGAGTTCGGTTGCAGCAAGTTGAGTGGGTTTGGATGGAAAGCTGATGGCCCCATGCTGGGAAGAGGTACCATGTCAAAGCCACCATCTCAGAATCAAGAATCTGGAGGTAGGGTTATAATTCCCATGGTTCTTAAGTGAAGCACGAAAAGGAAGGGAAGGAAGAAGGAAGGAAGGAAAAACTGGCCTTATTAGGTAGTAAAACTCAGGAAATTCAATGACAGCCGGGCCAGCATTCCTGTCTTCTCACATATGAAGAAATACAGGTTTCTGTGTCCTGTATAAATCTGGTTCCCAGTTTTTCCTATGAAACAGGGATGTACCGCAGCCTGACTAAAATTCTAATGGAATGCCAAGAAGTTTTGCCAGTGTCTTAGCTTTTACTGGTAACCACCAACTGTCCAGGAAGGGAGAAATAGATGTCCAAAAAGAAGCTTTTAAATGTCTTCATTCTTCCTCTGTTAGTCAGACTTATTTCACTTTGGGAATTAGGCTAAAGTGGAAGTGGAAGGTGAAAGTAAAAAAGCAAATTCTGACCGGGAGCGGTGGCTCACGCCTGTAATCCCAGCACTTTGGGAGGCCAAGGCAGGCAGATCACTTGAGGCCAGGAGTTCAAAACCAGCCTGGGCAACATGGTGAAACCCCATATCTTCTAAAAATACAAAAATTAGCTGGGTGTGGTGGTGCATGCCTGTGATCCCAGCTACTCAGGAGGCTGAGGTGGGAGGATTGCTTGAGCCCAGAAGGTCGAAGTTGCAGTGAGCTGAGATTGTGCCACTGTACTCCAGCCTGGGTGACAGAGCAAGATCCTGTCTCAAAAAAAAAAAAAAAAAAAAAAGTGAAATCCTATTTGTCATCCAAAACCAAGCCTGTTTTCTGTTTTCACATGCTTAAGCAAGTGATCAGAGATGGCAACTGTGTCTGGTGTCCTGGTCTTAGTTAACCTGTGTGTACTCATTAAATAGCAGGGGGTATATGGGGCGCTTATTTCAATGAAAACAATTACACATGCACATTTTGTCTGTTCAGCATTAATGATTCCCTGTTGGCAGAGCTGCACACTGGGTGCTTCTTGGGCTTCAAAGCAAGCTTATTAAATAGAAATGACTGTCAAGTCTTGTAATTTGGGTAACTGCCAAACAGACCACGGATGAAGGCAGAAAAAGAAGAAAATAAAGACTGATTACCTGCAGCACTTCTTGTTTCCACTACCAGAAAAATTACTCTGGAGGCCCCAGTGCTTATCTGCTTTCCCCATACAGCTTCCACGAGGGAAGGCCTCCTGCGTACCCAAGTGGGACCATCTGAGCTTCTCTCTAAGCCTGAACATTGTTTCTAAGCTACCTCCAGGGTACCAAGGCCAGGAGGAAGGGTTAATTAGGGCAAATAAATTCAGAGGAAGCGCTCTATGTGCATTATCGCCCTTATTCTAGAGCCGAAGGAGTTTGTGAATCTACCCAACTTCCCACCATACCGTTTGGGGATCTGTATTTGATTTTCATAGTCTCACTAAAAAAAAGATAGCATTCCCCATAAACTCAAAAAATAGTTACAAATACAGGTTGAAGCTAGGCACGGTGGTGCACACCTGTGATCCCAGTGATTCGGGCGGCTGAGGCAGGAGGATCACTTGAATCCAGGAGTTCAAGGCTGTGGTTAGCTATGATCGTGCCACTGCACCCCAGCCTGGGTGACACAGTGAGACTCTGTCTCTAACAATATAAAATAAAGTAAAATACAGGTTGAGAAACCCTAACCCAAAAATCCAAAATCTGAGATGCTCCAAAATCCAAAGCTTTTGGAGTGCAAACACGATGCCACAAGTGGGAAATTTCATTCCTAACCTCATGGGAGGGGTCACAGTTAAAATGTGGTTAAGACTTTGTTTTATGCACGAAATTATTAAAAATATTATATAGGCTGTGTGTGGTGGCTCACTCCGGTAATCCCAACACTTTGGGAGGCCTAGGCGGGAGGATCACTTGAACCCAGAAGTGCAAGGTCAGCCTGGGCAACAACAGTGAGATCCTGTTTCTACAAAAAATTGTTTAAAAATTAGCTGGGTATGGTGGCTCGTGCCTATAGTCTCAGCTAACTGGGAGGCTGAGGTGGGAAGATCACTTCAGCCCAGGAGGTTGAAGCTGCAGTAAGCTATGATCGCATCACTGCACTCCCGAGTGGGAGACAGAGTGAGACCCTGTCTCAAAAATATATCTATTATTTTTATGCCATATAAAAAATATACATATGGTATAAAATTCCCTTCAAGGTCTGTGTATAAGGTGTATATGAAACAGAAATGAGTTTCATGTTGAGACTTGGGTCCCATCCCCAAGATATCTCATATGTACATGAAAATATTCCAAAATCCAAAAAAGAAATCTGAAACATGAAACACTTGTGGGCCGTAGCATTTTGGATTAGGGACACTCAACCTGTACTCTATATCCTTAATGAGCCGGAATACGTCTCAATCAAAATTGTTTTCCAAAGTCTGATTCCAAGAAAGAAGTCACTGTTGATGAAGATGGGTGGGACTTAATCAAAAATGCAACTTCCAGAGTGCATCTTGGGGCCATTACATAGAAATCACCCTTAAAGTACAGCAGAGGGCTTGTTAGCCCAGCTGAACGCTGGTCCCAGGGTAATGCAGGATCCCTGTCCAAGGAAGATTCAATTAGGCCCAGTACGCCTAACTCACTGCAGGAGGGAGGACGACTGAACTTTTTTTTTTAGAGTGTTGCAACAAGGCAGTATCTAAGACAAGGCAGTATCTAAGAGTCTTTTGATGAAACTCGGAAGCCAGAAAATTAACTTTAATTCCACAATCCACCCCCCAAGGTTTAACTGTGTTTTAAAACCTAAAACTGTGTCTTTGTCATGTGAAAGATGGATCTGACTAAAAACTAAACAAGTAAGAAAAAATATAAATAAAATATTCCAAATTGTATTTAACAAGAATTATCATTTGATGAACAGGAAGTCAACAGTCTCCTGCAATTTCTGTTCACCCTCCTGTGAATGGGCCACCCTCGACCTGGCAGACTAGGATCTGGTTTGTGTCTGTGGGTGTGAAACCAGTTGGTTTGGGGGCTCTGAATGGGCATCAGTTGCCAACATGCCTAACAGATATAATGGCCTTTGAGCCATGGACTCTTTACTTGGCCATTGACACCAACACGTGGATCTGTTTATTGCAGAGCTGCTCACAGAGCACAATTGACATTTGGTTCCAGATAATTCTGTGTGTGTGTGTGTGTGTGTGTGTGTGTGTGTGTGTGTGTTTTGGGACAGAGTCTCACTCTGTTGCCCAGGCTGGAGTGCAGTGGTGCAATCTCAGCTCACTGAAACCTCTGCCTCCCAGGATCAAGCGATTCTCCTGCCTCAGCCTCCCGAGTAGCTGGGATTACAGGCATGCACCACCACATCTGGCTAATTTTTGTATTTTTAGTAGAGACGGAGTTTCGCCATGTTGGCTAGGCTGGTCTTGAACCCCTGGCCTCACCAGATAATTCTTTATTGCTGGGGGCTGTCTTGGGCATTGCAGGGTGTCTAGCAGCATCCCTGGCCCTGACCCACTAGATGCCAGGAGAACCCTCCCCCTTCACCCCCACAAGTGACAACCAAAAATATCTCCAGATATTGCCAAATGTTCCCAGAGGGGCAGTGGGAATAACATCGCTCCTCAGGGAGAACCCTTGGATTTAGAAATAGGGATGTGGCCCATGCCTGTCCAGGCCTCATCTTCAAACTCAGCCAACCTACCCAGGGACCCACTCCAACTGCCCAGGAAAAGCAAGTCATGGCTAGGCGATGGCTCATGCCTGTAATCCCAGCATTTTGGGAGGCCAAGACAGGAGGATCACTCACTTTGGGAGTCTTGAGCTCAGGAGTTTGAGACCAGGCTGGGCAACATAGGGAGACCCTGTCTCTACAAGAAATTTTTTTAAAAAATAGCTGAGCATGGCGGTGTACACCTGTGGTCCAAGCTGCTGGTGGGAAGCTGAGGTGGGAGGAGTGCTTGAGTCCGGGAGGTTGAGGCTGCAATGAATGGTGATCACGCCACTGCACTCCAGCCTGGGTGACAAAGCAAGACATTGTCTCAAAAAAAAAAAAAAAAAAGCCAGCCATAACGGTTGCACCACACAATCATGCATCCATTTGCCATTCCCCACTACCAGGTTTCTCGGATCCCTGCCTCTAACTCTGATCCTCAGGGTTGGGACTTCTTCACAAGACTGGTTGGAGCACGCACTCAGTTTTCTTCTAGTTCCTCTCCTGTGGAGTCTCCAAAGGGAGGATATTCTCCAGCAAATAGCCCAGGAACTCAGAACCTTGCCAACAAGCCCCTTCCACCCACAATCAAGGCAAAAGAATTCAATGACCACCGTGGAGTCTTTCTTCCCTTATCCTAAGGAGGACATAGCAAAGGAATCTGCAAGTTGGCCAACGGACCCACCAAATTTCGCTTCTCATTCTGTCATCATTGCCTTGAGCAACTCTCTTTATTTCAGCTAAGAAATAAACAATAAAGGCTGGGCGTGGTGGCTCACGCCTGTAATCCCAGCACTTTGGGAGGCCAAGGTGGGCAGATCACCTGAGGTCAGGAGTTCGAGACCAATCTGGCCAGTATGGTGAAACCCCATCTCTACTAAAAATACAAAAATTAGCCAGGCATGATGGCAGGCGCCTGTAATCCCAGCTACTCGGGAGGCTGAGGCAGGAGAATCGCTTGAACCCAGGAGGCAGAGTTTGCAGTGAGCCGAGATCACGCCACTGCACTCCAACCTGGGTGACAAAGCAAGACTCTGTCTCAAAAAATAATAAGAAGAAAAACAAAAAAGAAATAGACAATAAAGCGTTCATGCTTATCATCAGAACCCAGTAACCAATAAGTGTTTGATATGGTTTGGATATTTGTCCCTGCCCAAATCTCATGTTAAAGTGTAATCCCCAATGCTGGAGGTGGGTCCTGGTGGGAGGTGTTTGGATCATAGCTGAGGATCCCTCATGTCTTGGTGCTGTCCTTTCAAGAGTTCTGGCGAGATCTCGTTGTTGTGAAGTGTGGCCCTTCCCCCAACTCTTTCTCTTGCTGTTGCTCCTGCTCCTGCCCTGTGAGACCCCTCCTCCCCCTTCACCTTCTGCCATGATTGGAAGCTCCCTGAGGCCTCCCTAGAAGTAGACGTTGACGCTGTGCTTCCTGTACATCTCGCAGAACCGTGAGCCAATGAAACCTCTTTTCTTATAAATTACCCAGTCTCAGGTATTTCTTATAGCAATGCAACAATGGCCTAATACAGTATTTATTCAAAGAGAAGCAGGAGGCTGGGTGTGGTGGCTTGTGCCTGTAATCCCAGCACTTTGGGAGGCTGAGGCGGGGGGGCGGGGGGAGTACAACCCCAGCCTGGACAACACAGCAAGACCCCATTTCTTTAAAACATTAAATAAATTTAAAAATAAAAAAAATTAGCTGCGCATGATGGCATGTACCTGTAGTCCTAGCCCCTTGGGAAGTTGAGGCAGGAGAATCGCTTGAGCCCAGGAGGTTGAGGCTGCAGTGAGCTATGATGGTGCCGCTGCACTCCAGCCTGGGTGACAGTGAGACCCTGTCTCTAACACAAATTAAAAATTAAGAATTAAAAAAAAATAAAAACAAAAAGAAGCAGGGCCAGTGAGGACCTGTGGTCAGAGAAGTTTCCAGAGAAGAGAGGAGACCTGAGAGTGACTTTGAAGTATAAGCAGCACACAAGTCCTCAGATGTTTCAGAGAATATGAAAGCAGTGAAATTCCTGGCTCAAGAGGCTTCTAATCTCGTATCAAGCTGGCTGTTGGCTGATGCCAGTCAGAGAAATTAAAACTCCTCCAGTTACCAATCCACCCTCCTCCTTGCCAGCTGGATTCCCCAGACACGCCTGATTTCTGCCTTCTTCCCGCTATCATTTATTCAGCAAGCACTTACCGAGCTTCTGCTTTCTGCCAGAGCCCGAGCTTGGCACAGGGAGTATAAGCCTGAACCAAAATGATGGGCTCCTGGAAGCCCTGCAGCTTGCGGCCTGGAGGGAGGACAGGCCCACAGAAGTCACACGGACGCGATCCAGGGAGAGAGAGGAACGGCGGGAAGGCGGCCTATGCACATTGTGTGGTTTGGGAAGTTGCCTCTCTAAGAGGAAGGAATATTAAAGCTGGAACGTGAAGGATGAAAGGAAATCTGCCAAGCATAGCAAGAGGGGAAGGACATGCTCAAGAGATGGAAATCACACGCAAAGGCCCTGAGGCAGGGAGGAGCTGAGGCCACGGGAAGAACTCAAAGAAACTCAGGGTGGCTGAGATTTAGAGAACAAAGAGAAAGCATAGCATGAATTTGAAGAGCTAGGAAGGGCCGAGATGGTGTGAGGACTTCTCAGCCCTGGAGAGGGGGTTGGGTTTGTGCTAAGTGCACTGAGAAGTCATAAATTTTGTTTGTTTGAGACAGGGTCTCGCTCTGTCACCCAGGTTGAAGTGCAGTGGCGCGATCATAGCTAACTGCAGCCTCAAACACCTGGGCTCAAGTGATCCTCCTGCCTCAGCTTCCCAAGTAGCTGAGACTACAGGTGCACGCCACCATGCCCAGCTAATTTTTAAATTTTTTGTAGAGATGGAGCCTCAGTATATTGCCCAGGCTGGTCTTGACCTCCTGGCTTCAAGCAATCCTCCTGCCTCAGCCTCCCAAAGTGCTGGGATTACAGGTGTTAGCCACCAGGCTGGGCCTAAGACTTTTACCTTCAAAGAAAGTAAAATGCAGGTTCCAGGGATTTGGGTGTGAACATATCTTTTGAGGGGCCTCCATTTAACCCAGTACACTGACACATAGTGGGGTCATTATTGTGTGTTCCTGTCCTGGCTCCTGCCTAGACTGTGGGTTCATGGTGAACAGGGACCTTCAGTGATATGACGGGGTAATCAATGGGCCCAGGATAACCACTGTCTAATTGGGGTACAGGGGCCGGTTGGACTCTCTTTTCCATCCAGAAGCTCTGACCTTACAAAATTAATATGGAAATAGCCCCCACACATCCAGATTGCTCAGGACATTGGGGTCAGGTGAATATGTCAAGTAGGGGCCACCCAGATGTCGAACGCCTTGATAAGCACCTACCCTGTTACTACTGCTTTCTCCTGGGTATCCCTTAAATTAAAAACACTGTTCTCAGCCGGGCGCAATGGCTCACGACTGTAATCTCAGCGCTTTAGGAGGCCAAAGCAGGCGGATCACTTGAGGTCAGGAGTTTGAGACCAGCCTGGTCAACATAGTGAAACCCAGTCTCTACTAAAAATACAAAAATTAGCCGGGCGTGCTGGCATGCACTTGTAATCCCAGCTACTTGGGAGACTGAGGCAGGAGAATCACTTGAACCTGGGAGGCAGAGGTTGCAGTGAGCCGAGATCATGCCACTGCACTCCAGCCAGGGCGACAGAGCGAGACTCCATCTAAAAAAAAAAAAAAAAAGACGCTGTTCTCAATGACTCTTTTCAAAGAATGATTCCACTCCATTTCAATTATGAGTTTTTGAATTCTGAAACAATTGCAAACTCACTGAAATGTTGCTAGTAGGGCACAAATAACTTATTTCTGAACCTTTTGAGATGAAGTTGCTGACTCTGTCAGTTGCAAATACCTGAGTGTGTATTTCCCGCAAATAAAGGTATCCTCCTACATAACCTCACTACAACCACCAGAAAGGGAGGCCTTCACTCTGAAAGATGACTACCGCCTAACCCTCAGGCTCCATTCCAGGTTCGTCAAGTCCCTAGAGCATCATTTACAGCTACAGGGCCCAGTTCAGCACCACAAACTGTCATTGTTATGTCTTTTGTTTGTTTATTTAGAGACAGAGTCTCACTCTGTTGCCCAGGCTGGAGTGCACTGGTGTGATCTCGAGTCACTGCAGCCTCCGCCTCCCAGGTTCAAGCAATTCTTATGCCTCAGCCTCCCGAGCACCTGGGACTACAGGTGCCCACCACCATGCCCGGCTAATTTTTGTATTTTTAGTAGAGATGGGGTTCCACGGTGTTGGCCAGGCTGGTCTCAAACTCCTGACCTCAGGTGATCTGCCCACCTCGGCCTCCCAAAGTACTGGGATTACAGGCATGAGCCACCATGCCCAGCCTGTTATCATGTCTTCTCAGTATCTTCCCATCTTGAACATTCCCTGTCTTTCCCTGACTTGCTTAACCTTGGCACTTAGAAAAATAAATTGTGACCAGGCTTGGTGGCTCACGCCTGTAATCCCAGCACTGTAGGAGGCCAAGGCAGGAGGATTGCTTGAGGCCAGGAGTTCAAGACCAGCCTGGGAAACATAACAAGACCCCATCTCTACAAAATTAAAAATTAAAAGTAATTAGCTGGGCATGGTGGCATACACCTGTAGTCCCAGCTACTTGGGAGGCTGAGACAGGAGGATCACTTGAGCTCAGAAATTAAGGTTACAGTGGACTAGGATGCATTGCTGCACTGCAGCCTTGGCCACAGAGAAAGATCTTGTGTCTGAAAAAAAAGAAAAGAAAAAAACCTGTGGTAAAGCATATATCCCATAACGTTTACCATTTTAAAACTTTTAAGTGTACCATTCAGCGACATCAAGTACATTCATATTATCATGCAACCATCACCACCATCTACCTCCAGAACATTTTCATCTTCCTAAACTCAAAATTCGGACCCACAAAACTCTTCATTCTCCTGTCCCCCAGCCCCTGGCAACCATCGTTCTTCTTTCTGTCTCTACGGATTTGACTTCTCTGGGTACCTCTTAGAAGTGAAACCTTACAGTATTTGTTTTTTTTTTTGTGACTGGTTTCTTTCACTTAGCATAATATCTTCAAGGTTCATCCATGTTGCAGCCTGTGTCAGAATTTCCTTCCTTTCTAAGGTCGAATCATATTGCATTGTCTGGATGGACTACATTTGGTTCATACATCCATCTGTCCACAGGCACTTGGGCTGGCTCACCTTTCATCTATTGTAAATAATGCTCTTAGGAACATGGATGTTATCAACCCTGATACTTTTGAAGAAGACAGGCCAGACATTTCCCTCATCCAGCGTTTGTCTGATGTTTCCTTGCGATTACATTCACATTATGCATCTTCCCAAGGACATCACTGAAGTGATGCTGTATTCTTCTCATCGCAGGTGACACACAATTCAGTTTGCCCCAGACCTGAAAAGTGTGGGGCACTTTGATCCCTGCTTCAGATGGAGCCTGCCAGGATTCTCCACAGCAAAGTTATTCCATTTCCCTTTGAAATCATTATAAATTTCCTGCAGAGGTCGTTTGAAACTGTGTAAAGATCTCCTGCCTCATCATACCACTGTTTTGTAAAGCACCCCCAGTCAGCAGTGATGCGATCCTTTGAGGGTTGCTCAGTACAGTGTGCTGGCTGATTCCTCAGAGCTCCAAAAGGTCTGGAAAGGTCTGGAAAGGATCCATGGCCTCCTTTTCTTTTCCTGAACTCGGCTCCGGATCAGAGCAGAGATGCCCTTGAAGGGAATGCTGTCATTCCGGAGCCACTGGCCCAAGGGCTTTTGAAGACAAAATCTGAGTAACTAGAGTTCCCTGAAAAACAGGAAGGGAAGTACAACCACACACCAAGTTTCTTTTAGGGCATTCATACAGACTTGGCCAGGATGGCACAACTCTGTTACATCCACCCCCTTGTTTGGAGAAATGGATGGTGATAAGCAGAGTCCTCTAGGATGCTATCCACCATCCATGCCAACAGCTTCAGGGAGGAACATAGCATCTTCATGAGCCTCTCCCTGCAGCCATATTTGCTTATGAAGGAAATCAAAATATTTCACCCCAAAATATGACTCCTTGGTACAATGAGTATTTTGAATTAAAAACCCTTAGAGATCAACACCGGAAGAGACTTTTCCCCTATCTACATAAGGATAAGACTGACCCACCAAGGAGAACAATTATTCTTGTTCCCCTCCCTGTTACCTCGTTATCCATTACAGGAAAGAAGACCTAGACATAACTACACCTGAACAGATCCTTTTTCCAGATGATGACTGTCTCCAAGGATCACTTACATTCTAAAGAGAACTATTTACAAGTTAATTTCTGTTCCCTAGTAATCATGTACTGTCCCTCAATAGAATTCCTCTTCTCCCACTCCCATAACTGGTTTTAGCAGAACCCAAGCCCCATTCTTTCTATAACCTCAGGATAGCGCATAAGCTTCTGGAGTTCCCTGGAAAGTTGGACCATCATTCTGAAGGCACCGTGTATACACATTAAATACATTTGTACGCCTTTTCTCCTATGAATCCATCTGCCTCATGTCTATGATTTTCAGCAAATCTTTCTAGGGCCAAGAGCTCCTGCAAGACTCATCCACGCGGTATGGAGGTCTTACTCCGAAGCATAGTATTTGTCCTCATGCATTCAAAGACCTCATGTCAAAGATTCTAAGCTAGTATAATGCTTCACAAGAAGTGAATGTGGTAGATATAGACAGGTAGACAAGTAGGTAGGTAGACAGATATTCCTCTACAAACACAAGATGATTCATTTTGTTGAGAATCATAAGAAAAAAATATTTTCCTACAAAATAATCAGTTGCTTACAGTATACATTCAAAAAATCTGTGGCTGGGTACCTGAGATTACAGACTCAGTATTGTAATCCCAACACTTTTCAAGCCCGAGGCAGGTGGATCACTTGAGCCCAGGAGCTCAAGACCAGCCTGGGCAGCATAGCAAGAACCCATCTTTACAAAAAAATAAAAACAAAAATAGACAAGTGTGGTAGCACATGCCTATAGTCCAGCTACTCGGAAGGCTGAGGTAGGAGAATCTCTTGAGCCCAGGAGGTCAAGGCTGCAGTGAGCCATGATCATGCCACTGTACTCCAGCCTAGGCAACAGAGCAAGAACGTGTCTAAAGAAAAAAAAAAAAAAAATCCTTGTGTGCTTATTCATTGCATCACCCCTTGGAACAGAAGACCCATTCAGTCAGAGATCTTGTCTGACAGTTAATAATTGTGTTTTCTGCACCTAGAAGAGTGTCTGAAATATCATTGATAATAAATATTTATTGAATGAAATAATTTACTTCTCAAAAACATTACATCAATCAATATTAATTAAGCATGTTTTGCAAGTTCAGTGGTGGTTTAAGCAGACTGAACTAATGGCTCAATCAAGGATTCCTTGATAAAGGGATAGCTCTCCAGTGACAAGGAGGCCATCAGGTTCATATTCAAGGTTGTGGTCAGCAGAATTCTAAGATGGTCCCCAACATTCCTTATCCCTGGATTTCAAACACCTTCTCCAAGTTATTCAATCAAACACCCATCGAGGGGCTCCAGTGAAGGGGATTTTGCAGATGTAATTACGTCTCAGATTAACTGCCTTTAGGAAAGGGGTATCGACCTCAGTGGGTCTGAGCTAATCACCAGAGCCTTGAAAGGGGAGAGAGTTTTCCTGGAACGAGATTGGAAGCATGAGAGGGCTATTCTCCGCCATTGGCTTTGAAGATGAAGGGAGTCCTGTGGCCTCTGGGAGCTGAAAAACCCCAGCTGACAGCCAGCCAGGAAACAGGGCCTTCAGCCCTATAACTGCAAGGAACTGAATTCTACCCCAGCCACCTGAGCTTGGAAAAGAACCCGACCTCCAGATGAGAACACAGGCAGCCGCCACAGCGCTGTCAACAGCTTGACTGTAGCCTGGTGAGACCCTGAGCAGAGAGCTTGGCCACACCGTACCTGGACTTCTGGCCCGTAGAACTGTGAGCTAATACGTGGGTGTTGTTTTAAGCCAATGCATTTGTGATAATTTGTGATGTGGCAATAGAAAAACTAATACAGAGTTCAAAACAACACAGTAATTCAATAAGTGGACCACAGAGTTCACTCTCATATTAATGGAAAAAGGTTTTGGATCACATCTAACCAAGTGCCTTAGAAATGCATTCAGCCTCACACTTAGTGTGGTATTATTTTCTCAGTCTCCCACCAAGCAGAAGGAACATTTATCCCTCAGCTATCAGCCAGAAATTTTTGTTATGTTAATGACGGTAAGAGCAACGCCACCAGGAAAGTGAGAGATTTATGTAAGACAAAGACCAAAAAGAGGGAGAAAGCGGGCAGATAGAAATGACCAGGACAGAGTGGAGAAAGGAGACTAGGGTGCAGTGCTGGGCAAACTGGAGAGAGGCTAGGGGGTGGGAAAGAAGAGACTTTGGGGGCATTAACCATTTGTATGTGACAATAAGAAAGAGATTTGGGAGGCCAGGGCAAGAGGATCACTGGAGGCCAGGAGTTCGAGACCAGCTCAGGCCACATAAAGAGACACTATCTCTACAAAATTAAAAACATTAGCCGGGGGTGGTGGCACACACCTGTAGTCCCAGCTACTCAGGAGACTGAGGCAAGAGGATCGCTTGAGCCCAGGAGGTCGAGGCTGCAGGGAGCTATGATCGCACTGCTGCACTCCAGCCTGGGTGACAGAGCAGTACCCTGTCTCCAAAAAAAGACAGAGAGAGAAGGAAGAAAGAGATTTTAACAAGTCCCACCACAGTGAACTATGAATGAAGCCCCAGTTTGGGCATTCTCAGTGCAGTACAGATTCAAGTCACCTGAAGTGATTTTTTGGATGCCAGACTGATGTGTTCTTTTAAAGTGATCTCACAGGGAAAAGGCACTGCCTGTGGTCACGAAAGGTGCACCTTTACACAGGCCCGACCAGCATTCCCAGACTCCACTGGGGGAAGCTGAAAACTGGTTCAGTTTTCCCATCCTTCTCTTTTTTTCTTGGTTCTTCCTTGCTCCCTCCTTGAGGACTCAGATCTGGGAAAATTTCCTGAAGATCCATATACACAAGACGACATTAAAAATGCCTGACTCCTTCTAGCTTCTAGTGCTGTATGGGGGCTCACACCTTCCCTGGGAGCATAGAGGAGAATGGAGAACTGGGGACTCTAAGAGAGGCAGATATATTCACACTTTTGTGTAAAGCTTTGTGGCTGAAATGACTACTTGCCCCAGTTCTTCCAGCCTCTTTCTTTCATAGCAGTAATGGTGAATAGGGGGTGATTATACCCCCCAGGGAACATTCAGCAATGTCTGGAGATGTTTTTAGCTGTCATCCCTGGAGGAGGAGGGTTGCTATCAGCATCTGGTGACTTGACGCCTAGTATGCTGCGAAACCCACAATGCCTAGGACAGCCCCATAGCAAAGAATGATGGAACCCCAAATGTCAATAGTGTTGCGGTGGAGAAATCCTGCTGTGCCGCCCTCTGTGGGCAAGGACCGCAGACCAAAGGCTCCGAAAGAAACTGAGGGAAGCCAAATGCATCAGCTCCCATGGGCGGGTTCTTATGTTTTGTACATTTGATGCTTTTTCTGGGAAAAGAAAAAAAATAATTATTTCTCAGGGTAGAAAAGATTACGGAAATGAAAACCACATAATGACAGAGTTATCTTGTTTAGCTGGCCAACAAGAAGCCGTACAGCAACAGAAAGCTGCCAGCTGGTCTGGGAAGCCTTAGTAAGGCTGCCAGGTGGTGAGATGAGTCTCAATGACTCTGCCCGGGGGTCTGCACATCTCACTGGCCTGGTTGGGCTTGCAGGAGGCCCGGATGGCTACGCCCTTCTGAGAGGTGGGGTGTGTGGGCTTAGGCCCCAGAACTGGGCACCAAAGAGAACGCCGTGAGCTCTCCTTCTAGGAGGTTCTACGAGAAGGAGGGATGTCATCAGTGGGGACATGAGGGAGAAGGGCTGCCAGAAGACAGAGGACGCATAGGCCCACCATGAATGAGGTTCCAGCCAAAACCTGTCTACCTAAGTGGCTTCAAAGCCCCTGAGATGCTGGGGAGAGGAACCGAGGGATTTATTTTCGGGGGTGCTCTTGAGCCGATGGGTGAGCCTCTCACTGTCTCAGCACCCACAGCAGGGGCGAGTTTCAGAACAAGGGAAAGCTGAGGGTTCTCTCCATCCCTAAGCCAGGAAATCATGCCCTGTGGAGTCTCAAGAGGGGATGTGGGCTCCTAAGACACACACAGAGACACCCCAAGAGATGCAGGAGATGCATAGCCACACGGAGTCAGAGAGATTCAGTGGGAGAGGATGGCCGGGGTCTCTTTCCAGGTGAGAAACAGGAAATGAAAGCAACTACCATAATCAGAGAAAACAACCTTCATGGCACAAAAAAGAAATTCCCTCTATGAGTATTGAACTGTTCTGCACTTTCCTTGTTCTCTGCTTTCTTTATGAGTGCATACATCTGAAATTTCCATATGACAGGACTGATATGAGCATATAAAGAGGCAGATAAAGAGTCATTAATTTCATCTTGTCTATTCCTTCTGTTGTGACAGAAGCAACCAACCTTTCGACAGATCCCCAGAAACTGAAGGCTCCCAAGGCACTCATTCCTTCCGCGTTTGCATGCCCCAGTGCTTGTAGCCACAGTTCCTTTCTTGGCAGGCGTTTGCGTAGCTTACTAATGCTCTGAATGCAACAGCACTTCTTAAAGGCCAAAATAAGTCTCTTCTATTTCTTAATGTTTGTTCAATACCCATAATTTTATACTAATCCTACAATAGGAGCAAATTTATTTCCAGAAATGTATTACAACCATTCACAGATGATTTTGAGCTCTCATATGCCCTTCTATTTTTTATTTTATTTTTTATTTTAAGATGGAGTCTCTCTCTGTCGCCCAGGCTGGAGTATAGTGGTGCAATCTCAGTTCACTGCAACCTCCGCCTCCCAGGTTCAAGCAATTCCCATGCCTCAGCCTCCCGAGGAGCTGGGATTACAGGCACGTGCCACCATGCCCGGCAAATTTTTTGTATTTTAGTGGAGACAGGGTTTCCCCATGTTGCCTAAGTTGGTCTCGAACTCCTGAGCTCAGGCGATCCACCCACCTCAGATTCCCAAAGTGCTAGGATTACAGGCGTGAGCCACTGCACCCAGCCTCTTTTTAATAAAATTCAATGAAACGTAATATTTCCTGTGTTCCTGCTGTGCCAAGCTTGGTGCTGGGTTATGGAAGTTGGGGTCAGGCATAAAGATGAACCAAACAAACACGTGCCCTGGAAGAACTTTTTAAATTTGTTTTTCTCTCTGCTTCATTCATTCATTAAATGAAATCAATGAATTTTTTTCATTAAGCAAATAAGGCTGGGCATGGTGGCTCACATCTATAATCCCAGTGCTTTGGGAGGCCAAGGTGGGAGGATCACTTGAAGCCAGGAGTTTGAGACGAGCCTGGGCAACATAGTAAGGCCCCCATCTCTACAAAAATAAAAATAAAATAAGAAAATTAGGCCAGGCATGGTGGCTCACGCCTGTAATCCCAGCACTTTGGGAGGCTGAGGTGGGCAGATCACCTGAGGTCAAGAGTTCAAGACCAGCCTGGCCAACATGGTGAAACCCACCTCTATTAAAAATACAAAAATTAGGCTGGAGGCGGTGGCTCACACGTGTAACCCCAACACTTTGGGAGGCCGAGGCAGGCGGATCACCTGAGGTCAGGAGTTCAAGACCAGCCTGGCCAACATGGTGAAACCCCATCTTTACTAAAAATACGAAAATTAGCTGGGTGTGGTGGTGGGCACCTGTAGTCTCAGCTACTCGGGAGGCTGCTGCATGAGAATCACTTGAACCTGAGAGGCAGAGGTTGCAGTGAGCCGAGATCACACCACTGCACTCCAGCCTGGGAGACAGAGCAAGACTCTGTCTCAAAAAGAAAGAAAGAAAAGAAAGAAAGAAAGAAAGAAAGAAAGAAAGAAAGAAAGAAAGAAAGAAAGAAAGAAAGAAAGAAAGAAAGAAAAGAAAAGGAAAATTAGCTGGGCATGGTGGCACATGCCTGTGGTCCTAGCTACTCAGGAAGCTGACGTTGGAGAATTGCTTGAGCCCAGGAGTTTGAGGCTGCAGTAAACGGTGATCCAGCCACCGCACTCCAGCCTAGGTGACAGAGTGAGACCTGTCTCAAAAAAATAAATAAATAAACTACACTGAGTGCCTACTATGATCTGAAACGGTAGTCAACCCCATGCAGAAGACAAAAACAGTTGAGAAAATAGGAGAGGAAACACACGACAAAACCATCAGCACCCAGAATTCATCCTATCGGCTCTATCTGCTTGTTAGGGAAGGGCCCTATATTTGGCCTCAAGCTTCCCAACAGCCTATGTAAAAAGGGAATCATGATCACCTATGTGTCCACAATATTAAAAAAAAAAAAAAAACAGAGCAAGCACTTGAGAACAAATTCTGCTCTTCGTCCTGACAGAATGTTCTCTGCTTTTTCTCTAACATGGACGTCTCCATGGTGTGGAGCTAACTGTGTAGCCAGAACACAAACAAGAAACAAAGTTCAGTACCTGTGAATACAAACCCGCGGGTGCAAGGGTAATGTGCGCACAAACAGATAGGAAAGCAGTGGAAAGAGGCCTCGGGAGACCTTGCGGAAAAGGTCCTGAGCGTTGGGTGAGATTTCCAAGGAGAGAAAAAAGAACGACGCTCCAAGCAGAGGGCACAGCCTGGAAAAGACATGCAGTTAGAAGGAAACAAAACATCTTTTGATACAGGCACGTTGCTGGGGTGGCTGGAGTGTAGGTCTCATGGGAGCAAGTAAAGGAAGATAGGTTGGAAAAGGCAGATTGGAAAATTTCCTGAAGGCAGGCTGAGGAGGTGAGGCGTTATTTCATGAGCTATGTTCTGGATCAAGCAGGGAGGCATGGGAGGTTTATGATGGAAGCAGGGAACCCTGGGGTTGAGGTTATGGGGAGAGGAGGAGGTGGAAGACCAGACCTATGGCTGGGGAGTAGTAGTCTACAGATGCCAAGACGAAGGGGGTGGCAGGCGGAGGAAACGAGGAGTATGCATGAAGAGCTCTGGAGAGGGGGCACTGACAAGCTTTGGAAAAATGACTCAATCCCTGGCATGGGGCCTCAGCTTCGAACATAGGTGCTGGAGAAGTTTGCGGGATGAGGAATTACGTGTTGAAGATAGGGGAGAGGTATGACAGAAAAAAAAAAGGCTTTGTACTTTAGAACCTGAGCGGCCAGGAGGAGCCCAGTGCATTAACCAGAATAGGGAAGACAGATGCAGAATCCGTCAGACGCATTGAGTCCGAAACGTTTTTACCACATGCTGTTGGGGTCCAGATTGGTGGCTGCCTGAAGGGCGTTGACTGCGAAGGGACAGAAGAGGTGATGGAAATGTCTCACATCTTGACTTGGATGGTGGGCAGACAAATATGTAATATGTACCTTTGTCCAAACGCACCCAAGGGCACACCTAAGAGCTATGCATTTTATTGCACATAAATTATATACTTCCTTAAGTTGGGATTTTTTTTAAAGGAAGATTCTAGCAGACAAAAGTAAAGAGATGTTGGCCTGCCCTAAAGGAGTTCACACAAGCAAATAAATACAAAGGAACCCAACAAGAAGTGGGAATATAAGGTGCAGAATAAACAAGGCGGGGCTGAGTCCTGGTTGGGGTTTGGAGAAAGCTTCTCACAGGCAGTGATACTTGAAATGGACCTTGAAGAATAAATATATTGGAAACAAAACTGCCAAAAAAAGCAGGAACTCTAATTTTCAGATGACTCATTGCATTAAAAGTTCAAACACATCCATTGCAATGCATTTTAATGTATTATACAAATATACACAAGTATATTTCTATGAAAGAGACAGCATCCGGCTGTATGGAAGAATTTGGGCTTTGGAACGGGACAATTCTTGGAGATTTTAAAAAATTTTAACAGTAACTTCTTTTGTTGTTAATATTATTATTATGAGACAGGGTCTGCGTCTGTTGTCCAGGCTGGAGCGCAGTGGCACGATCTTGGCTCACTGCAACCTCCACCTCTTGAGCTCAAGCCACCCTCCCACCTCAGCCTCCTCAGTAGTTGGGACTACAGGCATGCGCCACCATGCCTGGGTAATTTTTATAGAGATGGGGTTTCTCCATGTTGCCCAGGCTGGTCTCAAATTCCTGGGCTCAAGTGATCAACCTGCCTCAGCCTCTCAACGTGCTGGGATTATAGGCGTGTGCCATGGCACGCGGCCAGTTCTTGGGGATTGTTATTGGTTATGTTGCAATGGGCAAGTTCTGTGATCTTTCTTGTGAGTACATACAGTAATATCTGTATTATCTGGTAATATCCATATTATCTGGTATTTGTGAGAATTAGGTGAGTCAATGAACGTGAAGTTGTTAGTTCATGATAAGTGTCCCTAAGTGTAAACTCATGATTTTATTACACAACAAGAGTGTATGTTTAGTATTAAAATGACTGCTAAAATAACACACTAAATGATACCCACACAGAGATATGCTTTTTTCAAATATTTCAGGTGTGAATGTTTTAAGGTTGGTTTTCTCAGCTGTGAACCCCTGGGAAACTCCTGAATTTCATTTAGGACCCTCCATAGTGTCTTACATTAAATCTAAATGTATTAAACATTTATCATGGCAATGTGTATCTAAAACAGAAAACATTCTAACCATGTGTGTGGAGTGCGTGTGTACATCACGTGTGCTGTGGGTTTTTTCCCCTCTTCTGTTAAAAGAACACACATAGAGATCGTATGTCCTCACTGATTCTGCGGGAGGAACATTGCATATTCGAGAGAAATCCTGTTCCCCTCTCTGGGTCTTGAGGGCAAGAAAAATCACAGACATGAGAATCTGTTGGTTTAAACCATTTCTTCCAAAAATGATTAAGCCCCTGATAAGTCTCACCAATAGCGTGGCCAAGACTGATTTTTCCCCAACCTGATCTCTTGAATCAAGGAAGCCATCTTCCACTCTGTCCCTGGACCACTTAGCAACTCCAGCATCCAAATGATACTTCCAGGGGAACTTTCATCCTGCATCTATTATATGTCTAGTGAGCTGTGCCTGACCCAGCTTATCAGAACAATCACTGGGAAATAGAAGTAAATGGTGAGAGAGTGATCCAAGTGATGAATGCTTCTTAAAATGATGATATATTTAGAATAGCCAGGCCCAGCCTGGTGGCTCAGGCCTATAATCCCAGCATTTTGGGAGGCCGATGTGGGAGGATCGCTTGAGGCCAGGAGTTCAAGACCAGCCCAGGCAACATAGTGAGACCTTGTCTCTACATAATACATATAGAATAGTCCACCTCCCCAGCTTCCAGAATCCTTGGGAAGACTGTGAGGTTCCCACATTCATTGTGGGCAGGTATTGGTTTACTCTATTAAAAATTATTTTGAAAGCTGATGGGTTGTTCTTATCTTTCTCTTGTTATGTGGGTGTGGGGGCAGAGAAGGTGGTATCTTCTTGTTTCTATATTGTCTATTAATGGTTGTAATGGCAAGAACCGTCTGGTAAGTGGAAATTGCAAATGTGTCCAAGAGCTAGTGAGGGGAGAGATGTACCTCGGTAAAGCAAAGGTCAAATTCAAATGGAAGATGAAACCTGAAAATCTTATTTGAGGCAACATAAATAAATGGAATCAGAACTATTTCTGAGTCTGGGAAGTACGCTCTGCAGAGAGGAAAAGTATATGTCAGACTTTAACTATTTATCCCTACATACTGGGAGGCCGTCTGTAGAAGGAAGTATTATAGTAGGAAGTCATGATGTTTTCTACCAGAGACATCCTCAAAGTGTTGCTGCAATTCTCTAACTGTATTAGTCCATTCGCACATTGCTGTAAAGAAATACCCGAGCCTGGGTAATTTATAAGAAAAGATGTTTCATTGGCTTCACAGTTCTACAGCTGTAGAAGACACATAGTGGCATCTGCTTCTAGGGAGGCCTCAGGGAACTTCCAATCATGGTGGAAGGCAAAGGAGGAGCAGGCACGTCACATGGCAGAAGCAGGAGCAAGAGAGAGAGAGATAGGGGAGGTGCTACACACTTTTAAATGACCAGATCGCACGAGAACTCACTCCTATTGCGAGGACAGTACCAAGAGGGATGGAGCTAAGCCATTCATGAGAAATCTGCCCCCATGATCCAATCACCTCCCACCAGGCCCCACCTCCAACATTGAGGATTACATTCCAATGTGAGATTTGGGCGGGGACACACATCCAAACTATATCACTAAACTTGGGTTTGAAACTTTCAGCCTCTTAAGCTGGAGATAACCTTTCAATATTCCTTATCTATTTCAGATCTACCATGCACGGACTACCCAGCACTCATCATTCACCTCCTCTTACCACCTCCTCGGTCTTCATCCTCACTCATGCAGCAGTGTAGTACAGGACTCCACTGGGTTAGAGGGCAGCCCATTGCAGTGCAAGCTCAAGCTCTACTATTTAGTACTGCATGCCATCTCCAGTACTAAAGAAAGGCTGTGTATTCATTATTAGTTGCTGCACGATAAATCATTCTGAAATTTAGTGGCTTTTCTTGAACTATTATTTTAGGTTTAGGGGTACATGTGCAGGTTGGTTATATAGGTAAACTCATGTCACGGGAGTTTATTGTACAGATTATTTCATCACCCAAGTACTAAGCCTAGTACCCGATAGTTATTTTTTCTGCTCCTCTCCCTCCTCCCACCCCCCACCCTCAGGTAGACCCCAGTGTCTGTTGGTCCCTTCTTTATGTTCATGAGTTCTCATCATTTAGCTCCCTCTTATAAGTGAGAACATGCAGTACTTGGTTTTATGTTCCTGCATTAGTCTGCTAAGGATAATGGCCTCCAGCTCCATCCACGTTCCTGCAAAAGACATGATCTCATTCCTTTTTTATGGCTGCATAGTATTCCATGGTGTACATGTACGACATTTTCTTTATCCAACCTGTTACTGATGGACATTTAGATTGATTCCACGTCTTTGCTATTGTGAATAATGCTGCAGTGAACATTCACATGCATGTGTCCTTATGGTAGAATGATTCATATTCCTGAGTATATACCCAGTAATGGGATTGCTGGGTGGAATGGTAGTTCTGTTTTTAGTTCTTTGAGGAATCGCCATACTGCTTTCCACAATGGTTGAACTAATTTACATTCCCACCAACAGTGTATACGTGTTCCCTTTTCTCCACAACCTCGCCAGCATCTGTTATTTTTTGACTTTGTAGTAATAGCCATTTTGACTGGTATGAGATGGTATCTCCTTGTGGTTTCGATTTGCATTTCTCTAATGATCAGTGATACTGAACTTTTTTTTATATGCTTTTTGGTCACATGTATGTCTTCTTTTGAAAAGTGTCTATGTCCTTTGCACACTGTTTAATGGGGTTGTTTTTCTCTTGTAAATATGTTTAAGTTCCTTAATACATGCTGGATATTAGACCTTTGTCAGATGCATGGTTTGCAAATATTTTCTCCCATTCTGTAGGTTGTCTGTTTATTCTGTTGATAGTTTCTTTTGCTGTGCAGAAGCTCTTATAATTATATCCCATTTGTCAATGTTTACTTTTGTTGCCATGCTTTTGGCATCTTTGTCAATAAATTTTTGCCCGAATTTACCAAATTAAGTGGCTTAAAACAACCATAATCATGTATTCCATCTCACATTTCTTTGGGTCAGGAATCCAGGCAGAGCACAGAATGGATGACATTCTTGATTAATGATATCTGGCACTTCAACTGGCAGACTAAATGGGGACTGGAAGCATCTGAAGACGATGTGCTGGAGGATCCAGGGCTGGTAAGCTGGTATTGGCTGTTGGAGGGAGGCCTCTGTTCCTGTGGGCCCCTCCGTAGGACTGCTTGGGCATCCTCACAACATGCTGTCTGGTTCTCCCAGATGAGTGATACAAGACACCAAAAAGGAACCTGAAATGCCTGTGATGGCCTCAGAAGTCACCCACCATCATGTCCTTAATATTCTATTGGTCACAAAGGTCAACCATATTCAACATGGGAGGAGACTATGCAAGAGTGTTGTCTTAGTCTGCTCAGGCTGCCATAACAAAATACCATAAAACTGGATGGCTTATAGCTCACCGTGCTGGGGGCTGGGAAGTCCAAGATCAAGATGTCAGCCAATTCATTTCCTGGTGAGGGCTCTCCTCCTGGTTTGCAGAGGGCTACCTTCTTACAGAATTCTCACATGACACAGAGATAAAGGAGAGAGGGCTGCTCTCTTCTTCTTCTCATAAGAGCATTAATCCTGTCAGAGGGCTCTACCCTTATGAACTCATCTATCCTTTATTATTTCCCAAAGCCTCACCTTCAAATACCATCACATTATGGATTAGGGGTTCAACATATGAATGTAAGGGGCAATCAAGCTTTTAGTCCACAGCGGATGTGAATACAGGAGGTGAGGATCATTGGAGACTATCTTGAACACTTGCTACCACAGGCAACAAAACACAGCAAAGAGTCTTTTGGCATAGTGGTATGGCATGGCAGGTATAGTACAGTATACTACAGTACAGCGTAGTACTGTGTAACGTACACTGTCAAACCACATCATTTGGGTTCACATCCAAGCCACTCATTTACTCTGCAGCCTAAAGCAAATTGCTCAATCCTTTTGTGTGCCCCAGTTTCAACATATTTAAAATGTAGTAGATTAGATCATTGTTAGGCAAGTACTCATTCCTGACACCACTTCCTCCCAACCTTCGTGGAAGGAGTATACTTACCCACTCCATCCGTGTTGGCTTGACACTATAAGTTGCTTCGAACTCATGCTGGGCAGAGTGTACATCCCCATCTCTTTATTTGAGGCTCAGCAATGTGCCTCACTATGGCCAATATGAGAAGATGAGACACAAGTGGAAGCTTGAAACGAATTGTGCAGTTTTGCTTTCCCTCTTGAACGTCTCCCATGACTATGGGAAAGAAACAGCTGCAGTTTGCCTGCTAGTTTAAGGAGAAAGATGCCTGGAGCAAACCTGAATCCAGTGTGCAGCTTGGAGCTATGTGCAGATAAGCTCAGACTAAATCTTGCTGGCTCTCAGCCAAGCTGTGGCCACATTGGGGAGATTAAATGATTGCTGTGTTCAGCCATAGAAATTGTTTGGGGATGCTTCTTATATGGCATTATTGAGGTGCTAGCTGACTGACAGAGATATCAATGATAGAACCTATTTCATAGGGTTGTGAGGATTGCATGAGATAATGTATGTAGCACATTTAAAGCACTGTCTGGTGCTGGAGCTTGTTCACAGAGCCTTTGAACTTCCTCTCGGAATATGCAGTTGCCCCTCCAGCCTCCTCTGCAGGGCTGCTTTCCCTGGCCCACGCACTCCACAATGTTCCAGACTTCCTTGTCCTTCACTGTACTCAGCTTCATCCTCTCATGCCTTTCCACACCTTTCCAGGTGTTAAGTAGCTGATCTAATTCATCCATGTTAGCACAATAGTGGGAAAATGCTACCTCCACCTTACCGCCTCCGCCCTTCCTGGAAACAAGTGGTTTGTTATTTTTGTTTGTTTTAAACATTTATTGGAGTCAAAGGCTCCTTTTGTCTCATCCTGGGGAATGAGTCATGATGAACAACTCAGACAAGGGATGAGGGGATGGGCAGGCTGTTACAAGCTGGGTAGCAGAGGAAGGCTTCTGTGAACGGGAGAACAATTTCTCTGAAAAACCAGGTAGAGCTTTGAGGCAACCCAGACCTTCAGAGCATGCAGGGCTCATTCAAATCACCCACAGCCCAGCTCTCCACCTGTGCTCAGGGCCAACCCCGTCACTCCCCGCGCATGCAGGTGGCCATTGTTGAGAGCACTAACTGATACCCCAAACCTCACCCGAGGAGCCACAGGAAAACTCTTATAAAGGGGTCAAGGGAATGGAAGATGCTGCACTGGCCTGAGCTACAGGAACCTCCAACCTCGTGACCAGAGGAGGCAGCAGGGGTGGGACCCCTCAGGTATGGCTTGCATGGAGACCAGCCAGGACAGGATTTCTCACCCTTGGCACTGCAGACACTGGGGGCCAGCTTACTATTTGCTGTGAGGGCTGTCCTGCGCATGTAGGATGTTAAGCAGCATCCTTGACTCCATCCTCTATATGCCAGTAGTACCTCCCCTACTCCCCACAGCTGTGACAATCAGCGATGTCTACAGATATTGTCGAGTATTCTCTGAGGGACGAGGGTCAAAATACCCTCAGTTGAGAACCGCTGAGCTAGAGGCATGGAGCCAGAACTGAGATCACAACTATTCTGTCAACAAACACTTCCTAAGCACCTATCATTTGCTAAGCCCTGTGCTAGAATCTGAGAGTACAGGGATACTAAGGGGGAAAGACCTGTAAATAATGAATAGTAATATCACGTGGTTACTCTCCCATAATCAAGTGGGAGGCAGGCAAGGATTCAATCTGCTTGGGACAGAAAGAGTCAGGAACCACAGCCAGAGTGGGCACAGACGCCCTAACATGCTTCCCTTCACACCTTCCTCTGGCAGCACTGCACACTGGGGAATGCCTGCTCCCTCCTCCTCCTCTACAGCAATTTATGCATAATCAGAGCCCCTCACTTCAGAAGATCCCAGATATACGGTCAAGTAATCCTGTGTGGGGCATGAGATCTGTGCACCAGTTTTTGAATCACTGCTGGAAGTGCTCCTCCCGCTCTAGGATTTCAGGTCTACTTGTCCTCTTTGCCCCTACATCTCTCCGATGCCTTTAAAAACATGACTTTGGGGCCAGTCACAGTGGCTCACACCTGTAATCCCAGCGCTTTGGGAGGCCTAGGTGGGCAGATCACCTGAGGTCAGGAGTTCAAGACCAGCCTGGCCAACATGATGAAATCCCATCTCTAATAAAAATACAAAAAAAAGAAAGAAAGAAAGAAAAAAGAAAGAAAGAAAATTAGCCACGTGTGGCAGTGGGTGCCTGCAATCCCAGCTACTCAGGAGGCTGAGGCAGGAAGATCCCTTGAACCCGGGAGTGGGAGGTTACAGTGAGCCGAGATCACACTACTGCACTCCAGCCTGGGCTACAGAGTGAGTTCTGTCTCAAAAAAATAAAATAAAAATAAATAAAAATACAAACATGACTTTGTCTAATTTGTCCATTTTGTTCTAGTTGTAGAAGCAGCAGCCTGCCCCTAACCCAAAGCAGAAATCAATGTTTTTTCCATCTCCCCGGCTGCCTCTCACAGGCAACCAGTGCTGGGAAGCTCTGTTGAAGGAAATGCGTGGGCCAGGGGCTCTCCAAATGTGGCTCCCAGCCAGCAAGTCAGCCTCACTACAAACTTGTTAGAAATGCACATTCCTAGATCTATTGAATGAGAAGCACTAAAGGCTTTCAGGTGATTGTGGCGCATGTTCAAGTTTTTCATTGGCAGTCTGGTGCGGTGGTTCATGCCTGTAATCCCAACACTTTGGGAGGCTGAGGCAGGTGGGTCACAAGGTCAAGAGATCGAGACAATCCTGGCCAAAGTGGTGAAACCCCGTCTCTACTAAAAATACAAAATTAGCTGGGCGTGGTGGCGTGCGCCTGTAGTCCTAGCTGCTCGGGAGGCTGAGGCAGGAGAATCGCTCGCTTGAACCCAGGAGGCGGAGGTTGCAGTGAGCTGGAGATCTCACCACTGCACTCCAGCCTGGTGACAGGGCAAGAGTCCGTCTCAAAAAAAAAAAAAAAAGTTTTTGATTGGCTGCTAGAGGGGCTGTTCTCTGGCTCTATTCAGTTATCACAGGCTCTGCTTACCTCTGCTCTAAGCCCCAGCCTGCCTGTGTTCAACCCACTCACCCATGGCTCTTGACGGGTCTTGCTAAGTGGGAGTGCATGCATCCTTGGAAAGCTCTGGCCTCCCAGGTGCGGCCGCCTCACTGTGATCTTGGCCCACTTCCCTCTCATAGCCCAGGTTCAATGTCTAGGCTCCCACTTGGTTTTCTATTTTGTACTCAAGTTCTGGACATGGGGGTTGCCCCACCCAGGCACTCTTGATGAGAACTTCCAGCATTGTCTCCCTGAGTCTGGATGGGTCCCGACCAAAGTCCAGGGCCACCAACACCCAGAGATGCTCAAACTCCTTGGATGCTACTGAAGCTGGAGACATCTACACCCTTGCACACCTACATCTTGCTACTTGCCTAAGCCCCTGAGGGAGCAGTCCTGGAGTCTGTCTAAATCCAATCCCCTGACACAGTGCTGGGCCCAATGCCCCCTCCCCCAGGCAGCCAGATGCCTGGGCAGGACCAAATCATTACTCAGGCCAACCTGCCTCCCTCTTCAGCCCTCCCGCTCTTCTGCTTAATGCAGAATTCATAAAGCAGCTTCCTGTGTATTCTTTAGAGAGCGCTCTCCTGCCACCCAGGAAAAAAAAAAAAAATTGAGGGTTGAAGGAATTTAAGCCAGTAGCAAGGATGGAAAAGAAAGATACAGCAAGAGGAAAAGCAGATAAAATTAAGTGGGGAAGAGGTCAGGCCAAAAGAAAAAGGAGGCAGAGAGACAAGGGGAAAAAACTGAATCGCCACGGTAGAAAGGAAAGGAAGAGACATGTGGAGGGAATTACGCATGGATTTTATTTGAAAGTGAGAGGCTAGGAAAGCATAAATAAATGTATAGAGATTCAGGTGGAATTTTGATTTCTACAAACCTTCCCACTAGTCCTACAAGGAGAAAAAAGAAAAAAAGAATCAAGACAGAATTTAAACCGATAAACTCGTGTGGAGATTAGCGTGTTCCCGTGGGTTCCAGGCATGGGAATTTGCCTTGTTGAGTTACTCCTACAATATTTGCCTGGCTTCTTAACCCTAGGAACAAAAGACCAAGGTTTTCAAAGGGGATCCTGGATGAATCCTAATGAGGCCAATTGTATTAGTCTGGTGTCCTGGTCGTAAACAATAGTACTCAACTCTAGCTAATCGAAACAGAAAATGAATTTATTCAGGAATAATTAGTAGTTCACAGAATCTCCAAGAGGATACATCAGACATAAAGGCAACGAGGTCAGGAATGATGTGGCGACATCACAAAACAGCTCCAGCAAAGACCAGACTGAGGCCAAACCTGAAAATGACACCATAGCTTGACCTTGAACAAGAGAGTAGGGTTTGCCTAGTAGACACAAGAAAAAGAATGTGTTTTCCAGGCAAGGGATGGTGTTAAGATGTATCTCTGACTATCCATCCTCCCCTCTTGCCTTAGCAGTGGTTCTCAACTTGGTTTGATTTTACCCCCAGGGGACATAAGGCAATGTCTGAAGACAGTTTTCTTGTCATAACTAGGGGTGGGGTGATGCTCCTGGCATCTAGTGGGTGGAGGTCAAGGATGTGGCTACCCACCCTGCAAGGAAGGTGCAAGATAGTGTCCCACAGCAAAGAAGTAACAGAACAAGAATGTCTGTAGTGCTATGGTGGAGAAACCCCACTCTGCAGTAATAAAACCTGCAATTTTTAGCTGAGTCCCTGGCCACCCAGAATCCAGATCACATTTCCCAGCCTCATTTGCAGCTATATGCATCTATATGAGTAAGCTCTCACCACTGGGATATGGACAGAAATGATGTGTGCAACTCAGAGGAAAGAAGCATGCCCTCCTGTCTTCATCGGTTCAGCTGCTCAAATTACCGTAGACTGCGGGACTTAGACAACTGACATTTATTTCTCCCTATTCTGGAGGCTGGGAGGTCCAAAATCAAGGTGTCAGCAGGTCCAATGTCTGCGGAGGGCTGGCTTCTTGGTTCATAGACAGCTGTCTCCTCATTGTTTCCTTACTTGGTGGAGATGCGAGAGAGAAGCAGAAGCTCTCTGGTTTCTCCTCTTATAAGGGCACTAAACCCATCGCGAGGTCCACAACCTCATAACCTCATCACGTCCCAAAGGCTTCATCTCCTGACACCATCCCATTGGAGGTTAGAGTTTCAACATATGAATTTGGGCATGACGCAAGCATGCAGTCTGTAACAGCTCCCCTTTCTCCTTTTCTCCTCTGGATCACAACGTTATGATTGGACACGGAACAGCGGTCTTAGACCACAAGTTGGACACTGCCGAACCAAGAAAGAGCCACCGAGTAGAAAGAGCCTGGCTCATGGCTGGGCGCGGTGGCTCACGCCTGTAATCCCAGCACTTTGGGAGGCCAAGGCGGGCGGATCAGGAGGTCAGGAGATCGAGACCATCCCGGCTATCATGGTGAAACCCCGTCTCTACTAAAAATACAAAAAAATAAGCCGGGCGTGGTGGCGGGCGCCTGTAGTCCCAGCTACTCGGGAGGCTGAGGCAGGAGAATGGGGGTGAACCCGGGAGGCGGAGCTTGCAGTGAGCCGAGATCGCGCCACTGCACTCCAGCCTGGGCGACAGAGCGAGACTCCGTCTCAAAAAAAAAAAAAACAAAACAAAACAAAAGAAAAGAAAGGAAAAGAAAAAGAAAGAGCCTGGCTCTCTGCTGCTTGCCAGAACACTGCAGCAGCTCTGAACCTCCGCCCCAACTTTAACCTGAGAGAGAAATGAGCTTCTGCCTGGCTTATGCAAATTTGGGGCCTCTGTATCTTGCAGCCAAAATGAATCAATTTCACTGTATTTAGGGGAACCCAAGTTCACTTGCCTGACCTGAGAAGAGGTCACTCGGGGCAGGTGAGGAAAAAAGGATGAGGCTGCCTGTGGAACGGGACTGAAGCAGGGTTGTCTTCCTGACTGCCGTGGCAGAACCTTGACCTCTGAAAGGAATTGGGCCCCACGCCTTCAGATGTCTTCAGGTTTACAGATGTCTCCAAAGCATAATGTTTTTCCCCTTGCAATGCAAGACTGTATGACTTCTCAAGACTTAACTGCATTTGTGACAAGAGAAGGAGCGCAAAGTCAAGTTGCAATAGTGATGCCCACACATGGCTGGTCTCAGTCATCTGCTGAGTGGCTCACTGCAGCACACTGTCCCACTGTGCCCGCAATATAACTGACTGCAGCAAAAACAACACTTCAGCTGCTCGGAACCCAGGGCCACTCCCAGATTATTGATTCTTCAATCACTAAATCCATAAATGCTGTGAATCTCTGATTCCAGGGGTCAGCAAACTGCAGCCTGGAGCCCAAACCCCAGCCCACTGTCTGTTTTTGTACAGCTCATGAGCTATGAGTTATTTTTACATTTTTAAATTAAATTAAATTATTATTATTTTTTCAGGCAGTGTCTCACTCTGTTGCCCAGGCTGCAGTGCAGTGGTTTGATCACGGCTCACTGCAGACTCCACCTCCTGGGCTCAAGTAATCCTCCTGCCTCAGCCTCTTGAGTAGCTGGAACTACAGGCATGAACCACCATGCCCAGCTAATGTATTATTATTTTTTTGTAGAGATGAGGTCTCCCTATGTTGCCCAGGCTGGTCTCAAACTCCTGGGCTCAAGAGATCTTCCTGCCTTGGCCTCCCAAAGTACTGGGATTCCAGGTGTGAGCCACTGCACCTGGCCTTTTTTTAAAGGGTTAAAAATCAGAAGAAGAATACTATTTCATGACACAGGAAAATTTTCTGAAATTCAAATTTCAGCATCTATAAATAAAGTTCTATGGGAATGCAAACATGCTGGCTCATTTAGTTCTTGTTTCTGGACAGAGGCCATCTGGTTCTCAAAACCTAACATATTTACTACCTGGTGCTTGACAGAACAGGTCTGCTGACCCCTGTCCTATACCATCAAAACATTCACAAGTCAGAGTATCTCAATTCCCAGGTTGAGCGCAGTTAGCATCTTCCAACTCGATTAACTCTCTCACTAAGCCATAGCACAAATCTTGATAATGTATCCAATAAATAGGGCCAGCTCTGTGGGCCACTACAGTTGCACAGGCCATGGGTACACTCAATGGACAACTTGGTGGGGTGTGGCAAGGGTGAGCCTTTCCCCCACCCTGATCCAGATACCTCACACTTTTTCTTGCTTTTGGAACAAGAAACCTTTCTTTTGTGTTTTGCACTGGACTCTGCAGTTACACAGCCAGGCTTGCCAATAAATACTCATTTTTTCATTTGCGATTATTGAAAGGCACTCCAGTTTTATCCCTCTGTGTTATTCTTCAATTGGTCATCTTTGTCCTGAAAGAACCACAAGGAAGTATTTCTTCCTTAGGGCTTCTACGCAGAACAGTCTCGTAGTGCTGTGTAGTAACTGATGCTATTGAGTCCTGTCTGTATTATGTCGCCCCCAACCTTGACACACCAAGGAACATGCCTAGCTGTGTGCAAGACAAGCCACAAAGGCTGAAAAGTTGGGCTCCTAGAAACAGCACTCAACAAATGACCCTTGGCAGTTGGGGTATAAATACCCCAGCTCCCTTGCCCTTCAGGTGGGATGACTCTGAGGCATGTTCTACATTATCCCCAGAAGTCCCCAGCAGATTGGGCTCCTGTTGCCAGCAGTGGTCACAGGCTTGGGAATCCCTCTTCATTGGCTGTATTCCCTTCCCTGTCTCACTTCCCAACTCCCTTATGGGTGTCTCCTGGGATTAGCTCACACATATACTACTTGCACTCAAATCCTGTCTCTGGTCTGCTTTTGGGAAAACCTAAATCTAGATAGTATCAAACTAAGAACCCAGCTGAGGCATAAAGAAAACTTGCATAGATTAATATTTTAAAATAATGATAATTCAGCAAGACAGAGTGTGGGCATTTTTGCTCATTGCTGCAGAATGTAACAGACTTTTTTCTCTTATGGTCTAAAAAGAGGGTGCAGCTTTGACAAGCACAGAGAAACTCTAGATGGTAAAATAGAGGCACCAAAGTAGATATAATTAAGGTGTATTTTTTTCCTATTTGGTTCATAAATGTAACATGTGAAAGCTAAATCAATTGCTCTACAAAACAGCAATCTGACCCTTCTGAAAATAATGTCTTTGTGGAAAAAAACTGAGAGAAGAGAAGGGAACGGGCATAGGACAGCATAGCACAGTCTCGATTACCTAGCTAACTGGATCAGAGTTCTCAAGCAGAAAAGATTAAGTATTGATCCTCAGTGGGGGCAGGGAGAGAACCCTCTGTGTTTCTGCTTCCCTTTTCCCTGAATCTGCATTTTTATCCTCTATATAGGGGGAATTTTCAACTCCCCTGCCATGTCCATGACAACTTTCCACCTCTTACAGAATAAATGATTTTTAGAAAAACCATCTTACTGAGATCATTTGCCTTGACACTGAAAAAAAATTACCATGGCCCCCCTGCAGAGAAAATATATCTTTACATAAGTGCAAATGAAATGTGAATGTCAGGATTATCAGCTGTTAGCATTAAAACTTAATGCACATGTTCAGAGTTGAAATGACTTTTACAATCTCTTGTAGTCTCGGGTGGATTTTTTTTGAAACATGATTTGTGTCTATTGTAACAGATGGGGAAGTCACTATTATATACATTAGATAAATGATAAAAAGCAAAATCAGCTAGATTTTAAAAGGTACTTCAAAAATGTGCTTCTCATTATGCTTTTCTTCTGAGTGTTCAGGCAGATAATTTTCATTTTTAACAAGGAAGCATATCCATTTCTTGTTATGACTTCTTAAAATATAAAATTAGGCAATGGTGGTTCATTTCAGCCATTTTAATCTTTCTATTCACTTTTGTTAAGTAATTGTCAAACCCTAATCCATATTCATACTAAAAAATATAGATTTTTATACTGAAGTTGAGGGTGATGTTTTCAGCATCATCAGATGTTTCCTGCAATAATGTTAGTTCCGGGCATGAATTTCCACAGGGATTTTCTTTTCTTTTTGCATATTTGCAGAAGTGTATCAAGCTTTCTCTACTGTTAATCATAAATTCAAAGGAGGACAAAGCAGCTAACTTTTATTATGAGGAGACTTTCCAATCCTACTTTATAGAAGAAGCCAAGTTGAAAAGAGATTCCTTTTTAAGACAGAAAGTATGGCGTTGGAGAGGAGAATAAAGTTAACATCTTGATTTCTGCCTTTTAGTCATGCCTATTTGAGATTATAATGAAATCTGCATCCCTCTTGAAAATGAAAAATAATCCAGAACCTTGACCCTTTATTGGGTGCCATAGCTGTTGCTAATGGCATGGTTTATAACTCAATCAGCACAAGGAAGAAAGTAACTGCTAATGCAGAACTGAGCTCAGGCAAGGCCAGAAGAGCCACCTGACTGAGCCCAGCCCAAATTGCTGACCCACGGAATTACAAGCTAAATAAAGGTGATTGTTTTGCATCATAAAATTTTGGAACCATTTGTTTAAAAAGCAAGAGCTGACTGATGGAAATACTTTTAAAAATTTTAATTTTACTGTGTATTCAATAATGGTGCTCTGAAAATTATTTCTCAACTATTCAAAACCAGTAGCATTTTTAATTTAAAAAAATTTAATCAGCTGGGTGTGGTGGCTCACTCCTGTAATCCTAGCACCTTGGGAGGCTGAGGTGGGTGGACCACCTGAGGTCAGGAGCTCGAGACCAGCCTGGCCAACATGGCAAAACCCCGCCTCTACTAAAAATACAAACATTAGCCGGGCATGGTGGCACATGCCTGTAGTCCCAGCTACTCAGGAGGCTGAGGCAGGAGAATCACTTGAACCCGGGAGGCAGAGGTTGCAGTGAGCTGAGATCGTGCCACTGCGCTCCAGCCTGGATGACAGAGCGAGACTCTGTCTCAAAAAATAAACATAAAAAAATAAAAAATAAAATTAAAAAATTGATGTTTAGTTTACCTATGGTAAAATGCATATGTGTAAATGGACATTTAGGCTGGGCACAGTGGCTCATGCCTGTAATCTTAGCACTTTGGGAGGCAAAGGCAGGAGAATTGCTTGAACCTGAGAGTTCAAGACCAGCCTGGGCAATATGGTAAAATGTTGTCTCTACAATAAATAAATAAATGGACACTTGGATCAGTTTTGACAATGTGTACACCCACGTAACCCACACTTCCACCAAAACAGAACATTTCCATCACCCACACAGTTCTCCTGTACCCTTTTTTAGTCAATCCTCTCTCTATCCAGAAGCAACCACTGATCTGCCTTCTGTCACTAAACATTTTTTTCCCAGAATTTCATATAATCAAATTGTGCGTACTATTTTGTGATTGGCTTCTTTCACTCAGCCAGAAGCTTTGGAAATCTATCCCTGTGTGTCATTGCATGTGTAGATAGCTTATTCCTTTTTATTGCTGAGTGATATTCCACTCTATGGCTGATGTCACCGTTCTCCTATTGGTAGACTACCTGGACTGCTTCCAGCTTTTGGTGACTATGAATAAAACTGCTATTAACATGCTTTCCTCAGGCTGTTCTAGCCATATACTTTAATTTCTCTTAGGTAATTACCCAGGGGTAAAATTTTGGGGCATAGGATTGATGTACGTCAAACTTTTCAACATACTTCCAGTTTTCCAATGTGGTTGCCCTCTATAAATTCCTTCTGCAGTGTATGTGAATTCTGGTTGTTCTACCCCTTGGCCTTCCTTGGGCATGGTCAATAACATCAGCCAGGCCATGCATGTGTACTGGTATTTCACTATGGTCTGAAAAAGTCCTTTTAAAGGTGTTTCTTTTGCATAAGGGTTAAGTAACACTCATTTCACCAAACAATAATGATTCTGGATAAATAACTGTCAGGATAAATGATTGTTTGGATCATAATTGTCAGGCTTGTCTTGAACTCCTGGCCTCAAGCTATCCTCCCACCTCAGCCTCCCAAAGTGCTAGGATTACAGGCATGAACCACCGCATCCAGCTGAGAATCTAGTTCTTAACACAAGTATGCATCTAACCACATCACATTTTTAAATAGTTATGTGGCAAACCTGTGCATCTTATCTCAGTGCAACATGGCTTCTAAGTATTCCAGCACAAGACTAAGCACCACTGGGACATGTATAAATAAAAAATAGACAGAAATGGGGATGTTGGGGAGAGGGAGGAGGAGTAAAGACCAGAAAATAGATCACTGATTAGTCAGTGTACATTAATCCAGGATTAAATGTGTGTTAAGCCTCTTTATCTTCTACTGTCTTGCTTTAGTCATGGCGTGAAGGTTGCACCTGGTAATTTAGTTCATTCAAATACTTATTAAGCCCTTACCTTGTGCTGTCAATTGGGAATATGCTGACCAACAAGACAGATACTGTTCCTGCCTTCATAGAGATTACAGTTTAGTGGGAGAAACAGGACAAATAATAAGGAATTCCAGGACAGTGCAGTGGAGGCTGTGATCAGGGCAGTGCAAAGAGGGACCTATGTGGGACATTAGGGGTCAGAAGAGGCTTCCTAGAGAAAATCCAAGAGGGCGAGTGGCTTACATGAAAAAATATAGTGTTCCGTAGGGAGAACACAGCACATAAGCCAAGTGAGAGGATGTGGTGTAACAATGCATAACAACATTTCCGTCACATAGGCCAGTGTTCCCATAAGACTATAACAGCATATTTTACTATATTTAGCTACATTTAGATTCACAAATACTCGCCGTTGTGTTGCAGTTGCCTACAGTGTTCAGTACAGTCACAGGCTGTCCAGGTTACTAGTCTAGGAGCAACAGGCTAGACCAGAGAGCCTATGTGTGCAGTAGGCCCTACCAACTAGGTTTGTCTAAGTCCACTCTGTGATGTTCACACAATGACAAGATCGCCCAGTGACTCATTTCTCAGAACATATCCTCATCATTAAGTGACGCATGGCTGTATTATATCAGGAGCAAGGAGTACCATATCTGTGGTGGGCAGGGCTGATCTTGAAGATCTTGTCAGATGTGTTAAAAACCCGGACATTACCCAGAGGACAATGGGAAGCCACTGTTTGGATTTATGAAAGAATGTGAGTGGCATCATAAAATGGTGCAGCTGCTCTGGAAAACGGTTTGGCAGTTCCTTGATTTGTTAAACATAGAACTACCATACGACCCAGCAATTCCACTCCTGGGTATGTACCCAAAAGAACTGAGCACCAGTACTCAAACAAATATGGATACACAAATGTTTGTAGCAGCACTATCTACAATAGCCCCAAACGGGAAACAACCCAAATGTCCATCAGTAGGTGAATAGATAAACACAATGTGGTATTACAATGGAATATTATTCTGGTATAAAAGGAATAAAGTACTGATATATGCTACAATGTGGATAAACCTCAAAAATATTATGCTAAGTAAAAGAAGCCACACTGGAAAACACATTGCAAAACTCCATTTATGTGAACTATTCAGAGTCAGCAAATCCATGGAGACAGAAAAGTGGATTCGTGGTTGCCAGGGGCTGTGGGTGGAGGGCAACGGGGAGTGACTGGTTAATGGGGATGGCGTTCCCTTTGGAGGTGATGAAAATATTCTGTAAATAGACAATTGATACTAGCACAACATTGGGAATGTACTAAACGTCACTGTCAATTAGTTTTCTGTTGTGTATGTTGTACCATAATTTTTAAATGAGATTTGTGTTTTTACATCACAGGGAATTAGGGGCTATAAGACTAGAGTCAGAAAGTGCAGTTAAGACCATTTAATTCTGGGGAAAACAATAGCAGAATAGTAGTTAGTGGTGGGAGGAAGTTCACAGTTGGAAGTAACATCTAGAAGCTATGACAGGGCTTAGTTACTGGGTATGGTGGTGCGTCCCTGCAGTCCCAGCTACTTGGGAGGCTGAAGTGGGAGGATCACTTGAGCCCAGGAAATCGAGGCTGCAGTGAGCCGTGATAACGCCACTGAACTCCAGCCTGGGCAACAGAGCGAGATCCTGTCTCTAGATGAAGAAAAAGAAATGACTTTGCTTTTTTCACATCTCTTTTCCCTCTTTAAACCAGCAAGTGTGCATCTTACTCTTGGGCAGTATAGATTCCACTTTGTACTTAACTGTGTATCCCAAGTGCTCTGGCTTTCTGCTGATGGAGACAGGGGTTGAGTCCATATGGAAAAACTTGTATCAACCAGTCCAAAAAGCTGGGCTACCCTTTGGGCAACCCTCACCCCATGCTGACACACACTGAACTTTTCCAGGTCTACACATGTTTAGGATTGTAATTTCCAGTGAAAGTTACAATTTTTCCATACCTTTAAAATTTATCTTGTGGGAAACAGTCATATAAAATCAACCAAAGTGCCCCATGATTCACTCTGTGTCAGATCCCACGGTAAGCACTTTACAGCAGTTAGCCCACAGGACACGCTAATAAGCCAGTGGAGAAGGGAGAATTCTTATGTTTGATAAGCTGAGGAAACCAAGGGGTTCAGATACACCCACAGCAAATAAGAGCCAGGGTGGGAGTTTGAGCGTACTTCTGACTCCGAAGCTCGTATTCATCACCTCCTTGTTCTGCTGGGTAGAAGACAGGTTAGACCCACCTGAATTGCAGGAGCTGATTTCTGCTTGATCAGATCCTAATCTCAGATTTTCAGAGGCCCAAAGCTGACCTGGTGCGGTGGCTCATGCCTGTAATTCCAACCCTTTGGGAGGCTGAGGTGGAAAGATCACTGGAGCCCAGGAGTTGGAGACCAACCTGAACAACATAGTGAGACCTTGTCTCTACAAATAATAAAAATTAAAAAATGTGGCTGGGTGCAGTGGCTGATGCCTATAATCCCAACACTTTGGGAGGCCGAGGCAGGCGGATCACCTGAGGTCAGGAGTTCCAGACCAGCCTGGCCAACATGGTGAAACCTCGTCTCTACTAAAAATACAAAAATTAGCTGGGCATGGTGGCACGCGCCTGTAGTCCCAGCTACTCGGGAGGCTGAGGCAGGAGAATCACTTGAACCCGGGAGGCAGAGGTTGCAGTGAGCCAAGATTGTGCCACTGCACTCCAGCCTGGGCGACAGAACAAGACTCCATCTCAAAATAAATCAATAAATAAGCCAGGAGTGGTGGTGTGCCTGTAGTCTCAGGAGGCTACTCAGGAGGCTGAGGTGGGAGGATCGCTGAGCCCAGGAGTTCAAAGCTGCAGTGAGCCACGATCACACCAGTGCACTCCAGACTGGGCAACACAGCGAGGCCCTGTCTCTTAAAAAATTAATAAAAATTTTTAAAAAGGGCCAGAACCCTGTAAGGAATTATCATCTTTTGCTTATTTATTTCTCTTCCCTCACTCCTCTCCTTAAGGTAAACAAGAGCTGAGAGAAAAGCCCCATTCAACCTGGAGGCTCCCTAGAGCTTCATAACGTCCCAAGTCAGGGAGCTGCAAACCTGTTCTGTAAAGGACCAGAGAATAAACATTTTAGGCTTTGCTGTCCATGCAGTCTCTGTTGCAACTACCCAATTTTGTCATTGTAGCCGAAAGCAACCACAGACAATCTGTTACAAGAATGGATGTGGGTATGTGCCAATAACATTTTATTTACAAAAATAGGCAGCGAGCTGGATTTGACCCATGGGCAGTAGCTGGCCAACCTCTTCTAAACCAAGGGTTTGGGATCGTGTTTTGATTTTTTAAAATTTTATTTTATTTTCTTAGAGACAAGTTCTCACTCTGTCACCCAGGCTAGAGTGCAGTGGCACGATCATAGCTCACTGCTGCCTTCAGCTCCTGGGTTCAAGAGATTTTTCCACCTCAGCCTCCTGAGTAGCTGGGACTACAGACACGCGCCACCACACCCAGCTAATTTTAAAACTTTTGTAGAGCTGAGGTCTCACTATGTTGCCCAGGCTGGTCTTGAATTCCCGGGCTCAAGTGATCCACTCGCCTCGGCCTTCCAAAATGTTGGGATTACAGGCGTGAGCCACCGTGCATGGATGGATTTTATTCATCAACGGTCTGCCTGGTCCTCACTACCAACATTATCCCGGAGCACTGAGTGGTTGCTGAGGAAATAGCTGTGGGTCGGGGCCAAGATCGCAATCCCTGCTTTGCTCCACGGCAGCGTTATGATCACGACTGTCCTGCCATTGAGTGATCAAATATCACCGAGGAACCAGCCTGGTTAGAGGCTGCTCACTTCCGTTCCAGACAACAGTGTGCAGCCCTGCCTCCAGGCAAAGGAGAAGAAAGGAAAACCATCCAACAAATTAATTCTTTGGTCCTCAGCAATTATACCAGCCAGGACTCGTGAATTATTTAAAACTAGAAATTAATTATTCAATGAGAGTTCACCAGAAGCATTTCTGGCCATACAGAGGAAAGCAGGCCAAGCTATTGCCGTGGAATTCAGATGCAATAAAGCAAGTATCTGAGCTTCCTAATGCTGGTCAGGCCTGGGAATGAGCCTGGAGAGTGGGGCACACTCAACCACTGTGTGTTTCCAGAGAGAAGGGGGGTGAATAGAAAAGATAGAAAATTCATCAACTATGTGAATGTAAATGCCCCTTGCTGTTTGCAGACCAAGACTCTGAGTGATCAAGTCTTCATTGTACGTTAGGCTTTTGGTTTTCCTCTGTAATAATGGAGGCTTTGAGAAAATGCGATTTTTATTTTATTTACTTATTTTTTGGGACAGGGTCTCATCCTGTCACCCAGACTGGAATGCAGTGGTTTGAACACGGCTCACTGCAGCCTCAACCTCTGGGCTCAAGCAATCTTCCTGCCTCAGCCTCCGGAGTAGTTGGGACCACCATGCCTGGCTAATTTTTTCATTTTTCGTAGAGACAGGTGTCTTACTTTGTTGCCCAGGCTGGTCTTCAGCTCCTGGCTTCAACCAATCCTCCCACCTCAGCCTCCCAGAGTGCTGGGATTACAGGCATTAGCCACCATGCCCAGCCAGAAAATGTAATTTTTAGACAAAGCTACATTAGGCACTAGCTTATATTAATATGGCCCGCTGGACCTTTTTCTGAGAAGCTGGAAGGAGCAGAAAATGATACCCACTGCCCGGTAAACTTTTTTTTTTTTTTAGACAGAGACTTGCTCTTGTCGCTCAGGCTGGAGTGCCATGGCATGGCCTCAGCTCACTGCAGCCTCCGCCTCCCGGGTTCAAGCTATTCTCCTGCCTCAACCCCCAAGTAGCTGGGATTACAGGTGCCCGCCACCACGTGTGGCTAATTTTTTTGTATTTTTTAGTAGAGACAGGGTTTCACTATGTTGACCAGGCTGGTCTCGAACTCCTAATCTCAGGTGATCCACCTGCCTCGGCCTCCAGAAGTGCTGGGATTACAGGCCTGAGCCACTACGCCCGGCCCCTGGTAAAGTTTTTGCAGAGTGCATCTATGAACTTATTCAATGAATGTCTTTGATGATTTCCTTAGGCATCAATGTTTTTCTACCAAATTTTTAAAAACTTTTCATTTTGAAATAATTATAGACTCATAGGAAGTTGCAAAAAATGATACAGAGAAGCCTCTTGTGCCCATCACCCAACTTCCTGCAATGGTGGTATCTCATAACTATAGGGCATTTCAAACCCAGGAAATCAACAAAGGCTTAATACAATTAGTCTACAGACATCATATGGATTTCACATCTTTTCATACACTCATGATATGCGTATGTCTTTGTGTACAATTTTATGAAATGTCACTGCAGATATAGATTCAAATAATCCCCCACCACTATCAAGACACAGAACCAATCCCAGCACTTTGGGAGGCTGAAGCGAGTGGATCACTTGAGGTCAGGAGTTTGAGACCAGCCTGGCCAACATGGTGAAACCCCGTCTCTACTAAAAATACAAAAATTAGCTGGGCGTGGTGGCGCGCGCCTGTAGTCCCAGCTACTGAGGAGACTGAGGCAGGAGAATCAATTGAACCCAGGAGGCGGAGGTTGCACTGACCCAAGATTGCACCACTGCACTCCAGCCTGGGCAACAGAGCAAGACTCCGTCTCAAAAAAAAAAAAAAAAAAAAAAAAGACACAGAACCATTTTCTAACCACAAAGGAAGCCTCCCATGTCACCCCTTATGGCCGCATCCTCCTTGTCTTTTCCCAACCCCAGGCAATCAACTATCTGTTCTCCATCTCTATAATTCTGTTATTTCAAGGATGTTATATAAATGGAATCATACAATATATGACCTTTGAGGAGACTGGCTTTTTATACTCAGTGTAATTCCCTGGAGATTCATCCAAGTTGTGTGTAAAAATAAATAGTATGTTTCTTTTTCATGCTGCAAATGTACCACCATTTGCCCATGGAAGGACATCAGGGCTGGTGGCATTTTTTTGGCTATTAAAACTTCAGCTGCTATGGACATTCATGGGCAGGAGTTCATGTTAACCTAAGTGTTCATTTCTCTACTATAAATGCCCAAGTGTGACTTCTGGGTCACAGTGCTGTTTTCCAGGTTTCCAGAGAAGATGCAACTAACTTTTAACAGTTTTATTTTTATCCCCCTATTTGAGTTCCAAAGAAAACTATATTTGCATATCTACTATTTGGGATTCTGATGAGATCTATCAGTAGCCTCAAAAATCTTGGAACACCTTGGCTTAAGTGATTGAACATTAAACAATTCACTTATTCTACACAGAAATCCTGAATTAGAAATAATAGGTGACTGGTGGAAGAAAATGAGAGAGAAAGAGCGAGAGAGAGAGAGAACTTCTAAGAGGTATTTGTCAAGAGTCAAAGTCCAGAAAACAATGTGAGCTTTCATTTGGCAGAGCTCTGGTGAGCAAGAATTTCCCAAGCAGGCGTGGATAAGGTGGGACTGGATGCCTTTATTTATGGGATTTCTTTGCAGAGCCTGCTGGAACTCAGAATCACTAATGAGAATCAACATTTGTATAGACAGCAGTGTTTCCTGTCCAATCTCTTTATGTTGGCCTCAGATCTGAGACTTGTGGCTTGGGCTGCGGCATCTGTTAAGACTGGCCAAAGAGCGTGGCTCCCTCCCTCCCAGCTCCTCTCTCTCATGACCCTTAGTCACATTTGTTTGGGTTGTTTTTCTTTCTGTTTTTCTTAGAGACAGGGTCCCTCCTTCTGCTGCCCAGGCTGGAGTGCAGTGGTGTGATCATAGCTCGCTGTAGCCTCCAAACTCCTGGGCTCAAGGGATCCTCCCTGCCTCAGACTTCTGAGTAGCTGGGACTACAGGTATGCACCATCACACCGATAATGCACGCCACACACATAATTTTTATATGTATTTTTTGCAGAGACAGGATCTCACTATGTTGCCCAGGCTGGTCTCAAACTCCTGGGCTCAAGTGATCCTCCCACCTTGGCCTCCCAAAGTGCTGGGATTACAGGCGAGCCACTGCACCCAGCCTTGCTTGGGTTCTTTTGACATCAACTCTTCCTTCATGATGAGTAGGGGAAAAAAACGCAGGTATGCCCTCAAGGTTAATTTTGCACTACGTTTTCATTCATTGCTGGTTTTCATTGCCTGCAGTAGAAATTTAGCAACGATTTTTACACTCCAGGGGGAAAACAATGCTGAGTAAGAAAGTGTGCTTTTATTTTATTTTATTTTTTTTTTTTGAGACGGAGTCTCGCTCTGTCGCCCAGGCTGGAGTGCAGTGGCGCAATCTCGGCTCACTGCAAGCTCCGCCTCCCGGGTTCACGCCATTCTCCTGCCTCAGCCTCCCGAGTAGCTGGGACTACAGGCGCCTGCCACCACGCCCGGCTAATTTTTGTATTTTTAGTAGAGATGGGGTTTCACCGTGTTAGCCGGGATGCTCTCGATATCCTGACCTCATGATCCGCCCTCCTCGGCCCCCCAAAGTGCTGGGATTACAGGCGTGAGCCACTGCGCCCGGCCGAAAGTGTGCTTTTAATGACTTGCTTCTTGCTAGCAAGAAATATTGTGTCCCATGCTCCTGGAGGCAGGAGGGAGATTAACCTGGTCTATGTAATTGCTGTGTGCATCTCCCCAGCAAGAAGTCTGGCGAGGAGCAGGACAGGGCACGGCAGAAACAACACTCACCACATTCTCCATTTCCCCACCCGAATGGGCAGAAACATATCGAGGGCCCTGTTTTCAGTGCTCAACAGGCACAATTTCATTTTTTCTCTCAAATGCAGAAAACAAGAACTCTGTTTTGATTATGCTGTAGCCCCATGTACAAGAAAGTCACTGTTAAGGCCGGGCACGGTGGTTCACACCTGCAATCCCAGCACTTTGGGAGGCCGAGGCAGGTGGATCACGAGGTCAGGAGTTCAAGACCGGCCTGGCCAAGATGGTGAAACCCCGTCTCTACTGAAAATACAAAAGTTAGCTGGGCATGGTGGCGGGCGCCTGTAATCCCAGCTACTCGGGAGGCTGAGGCAGAGAATTGCTTGAACCCAGGTGGCAAAGGTTGCAGTGAGCCGAGATCACGCCACTGCATTCCAGCCTGGGTGACAGAGCGAGACTCTGTCTAAAAAATAAAGGAAGGAAGGAAGGAAGGATGGAAAGAAGGAAGGTAGGTAGGTAGGTCCGGGTGCAGTGGTTCACGCCTGTAATCCTAGCCTTCGGGAGGCCGAGGCGGGCGGATCACGAGGTCAGGAGATCGAGACCATCCTGGTTAACATGGTAAAACCCTGTCTCCACTAAAAATACAAAAAAATTAGCTGGGTGTGGTGGCGGGTGCCTGTAGTCCCAGCTACTCGGGAGGCTGAGGCAGGAGAATGGCGTGAACCCAGGAGATGAAGCTTCCAGTGAGCCGAGATCACACCACTGCACTCCAGCCTGGGCGACAGAGTAAGACTCTGCCTCAAAAAAAAAAAAAAAAAAAAAAAGAAAGTCACTGTTACATAGTAGGTGTTCAATAAATATTTGTGACATGCATTCTGCAGTCATTTGACAACAACAAAAAATATAATGATCTCACAGATCTTTGTTACTCTGCCATTCGCCTTATAAGTGTGGTGAAATGGCTATGAGCACAGAACGGAGGGATAAAACTAGCTGGGTCCAAAGACATCTCTACCACATACTAGCTACTTAGGCTCTTGCACTATAACTTCCTAACAGCAAATCAGGGATATAAATAGGACCTTCTGTACTGGGTTAAATTGGATCCCTTCCAAAAATATGTTATGTCCAAGTCCCAACCCCCAGTACCTGTGAATGTACCTTTATTTGCCAACAAAGGTCTTTGCCAATGGAATGAAATGCAGGTGATGTACTGGATTAGAGTGGGCCCTCATCCTATGGCTGGTATCCTTATAAGAAGGAAATGTGGACACAGAAACAGAGGAGCCAGACATACACACAGGGAGTGAAGACGGAGACAGAGATTTGAGCTATGCTGTCACAGGCCGAGGAATGCCCAGAAGCGTCAGAAGATAGGAAGAGGCAAGGAAGCGTTCCGCACAGAGCGTGGCCCTTGATTTTGGACTTCTATCCTCCAGAATTGTGAGAAAATACGTTTTTGGTTTGTGGCTGTTACAGCAGTCACAGGAAATGAACACGCCGTCCTTGTGGGATTATTGCAAGGATGGAATTCGCTGCTATTATGTCTAGCTAAGCACACCCTGTTGCTGCCCCCAACTCCCATCTCCCCCCTCAACACTGCCCCCCAGGCCAGCAGGACCCTGACTGTACTCAGGGGCCCATTCCGTCTCATCATGGGTCAAAGGATGCCAAGCCAACCCCCAGTTCAAAGGTGAACCTTGAGTGGTCCCAGTCACTCATAACAGTCCCATTTCCTTTGCCTATGATTGACTTAAACGTGAGCCCATGACTCAGTTCTGACCTTGAAGCTGGGAAGGGATGTTCGCTGGGCGGGGGGCTTCTGAAAAAAGCCTCCTGTCTATTAAGAAGAAAACAGGAAAAAAAAAAATAGTCCCTCTTCTGTCTCAGGATTTAACAATGTCTGGATGCAATACCCAGAACAGCTTTGGGAATCTGGCACCATGCGGGGAGCCCGCCCAGAAAGCAGAGCCAAGCCACAGAGAAGGGCAGATAGGAGAGATGGAAAGGGTCTGGACCCTTGATTGGCACCATTGGTGGTGCCTACACCCACCTTCCTCTAGGCTTCCAAGAGTAGAGCTGCCATATGTATCTAAACCACAGCACAGTGCTCTAGTTATAGAAAAGTGTCATTGTTTAAGCCAGTATGGATTGAGGTCCTGTCACTAACACTCAAAAGCATTCTAAGTGATACAAAAATCATTCACAAAAACGGAGCAATGATACAAAATGACACAGTACGTGGCCCAGAGTAAATGTCAGTCAGTGCTTTAAAAAAAATAACAAGCCAAGCAGTGCACAATGGCTCATGCCTGTAATCCCAGCACTTTGGGGGGCCGAGGTGGGAGGACCACCGGAGTTCAGGAGTTCAAGACCAGCCTGGCCAACATGGTGAAACCCTGTCTCTACTAAGAATACAAAAATTAGCTGGGCATGGGGGTGCACACCTGTAATCCCAGCTACTCGGGAAGCTGAGGCAGGAGAATCACTTGAACCCAGGAGGCAGAGGTTGCAGTGAGCAGAGATCGAGCCATTGCACTCCAGCCTGGACGACAAGAGCAAAACTCTATCTCAATAATAATAATAATAACAAGCCAGTCATGATGGTTCACACCTGTAATCCCAGAGCTTTGGGAGGCCAAGGTGGGAGGATCACTTGAGTCCAAGAGTTCCAGACCAGCCTGGGCAACCTAGTGAGACCCTGTCTCTATAAAAAATTTAAAAAGAGCCAGGTGTGGTGGTGTGCACCTGTAGTCCCAGCTGCAGGGAAGGCTGAGGCAGGAGGATTGCTTGAGCCTCGCAGGTAAAGGCTGCAGTGAGCTATGTTCACCCCATTGCACTCTAGCCTGGGCAACAGAGTGAGACCCTGTCTCTAAAAAAAGTAAAATAAAATAAAAACAATAACAGGCATAGATCCCAGATGGTAGACATTAAGATAGTGCCCACCACATGGAGGCAAGCCAAAGACTGGGCAGATGGGGAGAGAGCCGTGGAGTAGAATCAAGATGTTCTTGTTGCACACAGTTTCTCTGTTTCCCTTTAATGAAATGTGGTTTCAAATGCCACTCCGTCTCAGCCATGTTATGTGTGCTGTGGGATATTAGCGAAAGGTCCACGCTTCCATTGTTGGCCAGAGTGTCTCTTAGGCGATGTGGATGGGGCAACAGTATCCAGTATCCAGTGAAAAATCCCCAAGGGGAAGGTAAATGCCAATGACACAAACCCGGGAAGGTATTTGGCAATATCTGACAACAGTTTAAAGCTTATACTCCTCTGATCCAACTATCCTTCTTTGAGAATCCTCCTACAGTAATACCTATGTGCAAAATAACACATATGTAGAGACATTCATTATGCCATTGTTTGAGTAACAAAAGTCAAGAAATAAAGGAAATGTCCACCAATAAGGGACTGGGTGAGCTGAGCAGGGCAATGCAGCAGCTACAGAGTGAAACTGCCTTATAAACACTGATACCAAACCCTCGCCAAACTTATTCTAATAGACAGAAAACAGTTATGTAATAAAAATGAAAGAGTGCTGCAGGGCAGCGTGGGCCACGCGTGTAGTCCCAGCTATCAGGAAGCTGAGGTGGGAGAATCACTTGAGCCCAGGGGTTCTGGGCTGTAGCATATTATGCCGATCAAGTGTCTGCACTAAGTTTGGTATCAACATGGTGGTTTTGGGCTGACACAGTGGCTCATGCTTGTAATCCCAGCACTTTGGGAGGCAAAGGCATGTAGATCACCTGAGGTCAGGAGTTCGTGACCAGCCAGGTCAACATGGCAAAACCCCATCTCTACAAAAAATAGAAAAATTAGCCTGACGTGGTGGCGGGTGCCTGTAATCGCAGCTACTTGGGAGGCTGAGGCAGGAGAATCGCTTGAACTCAGGAGGTGGAGGTTGCAGTGAGCTGAGATGGTGCCACTGAACTCCAGCCTGGGCGACAAGAGCGAAACTCCAACTCAAAAAATAAATAAATAAAATATAGATAGATAGATAGATAGATAGATAGATAGATAGATAGTGACCTGCCAGGAGCAGGGGACCACCGGGTTGCCTAAGGAGGGGTGAACTGTCCCAGGATGGAAATGAAACAGGTCAAACCTCCTGTGTTGATCAATAGTGGGAGAGCACCTGTGAATAACCACTGCACTCCAGCCTGGGCAACATAGTGAGACCCGATCTCTAAAAATATTAATTAATAATAATAATTAAAGGATTATGCATAACAATAAAATTCAGAAAGATTTTTGATAGAGGTGATATGATTATTAGCAAAATCATTTAAATTCGGAAAAGCGTAGGACTGCAAACTTAAAATTTTAGTCATTGTTCTCCTGAGATGGGAAAAGGCTGTGATTCTTCATCTGAAGAGTCTTATCTTGGGTACTACTTGCCATCAATGACGAATTGTTTAAATTTGAGGAGGAGCGAACTGAATTACATTGGTCTATGCCAACTAAGGCAGGTTAGATTGAAAAGATTGTTGACAAAAGGAAAAATTAAAAAGGGAAGACAGAGTATTTGGTTCAGTGAAAAGGCTACAACAGCGAGGACGACACTTGGGAACCAGAGCAGCACCTCGTGAACTGTCAGGAATACATCCACGACTTCAACAGACACCACACGGAAAGGCAGAAAGAGAGCACATTGACCAGAACAAACAGGTCCTCTCCCAACAATGCTAGGAAACAAATCTCCAGATCCACAAACAGCAGCTTTTCTAAGTCCTCTCCTAAGGCACCAGTGATTGGGAGAGATCACGAATCCAAAAACAGCCAGCTGTTTGCTGCCAGCCAGCAGTTCAGGAAGAACACAGCTCCGTCTCTCTGCAGCCAGATGAAAATGGACCTAGTGAAGTCAGGTATCAAGATCCTCATGCCTAAGAGCCCCATTAAGCAGGACGCAGTGAATGGCTTTCAGAGTGAGAGCTCCAAAAAACTGGACCCCACAGAGCAGGGTCAGGAGGAATGGTAGTACCCAAAGTGGCAGCGGAAAAGCCAGACAAAGCTTTATTGGGCCCTGGTACTGAGCAGGCCAGGATGGGGAGCAAGCCTGGATACACCTGCTAGTGCCTCAGGTGCATGGCCCCGTAAGTGCAGCCATGGCCACAGGCCTACTCGTTAACAGGAAAGCTACATCTACATTCATGGATGCATTAACAGCCAGTGGGACAACCAACATACAGACATCTGTTACAGCAGTAACTGTCAGCAAAAGGAAATTTATTGACAACAGAAGAGAACAGCCTTTTAACAAACGATTGCATTTCAGTGTGAGGCAAACAGAAAGTGCCTAAGGATACAGAGTTATTGTGGCCGGGACAAAAGATGGCTTCACCCACATCTTATTCACTAGATCAACAGGGAATAACTCAGTAAATACAGCTGTAATGAAAAAAGTCTACCAGCTCTGACAACCACTGCTGATTACAGCAAGCTTGTACTGCTCAGCGCCTTTAACAGTGTCTTCTGTTGTGGACTTGACTTTATTTATTTTATGCAGTGTTTGACAGATGACAGAAAAAGAGAAAGCATTAAAATGGGAGAACCTATCAGAAACGTCGTGAATAATCTATGGCCATATCACTCTGAAAGTGACAGAAAAAAAGAAAGTGTTAAATAGGCAGAAGCTAACAGAAACTTCGTGAATAATCCCTGGCCATACCACCCGAAATAGGCACGATTTCTTCGGATATCAGAAGCTAAGCAGTATCTGCCCTGTATAGTGCATGGACACAAGGAACTTTGTGAATACTATTACTCCGTTCAAAAAACCTGTTACTGAAGTAAAAGAAGTTATCTGAAACATCATGAATAATCTATGACCATACGACCCTGAATATGATACAAAAAGAGAAAGCATTAAAATGGCAGAAGAGAAGCTACCAGAAACGTCGTACATAATCTACGGCCATAGCACAGTGAACGCTCCAATCTCATCTGGTCACTGAAGTACAGAGTACACGAGATTGCGCCCAGGGTACGGCCTCTTCAGTACTTGGATGGGAGGAACTTCGTGAAGGCTATCATTTCACTCAAACTGAATATTATTGAAGCAGTCACTATCCCAGCCATTCGACTAGAAGCATCCGTATTGCCCCTTTATGATATGGTTTAGGCTAATCAAAAGACTTGGTTTCCAACAACCTCTTCTACCTCTGAGCAGATTCCAGACAGCTGATTTACCATTACGTTTCCGAAATCATGGGACGACCAGCTGCAAGCGAGACGATGCTCAGTGGGTTGAAACTGATCACACAGAAGGCATTTGGCAACGGCCTTCTCTCCCAGCTGTTTGGGTCCTGGACCTTCACTCAGGAAATTGGTGGCTCAGATCAAGAAGCTTGTCTCATGTAATCGAATAGTGCTGGAGGAATCCAAAGCCTTGGTGTGCTGCAACATGAAGAGGGATCTGGAACAGGCCAACGAGAGAACATGTGAAGTACTGAAGAAAATCTGGGGTTCTGCCCAAGGGTTGGACTCCATGTGAAAGGACTTAGAAAGGAAGATGAATGAGTTTCGAGTGTCAGGCTGCACACGGACCACATCGGGTTCCAGCTGAGAAGAACACCATTGCTTCCATCTGTCCTTATCCATTCTCACAGCCTGAAACAAGCTCACTGGTAGCTTATGCTTGCAAGCAGGACTGGGAACATTCACGCTATTTATTCGGGAGTACTGACTCCAGAAAGTACAGCAACCTTGGACTGCTCAGCGCCATTGGTAGGGTCTTCCGTGGTGCACTTGGCCTTATTTATTTTTTACGACATTTGACAGAGGACAGAGAGAGAGCAAGCATTAAAACGGCAGAAGCTACTGGAAACGTCGTGAGCAATCTACAGTCATACCACCGTGAACGCTCCCAATCTTGTCTGGTCTCTGAAGTACAGAGTAGATGCGATTGGGCCCAGGTTGGGGCCTGTTTCATTGTTGGATAGAAGGAACTTCCTGAATGCTTTGTTCCGCTTAAGCTGCGTATTGTTGAAGCACTCAATGGCCCAGCCATTCGACTAGGAGCATCCGTATTGCCTCTTTGTGATATGGTTTAGGCTAATGAAAAGACTTGGTTTCCAACACCCTCTTCTACCTCTGGGCAGATTCCAGATAGCTGATCTACCATTACGTTTCCGAAATCATGGGACGACCAGCTGCAAGCGAGACGATGCTCACTGGGTTGAAACTGATCACACAGGAGGCATTTGGCAACAGCCTTCTCTCCCAGCTGTTTGGATCCTGGACCTTCAATCAGGAAATTGGTGGCTCAGATCAAGAAGCTTGTCTCATGTAATCGAATAGTGCTGGAGGAATCCAAAGCCTTGGTGTGCTGCAACATGAAGAGGGATCTGGAACAGGCCAACGAGAGAACATGTGAAGTACTGAAGAAAATCTGGGGTTCTGCCCAAGGGTTGGACTCCATGTGAAAGGACTTAGAAAGGAAGATGAATGAGTTTCGAGTGTCAGGCTGCACACTGACCACATCGGGATCCAGCTGAGAAGAACACCATTGCTTCCGGCTGTCCTTCTTCATTCTCACAGCCTGAAACAAGCTCACTGGTAGCTTATGCTTGCAAGCAGGACCGGGAACATTCACGCTATTTATTCGGGAGTACTCTGGATAAATCATCCCATTATTTTGGAAATGTAATGCTAGGTCAGGTATCTGGAATCTTCCTGGAGGTAGAAGAGGGTATTGGATGGAAGGAACTTCGTGAATGCGATCATTGAACTCCAGAAAGTACACCAACCTTGTACTGCTCAGGGCCTTAGGTAGGGTCTTCTGTGGCGCACTTGACCTTATTTATGTTTTACAACGTTTGACAGAGGACAGAAAGAGAGCAAGCATTAAAAGGGCAAAAGCTACCAGAAACATCGTGAACAATCTACAGCCATACCACCGTGAACGCTCCCAATCTCGTCTGGCCTCTGAAGTACAGAGTAGAGGAGATTGGGCCCAGGTAGGGGCCTGTTTCATAGTTGGATGGAAGGAACTTTGTGAATGCTATCATTTAACTTAAGCTGTCTATTACTAAACAAGTCAGCCGCCCAGCCATTCGACTAGGAGCATCCGTATTGCCTCTTTGTGATATGGTTTAGGCTAATGAAAAGACTTGGTTTCCAACACCCTCTTCTACCTCTGAGCAGATCCCACATAGCTGATCTACCATTACGTTTCCGAAATCATGGGACGACCAGCTGCAAGCGAGACGATGCTCACTGGGTTGAAACTGATCACTCAGGAGGCAGTTGGCAACGGCCTTCTCTCCCAGCTGTTTGAGTCCTGGACCTTCACTTAGGAAATTGGTGGCTCAGATCAAGAAGCTTGTCTCATGTAATCGAATAGTGCTGGAGGAATCCAAAGCCTTGGTGTGCTGCAACATGAAGAGGCATCTGGAACAGGCCAACGAGAGAACATGTGAAGTACTGAAGAAAATCTGGGGTTGTGCCCAAGGGTTGGACTCCATGTGAAAGGACTTAGAAAGGAAGATGAATGAGTTTCCATTGTCAGGCTGCACACTGACCACATCGGGTTCCGGCTGAGAAGAACACCATTGCTTCCATCTGTCCTTATCCATTCTCACAGCCTGAAACAAGCTCACTGGTAGCTTATGCTTGCCAGCAGGACTGGGAACATTCACGCTATTTATTCGGGAGTACTGACTCCAGAAAGTACAGCAACCTTGGACTGCTCAGCGCCATTGGTACGGTCTTCCGTGGTGCACTTGGCCTTATTTATTTTTTACGACATTTGACAGAGTGCAGAGAGAGAGCAAGCATAAAAACGGCAGAAGCTACTGGAAACGTCCTGAACAATCTACAGTCATACCACCGTGAACGCTCCCAATATTGTTTGGTCTCTGAAGTACAGAGTAGATGCGATTGGGCCCAGGTTGGGGCCTGTTTCATTGTTGGATAGAAGGAACTTCCTGAATGCTTTGTTCCGCTTAAGCTGCGTATTGTTGAAGCACTCAATGGCCCAGCCATTCGACCAGGAGCATCCGTATTGCCTCTTTGTGTTATGGTTTAGGCTAATGAAAAGACTTGGTTTCCAACACCCTCTTCTACCTCTGGGCAGATTCCAGATAGCTGATCTACCATTACGTTTCCGAAATCATGGGACGACCAGCTGCAAGTGAGACGATGCTCAGTGGGTTGAAACTGATCACACAGGAGGCATTTGGCAACGGCCTTCTCTCCCAGCTGTTTGGATCCTGGACCTTCACTCAGGAAATTGGTGGCTCAGATCAAGAAGCTTGTCTCATGTAATCGAATAGTGCTGGAGGAATCCAAAGCCTTGGTGTGCTGCAACATGAAGAGGGATCTGGAACAGGCCAACGAGAGAACATGTGAAGTACTGAAGAAAATCTGGGGTTCTGCCCGAGGGTTGGACTCCATGTGAAAGGACTTAGAAAGGAAGATGAACGAGTTTCGAGTGTCAGGCTGCACAATGACCACATGGGGTTCCGGCTGAGAAGAACACCATTGCTTCCACCTGTCCTTATCCATTCTCACAGCCTGAGACAAGCTCACTGGTAGCTTATGCTTGCAAGCAGGACTAGGAACATTCACGCTATTTATTCGGGAGTACTGACTCCAGAAAATACAGGAAGCTTGGACTGCTCGGCGCCATTGGTAGGGTCTTCCGTGGTGCACTTGGGTTATTTATTTTTTACGACATTTGACAGAGGACAGAGAGAGAGCAAGCATTCAAACGGCAGAAGCTACTGGAAACGTCGTGAACAATCTATAGTCATACCACCGTGAACGCTCCCAATCTTGTCTGGTCTCTGAAGTACAGAGTAGATGCGATTGGGCCCAGGTTCGGGCCTGTTTCATTGTTGGATAGAAGGAACTTCCTGAATGCTATTGTTCAGCTTAAGCTGCGTATTGTTGAAGCACTCAATGGCCCAGCCATTCGAATAGGAGCATCCGTATTGCCTCTTTGTGATATGGTTTAGGCTAATGAAAATACTTGGTTTCCAACACCCTCTTCTACCTCTGGGCAGATTCCAGATAGCTGATCTACCATTACGTTTCCGAAATCATGGGACGACCAGCTGCAAGTGAGACGATGCTCAGTGGGTTGAAACTGATCACACAGGGGGCATTTGGCAACGGCCTTCTCTCCCAGCTGTTTGGAACCTGGACCTTCACTCAGGAAATTGGTGGCTCAGATCAAGAAGCTTGTCTCATGTAATCGAATATTGCTGGAGGAATCCAAAGCCTTGGTGTGCTGCAACATGAAGAGGGATCTGGAACAGGCCAACGAGAGAACATGTGAAGTACTGAAGAAAATCTGGGGTTCTGCCCGAGGGTTGGACTCCATGTGAAAGGACTTAGAAAGGAAGATGAACGAGTTTCGAGTGTCAGGCTGCACACTGACCACATGGGGTTCCGGCTGAGAAGAACACCATTGCTTCCAACTGTCCTTATCCATTCTCACAGCCTGAGACAAGCTCACTGGTAGCTTATGCTTCCAAGCAGGACTAGGAACATTCACGCTATTTATTCGGGAGTACTGACTCCAGAAAGTACAGGAAGGTTGGACTACTCGGCGCCATTGGTAGGGTCTTCCGTGGTGCACTTGGCCTTATTTATTTTTTACGACATTTGACAGAGGGCAGAGAGAGAGCAAGCATTAAAACGGCAGAAGCTACTGGAAACGTCGTGAGCAATCAACAGTCATACCACCGTGAACGCTCCCAATCTTGTCTGGTCTCTGAAGTACAGAGTAGATGCGATTGGGCCCAGGTTCGGGCCTGTTTCATTGTTGGATAGAAGGAACTTCCTGAATGCTTTGTTCAGCTTAAGCTGCGTATTGTTGAAGCACTCAATGGCCCAGCCATTCGACTAGGAGCATCCGTATTGCCTCTTTGTGATATGGTTTAGGCTAATGAAAAGACTTGGTTTCCAACACCCTCTTCTACCTCTGAGCAGATCCCACATAGCTGATCTACCATTACGTTTCCGAAATCATGGGACGACCAGCTGCAAGCGAGATGATGCTCAGTGGGTTGAAACTGATCACACAGGAGGCATTTGGCAACGGCCTTCTCTCCCAGCTGTTTGGATCCTGGACCTTCACTCAGGAAATTGGTGGCTCAGATCAAGAAGCTTGTCTCATGTAATCGAATAGTGCTGGAGGAATCCAAAGCCTTCGTGTGCTGCAACATGAAGAGGGATCTGGAACAGGCCAACGAGAGAACATGTGAAGTACTGAAGAAAATCTGGGGTTCTGCCCAAGGGTTGGACTCCATGTGAAAGGACTTAGAAAGGAAGATGAACGAGTTTCGAGTGTCAGGCTGCACACTGACCACATGGGGTTCCGGCTGAGAAGAACACCATTGCTTCCACCTGTCCTTATCCATTCTCACAGCCTGAGACAAGCTCACTGGTAGCTTATGCTTCCAAGCAGGACTAGGAACATTCACGCTATTTATTCGGGAGTACTGACTCCAGAAAGTACAGGAAGCTTGGACTGCTCGGCGCCATTGGTAGGGTCTTCCGTGGTGTACTTGGCCTTATTTATTTTTTACGACATTTGACAGAGGGCAGAGAGAGAGCAAGCATTAAAACGGCAGAAGCTACTGGAAACGTCGTGAGCAATCTACAGTCATACCACCGTGAACGCTCCCAATCTTGTCTGGTCTCTGAAGTACAGAGTAGATGCGATTGGGCCCAGGTTCGGGCCTGTTTCATTGTTGGATAGAAGGAACTTTCTGAATGCTTTGTTCCGCTTAAGCTGTGTATTGTTGAAGCACTCAATGGCCCAGCCATTCGACTAGGAGCATCCGTATTGCCTCTTTGTGATATGGTTTAGGCTAATGAAAAGACTTGGTTTCCAACACCCTCTTCTACCTCTGGGCAGATTCCAGATAGCTGATCTACCATTACGTTTCCGAAATCATGGGACGACCAGCTGCAAGCGAGACGATGCTCAGTGGGTTGAAACTGATCACACAGGAGGCATTTGGCAACGGCTTTCTCTCCCAGCTGTTTGGATCCTGGACCTTCACTCAGGAAATTGGTGGCTCAGATCAAGAAGCTTGTCTCATGTAATCGAATAGTGCTGGAGGAATCCAAAGCCTTGGTGTGCTGCAACATGAAGAGGGATCTGGAACAGGCCAACGAGAGAACATGTGAAGTACTGAAGAAAATCTGGGGTTCTGCCCAAGGGTTGGACTCCATGTGAAAGGATTTAGAAAGGAAGATGAACGAGTTTCGAGTGTCAGGCTGCACAGTGACCACATCGGGTTCCAGCTGAGAAGAACACCATTCCTTCCGGGTGTCCTTATCCATTCTCACAGCCTGAAACAAGCTCACTGGTAGCTTATGCTTGTAAGCAGGACCGGGAACATTCACGCTATTTATTCGGGAGTACTCTGGATAAATCGTTCCATTATTTCGGAAATGTAATGCTAGGTCAGGTATCTGGAATCTTCCTGGAGGTAGAAGAGCGTATTGGATGGAAGGAACTTCGTGAATGCGATCATTGAACTCCAGAAAGTACACCAAGCTTGTACTGCTCGGGGCCTTAGGTAGGGTCTTCTGTGGCGCACTTGACCTTATTTATGTTTTACAACGTTTGACAGAGGACAGAAAGAGAGCAAGCATTAAAAGGGCAAAAGCTACCAGAAACATCGTGAACAATCTACAGCCATACCACCGTGAACGCTCCCAATCTCGTCTGGCCTCTGAAGTACAGAGTAGAGGAGATTGGGCCCAGGTAGGGGCCTGTTTCATAGTTGGATGGAAGGAACTTTGTGAATGCTATCATTTAACTTAAGCTGTCTATTACTAAACCAGTCAGCCGCCCAGCCATTCGACTAGGAGCATCCGTATTGCCTCTTTGTGATATGGTTTAGGCTAATGAAAAGACTTGGTTTCCAACACCCTCTTCTACCTCTGGGCAGATTCCAGATAGCTGATCTACCATTACGTTTCCGAAATCATGGGACGACCAGCTGCAAGTGAGACGATGCTCAGTGGGTTGAAACTGATCACTCAGGAGGCATTTGGCAACGGCCTTCTCTCCCAGCTGTTTGGATCCTGGACCTTCACTCAGGAAATTGGTGGCTCAGATCAAGAAGCTTGTCTCATGTAATCGAATAGTGCTGGAGGAATCCAAAGCCTTGGTGTGCTGCAACATGAAGACGGATCTGGAACAGGCCAACGAGAGAACATGTGAAGTACTGAAGAAAATCTGGGGTTCTGCCCAAGGGTTGGACTCCATGTGAAAGGACTTAGAAAGGAAGATGAACGAGTTTCGAGTGTCAGGCTGCACACTGACCACATCGGGTTCCGGCTGAGAAGAACACCATTGCTTCCATCTGTCCTTATCCATTCTCACAGCCTGAGACAAGCTCACTGGTAGCTTATGCTTGCAAGCAGGACTGGGAACATTCACGCTATTTATTCGGGAGTACTGACTCCAGAAAGTACAGCAACCTTGGACTGCTCAGCGCCATTGGTACGGTCTTCCGTGGTGCACTTGGCCTTATTTATTTTTTACGACATTTGACAGAGGACAGAGAGAGAGCAAGCATTAAAACGGCAGAAGCTACTGGAAACGTCGTGAACAATCTACAGTCATACCACCGTGAACGCTCCCAATCTTGTCTGGTCTCTGAAGTACAGAGTAGATGCGATTGGGTCCAGGTTCGGGCCTGTTTCATTGTTGGATAGAAGGAACTTCCTGAATGCTATTGTTCAGCTTAAGCTGCGTATTGTTGAAGCACTCAATGGCCCAGCCATTCGACTAGGAGCATCCGTATTGCCTCTTTGTGATATGGTTTAGGCTAATGAAAAGACTTGGTTTCCAACACCCTCTTCTACCTCTGGGCAGATTCCAGATAGCTGATCTACCATTACGTTTCCGAAATCATGGGACGACCAGCTGCAAGTGAGACGATGCTCAGTGGGTTGAAACTGATCACTCAGGAGGCATTTGGCAACGGCCTTCTCTCCCAGCTGTTTGGATCCTGGACCTTCACTCAGGAAATTGGTGGCTCAGATCAAGAAGCTTGTCTCATGTAATCGAATATTGCTGGAGGAATCCAAAGCCTTGGTGTGCTGCAACATGAAGAGGGATCTGGAACAGGCCAACGAGAGAACATGTGAAGTACTGAAGAAAATCTGGGGTTCTGCCCGAGGGTTGGACTCCATGTGAAAGGACTTAGAAAGGAAGATGAACGAGTTTCGAGTGTCAGGCTGCACACTGACCACACGGGGTTCCGGCTGAGAAGAACACCATTGCTTCCACCTGTCCTTATCCATTCTCACAGCCTGAGACAAGCTCACTGGTAGCTTATGCTTCCAAGCAGGACTAGGAACATTCACGCTATTTATTCGGGAGTACTCTGGATAAATCGTCCCATTATTTCGGAAATGTAATGCTAGGTCAGGTATCTGGAATCTTCCTGGAGGTAGAAGAGGGTATTGGATGGAAGGAACTTCATGAATGCGATCATTGAACTCCAGAAAGTACACCAACCTTGTACTGCTCAGGGCCTTAGGTAGGGTCTTCTGTGGTGCACTTGACCTTATTTATGTTTTACAACGTTTGTCAGAGGACAGAAAGAGAACAAGCATTAAAAGGGCAAAAGCTACCAGAAACATCGTGAACAACCTACACCCATACCACTGTGAACGCTCCCAATCTCGTCTGGCCTCTGATGTACAGAGTAGAGGAGATTGGGCCCAGGTAGGGGCCTGTTTCATAGTTGGATGGAAGGAACTTTGTGAATGCTATCATTTAACTTAAGCTGTCTATTACTAAAGCAGTCAACAGCCCAGCCGTTCGACTAGGAGCACCCATATTGCCTCTTTGTGATATGGTTTTGGCTAATGAAAAGACTTGGTTTCCAACACCCTCTTCTACCTCTGGGCAGATTCCAGATAGCTGATCTACCATTACGTTTCCGAAATCATGGGACGACCAGCTGCAAGCGAGACGATGCTCAGTGGGTTGAAACTGATCACACAGGAGGCATTTGGCAACGGCCTTCTCTCCCAGCTGTTTGGATCCTGGACCTTCAATCAGGAAATTGGTGGCTCAGATCAAGAAGCTTGTCTCATGTAATCGAATAGTGCTGGAGGAATCCAAAGCCTTGGTGTGCTGCAACATGAAGAGGGATCTGGAACAGGCCAACGAGAGAACATGTGAAGTACTGAAGAAAATCTGGGGTTCTGCCCAAGGGTTGGACTCCATGTGAAAGGACTTAGAAAGGAAGATGAATGAGTTTCGAGTGTCAGGCTGCACACTGACCACATCGGGTTCCAGCTGAGAAGAACACCATTGCTTCCGGCTGTCCTTATCCATTCTCACAGCCTGAAACAAGCTCACTGGTAGCTTATGCTTGCAAGCAGGACCGAGAACATTCACGCTATTTATTCGGGAGTACTCTGGATAAATCGTCCCATTATTTCGGAAATGTAATGCTAGGTCAGGTATCTGGAATGTTCCTGGAGGTAGAAGAGGGTATTGGATGGAAGGAACTTCGTGAATGCGATCATTGAACTCCAGAAAGTACAACAACCTTGTACTGCTCAGGGCCTTAGGTAGGGTCTTCTGTGGCGCACTTGACCTTATTTATGTTTTACAACGTTTGACAGAGGACAGAAAGAGAGCAAGCATTAAAAGGGCAAAAGCTACCAGAAACATCGTGAACAATCTACAGCCATACCACCGTGAACGCTCCCAATCTCGTCTGGCCTCTGAAGTACAGAGTAGAGGAGATTGGGCCCAGGTAGGGGCCTGTTTCATAGTTGAATGGAAGGAACTTTGTGAATGCTATCATTTAACTTAAGCTGTCTATTACTAAACCAGTCAGCTGCCCAGCCATTCGACTAGGAGCATCCGTATTGCCTCTTTGTGATATGGTTTAGGCTAATGAAAAGACTTGGTTTCCAACACCCTCTTCTACCTCTGAGCAGATCCCAGATAGCTGATCTACCATTACGTTTCCGAAATCATGGGACGACCAGCTGCAAGCGAGACGATGCTCAGTGGGTTGAAACTGATCACTCAGGAGGCATTTGGCAACGGCCTTCTCTCCCAGCTGTTTGAGTCCTGGACCTTCACTCAGGAAATTGGTGGCTCAGATCAAGAAGCTTGTCTCATGTAATCGAATAGTGCTGAAGGAATCCAAAGCCTTGGTGTGCTGCAACATGAAGAGGGATCTGGAACAGGCCAACGAGAGAACATGTGAAGTACTGCAGAAAATCTGGGGCTCTGCTCAAGGGTTGGACTCCATGTGAAAGTACTTACACAGGAAGATGAATGAGTTTCGAGTGTCAGGCTGCACACTGACCGCACCGGGTTCCGGCTGAGAAGAACACCATTGCTTCCAGCTGTCCTTATCCATTGTCACAGCCTGAGTCATGCTCGCTGGTAGCTCACGTGTGGAAGCAGGACTCGGAAAATCCACGCTATGTATTATCGAGTAGTTTGAAAGTACTGTAGCTTTAAAATAAAATAAAATCACTTAAAATAAAATGAAATACTACAATGCTTTTCTGTCTAAGCATCAGTATTTTATAGTCATATACACACAACTATAACAGTTTAATGGTGATCACAGGATTGCTCTTAGAAGCTCTAATTTCTCTTGTCTTTGGCTAGTACTGTATAAAACCAGAAGTGTGTTTTATTGATTTTGGTGACAGAAAAATCTGAAATAATGTTTGTTTTGGTCATGTTTTCCTTCTAGAACAGAGAATCTAAAGGGGTATTAGCCCGCCTCACCTCCCCTGTCCTACATAGAGACACAGAGTCATCTGAGGCATTGGCTTTTTCTCCAAGTAGGTACCGATACCTCAGATTCGGGAAATTCCAAATCAAAAATAAGACTTAGCTTCTACAACAAATACTTCTGATGAAACATTCACTGAGGAGCATACTCCTAAACCAGACATATGTTTAAGATTCATGCTGAGATATCAGTTGGTTTCCCCTTCCTTTTAAAATACATCCAGTTCTTACCCAGTTACTATAAGCAAAGCAATGTCTCTAGAAGAAAGCTTTCTTTGCAGTATTAGTGAAGCACTGAATAGCTTAAGTTTGAATATCTAGGTTACAAGTTAGTCTTTGGCGGGTTTTAAATAGTTTTTTGACCCTTTTGAAATATAACTATATGAGTGCTTCTTGTTGCTGGGTGAGAAATGCTACTTTATATACAGTTTTGGTTTTCGTTTTGCAGATATGATTGATGTATTACACCACAATAAAGTATTTTTATGTTTACATAGTGTAATTTTTAGGTTCACTTAGAATACATTTTATTTAATAAATTAAAATTATTTCGGTACACTATTAAATGCAAAATCTCCTTTCCAAACAAAAAAGAACTACCTTATATTCGTCATTGAATGTTCTTGGTCTGTGCTTTTATGTTTATATAATATGGTGAATTCAGTATGGTGTCCAAGTGTGCCCTGCGTTGATAGACACGTGCCTTCCTTCCAGGAGTGGGTACTGACTCCAGACTCCAGATCCCTATTTCTAGTTAGGCTTCTGAGCTTGCAATCATATTGAATGTATGATGAGCAAAATAAAATCAAAACCTTATTTTTGTACATTTTTGAAATATATACTTAGAACTGACCACCTCCCTGGCCCCATGGAGAGCTGTATCGTGTGTAAAGCCGCCTTTACCTTGATTCATGCAGTGTTTTTGCATCTGTGGGACCTACCTTTTCGTTCATTAGTTTGAACTATACATAAACTGTACGATCTGTAAAGTTTTTATATAATAAATATTCACCTGTGAAAACTGGTTAAATAAAACTAATATTTCTTACACACGCACACACAAAAAAGCATTCCACAATGGGCATGACAAAAAGTCCCTCTTTCAGAAAGATGCTTCTGCAGTAGAAGTTGGCTACCTTGATGCAATGACATGGCCAGTTCTGATCCTCTAATTTGTTTGGGATGCTTCTGCTACATTTTCAAATGACTTCAGTCAGTGGTTCCCACAAATGAAATATTTGCCAGACAAGACGTTGTTGCATTTCTGTGACTTTTACATTTATTAAACAATTGCTTCCTCCTCCCAGGGTAATAGCCTCCAATCTCCCCACTTTTTCAAAACATTATTGACAATTTTTCTACCATATGTTGACACTGTGTTTCAATTCTCGTATCTTTTTATTCCCTAGGGCACAATTGGTTCTGCTATGACAATCTCCAGGGTAAGGATTCAATTGTACAAGGTTATGTGAGCTTGCAAATGAAGGAGACAGAGAGAGAGAGAGAAAAAAAAAAAAAGGAAAAGGTGGAGGAGGGAAGGAGGGGACAAGAGGGGGAGAGAGAGAAAGTACAAATGGGAGACCTCAACTCTAGCCATTAAAAATGGTGGTTCTAAAAATCCACCACACAGTCAGAACTCAGCTTTTTACATGTGCTCACATCCATACAGAAAAGACATGTTTTGTGTTTTTCCTAGTGAATTCTTGGCAAATACTGTCAGTTGTGAAATACAAGATGGGGAACTCTTTCTCTGAAAACGTAGCCGGGGAAAAATGATGCAGTTAGGTGGAGAAATAGCTGCCTTGAAAAACAAGTTTCCTTGAGTTGATGAAACACTAGAGGAGAGAAGAGGTCCCCTTGCATGTCTTCCCCATCTCTGTGTTTATTTGCTGATCCAAACTGATTACTGTTAAAATATGCATGCCAGCATTTCATTTTCAACAAATGCTACTCCAAGTATTCATTAGCGTCTTATCCACTGTCTCTAAAATAATCTACAGTGGCCTGAATAGCTGTAGAATGACAGGAGAAAGATTGCAAGGCGACGTGCATGGGGGCCCTGAGGGCAAGGCACAGCTTGCTGGCTCCGTGGTAAGGGGTGGGTACTTGGCATCAGCCCCTCAGCAGAGAGGGCAGGACTGGGTGTAGCAAGTGACTCACAGAAAATGCATTACCCCATTGAAATGTCACCAGAATTGAATTGAAATGTCACCAAAGAAGCTCATGGGGTGAGAAATTGCCATGTGCTTTAAAAAATAATTATTATTAAATCCAACTAAAGCATGTACATAATTGAATCTGAGGTACTAGCAATCCTTGTTCCATCTTTCTTCACCCCCATCCTCCACCCCAGGAGCAACAACTTTCCACTCCATTCTGTTCCTTCTAGAATTTTCCTCTATATTTCTAAATAATTTTCATATACTGTTATTTCTCAATTTATTAATTTTAGTCATTTTTATCAACTTCTGTTATGATACTGGAGGGTTTTTCTGGCCTAACTACCCCAGTTTGCCTTGACCCATCCCCTCAATTTGGATACTATGAGTTAAAAAAAAAATTAATCGTCTTTTTTTTTTTTTTTAAAGACAGGGTCTCACTTCACTGCCCAGGCTGAAGTACAGTGGCACAATCACGGCTCGCTGCAGCTTCAACCTCCTGGGCCCAAGTGATCCTCCCACCTCAGCCTCCCAAGTAGCTAGGACTAAAGACACACTCCACCAAACTCAGCTAATTTTTAAAACTTTATAGAGAAGGGGTCTCACTTTGTTGCCCAATCTGGTCTTGAACTCCTGGCCTCAAGCAATCCTCCCACCTAGGCCTCCCAAAGCACTAGGATTACAGGCATGACCCACCACACCTGGCCCCTAATACAGTCTTTCTGTTATTATAGCTTAATATGCTCTCTGTTGATCCACGTGGCAAACTATGACTGCATTTCCTTTCTTGTACAACTCTGAGTATTTTCTGGGATTAATAACTGTCTCATGTAATTGCTTAGTTTTCTAGAGATGTTCTCTGATTTTTTTCCAAATGCTTTCCCCAAATGCTCACACACATTAAATAACCTAACTCGCCCATGTCTCCACCCAAACACTGCCACTGAGAGCCATGTGTCCTCCTGCTCTGCAATATACCAGTTTAGCTTTAAACCCAGCACACGGCTAGTGTCCTAAAATACCCCAACCTCTTTCCAGCATGGGACCTTGTCTCCTGGTTTCCTTGTCTTCCTCCCTTCCTGGTTTACTATTTTGTGTTGCTGAAATACATTCCCTAGTAGCTCCTACAGAGACGTGTACAGGAGAGATATATTTTTCATCCTTGCACATTTAACAACCTGTTAACTTTGCCCTCATCACTCTGCCCGAGTGAGTGCTCTCTGCACTGCACCCTCCTCAGAAATTTACCATTGCTCCACTTCCCCCGCAGTATTAGCCCTAAGGAACCTGCCGCCTTTGAACTGTCAGGTGTGGCCTGTTTGCCTCTGTAGAAACTTTTAGCCTAGTGCTGACCAAAGTCAATCGCAATTTTCTTTCTTTTTTTTTTTAACTTAAAATTTTTCTTTCATTTCCACGTTTCCCCAACTTATTTTTTCTTTGGGTGTGTGTGTGAAGCAGGATCTCACTCTGTCATCCAGGCTGGAGTGCAGTGATGCGATCACGGCTCACTGCAGCCTCCACATCCTGGGTTCAAGTGATCCTCCCACCTCAGTCTCCTGGGTAGTGGGGACTGCAGGTGCATGCCGCCACATCTAGCTAATTAAAAAACAATTTTTTTTTTGTTGCCCAGGCTGGTCTGAAATTCCTGGGCTTAAGTGATACTTTCCGATCAGCCTCCCAAAGTGCTGGGATTACAGACGTGAGCCACCGCACCTGTCCTCAATTTTTCTTTCTTTCTTTCTTTTTTTTTTTTTTTTTTGGAGACTGAGTCTCGCTTTGTCGCCCAGGCTGGAGTGCAGTGGCACGATCTAGGCTCACTGAAAGCTCTGCCTCCCGGGTTCACGCCATTCTCCTGCCTCAGCCTCCTGAGTAGCTGGGACTACAGGCGCCTGCCACCACGCCCGGCTAATTTTTTGTATTTTTTAGTAGAGACGGGGTTTCACCATGTTAGCCAGGATGGTCTCGATCTCCTGACCTTGTGATCTGCCCGCCTCGGCCTCCCAAAGTGCTGGGATTACAGGCGTGAGTCACCGCGCCCGGCCCCATCCTCAATTTTCTAATAGACATAATTTAAATGGTAAAAAGAAAGAAGTGGAATTCGTTTTAATAATGTATTTTATTTAATCCAGTATATTTAAAAATGCTATCATTTCAAGCTGCAATCAATATGAAAATTTTCGGTGAGACATTTTACTGTGCCTTTGTTATCATGAGTGTATTTCACACTCTCAGCACGTCTCAGTGTGGACCTGTCATGTGCTCAGAGCTCCACAGCCACTGGAGCCGACAGCCGCTACATGACTGTGTAGTTCTACAGCCTTCTGTCCATCCCTGGTGCTCTGGGGTGCCCACAGTGGTCCTCATTGGCATTTAATCTCTGTGCTTGTGCTTGTGCTGTGTCCCTCCAGAATCTTTCCAGAATCATGCCTCCTATGCCGTCATTGCTAAAGTCCCCCTCTGGGACCAGAGGTCCTCCTGGTGAGGCCACGGCTTCTGAACGCCATGGGCATTTGGGGTTCCCACACACCTTGTCACACCTAAAGCCACAAGAGTCCTGGTGCTCAAGTGCTCGAGTGCAGAAGAGGGACTTAAGGACTGCAGCCCGCCAACCTTCCCAGCAGGTGTCGGTCACACCAGGTCATGTCACTGCCGAGGATTTCTCAGGTCCCCAGGGCATGGCCTGAGATTCTTGGAATCCTGCAGGATTTCTTAGGGTTTCAACATTTCCTGCTAAAGAACCAACAATTCCTGGAAGGGGCGACGCTTCAGCCTTTATTGAGCAACGTGCAAAAAGAAAACTGGTGGGCCAGGTGCAGTGGCACATGCCTGTAATCCCAGCACTTTGGGAGGCCGAGGCGGGAGGACTGCTTGAGCGCTTAGAGTATGAGACCAGCGTGGGCAATATAGTGAGACCCTGTCTCTACAAAAATAAATAAATAAGAAGAAGACTGGCTTACAGCCAGCAGAGACGAGACCTTGCCTCAGTGGGCCTCAGGCGTGGGGAACTGGGCTCAGGCAGGGAGAGGGATTGGAGAGACAGAGGGTGAGGAGAGAGGAATACAGGGCACACCTTGTCTCTTTCCCATGTCGCTGAAGACATCAAGGACTCTCTCTCTCTCTCTCTCCTCATGCCCCTCCTTCCCTTCATCCCCCTCTCCCACCAACGTCTCTCTCTTCCAGGTTCCCAGGAGGCTTAAGGAGAATATAATCCCTTTACGTCTGCTTAGGAGGCAAAAGATTCCTCCCTCGTATTTGTCATCTTAAAACAACAGCCAAGAGCATGCCCCCTATGCATTTGTCAAATAGCGTTTGCCATCAGCTGGACACTTCCACACCCTTCTACAAGAATGACCTCATTGACTCCCCGTAACAACCCTAAAGAAGACATTGTTTCTGTCCCTATTTTACAGATGAGGAAACTGAGGCCCAGGGACGGTCAGGGGGTAGCCAGGTTGTGTCCCTGGGGGCGGTTCCAAACTTCATGCTCTCACCGTGAGTGGCAGCTTCCTGTCTCTGTGGGGTGCCTGCACAATTAGGGGCAGAGTCAGACATGTTTGGGCGTTTTGCCATGAAATGGTTTACTCTGAAATAAAGAAAGTCTGTGGGTGTTGGACTGAATTTTGCAGAGTGGATTTAAATCCAGACTTTCGCAGAGTGGATTTAAACCAGAGATTGAGAGCAAGTTCTTAGTTCTAAATGCTCCTGCCAGCTTCCATCCTGACCAGAAATGAAAGCCTGGTGCTGAGACCGGCCCCCAGCCCCCTGCCGTAATCACCCTGAGTCTAGTTCCCTTCACTCACCCCCACCCCGCCAGTACCCCCAGGGAAAGTCAGCCAAAGGCAGGAGAACATATCTAACCTCTGTCCAGTAACACCTTCAAATGTGAAACTCCCACTTAATTATGTTGCCATTACATTTTAGTCCATCCTGTCTTTCAACTGTGAACACATTTTATTTTTTCCTTCCTGCCTTACTCAACTTTCCTGCTTTCAGGGTTTGAATTTCAAACCTGTGCATGTTTCTTGCTAGGTGCCAGCAAGCTCATAACTAATGAGATCTAAGGAATTTGGACTCCACTAATTTGCATTACGGGATGGTTTTGACAGAAGCTGGCAATATCGAACCTTTGCTGCACGAAAAAAAGGCTTGCTAATCATTTTAATGGCGTAAACATGGCAGGTCATGGAGCCATGTGATTGTTTACATACATGTAAACAGTTCATGCTGTTTTCTACTTGCTCTTTTGTACACAGTATCTGCTCTTCGGTTTTCGGGACTCTCAGTGCAGCTACCTCATCCTTGGGTAACTTGAGTGTCCTTTTGCTTTTTGCTTTGTTGTTACATTTGCATTTGACCTGTTATTGTGTCCCAGAAAGCATCTTGCAGGCCACACCGACCCGAGAATGGGTAAATATGTTCTGTTTTCGTCTCTTAAAACCCTACGCGTCTGGCATTTCAGAAGCTGCGCGATGTTAGATCCTTTATGTAACAACCAACCCTAGGTGGAGAGACTGCTAAAACAGGAAAAAGGTTTTCTGAATCAATGAGCAAAACCTTGCTGTGAATTTCCTAAAGATGGCACAGACAGGATAAATACATACTCCCAACTTGGAAACAGGGACATTTGAGGCAAAGCCTCCAGCACTAGGAATACATATTCCAGTCAGAGAAAAAGAACTGGTAATTGCCAATCTGTACATGAGCTGTGAGGGGAGTCCCCATGCAATGACACTGCAATCACCTTTGAACTAACTGTCAGGAAATAAATAAATAACGGAATGTGGCTTTTGAGTTTTAGTATAATGTTTCAATAACCATCTACGAATAATTAGCTGATTCAGGACAAGTGTTTTCAAAAGTGTATTAAAATATAGCTCTGATCGGGCGGGGCATGGTGGCTCATGCCTGTAATCCCAGCACTTTGGGAGGCCGAGGCGGGCAGATCACGAGGTCAGGAGATCAAGACCATCCTGGCTAACATGGTGAAACCCCGTCTCTACTAAAAATACAAAAAATTAGCCGGGCGTGGTGGTGGGAGCCTGTAGTCCCAGCTACTCGGGAGGCTGAGGCAGGAGAATGGCATGAACCTGGGAGGTGGAGCTCACAGTGAGCTGATATCACGCCATTGCACTCCAGCCTGGGAAACAAAGCGAGACTCCGTCTCAAAAAAAAAAAAAAAAAAAATATATATATATATATATAGCTCTGATCAATTAATTGGCACAAATTCTCCTTCGACAAAGCTAATGAATCGTTTTTCATGCATTAGTAAATATTACATAACTAGAAATTGTGTCTTCCCTTACTGTGGTGCTGATATTGTTAGCATGCATCCAAAAATGTGACCTTGGATATTCCAGATATATTGTTGGATTCTAGCATAGTAATTATTATCTCATTTTACTGGGTTGTTTTTTTTTCCTCCAAGCTTCCCCCGAAAAGTGCTATACTAATTAGGAATTATTCTCATTTGTTCATTAAAGCAAGCCCTCAAAAGATATCCTTAAGATCATGATTTATTAACCGAAACCAGATTATTATATGTTCCCAGCTTAATAAAAGTATAATTAGGCCAGGCACAGTGGCTCACACCTGTAATCCCAACACTGTGAGAGGCCAAGGAGGGTGGATTGCTCAAGCCCAGGAGTTGGAGACCAGCCTGGGGAACACAGCAAAACCCCATCTCTACTAAAAATAAAAAAAAATTAGCTGAGCATGGTAGAGCACCTGTAGTCCCAGCTACTCAGGAGACTGAGGTGGGAGGATTGCTTGAGTCCAGGAGTTCGAGAACGGCATGGGCAACATAGCGAGACCCCCATCTCTTCAAAAAAATTTAAAAATTGGGCCAGGCAGCCCAGGTGGCTCATGCCTGTAATCCCAGCACTTTGGGAGGCTGAGGTAGGCAGATCACTTGAGGACAGGAGTTTGAGACTCTTCAAGGCTGCAGTGAGCTGTGATCATACCACTGCATTCCAGCCTGGGTGACACAGTAAGACCCTGTCGAAAAAAAAAAAGAAAAAAAAACACTACAATTTTTCTTTAAATATTTTATTTATTTATTTATTTATTGAGACAGGGTCTTGCTCTGTCACCCAGGCTGGAGCGCAGTGGTGCAATCACAGCTCACTGCAGCCTCGACCTCCCAGGACCAAGAGATCCTCCACCTCAGCCTCCTGTATAGCTAAGACTACAGCCATGTGCCACCACACTCAGCTAATTTTTTATTTATTTATTTATTTATTTTGTAGATACGGGGTCTTGCTATGTTGCCCATACTGGTCTCGAACTCCTGGGCTCAAGCAATCCTCCTGCTTCAGCCTCCCAAAGTGTTGGGATTACAGGTATGAACCATCACACCCAGCCATTCTCTATTTTTCTGAATTTTTTTATTGTGATAAAATATATATAACATAAAAATTGCCCTTTTGGCCATTTCTAAATGTTCTGTTCATGATGTTGATCACATTTATGATGTTGTACAATTATCACCACCACCTGTCTCCAGAACTTTCTCCTTTTCCCAAACTGAAACTCTGTCCCCGCTAAGCAATAACTCCTCATGCCTTCCTCCTGCAGCCTCTGGTAACCTCTAATGCATTTTCTGTCTCTGATTCTGCCCATTCTAGATATTTCATAGAAGTGCAATCATACGCTATCTGTCCTTTTGCATCTGGCTTATTTCATCTAACCCAATACTTTCAAAGTTCATCCATGTTGCAATATGACTCAGAACTTCATTCTTTTTTAAGGCTGAATAATATTCCATTGTATGGATATGCCACCTTTTGTTTATCCATTCACTTGGGCTGCTTCTACCTTTTGGCTATGGTAAACGACCCTGCGATGAACACTGGTGTGTAAGTATGTGTTTGGGTTCTTGCGTTCAATCCTGCAGTGTATACTACAAAGACGAATTGCTGGATCATTTGGTAATTCTACGTTTAACTCCTTGAGGAACTGCCCAGCTCTTTCAGCAGCTGCTGCACTGTGTTACATTGCAATTGGCCATGTGTGAGTGTTCCAATTTCTCCACATCCTCACCAACACTTGTTATTTTCTGTTGGTTGTTTGGTTGGTTGTTTAATTTTAGCCATCCTAGTAGGAATGAGCAACACTCACTCTTGATAGAAAAACACATTGAAGATCTAATTTTGGTGCTGCAGAGAACAGGGGGACTGGGTGATTAGGAAGCAAAAGAAGCCTCTGGGAAGGAGGAGTAGAGAAGTGAGGGGTTAGAAGGAAAATGACATGGGACAGGGATCATAAACTGTGCACTGGGTTTATGTTATCATTAGCCTTTCCAGAATATGGAGGCCTGGCCTATATCCCTCAATCAGGGTCTATATACCAACAGGAAGAAATGCACATGTGGATCTCTTTCACCTTACAATGCTCTGAGTAGAGCAAGATAACTCAGAGGGAAAAAGGCTATTTTCTGCTTAACTGACATTACTATCCGATAAGCCCTAGTCTCTGAGCAACACAGGGGGCCGTAAATTCATTAGGAATACTGTTCCTACAAACTTGTTCAACCTGTAGCCAGAAACATCCAAGTTTAAAAAAAAAAAATAGGTGTAGTATACTGCATAGCATGTTGTGTATCACATGTAGTCACCATTGAGGATATTTACCTAGTGGTCTTTTTCCTTTGTTACTACAATAGACAATTAAATGATAAACACTTTTATATCTTTAAGACATATAAATAGAAAAAAAATCAAGGGGATTTGGGTATTTTTCATTATATTTGTGTGTTTATGATAAAAAACACATAACTGGGCCAGACACAGTGGCCCATGCCTATATTCCCAGCACTTTGAGAGGCCGATCTGGGAAGATGGCTTGAGCTCAGGAGTTAGAGACAAGCCTAGGCAACATAGGGAGACCCCATCTCTACAAAACAACTTAAAAATTAGGTAAGCATGATGATGCATGCCTGTAGTCCCAGCTACCTGGGAGCCTGAGGTGGGAGGATTGCCTGAGTCCGGGAGTTCAAGACCAGCCTGGGCAAAATGGCAAAACTCCACCTTTACAAAAACTACAAAATTAGTCAGGTATGGTGGCACAGGCCTGTAATCCAAGCTACTCAGGAGGCTGAGGTGAGAGGATCACTTGAGTCCAGGAGGCTGAGGCTGCAGTGAGCTGTGATTGTGCCACTGCTCTCTAGCCTGGACAGAGCAAGACCCTGTCTTAAACAAACAAAAGTCACCCAGGGGGTAAACATCAGAGCCTGATCTTTAAAATGATATATTGTGTGGTTGAAATGTTAAAAACCAACCACACCAAGTGTTGGTGAGGATGTGGGGAAACTGGAAATCTCATACACAGTTAGTACAAATGTAAAATGATACAACCATTTTGTTGGTTTTTTTTTATCGCTTCACAAAGTTTGTTTCTGAAAGAGTTAAAACATATATCTATAATAGGATCCAGCCTTTCCAGTTATAGATACTTATCCAAGAGAAATAGCATAGTTCCATACAAAAACTGATAAGCAAATGCTCATAGCAGCTCTATTTGTAATAGCTGGAAACTGTAAAAACCATAAACAATCCAAATGTCCATCAATAGATGAACAGAGAAACAAACCATAATGCAACATACAGTGGAATACTACTCAGCAATAAAAAGGAATCGATGACCGATACATGAAACAGCATGAATGAATCTCAAAATTATCACCCTTAGTGAAAGAAAAAATCCAGACAAAAAAGAATACAGACTGTCTAACTCCATTCATATAAACTCAAGATAATGTGGCAGGAAGCAGACCAGTGGTTACTTGGGAATAGAAGAATGGGGAAGGGCTGGAGGGAGGGGTTACAAAGGGCTTGAGGAAATGTTTAGAAGTGATAAGAATAGTAATGGACAGAATCATGGTTCCCCAAAGACTTCCATGTCCTAATCCCCAGAACCTGTGAATATGTTACTTTACATGGCAAAGGGGAGTTAAGGATGTAGATGGAATTAAAGTTGCTAGCCGGCTGACTTTAAGATTATCTTAGATTATCCGGCTGGGACAATGTAATGACAAAACTCCTTAAAAACGGAAGAGGGAGGCAAAAGCATTCAGAGTCAGAAGGAAGTATGACTACAGAAGAATGGTGTGTTGGCCAATATTGAGTTACTGTAACAGAATACCTGAGGCTAGGTAATTTATAAAGAAAAGAGTTTCATTTGGCTCATGTTTCTGTGGCTGGAAATTCCAAAATTGGGCAACTGCATCTGGTGAGGGCCTCAGTCTGCTTCCACTCATGGTGGAAAACAGGAGAGTGGGTGTGTGCAAAGAGACCCCATCGTGAGAAAGGAAGCAAGAGAGAAACTGAGGAAGCCAGACTCTTTTTAACAACCTGCTCTCTCAGGAACTAATCCATTCCAGTGAGAGCAAGAACTCACTCACCCCTGAGGGACAGCATTAATCTATTCATGAGGGATCTTCCCCATGACCTAAACACCTCCCACTAGCCCCCACCTCCCACATAGCCACATTGAAAATCAACTCACAACATAAGTTTTGGACTGGAACAAACCATGTGTAAACCATAGCAAATGGTCAGAGAGACGCAACATTGCTGGCTTTGAAGATGGAGGAAGGGGCCATGAGCCAAGGAATACAAGAAACCTCTAGAAGCTGGAAAAGGCAAGGAAATAGATTATCCCCTAGAGTCTCCAGAAAGGAGTACAGCCCTGCTGATATCTTGATTTTGGCCCTCCAAGACCCCTTGCAGACTTCTGACCTTCAGAACTGTAAGATGATAAAATTGTGTTGTTTCAGCTGGGTGTGGTGGGATGCACATGTAATCCTAGCTACTAGGGAGGCTTCTTTAAGGCCAGGAGTTTAAGACCAACCTGGACAACATATCAAGACTATCTCTTAAAAAATAAAAACAATAGGCCAGGCAAGGTGGCTCACGCCTGTAATCTCAGCACTTTGGGAGGCCAAGGTGGGCGGATCACTTGAGGTCAGGAGTTCGAGACCAGCCTAGCCAACATAGTGGAAACTCATCTCCACTAAAAAAGCAAAAATTAGCAGGGCGTGGTGGTGGGCGCCTGTAATCCCAGCTACTTGGGAGGCTGAGGCAGGAGAATCGTTTGAACCTGGGAGGCGGAGGTTGCAGTGAGCCGAGATTGCGCCACTACACTCCAGCCTGGGCGACAAAGTGAGACTCTGTCTAAATAAATAAAAAATAAATTAAAAAAAAAAAAACAATTAACCAAACATGGTGGTGCACACCTGAGCCCAGGAATTTGAGGCTGTAGTGATTTCAGCGTGACCGACAGAGCAAGGCTCTGTCTAAAAAAAAAAAAAAAATTTATGTTGTTTTAAGCCACTAAGTTTGTGGTAATTTGTTAAAGCAGTCATAGGGAACTCATACTGCTCCACTCATTATTTCTAATGTGGTGATGGTTTCACAGATATATACATATAACAAAACTTATCAAATTATAATTGTCCATATGCATGGTTTATTTTATGTCAATGGATATCTCATTAAAGCTGTTTTTTTAAATTATGATTTTTTTTTTTTTTTTTGAGACAGAGTCTCATTCTGTCACCCAGGCTGAAGTCCAGTGGCACGAATTCAGCTCACTCAGCTCACCTCCGCCTCCCAGGTTCGGCTCATTGCAACCTCAGCGTCCTGAGTAACTGGGATTACGGTCATGTGCAACCACTCCCAGCTAATTTTTGTATTTTTAGTAGTGATGGGGTTTCACCATGTTGGCCAGGCTGGTCTCAAACTCCTGGCCTCAAGAGATCCACCTGCCTCGGCCTCCCAAAGTGTTGGGATTACAGGTGTGAGCCACCACGCCTGGTCTCAATAAAACTGTTCAAAAAACACTTTTTGTGGCCAGGCGCGGTGGCTCAGGCCTGTAATCCCAGCACTTTGGGAGGCCGAGGCAGGTGGATCACCTGAGGTCAGGAATTCGAGACCAGCCTGGCCAACATGGTGAAACCCTGTCTCTATTAAAAATACAAAAAATTAGACAGGCGTGGTGGTGACGCCTGTAATCTCAGCTACTTGGGAGGCTGAGGCAGGAGAATCACTTGAACCAGAGAGGCAGAAGTTGCAGTGAGCCGAGATTGTGCCACTGCACTCCAGCCTGGCCAACAAGAGCGAAAACTTTGTCTCAAAAAAAAACAAAACAAAACACTTTTTGCAAAACAGATCTTCTTTGTGATTTCTTTTTTCAATCATCACATGCAGAAATACATAGGAAAGTAGACTGGGCGCGGTGGCTCACGCCTGTAATCCCAACACTTTGGGAGGCCAAGGTGGGCGGATCACGAGGTCAGGAGATAGAGACCATCCTGGCTAACATGGTGAAACCCCATCTCTACTAAAAATACAAAAAAACAATTAGCCGGGAGTGGTGGTGGGCGCCTGTAGTCCCAGCTACTCAGGAGGCTGAGGCAGGAGAATGGCGTGAACCCAGGAGGCGGAGCTTGCAGTAAGCCGAGATCACTCCACTGCGCTCCAGCCTGGGCAACAGAGTGAGACTCCGTCTAAAAAAATAAAAAATAAATTTAAAAAAAAGAAATACATAGGAAGATCACCCATGTCAATTCAATGGACTTTATTATGAACTGTATGCATTACATATCACTATATCTCTCATAAGTCTATAAGCTTTACTGTCACTTGTACCTGAGGGATATTATAGGCTGGCTCAATATGTTTGACATTGGATTACTTACAAGAAATTAATCTAGCTTAATAACATAAATATTCATCTGTAATTTTTCTCTCTTCTTTGGTATTAAAATAACTAAGTTATTAAATTATATCACAAACTGAACTAAAAATTATCATAAAGGTTATAACTAAAACCAAAGATTATCAACCACACTAAAAATCTAAGTGCACTTACAGTATAAACAAGAGCTCTTCACAGTGAAAGAATTATTTCTGTGTGTACTCATGTTCATTACAGATATACTTCATTAGAGTAAAGTGGAGATCTACCTATAATAAATTGTTAGCTGTGTAAATACAGCCTTTGAATTAAGAGTCAAAGAAGTAGGCAGATCCCAATTCAGTCCTGGTGTATCAGGTAGGGTCTCTGCAGGAAGCAGATGGCATACACAGAAGGGTTAAGTAAAGACAGTTAAATGCAGAAGCTATTTACAGAGAAAGGTGGATAGAGTTAAGGGAACCCAACTAGAAGCTGGAGGGGAAGGGAGCTAGGTGTGGAAGACTGTACTGTTTCTTCTCAATTGACCCATTCCTCCCAGCCAATGTCACGTGCTCCTGTAGGCAGAATATACTTCCTTGCCCCTTTGACCTTGAGCTTAGCCATATGACTTGCTTTGGTCAATGGAATGCAAGCAGATGTGACAAACACCACTTTTTATTTTTATTTTTATTTTTTTTTTTGAGACGGAGTCTCTTTCTGTTGCCCAGGCTGGAGTGCAGTGGCGTGATCTCGGCTCACTGCAAGCTCCGCCTCCTGGGTTCATGCCATTCTCCTGCCTCAGCCTCCCGAGTAGCTGGGACTACAGGCACCCGCCACCATGCCCGGCTAATTTTTTGTATTTTTAGTAGAGATGGGGTTTCACGGTGTTAGCCAGGATGGTCTCGATCTCCTGACCTCGTGATCTGCCCACCTCGGCCTCCCAAAGTGTTGGGATTACAGGCGTAAGCCACCGCGCCCGGCCGACAAACACTACTTCTAACAGAACTTGAAATGCACTGGTGTGGTTGGCATGCACTTGAGTGTCTGCTTTTGGCCTTGAGAAGAGCAGGTGCCAGATAGGATCTGGCTCCAGATATGGGAAGAGTGCATGGAACTGAGCCAAGTCTAGTCTGTTAGAACTCAGCAAAGGCAAAGCTGATGCACAGCCTGCATGCCTTATGAACAAGAACTAAATGTTTCCTGCAGAAGCAAAAGCACACCGGACAAACCGGATGGTACAGCCTGCAGGGACCAGCCTCCATGACACAGCAGGGCAAAGAAGAGCCGAGAACGGATGTGGGGGCAAACTGAGAAGAGCCACACAGGAGAGCATGGAGGGAGAAATGCAGGGAGATTCATTTCCATGAAGGGCTGAGGACAAGAGACTTCAAGCTGTGTGGCTAAGAGGCAAACACCACAAGCTGAATGAGGGGAAAGGAGTGAAGAGAGGGCTCTGAACAGAGAGAGCATCATGCTGACACTCAAATTTGTCTCCTAACCAGGTTTTTCACTGGATCCATATTCTGGTGCCATAACAAAAGGAGAAATAACAAGGGATCACATGAAGGACTCAGAAATATTCTGGGATACATTGCCAAGCCAGGGCAATGTGGTCCCCTTTTAGCAGGCCACACATACAAGACCACCCTCAGCTTTGACTTGTGAGGGCTTGCAGTATAGCTGGGGTAGTGCCCAAGGAGGCGGGCAGAACAGTGGTGCCCTGCATGTTACAGTGGTGCCCCCCAGGAGGTCTGTCCTTACAAGCCTGAGGACATTCCTCAACCCTCTGTGAATTTCTTAAAGTCAGGAACCCACCCTCGCACTCTGCAGATATGCGTAGTGCACACTTTAATAAATATGCACCAGTAAATACTTCCAGCTGTGCATGTGTGTGCAAGTGGCTCCTCCCCCAAGAGATGCAATAAATACATGAAATACGGGGCTGGGGGGGCGGGGGTGAGAATGCAGGATGACTGGGGCCTTTTCCAGGCAAAGTCATTTACCCATCACCTTGTTGGAGTGTCTGCACAGTTTATGCTGGACAGTGGCAAGAAAATGGATTTTCTCATTTGTCTTGGTGGCAGTCTGACCTCATCTTTGTTTTTTCTTTGAGATAAAATCTAACGAGAAATTTGATTTTCTAACATTTTAAATTAGGATCCTATATGGGAGAAATACAGAGTCTTAAACAGGAGGACCTAGACTAACACACAGAGTAAGGGAAGGCATTGCTGGAGAAGAAATATACACATAGATAGGTAGATAGATAGATAGATAGATAGATAGATAGATAGATAGATAGATAGATAATAGAAAGACAGAGACAGAGACAGAGAGAAAGAGAGAGAGAGGTGGTCTTGTTCTATTGCCCAGGCTGCAGTGAAGTGGTGTAATCATAACTCAAGGCAGCTTTGAACTCCTAGGTTCAAGCAATCCTCTCACCTTGGCCTCCCGAGTAGCTGGGACTACAGGTGCATGTCACCACACCTGGCTAATTTTCTTTTTTTAGAGATAGGATCTTGCTATGTTGCCCAGACTGGTCTCAAACTCCTGGGCTCAAGTGATCCTGCTGCCTGGGCCTCTCAAATTGCTGGAATTACAGCCATGAGCCACCACGCCCAGCCAGGGGAAGCAATAGCAAAGGTGAGATTTAACAGGTTGACACATGCAAACAGGGCATGGGAAAAGCATTGTAGGCAGGAGTAAACAAGTATATGTAATTCCTGAGAGAAAATGGAGAAAGGTTCCCAACCTCAGACGGTAAAGGGACTCAGGAGAAATGTCCTGTGAGGCCATTTCATCATGTCACACGTGGACTGCGCCCACCAAGAAGTGAGGGGGAAAGTAGGCACTGCCCTCAAAATCAGAGAATCCTGCAGAACCTGATGACACGCTCTGAGCTTTAAAAACAAGTGCAGCCTGGGTCCCACCCCCAGCAACATTAATTTGATTCATTGTCCTGGGATGGGGCCTAGGCTTTTGGGAATTTTTTTTTTTTTTTTGACGGAGTTTTTTGCTCTTGTTGCCCAGGCTGGAATGCAATGGTGTGATCTCGGCTCACTGCAACCTCCGCCTCCCGGGTTCAAACGATTCTCCTGCCTCAACCGCCTGAGTAGCTGGGATTACAGGCATAAGCCACCATGCCCGGCTAATTTTGTATTTTTAGTAAAGACGGGTTTCACCATGTTGGTCAGGCTGGTCTCAAACTCCTGATCTCAGGTGATCCGCCCACCTCGGCCTCCCAAAGTGCTGGGATTACAGGCGTGAGCCACCGCGCCCGGCTGGGCTTTTGGGATTTTTAAAAGCTCTTCAAGCACTTTCAATGTATAGCCGACGTTGAGAATGGCTGATCTAAAGCCGTGGTTCTCGGCCGGGCATGGTGGCTCACGCCTGTAATCCCAACACTTTGGGAGGCTGAGGTGGACAGATCGGTTGAGCCTAAGAGTTCAAGACCGGCCTGGCCAACATGGCGATACCCCGTCTCTACAAAATATACAAAAATTAGCCTGGTGCGGTGGCACAGGCCTGTAGCCCCAGCTACCAAGGAGATGAGGTTGCGGTGAGTCGAGGTGCCACTGCCTGGACAACAGAGTGAGACTCTGTCTCAAAAAAATAAATAAATAAATAAAGCCATGGTTCTCAAACTTCAGCATGCATCAGTAGCAACTGGAGGGCTTGTTACAATATGAATGGTGGGGACCCACTCCCAGAATTCCTGTGCAGTTCTAACAGTTTCTCAGGTGCTGCTAGGGCTGCTGATCCCAGGATCACAGTGTGAGAACCATTCAAAGAAGCGAGGCAGGAGATGTTTGAGAAAGATCCAGCTGTAGGAGTCAGGGGGCAGGGCCTACACGTAGATAAAAGGTGGTAATTCTGGGAAACTTGCAGGATTAGGGGTAAGGAGGGCAGCGGCAGGGAAGAATTCAATATGGCACTAGAGGGTAGGCACCCCTGGAGTGTGTATACCCTAGCAACTGGAAGCCATTCTTGGTAGGGCGAGGTGGCTCATGTCTGTAATCCCAGTGCTTTGGGGGGCTGAGGAGGGAGGATTGCTCGAGCCCAGGAGTTTGAGGCTGCAGTGAGTTATGACTGCACCACTGCCCTCCAGTTTCAGTGACAGGAAGGAAGGAAGGGAGGGAGGAAGAGGAAGGGAAGATGGGAGGGGTGGGTCATTTTTGCCAGAAGTCCAAGCAAGTAGCCAGGGACAGAGACACCCATCTGAAAGAAGATCCATCCTTGGGCTGTGTCCCCATCCCTGGAGGCCAGAGACAAGCCTGTCCCTGAAAGACAACGACACAGAGAACCCAGCATGGATCCAGTCATTGGGCAGGGGCAGAAGAAGCGGACGAGGCATCAGGAAGAAGGAGAGGCAGAGCTGGTGGAACCCCGCTGGCAGGCAGATGTTGGGGCCAGCAGGAAAGGAGCTGTAAAGTTTAGAGTCCCCAAAACTCATTGAGGGGAATTCCAATCACCATCCATTGAGACTTTGATTAGGGGCTCAGGAGTCGGCATAATTAACCCATCTGCCCCTCCTCTTCCAGTCTAGGTGGTCTAGATTTGATAACACTGCTGGGGGAGGGGATGCAAAGGGGGGCAATGTGGAGGTGAAAGCAATGTGGTGGGAGGGATCTGGAAAGAGTAAGTGTGTGGGCAGAATGCTACTACAGCCCAAAGGTGCTCACGCCGGTGTATACGCCCCATATAATCCCCTCCACTTGAGTGTGGGCAGGACCCGTGACCATTACGAGATGCCATTCCCATCATTAGGGGACTGATTGGTTGCCTCTGAGTCAACCAAACAGGAGATTATCCTGGGTGAGTCTGACCTAATCAAGTGAGCCCTTAAAAAACACAGAGACTTTTCCGTTGGCTTCAGAGATGAAGCAAACAGCCACAGTGTGAACTGTTTGTGGGAAGGAACAGCCTCTAGGAGAGGAGGGGCCACAGCCCTACAACCACAAAAAACTGAATTCTGCCAAAATTCAATGAGCTGGAAAAAGAACTCCAAGCCTGGGATGAGATCCAGACCCAACTGACACCTTGATTTCATCCTGGTGAACCCTGAGCAGAGGATCTGGTTGTGCTGTGCCCAGAATTCTGACCAAGGTAAAGTATAAGGTAGTAAATGTGTGAAGCTTCTAAGTTCATATATAATATATATTATATATCATAGTCATATGTATATGATTTATTATTTGTTATAAGGAATTGGCTCACGTGATTATAGAGGCCGAGAAATCCTAAGAACTGCAGTTGGCAAGATGGAGACCCAGGAGAGCCAACAGTATAAGTTCTAGGTGAGTCCAAAGTCCTGAGAACCAGGAGAACCAATGGCGTTAAGTTCCAGTTGGAAAGTCAGCAGGCTGCTGATGTTTCAGCTCAATTCCAAAGGCAGGAAGACTGATGTCAGCTCAAGCAGTCAGGCAGCAGGAGCTCCCTCTTACTCAGCCTTTGTGTTCTATTTAAGGCTTCAACTGATTGGACAAGGCCCACCTGTACTGGGAGGGTAATCTGCTTCACTCAGTGTACAGTGCAAATGTGATCTCATCCAAAATCACCCTCACACACACCCAGAATGTCTGACAAAATGTCTGGGCACCCTGTGGCCCAGTCAAATGGACAAATAACATTAACTGTCACACCAGTCCACCAAGGAAAACTTCCTCAGTCTGTCACCATTTTAATATATTTTTACAAACTTTTATTTATTTATTTATTTATTTATTTTGAGATGGAGTTTCACTCTTGTTGCCCAGGCTGGAGTACAATGGCATGATCTTGGCTCACCACAACCTCCGCCTCCAGGGTTCAAGTGATTCTCCTGCCTCAGCCTCCCGAGTAGCTGGGATTACAGGCATGCACCACCACATCCGGCTAATTTTGTGTTTTTGGTAGAGACAGGGTTTCTCCATGTTGGTCAGGCTGGTCTCGAACTTGTGACCTCAGGTGATCCGCCCACCTCGGCCTCCCAAAATGCTAGGATTACAGGCGTGAGCCACCACACCCGGCCTTTTACAAACTTTTAAAACTTGCTAGCATGTGGAAGATGGACGCCCACTGTCTGACTACATCCAGAAAGAGTCCAGTCTGCCTTTGGTCCTGTGCTTGAGGGGAGGTATCTAAGTTTCCTCTTTCTTTTAAGCTGTTGACAAATCTCATTGCACTTTTTTTTCAGTAAAGTTGTGGCATACCCCCATCCCCGAAAAAAACTGCTAGCATGAAAAGAACAGTTGGGCCATACTCCCTTTATAGTTTTTTTGGGGGGCTTTTTGGTTGTTTTTGAGATAGGATCTCACTCTGTCACCCAGGCTGGAGTGCAGTGGTGCAATCAGAGCTTACTGCAGCCTCGACCTCCTGGGCTCAAGTGATTCTCCCATCTCAGTCTCCTGAGTAACTGGAACCACAGGCATGCACCACCACTTGGGACCACAGGCATGCACCACCACTCCTGGCTAATTTTTGTAGACCATGTTGCCCAGGCTAGTCTTGAACTCCTAGTCTCAAGGGATCCTCCCATCTCAGCCTCTCAAAGTGCTGGGATTATAGGCATGAGCCACTGCGCCCAGCCTGGAGAGTGATCTTGGATGAGATTCACATTTGCACTGTAGAGTGAGTGAAGCAAATTGCCCTCTCTACTGTGAGTAGGACTCGTCCCATCAGCTGAAGGTTACTGAAAGCCAGATACTCCTGGCCTCTAACGATCCGCCTGCCTCCACCCCACAAAGTGCTGGGATTACAGGCATGAGCTACCACACCTGGACACTTTGTAGTTATTTGTGTGACTTCAATGAAGCGGGGATTGGCCAAAGAGAACTCAGTGTCCTGGAGGAAGGCCTTTAATATTACTTTCTAGCATAATGAAGTGGCTGTTTTATTTTAAGAGTTATGAAGTTCACTGCAAGGTTTTCAGGTACCTGAATTCCAACCCCAGACTTCTGGGGCCCCCTGCACTCCCTGAGATCGGGGAAGCACAGCAGCTCCTTATTCCAAGGAAGGGCAGGGTCCCTGCTCTGAGAGCCCCCAGGCACCTCTGCCCACCCGTTACAGCACTCATTATAGTCTGATGTAGGGTGGGCTTATGTCCTTCCATAGGCTTCATGCTTTTCCAGGGCAGGAGTCATGTCTTCAGTGTTCTGGGTTTTCCTGAGCACTTAGCAGTGGGCACTTGCAATCCTCCAATGTTGGTTAAGTGCATGCACTATTAATAGCATTCCATCCACGCCAGGCGCGGTGGCTCATACCTGTAATCCCAACACTTTGGGAGGCCGAGACAGGCAGATCACTTGAGGTCAGGAGTTCAAGACCAGCCTGACCAACATGGTGAAACTCTGTCTCTACTAAAAATACAAAAATTAGCTACTCGGAAGGCTGAGGCACAAGAATCGCTTGAACCCGGGAGGTGGAGGTTACAGTGAGCCGAGATCACACCACTGCAGTCCAGCTCTGGGCGACAGAGTGAGACTCTGTCTAAAAAAACAAAAAACAAAAAAAAAAAAAAAACAAGCATTCCAATAGCAACTTTCCATTGCACAGCAATTCATTCTCCAAGTGTGTTCCTCGGACAAACATTCACATCTGCTGGGAACTTGTTAGAAATGCAGATATGGCCAGGCGCAGTGGTTCACGCCTGTAATCCCAGCACTTTGGGAGGCCGAGGCAGGCAGATCACTTGAGCCCAGGAGTTCCAGACCAGCCTGGCCAACATAGTGAAACCCCATCTCTACAAAAAAATACAAAAATTAGCTGGGTGTGGCATGTGCCTGTCGTCCCAGCTACTCGGGAGGCTGAGGCAGGAGAATCGCTTGAATCCGGGAGGCGGAGGTTGCAGTGAGCTGAATCACGCCACTGCACTCCAGCCTGGTGACAGAGCAAGACTCTGTCTCAAAAAAAAAAAAAAAAAAAAAAACGGATACTTGGGCCTCCCTCACACCTGCTAAATCAGAAGCTCAATGACTGGGGCCCAGCCATCTGGGTTCCATAACCCCTCTGGAAGGTTCTGATGTGTGTGCAAGTCAGAGAGTCACTGCTCTAGCCTAATGGTTTGTATTTTGGGTCAATCAGCCCCTTCATAATTCTCAGGTCTCTTCCCCCCAATTTCTTGGTAGTTGTTTTATTTCGTATTTTGCACTGAATTCTGCAAAGTCATCTAAGTAATATTGTGCCTGCTCACACTTGTACTAATTGAGATCCATGTTTCAGTGAATCATCATAGCTTCAATGTGTTGAGCAAATACTGTATACCAAGCCTAGTATTGAATACAGAAATTACCTTGCCCTCAAATCCACCCTGTGAGAGAGGTAATGCTAGCCCCAGTTCTCAGAGGCAGAATCTGAACACAGCTGTTTAAGTGACGTGTGTATGTTCCCATAGCAGGTCATGCTGCACTTGCAACTCAAAATCACCCTCACACAAACCCAGAATGTCTGACCAAATGTCTGAGCACCCCATGACCTAGTCAAGTGGATAAATAACATTAACCATCACACCAGTCCACCAAGGGAAAACATCCTCAGTCTGTCACCATTTTAATATATTTTTACAAACTTTTAAAAATTGCTAGGAGGTGGAAGATGGACACACCCTGTCTGACTACAATATCCAGAAAGAGTCCAGTCTGCCTTTGGTCCTGTGCTTGAGGGAAGGTATCTAAGTTTCGTCTTTCTTTTAAGCTGTTGACAAATCTCATTGCACTTTTTTTCAATAAAGTTGTGAGATTCCCCCCGCCCCCCAACAAAAAGTTGCTAGCATGAAAGAACAGTTAGGACACATTCCCTTTGTATTTTTGGGGGGGTTGTTTGTTTGAGACAGGATCTCACTCTCTCACCCAGGCTGGAGTGTCTTGCTTCAAAGTTGGTGTTTGTGACCCCAGACTAAATAGTCTTGGAACCTTAGACTCTGTCTTACAATAGGCACCAATCTTTTAGGGCATCCAAGTATTTTGCAACAAAAAGCAGCTTGATGGAGCTAGCACGAAGTGCCACCAGTCAAGCTTGCAAGAGCAACAAATGGGTTCTTCTTGCTGAATTGTTTAACCACGAAATGTGTTTGTCCTGCAGGCTTATTAGCAAAGCGTACTCTTTTGTTCTGGGGGAAGACCCACGCCTCTTTAAGGAACAGAGCAGACCATGCCAAAAGCACTTCAAGGCCTTCCTTATCGCTGTCAATCTGGCACCCTGTGAAAGCTGCGGGGCCTTTCTACTCTGCTCCAAGCTCCCTGCTCCATCCAGCTGGTCCTGGAATCAGCTTTCTCTGCCTGCCTTCATGTCACCCTCTCCCACCTGAACTCCCTCCCCGGAGCCTTCCAAGCCCACCCTTCTCTTCCACTCTAACCTCCACAGCATTTCAGGCACTCATTGACCATCTCTCTGACATTGGGTGTGGCACCATGATCATGTTTGGGGGTCCCTAAGCAAACCCTGACACATACATGGGCCATTCTGCCTCCTGCCTCCTAGTCCCCAATGATAGACATTGTCACCTAATGCCTGAGCACCATGAAAACTGAGGGAAAGAGGAAGAACTGCATCTTCCTCCTCCTCAGAGGTCTCCGCTGGGGACTGGCTGATTCCTTTAGGGCCTTAAAACATTTCCATTTGCAGAATGCCCCTAATAAAATGGAGAAGTAAAGCTATAAATCCTTACCGTATTATTTTCAGAGCAAGAAAGATGGTTACAGATGGGTGGCAGATGGGTAGCGATGGATGGAATCAGTCGATGGATAGTAAGAATAGGTCCTGTAGAAATAAAACACAAGCATTTGTGTATTAATTACTGTATTAAGTCTGTTTAGACTGCTATGACAAAGTAGCATAGACAGGGTGGCTTAACCAACATCGATTTATTATCCAACAGTCCTGGAGGCCGGAAGTCCAAGATCAAGGTGTGAGCACGGCTGGTTCCTACTGGGACCTCTCCTTGGCCTGTAGATGCTGTCTTCTCCCTGTGTCCTCACATGGTGGTCCCTCTATGTGCATCTGTGTCCTCATCTACTATTCTTATAAGAATTCTAGTCGTATTGGTTTAGGGCCCACCCTAGTGATTTCATTTTATCTTAATTGCCTCTTTGGAGATCCTATTTCCAAATACATTCACATTCTGAAGTACCAGGGCTTAGGGCTTCAACATATGCATTTGTGGGGGGAGCATAATTCAGTCCATAACACTTGCCCATTGCTGAGTAACAAACTGCCACAAATGCAGTGGCTTAAAATAACACACGTTTGTTATCTCAGAATCTCCATGGGTTGGGAATTTGAGCTCAGCTTAACTGTGCCTTTTGCTCAGGGTTTCACAAGGCTGTAGTCAATGTGTCAGCAGAACTGCATTCTCATCTAGAGGCTTGGATGGAAAAGAATCCACCATCAAGATCCCTCAGGCTGGGTGTGGTGACTCATGCCTGTAATCCCAACACTTTGGGAGGTTGAGGCAGGATAATCCCTTGAGCCCATGAGTTTGCGACCAGCCTGGGCAACATAGTGAGACCCCATCCCTAGAAAAAATTTAAAAATTTGAAAAATTAGCCAGGTATGGTGATGTACACCTGTAATCCAAGCTACTCAGGAGGCTATGGTGGGAGGATCACTTGGGCCCTGGAGGTCGAGGCTGCAGTAAGCTGTAACTGCACCACTGCAGTCCTGCTTGGATAACAGAGTAAGACTCTGTCTCCAAAAAAAAAATGGTTTCATGACTCAGGGCACTGGCTTCTTGCAGGCTGCTGGCTGGGGGGCGGTCCTGGGGGGGCTGCCCTTGGTTCCTTGCCCCATGGCTGCTTGCTTCTTCAAGACTGTGCATCAGGGAACCTCGTCACTGGTGTGGCATCCCATCTCCTCTGCCATATTCTCCTGGTTAGAAGCAAAACAGGCTGGGCACGGTGGCTCACGCCTGTGATCCCAGCACTTTGGGAGGCCAAGGTGGGTGGATCACTTGAGGTCAGGAGTTCGAGACCAGCCTGGCCAACATGGTGAAACCCTGTCTCTACTAAAAATACAAAAAAATTAGCCGAGCGTGGTGGCACACGCCTTTAGTCCCAGCTACTTGGGAGGCTGAGGCAGGAGAATCGCTTGAACCCAGGAGGCAGAGGCTGCAGTGAGCAGAGATCACTCCACTGCACTCCAGACTGGGTGAGACGGAGCAAGACTCTGTCAAAAAAAAAAAAAAAAAAAAGAAGCAAAACATACGTCCTACCCACACTTAAGAGGCCAGAAGGCCAGAATCCCACAAAAGAACAGGGATCATGAAGACCCCCCCACCTCCCCCCGCCCCGCCAAAAGCAAAGTTTGTTCCACACACCTTGAGGGTGGGAGAAATGAGAGAAAAAATAGTAATAGAAAGCCAGCAGCACAGGGTAAATTTTGCCCCTTCACAAGTTTGCCTGAGGTTGGGCCACATTCACTCACCCAATCCCCAAAGTTATCTTTTAGACCATCCACCCCAACAACCTGGAGCAGTCACTGTTTTGCAAGAGCTTTAGATGAAGACTGTAATGAAACAAGATCAAGGGAAAGACTGGTTTTAAGTATCACTTACTCATCTTCCTCCACCTGCAATTTTCAGCCCCAAAATAACTTGGAGGAAAAAAAAAACCCCTGGATTATTTACATTTGCTCTCTATTTTTAACCACTCTTCTGTTTAAAACATTTAATATCTTCTGAAGCCCCATTAGAGCCTATTTAACCTGTAGCAAGATATCGTATTTATTTTTGCAGCTATTTTCATCTGCTTAGGGAACTTTTTGTTTTCATCTGAGCTTTCAGAAGGAAGTTAAGCAAGGTCAACAGGCCTGGCTGACTTGTCAACTGGTTGTGCTGGGTTCTTAATCATAAAATGGAGCTAAATTCAGAGCAACTTATCATGCATCTCTTTTTATGTGGCTCAGTTTTTCCATTACTTGAAGTTCCCAAACATTAATAAACCTAAATGCACTATTTTTGGTGGGAATGAATGCATTATGCTTTTCAGAGTTGATGTTTTTTACATAACTAAATCATGTTGGCAAGAGGGAGGAGAAACCACCCTTTGTAGGGCATATAGCGATTGGATTTTTTCCTACTGATCTGGAGCTGTTGAAGCAGGGAATGGGGGAGGGGGAAGAAAGGGGAATTCGGCACAGGGAAAATACACCCACAGATTCTGTTCACTATTTTTACTTGATATTTTTTGTGCTACAGGTTGCTTTTGCAACCACTAAGCAAACATTTTCAAGAGGCTTTAATGAAAAAGATGTGTTTGGAAGAAAGCAAAATGACTCCACAAGACTCTAACAGAAAATACACTTGTAATTCTTTGAGCTGTAGTTAGGATAAACATTTGATCCTAGAGACAATCTAGTCACGTGAAACCAAAAGCCTGTAGTCTCAGCTACTAGGGAGGCTGAGGCAGAAGTATCACTTGAACCTGGGAAGCAGAGGTTGCAGTGAGCCGAGATTGTGCCACTGCACTCCAGCTTGGGCGACAGAGCAAGACTCCGTCTCAAAAATAAATAAATAAATAAAATAAAGACAAAAATCCAACCTAGCCCAAGGCTGGTGCAGTAGACACTGCAACAGAATATAAAATGAGTGATTAAAACTCAACAAGAACCATTCAGGAGACCCATGAGCTGGAATATTCTGTTTTACCCTCTTCCTTCTCTTCCCCACCCCACCACACCTTTGCCCTCCAAGGGTTATTTTTGCTGCACGTTACTTTATTCTTTTTCAACCAGCTTTGGCACAAAAATGTAGTGCTTAAGTGTTTAATATTATATTATTCATATTTCCCTCTTGATGTGTTCTAATTCCACCCTTCAATGTTGGACAAAGACATACAAATTGTATTTCTACACTTTGATTTTGCTTGACAGGTTCTTGTAGCTAACAGCCACTGACCATTTCTGTAGATGGTAGAATCCATAGATCGATACAGCTTTCAATATGTTCCAAATCTGGTATTGCTTATCCTTTTTCTGTGAGCTAAGCTGTTATCATTTACTGTCTCTATGAAGGAAGAAAACAGTTATTTGCCCAATGAAGCACAAGCAATCAACATTCTGGTTTCAATATAGATGGCTGAGGAATCAGTGCTGGGAAATGTGTGAGGGGACTGAACCTACACTAATATGTATATTTGCAGTAGGTTCTGATTTCAGGTGTTCCTTTTTGCTACTTCTGAAATAAAAACTTGGCCAAACATCAAGTAGAAGGGTCTTTTGTGCTTCTGCAGTCCAGTGGGGAAATGGTTTCTGGTTACTTTTTCATGTATTAAATTAATTTTATTTTGAAAAAAGTTTTACGAAAGTTTTTCCTGTGTTTTTTTTTAGTTGTGATGAAATTCACATAACTAAATTAGCCACTTTAATGTGTTCAATTCAGTGGCATTTAGCACATTTACGGACTTGTGCAACTTTCACTTCCGTCTAGAGCCAAAACATTTTCACCAGCCTCCCAAAAAGCCCCATACCCATTCAATAGTCACTCCCCATCCTATCGCCTTCTTCCAGCCCCTGGTAACCACTAATCTACTTTCTGTCTCTATGGATTTACCTATTCTGGACATTTCATATGAATGAAATCATGTGATATGTGATCTTTTGTGTCTGGCTTCTTTCACTCGGCATAATGCTTTTGAGGTTCTTCCACATTATAGCATGTGTCAGTAATTCATTAAATTTATTTTTAAATGAAAATAATATTTAAGGGCATTTTCCTGTGTTCAACTATTTATTGATCACCTGTGTGCAAGGCACTGTACTATACATAGCATGCTGGAAAGGTTGGCATTCTCTGTGAAATAATTGTAGGACACAAGCATATGAGTCTCCTGCCTGCAGCACCCCACTCCCATGCCTCAGTCTCTAACATAAAACTACTAGAGGTGGCTGGTTCCCAAAGTAGCCAAATCCCTGTGACTCATAGGCTTTTCCACCCTCCCTTCTCCCCTTCTTAGACAAGATCCGTTTCCCCCAAGACCACACAAGCCATTTTAGAATTGTCGTTTGAACTCATGATATGTCAATGAACAGAAAGCATAGCACTGTGACTGTCATAAAGAAGAGTCGGCCCTCAGGAGAGGCCCAGCTTGCAGGGTAGAAACGCAAAATGCAGACAGCAGTGGTAACTGATGACACAGACTACACGGCTTCCTCCAGTACAGAGGGTGGCCCCCAAGGCTCAGGGCTGTGAAAGGTCCCGGAGGCCTCACCGAAGCAGTGAGACTTGGACGAAGGGGCGGGAGGGAGACTTGGACGAAGGGGCGGGAGGGAGACTTGGACGAAGGGGCGGGAGGGAGACTTGGAGAGGCAGGGTGATGGCCTTCATGGACAAAGGGAAGATTTGAACAAAGACTTGGCCGCGAGAATACACGTGGCCTTTTTAAAAGACGAGACACAGACCATTTTGTTTAGAAAGATTTGTTTGGAAACGAACATGCAGCGATGTCAACGTTGGTTCACTTGAAAGGGAAGCAAACGGGAAAATAACATCCCACTTTCCTTCAGCCCCCGCCCACAACCCCCGCCTTGTACCTGATCTTCTCCAGCCCAGGAGCAACCACAGTAGACCACTGAGACGTCTCCCCACGTCTTTCCATCATATCTTTTTTCCCAGCCAGCCCTAACGGAACCCAGGTGGTTCCTTCAACGGGTCCCACGCGGCGCGGGGCGGAGGGAGGGGGACTAACTCTGGGCATTCTGTCTCTCCGTAGTTTGGTTCCCATCATGCCCCTCTCCCAAGGTCCTGTCATGGCCGCTCTCTTAAAGCAGTTTTCCATTATGCCCCTCTCCCGAGGGAGTTTCCCGCCATGGCCGCGTCCCAAAACAGTTTCCAGTCGGCCGGGTGCAGTGGCTCACGCCTTAATCCCAACACTTTGGGAGGCTGAGGGGGGCGGATCACGAGGTCAGGAGATGGAGACCATCCTGGCTAACACGGTGAAACCCCGTCTCTACTAAAAAAAATAATAATAATAAATAAATAAATAAATAAAATTAGCTGGGCGTGTTGGTGCACGCTTGTAATCCCAGCTTCTTGGGAAGCTGAGGCAGGAGAATGGCGTGAACCCGGGAGGCGGAGCTTGCAGTGAGCCGAGATCGCGCCACTGCACGACAGAGCAGCCTGGGCGACAGAGCGAGACTCCGTCTCAAAAAATAAATAAATAAATAAATAAAACAGTTTCCAGTCATGCCCCCTTCTCAAAGAAGTTTCCCGTCGTGTCTCTCTTCCTTGCCCCTCCCCACTCTTCCTTCATTTATTTATTTATTTATTTATTTATTTATTTAAGACAGGGTCTTGATCTGTCGCCCAGGCTAGAGTGCATTGGGGAGAATATGGCTCACTGCAGTTTCAATCTCCGAGTTCAAGCGATCCTCCCACCTCAGCCTCCCTAGTAGCTGGGACGACAGGGTATGCCACCATGCCCGGCTAATTTTTGTAGTTTTTGTAGAGACAGGGTTTCACTATGTCAGCCAGGCTGGTCTGGAACTCCTGGGTTCAAGTGATCTGCCCACTTCGGCCTCCCAAAGTGCTGGGATTGCAGGGCGAGCCATGGAGCCCGGCCCCTCCCCACTCTTCAAAACCCTCGGCTCCAGCTCTGAAGCAGAGCTCCTCCCTCGTTTGTATCCTCACTTAGTGTATCATACTCTTGGAATAACTACTCAACCAATCAAAGAAAGGACATTTTTCCCCACCCAGGTATACCTTGGGCATCACGAATGATGCGGGGACATCATGGACCTTCCAACTCAGCCAGGCAGAAGGAGGTGTAAAGTGAAAGCCTCAGCTGGGATACGAGGCAGGATGTGCTAAGTTCCCCATGGTTGGTAGAGGCCCCAAGCGCTCCCTGATACTCAGAAAAGACAGGAATAGCTGAGTGCCGCTGGAAAAGCAGGCAGGAAGTGAAGTAGGTGGGGAGGGGCAGGAGATTGTTACAGTTACAGGAGCAACCCGAGAGAACAAAGACACCACGGTTAAAGCTGGCTAAAGTCAGAGGCGATTCAGAGACTGTCAGAATAATCCAGTTATGGGGAAAGAGGTCCTGAGCAGGGGCAGTGGAGCTAGAAGGAAAGGGCAGGTGATAACGGCTGGCAAAGGCAGGAGGAGCTGGATGGGAAGCTTGTGGGGACTTGTTGGGATTGGTGGGGAGGAGAATAGTTACAGAAGGTTTCAAGGCTAAGGTTTGGGTAACTTGGAGAAGGTTGTCTATCTGACAAAAGTTGGAAATTCAGTAACAGGGACAGAGTTTCCTTGGGTGAAGGGTGAGATCTGGGCCAGATCATCACTAGGAGTCCACAGATACAGCCCCAAGCCCCTAGGGTGGAGTCGCACTCCTTCCACAGAGGAAAAGGAGACAGCAACAGGACACACAGAAGAATCATAACCTGCTACTAGGCATGACGTGGGACCCCTGTCACATTTGTTTATGGAACACTTAGCTCTTTGGGGTTCCCAGGGACTAAAGTGTGTGCCTCAAAACACACCCTAACGGCCGGGTGCAGTGGCTCACGCCTGTAATCCCAGCACTTTGGGAGGCCGAGGCGGGCAGATCACGAGATCAGGAGATTGACAACATCCTGGCTAACATGGGGAAACCCCGTCTCTACTAAAAATACAAAAAATTAGCCGGGCGTGGTGGCACATGCCTGTAGTCCCAGCTACTCGGGAGGCTGAGGCAGGAGAATCACTTGAACCCGCGAGGCAGAGGTTGCAGTGAGCCTAGATCGCGCCAATGCACTCCAGCCTGGGCGACAGAGCGAGACTCTGTCTCAAAAAAAGAAAAAGCAAAAAAAACACACCCTAAGATGCTGCCTGTTTCTCTAAACAGGCTAAATGATGCATTAGCTTCAGCCGAATCGTTCTCACCAGTGGAAATGGTGACCTGCTTCTAGTGACGCACCCTGTGTGCAGAGCTGCATGGCTTCTCAGCAAGGCCACAGCCTCTCGGCGTCCTCAATGGCCGTGGCAGTGGGAACAAAGATGTGAGCGCTGGTGTCCTTGGTCCTCCCTGTCTACTCTCTCCAACCCAATGGCCAGTAAGGGTCTCATACCTGCTTTGGTTCTTGGAGAAGGCCAGGGACTGAGTAAGTGCTGGTAGACCGTGAGCACATGTCAGACATTCCCCACCATAATCTCCCAGAAACCCAGCCAGCAGATGAAAGCAGGTGAAAGGAAAGGAAGCGATAGAAAGAGTTCCTGCCAGGGAACAGGCGTGTGCTGTTTTGAGTTTTCCAGACCCGCACTGCAGTGGAGATTGTGGAATTTGCAGGCCTCAACATGTTGGTGAACACAATTTCTTCAATTATCCTCGGTAATTTATGGTGGACTATCATGAAGTCACACTAGATGTGCCTTTGAAAATTAGATGGTTTTCTCCTTTCATTTTAATATTTCTGCATTTCATTGAATAAAATTATAAATAGGGCAATTTCAAAAAGAAAGGAATACAGAATAGCAAACTTTTAGAACACCCATTAGGCAAAGTCCAAACTTAGAAAAATAGATATGTAAATCCTCGTGAGACGATTAACCTTCACCCCAAACACACACACTCATTTCTACTATTTATCACTCAGAACTTTTATGAGAGTTAAGAGTTTCTCCTAAGACTCAGGGATCATTTCTATAGTTTGTTACTAGAGAAGTTTCTCTGGATGTGTAGAGCACCGTAAAATAAAAGGAAAATGAAAAAAGAATAAAAAATTTTTAAAAAAGAGCTTGTCTCCTAAGAGATGATAAGTTTCTAGAAGATAAGGCTGTGTCTTTTTTTTTAATTTTTTCCCCCACAAATCCATAAAATGTACTCAGTGAATGTTTGTTTGATCAGAATTAAATTTGTATTACTAAAAGGGTTTTTGTTTTCAGCTTGTTTATTTTTGCTAGAGGAGCCAGTGAGTTGCTATTTTAAGAATAGCTTTGAATCATGACTTAGGAAGTCAGAATTGTATTAAATGAAGTAGTATCTAAAAACTTCCAGATCCATTAGAAATTATAACTAATGCAATTTGAAAAGAGAGTTGGATCATTCATTTTATACAAGTCTCTGTTTTCAATGACTTTCATATAAATGAACCCTAACAAAAATTTTTACCTACTTTTTGATTAACTTATCCAATGGTATTTCCGCTCTAAAGTATTTTACATGGCAAATAAAATATACAACTTTGGGCTGGGCACTGTGGCTCATACCTGTAATCCCAGCACTTTGGGAGGCCGAGGCGGGTGGATCACCTGAGGTCAGGAGTTCGAGACCAGCCTGGACAACATGGGGAAACCCCGTCTCTACTAAAAATACAAAAATTAGCCGGGAGTTGTGGCGGCACCTGTAATCCCAGCTACTCGGGAGGCTGAAGCAGAAGAATCGCTTAAACCCAAGAGGCAGAGGTTGCAGTGAGCTGAGATCGTGCCATTGCATTCTAGCCTGGGCAACAAGAGTGAAATTCTGTCTAAAAAAACTTTATGCTTGTAACTACATTTCTGTCATATTTATATAGCTTCTGAAATTTGCCCATAGGTTCTGGCAAAGTTGTTTTTTTCTTACACCAAGTGAACTTACAGTTAAAAAAAATAGAAAGTATTTAAACCTGAATGATTTCTGAGGTTGTAGCAGAAGGATCTCCCAAAGGAGGAAAAAAAAACCCTTACCTTCTCCTTATGTGCAGTCTCTTTCACAAATACATAATTTAATAAGGATTTGTGTAAATTTACCTTGTATTTTTTTTTTAGCTAAATTAGTTTTACATATAATATCTAATGCAATTTTCTCACGAAAGTGGGAAGGTACTATTATTACTATTATTATTAGTATCCCTTCCTTATTTACAAACAGAAAATCTTGGAATTCAGAAGGACAAAGCTGCATAATTTGCTCCAGCTACACAGCTACTAAGTGGCAAAGCCAGGTGTCTGGATTCCAACGTTCACGGTCTGGTCCAGTGTAAAACATTTACACTTGGATCCCTTACAAGTCTATAAGTGCTTTATTGAGTATGCTTAAGTAGAAAAATAATTCCTGAAAACTCAGTTCAAAATTAAATCCTTGGAGCTTACACAGTAAAATTCAACTTTCACTTTTGTGGGCCAAGAACTCCTGCTTAGGTGCCCTGGAACAGGAACCCCAGTGCCTTGCTGACAAATGGTCTTCATAGAACACAAATGGCCCTTCGTCATGCTAGAACCAATTGTATCACTTGTGTGTATCTAAGAAACCCAAGGCAGTTCTCCAATCCTGATAGACCAGTCAGGATTCAACCAGACAACTGGAACCAGTAGAAGATACATGCTAGATTTATTGCAAGGAATTGGCTTATGTCATTGGGTGGGGCTGGGCAGGCAGGCCTGAAATTTGTAGGGAAGACAGTTAAGAAGGCAGACTGGAACTCTCTTGGGCACTGGCTGTTCACAGGAGGAATTTCTTCTTCCTTAGGGAAGCCTCAGTCCTGCTATAGAGGCCTTTCACCTGATTATCCAAGATAATCTCTCCCCCGGCTTAAAGTCAACTGATTATGGACCTTATTTACATCTCAAAACAGCCTGGAAGCAACACCTAGATTAGTGTTTGTAGTGGGTTGGATTGTGTATCCTTAAAAAGATAAGTTCAAGTTCTAACCCCTGGTACCTGTGAACGGGGCTTTATTCGGAAATAAGGTCTTTGCTGATGTGATCAAGTTGAATGAAGGCTATACTGAATTAAGGGAGGCGGTAAATCCATTAACTGGATAACCTGTGTCTTTATAAGAGAAAGAAGAGGGAGATCTGGACACACACACACATACAGGGAGGGAGAAGGCCATGTGAAGATGGTGGCAGATATTGGAGTGATGCAGCTACTAAGCAAGGAACACCAAGGACTGCCAGCTGTCATCGGGAGCTGGAAGAGACAGGGAAGCATCCTCCCCTAGAGCCTTCAGAGGGAACATGGCCCTGCCAACATCTTGACTTCAGACTTCTGGCCTTCAGAAATCTGACAGAATAAATTTATGTTGTCTTAAGCCATCTAGTTTGTGGTTCCCTGTTTGAGCGGCCCTAGAGAATGAAAATGGTATTTGATGGAATAACTGAGGATTGTGGCCTAGGCAAGCGGACACATCAAAAGACCACCACCTCTCCATTCCCTTCTCTTCTCCTTTCCCTTCCTTTCCCTCCTTTCCCCTTCCCTTCCATCTCCTCCCCTTCCATCCCCTCCCCTTCCTTTCCCTTCCCTTCCCTCCATCTCAACCCTCTTCATGTCCACTGAGCTCATATTCTGGCTGGGGGAACAGACAATTAAAACTAATGAGCAAGCCAGGCGCAGTGGCTCATGGCTGTAATCCCAGCACTTTGGGAGGCTGAGGCAGGAAGATCACTTGAGGCCTGAAGTTCGAAACAAGCCTGGGCAACATGGCAAACCCCATCTTTACCAAAAAATACAAAAATTAGCTGGCCATGTTGGTGCTCGTTAGTAAACCTAGCTACTCAGGAGGCTGAGATGGGAAGATGGCTTGAGCCTGGGAGGCCAGGGTTGCAGTGAGCCATGGTCAAACCACTGCACTCCAGCCCAGGAGACAGAGCCAGACCCTGTCTCAAGAAACAAAAACAAAAAACTAATGAGCAAATGAACATGAACATGTTAGCCCATGAAAGAAAGACTGGTGAAGAGGGAGGGAGAGGGCACCCATCAGAGCAGAGACCGAAATGCTCGGAGAAGCCTGGGGTCCCTCCTGGAGGAGACGTCCTCACAGAAGCAGCACTGGGTGCAGGTGACAAGAAGCTGCAAACATTCAGGGAACAGCACAAGCATGTTGAGGAGTGGGTGTGCAGGGAAGAAAGAAGAGCAGGGAAAATGGGAGGAGATGGAGTCTTCTACCACTGTATTTTTGTTGTTGTTTTTATGAGACAGGGTCTTGTCTGTTACCAAGCTGGAGTGCAGTGGTGCAATCATGGCTCACTGCAGCCTTGACCTCCTGGTCTCAAATGATCCCACCTCAGCTTCCCAAGTAGCTGGGAACCACAGGCGCACCACCACACCCTGATAATTATTTTAAAATTGTTTTTGTAGAGATGGAGTCTCACTATGTTGCCCAGGATGGTCTTGAACTTCGGGACTCAATAGATCCTCCCACGTCAGCCTCCCGAAGTGCTTGGATTATAGGCATGAGCCACCACACCCAGCTTCTACCACTTGTTGGTTTTTAATTTGCATAGTGACACCTTTTCTCAAAAAAAATGCAATTGTACATGTGTGTAGTATAGAAATTTTGTATGTTTCAAAATAATTATCTTTCAAATCAGCTGCAGTGCAGCATTCTAATTTTTTAAGCAAACTTGTAAAATGTTAGAATAGTTTCAGTTACAGAAAGATAAGATTGAGAGTTCCTGTGTATAATTCAGTTTCTCCATTGTTAAAGCCTTATGCCTCCATAGTACTTTTGTTACAACTATGAAACTGATCTTGGTACATAACTAATAACTCAATGCCCAGTTTTTCCATGTATGTCCTTTTTCTGTCCTAGGGCCCCATCCAGGATTATACATTGCATTAAGTCATCGTATCACCTTGGGCTCCTCTGGGCTGTGACTGGCTCACCATGCTTCCTTGTCTTTGATGCCCTCGATAGTTTGGAGCAGTGCTGATTGGGTATTTTGTGGAATCTCCTTCAGTTTAGGTTTGTATGATGCCTTCTCATGATTGGACTGGGGTTGTGGATGTTTGGACATTCTTAGGTTTTTATTTACAGCATTTCATTGCATACCTAATGTTTCAACAAACATTAATCTATCTTAAAAATAGAATCACATATTTAATGCAGTTATTGTAATGTCTATCTTTGTCCCCTTTATACAAAAATACAGAAAACCAGGAGAGAGGCAGCCACCATTTCATATTCTTAGCTCATACGTGAAACCTTTCCATTTTAAACTTCTGGGAAGAACTTTAACATTAAAAATTCAAACCACTTTGAAATTATGTAGTCAACTGAAAAAGTTTATTTTAGTCATCTAAAGGGACCTGTGCAAAGGAAAACTACTCTTTTAGAAGCATACTTCTTTTTTTTTTTTTTTTTTTTTTTTTTTTTTTGAGACGGCGTTTCGCTCTTGTTGCCCAGGCTGGAGTGCAATGGCACGATCTTGGCTCACCGCAACCTCCGCCTCCTGGATTCAAGTTATTCTCTCTCCTGCCTCAGCCTCCCAAGTAGCTGGGATTACAGGCATGCACCACCACGCCTGGCTAATTTTGTATTTTTAGTAGAGACGGGGTTTCTCCATGTTGGTCAGGCTGGTCTCAAACTCCCGACCTCAAGTGATCTGCCCGCCTTGGCCCCGCAAAGTGCTGGGATTACAGGCGTGAGCCACCGCGCCTGGCCAGAAGCATACTTATTTTTCTCCCATTCCAGAAAACATTCCTTGCCTGGTGCCCTGACCGTTGCTGAAACCATTCCTTGAAACGTCTCTACCTGCTGATGTCAATCCGCCCAACATCCATGCAGTTGGATAGCTGTGTGCTGCTGCAACCTTTTGTGAGTGGGGGGAGTTTTATTTTAAATAGTTATCTCTGGCCGGGCGTGGTGGCTCATGCTTGTCATCTCAGCACATTGCGAGGCTGAGGTGGGTGGATCACTTGAGGTCGAGAGTTCGAGACCAACCTGGCCAACACGGTGAAACTCCATCTGTACTGAAAATACAAAAATTAGCCAGGCATGGTGGCGCACGCCTGTAATCCCAGCTACTTGGGAAGCTGAAACACAAGAATTGCTTGAACCTGGGAGATGGAGGTTGCAGTGAGCTGAGATTGCGTCACTGTACTCCAGCCTGGGCGACAGAGCAGACTCCATCTCAAATAAATAAATAAATACACAAATAAATAAATAGTTATCTCTAAAAACGTGATCAATTCTCACTAATATCTCAGAAGTATACTAAAATGTCCTTTCCCTTCCCTCCCTTCCCTCAGGGACATTTCAAAATTTCTATAAGACCTGTATCTGGTCTTATCAAATGGCTGTGCTCTAGTGAAAATAACAACAAACCTTAAAGGCCTCCTTACACAGGTACTGGGGGAAAGGCTGGGCTCTAATTCCATGTAGCTTTACTGTGCCTTTCTCAAATTTGCTAAAATTCAAGCTTTTAGTGTACAGTTGGCCCTCTGTATCCATGGCTTCCACATGCGTGAATTCAGCCAACTTCAAATCAAAAATACTTGAAAAAAAATGGATGGTTGCGTCTGCACTGAGAATGTACAGACTTTTATTCTTATCATTATTCCCTAAACAATACACTATAACAACTATTTGCACAACACTTACACTGTATTAGGTATTATAACTAATCTAGAGATGATCTAAATTATACAGGAGGCTGAATGAGGTGGCTCATGCTGTCATCCCAGCACTTTAGGGGAGGCCAAGGCAGGTGGATCACTTGAGGCCAAGAGTTTGAGACCAGCCTAGGCAACATAGCAAGACCCTGTTTCTGCAGAAAATACAAAAATTAGCTTGGGTGTGGTGGCACATACCTGTAGTCCCAGCTACTCAGGAGGCTGAGGTGGGAGGATGACTTGAGCCAGGAGTTCAAGGCTACAGTGACCTATGATTGCAACATTGTACTTCAGCCTGGGCGATGGAACAAGACCCTGTCTATAAATATAATATGTCAATATGGCCGGGCACGGTGGCTCACGCCTGTAATCCCAGCACTTTGGTAGGCCTAGGCGGGCAGATCCCCTGAGGTCAGGAGTTCAAGACCAGCCTGGCCAACATGGGGAAACCCCGTCTCTACTAAAAATACAAAACTTAGCTGGGCGTGGTGGCGTGCACCTGTAATCCCAGCTACCCAGGAGGCTGAGGAAGGAGAATCGCTGGAACCCGGGAGGCAGAGGCTGCAGTGAGCCAAGATCGTGCCACTGCACTCCAGCCTGGGTGACAACAGAGCAAGACTCCGTCTCAAAAAAAAAAAAAGAAAGAAAAGAAAAAAAGAATACATTAATTAACTAAATAAAATAAAAATAAATTATACAGGAAGATGTGCATAGGTTATATGCAAATACTGTGCCATTTTATATCAGGGACATGAGCATCCGTGGATTTTCGTATCTGCAGAGAGTTCTGCAACCAATCCCCTGTGGATACTGAGAGACGACTATACAGTTCTATGAGTTTTGACCAACATTGACAGTTTTGCAACCAGCACTACCATCAAGATACAGAACAGCTCAGTCCCTCAAAAATATCCCCCCATGATCCTTTGTAGTCAACCTTTTCCCCAACCTACTCTCAATCCCAACAATGGAGGGTCTTTCTGTCCCAGTAGTTTTGCCTGTTCCAGAATGCCATATGAAACCATGGAATATGGCAGAGTGTGGTGGCTCACATCTGTAATCCCAGCACTTTGGGAAGCCGAGGTGGAAGGATCGCTTGATCCCAGGAGTTCAAGATCAGCTTGGGCAAGATAGCAAGACCCCATCTCTACAAAACAGAAACAAAACACAAAACCATGGAATATGTCACCTTTGAATCTGAATTCCTTCACTCAGCCATTTACATTTGAGATTCATCCATGCTGTTGCACAGATCAATAGCTTCCTCCTTTTCAGTGTTCATGGAGTCAACACTGAAAAGTGTATATCCGTACAAGGGGATATATCCATATCCATATCCATGTCCCTTTGTATGGACATACTGCAGTTTATTTATCCCTTCACCAGTTGAAGGACACCTGGATTGTTTCCAGGTTTTGGCAACTATGAATAAAGGTTTCTGCATACAAGTTTTTGCAGGAAGCTAAGCTTTCACTTCTCTTGGGTATACATGTAGGAAGGGGGCTGTCAGGGTATATTACACATGATGTGTGTCCCATCTTATCAAGTGCCTGCTGATTCTGTAAAAGTAATAACATCAAAGAGGCCTTGTGACAAAGGCGCTGGAGAAAAACGCCACGTTCCACTCCCATTGAGTTTCACTTGTGCTTTTCTTAAAGAAATTTCTTTTTTTTTTTGAGATGGAGTCTCGCTCTGTCACCCAGGCTGGAATGTGGTGGCGCAATCTCAGCTCACTGCAACCTCTGCCTCCCGGGTTCAAGCGATTCTCCTGCCTCAGCCTCCCGAGTAGCTGGGACTACAGGCACGTGCCACCATGCCCGGCTAATTTTTGTATTTTTTGTAGAGATAGGGTTTCACCATGTTGGCCAGGCTGGTCTCGAACTCCTGGCCTCAGGTGATCCACCTGCCTCGGGGATTTTCTTTGTTAATGTGGTGTGGAGCTTCACTGTGTGGGAGATGAATTTTTGTGAAGAAACTGTCTATAAAATCCTCCTGTCTCCCATGCTTATTCTCTACAGCCAGTGTTAAAAGTTAAGCATGAAATGCAGAAGTGTCGTCGGGCGTGGTGGCTCCTGCCTGTAATCCCAGCACTTTGGGAGGCCGAGGTGTGGGGATCACAAGGTCAGGAGTTCGAGACCAGCCTGACCAACATGATGAAACCCCATCTCTACTAAAAATACAAAAATTAGCCGGGTGTGGTGGCGTGCGCCCGTAATCCCAGCAACTCGGGAGGCTGAGACAGGAGAATCGCTTGAAACCGGGAGGCAGAGGTTGCAGTGAGTGCATTGAGCCGAGATTGTGCCACTACACTCCAGCCTGGGGGACAGAGTGAGACTCTGTCTCAAAAAAAAAAAAAAAAAAAGAAATGCAGAAGTGGAAACAAATGGTGGGGTGGGGGAGAAGTACATAACTTCTTTTTTTTTTTTTTGAGACCGAGTCCGTTCTGTCGCCCAGGCTAGAGTGTAGTGGCACAATCTCTGCTCACTGCACTTACTGCAACCTCCGCCTCCCAGTTTCAAGCGATTATCCTGTCTCAGCCTCCCGAGTAGCTGGGATTACAGCTGCCCACCACCACACCGGCTAATTTTTGTACTTTTAGTAGAGACGGGGTTTCACCATGTTGGCCAGGCTGTTCTCGAACTCCTGACCTCAAGTGATCCGCCTGCCTCGGCCTCCCAAAGTGCTGGGATTACAGGCCCATAACTTCTTTCAAGGAAATATGGTTACCAAAAGAAAGGCGGGAAGGGGAGGAAACCCTTGAAAAGGATAATCTCTCTTATTTTGTAGCTATAACAGCCACGTGTTATTTGAGGGAAATTGCAACTCTTGCCTGTCATGTGCTCTTTGAGTAAACACAGGCAGCATTTTGTATTTATTTGATTTTTGGTTTGCTTTCCATGTTGGTGAAAGTGGGCTCTGAACACGTTCACCCCTTGAGAGACACCAAGGTTGGTGTGAGGTGGGCTGTGGGTTTTGGAATCAGAGGAGCTGGATTTGTATGTGTTCTGCCCCCTTTTAGTGGGAGACATTCTACAAGCCCACTGTGGAAGGCAGAATGTGGTCCCCTGAAATCGTCCGTGCTGGGATCCCTGGGAACCTGTGAAGACATCACCTTCCATTGCAAAAGGGACTACAGATGTGACTAACATGAAGAGCTCTACAATGGAGAGATTATTCTGGATTATACAGGCTATAAATCCTGGGTTACACAGGATCTTTAAACATAGAGGAAGGTAGAAGAAGAGGAGGTCAAAATAATGCTATTTAAGAGGGACTTGACCTTCTGTTGCTGGCTTGAAGATGGAGGAAGGAGGTCCCGTGCCAAGGAATGCCGGCAGTCTCTAGACACTGGGCAAAGTCAGGAAACAGATTTTCCCCTAGAGCCACAGAAAGAATTTCTTCCTCTTCCCCTTCCCCTTCCTCTCCTTCTCCTTCTCCTTCTTCTTCCTCCTCCTTCTCCTCCTCTCCTTCTCCTTCTTCTCCTCCTTCTCCTTCTTCTCCTTCTTCGCCTTCTTCTTCCCCTTCCCCTCCTTCTCCCTCCCTCCCTCTCTCTCTTTCTTTCTTCTCTCCTCCTCCTCCTTTCTCCTTCTCTTTCTACTTTTTTTTTTTTTTTTGAGATAGAGTCTCATTCTGTCCCCCATGCTAGAGTGCAATGACACGATCACAGCTCACTGCACCCTCGACCTCCTGGACTCCAGCAATCCTCCCACCTCAGCCTCCCACGTACCTGGGAGTACAGGCACATGCCACCATGCCTGGCTAATTGTTTTCATTTTTTTAAAGATGGGGTCTTCTTATGTTGACCAGGGTGGTCTCAAGCTCCTGGGCTCAAGCGACCTTCCTGCCTTAGCCTCCCAAAGTGCTGGGATTGCAGGCGTGAACCACCATGCCCAGCCGTGGAACACAGTTTTGCTGACACCTTGATATTATCTAATGTGTTAGTCAGGGCTCTCCGGAGAAACAGAACCAATATTATATACATACATATATATATATATATATATATATATATATATAGAGAGAGAGAGAGAGAGAGAGAGAGAGACAGAGAGAGACAGAGAGAGAGAGAGAGATTTATTATTAAGGTATTGGCTCATGAGATTATGGAGGCTGAGAAGTCTGTGATCTGCTATCTGCAAGCTGCAAGGCTAGCGGTATAGTTTAAAAGCCTGAGAGCTAGAGGGCCAATGGTGTAGACTCCAATTTGGGTCTGAAGGCCTGAGCACCCGAAGTATAGAGGGCACATCAATGTCTCAGCTCAACAGTCAGGCAAAGGGAGGGCAAATCCAGCCATGCTCTGCCTTTGTGTTCTGTTCAGGCCCTCAGTGGCTCAGAGGGTGCTCACCCGCACTGAGGAGGGTGATCTGCTTTACCCAGTTCAGCGATTCAAATGCTAAATCTCATCTGGAAACACCCTGAAAGACACATCCAGAAATAATGTTTAATCAGTTATGTGGACATCCTGAGGCCTAGTCAAGTTGACATGCAGAATTAACCATCACCCCCAGTGACACCCATTTGGGATTTTTGACCTCCAGAACCATCAGATAATACATGTGTGCTGTTTTAAACCACTAAGTGTGTGGCAATTTGTTACAGCAGTGACAGGAAACTAACCCAGCCACTAACCTCTCTGAGAGTCAACTTTTCTCCCTTGTAAAATGAATATGATCATGACAATATTTCCCCAACCACTTCATACGTTACTATGACAATCAGTGACAGAATGTTTGAAAATGTTTCGAAACTATAAAAGCTTTGCCAGATCGAAAACAAAATCTGCTGCTCCCTTTGATCTAGTACTTTTCCTACCCACTCAGCTCTTCCTTTGCTGGCCGGCTTCTGCATCTCCTAGGGTACATTTGATTTGGCCAATCTTTCCAATGACCTTTACCTTTTCTAAATGGGGGGCTGGGCCCCAGGCACTGACCATTTCTGCTCTTTAGAATCCATCATCATCACCAAACAGAATGAGCTTTATCTAACATTTTGGTATTTTGTTCACAATGGAGTTTTTGCATCACTTTTGAGTTTTAAAATACGGCATTATAATATTATTTATCTTGATGACTGCATTTAGAGATGACAACCTCATCTCTATAAAAAATAAAAAATTAGGCCTGGCGCAGTGGCTCACACCTATATAATCCCAGCACTGTGGGAGGCCGAGGCGGGCAGATCACCTGGGGTCAGGAGTTCCAGACCAGCCTGGGCAACAGGGTGAAACCCTGTCTCTACTAAAAATACAAAAATTAGCCAGGCGTGGTGGCACGTGGCTGCAATCCCAGCTACTTGGGAGGTTGAGGCGGGAGAATCACTTGAACCCAGGAGGCGGAGGTTGCAGTGAGTCGAGATCACGCCACTGCACTCCAGTCTGGGCGACACAGCGAGACTCCATCTCAAAAATGAATAAATAAATAAATAAATAAATAAATAAATAAATAAATAATTAACCGGGCATGGTAGCGCATGCTTGTAGTCTCAGCTACTCGGGAGGCTGAGGCAAGAGGATGGCTTGAGCCTGGTTGGGGGTTGGAGTCTGCAGTGAGCTGTGATTGTGCCACTGTACTCCAGTTTGGGTGACAGAGTGAGACCGTGTCTCAAAAAAAAAGAAGAGAAAAGAAAAGAAAGAAATCTGATGTGTGTTCCAAGCAGGTTGCTGTGGAAGCAGATTTTTGTTTTGTTTGGTCTCATGACTACTTTGAAATGATGGAACTTATTAGAATCACCTCTACAGTCTGAATTGAATGTATTGAAAAAGCAGCACATATATTACTATATCAGAATTTTAAAAAATATTGGATGACTATGTTTTAACACAATTGGGTTTCTTTGTAATCTTATGCATTATTTGATGTATCAATGCATTATTTTACGCATTTAGAAACAATATTCACTAAATTGCTGAAGGAGGTCTGAAGCATAGACATATTATGATTCTTTCCCTCAATTCTTTTTTTTTTAAATTTTCTACTTCCAGTTTATTTATTTTATTTATTTATTTTGAGACAGGTTCTCGCTCTGTCATCCAGGCTGGAGTGCAGTGGTATGATCTCAGCTCACTGCAAACTCCGCCTCCCAGGCTTAAGTGATACTTTCACCTCAACCTCCTGAGTAGCTGGGACTACAGGCATGCGCCACCACATCCGGCTATTTGTATTTTTGTAGAGACGGGGTTTTGCCACATTGCCCAGGCGGGTCTGGAACTCCTGGGCTCAAGTGATCCGCCCGCCTTGGCCTCCCGAAGTGCTGGGATTACAGCCGTGAGCCACTGCGCTCGGCCCTTCTCTCAATTCTTTAACCTTTTGAGTTCAATTTTATCCTCTGAATATTGGGCCTTCAGGGAGGACCTGGAAGAATCAAATATGATACTGTACATGAACACCTCCATGCCAAATGCAAAGTACTTTCAGGATTCAAATGATAACTAAATGCAAAATTTGAAATGAAAAAAGAAAAATAGCAATAGCTCACATGCATTAGTCTGCTGAGTCTGCTGTAATAGAGTGGGTTGCTTAAACACCACCCATTTATTTTCTCACAGTCCTGGAGGATAAAGTCCAAGGTCAAGGTGTTAGCAGGGTTGGGTTATTCTCAGGCCTCTATCCTTGGCTTATAGATGACTGATTTCTCCCTGTGCGTGTCTGTGTCCTAATCTCCTTTTCTTAAAAGGACTCCAGTCAGATTGGATTAGAGCCTACCCAAATGACCTCATTTTACCTTAATTACCTTCTTAAAGGCCCTATCTCCAAATACAGTCACATTCTAAGGTACTGGGGATCAGGACTTCAACATACAAATTTTTGTGAGGACACTATTCAGCCTGGCCCATAACATCAGGGAAAACAAACAAAACAAAACAAAAAACGAAAAGAAGTATTGGGTGGCTACCTAGGTCAAGGGATACAAAAGGGGTTTTCATCCACCTTATCTCAGCTCCATGACAGGTGATAGGCCTTTTTATCTTCACTCCTTTTTGTATACCTCTCTAAGTAGGACCTCACATAATGCCACCTATACAAGTGGCTTCCTTCATAGTTTTGGTTCTAGTCTCTCTAAGGAAAATTAGAAGCAAAATTCAAAAGCAAAGAAAGATCAGATGTTTGTAAGTGAAGTTGAAAAGTCCATCCCCCCTTCCTCATCTCATATGGGAAGCTCGTGGTGGGTGCTTATTCAGAGAAAAGTCACATCTATAAACATCAAGGAAAGATCATCACTTCCAGCATGCCTTCAATTTCAATATCTTGGGAGAGCAAGAATGGACTTTTGTGCAGCCTACACATATATCTGGAGGTTGCCAAACAACACTACCATGAGCTTCCCACACTAGATCAGTTCAGGAAACAGATATGAATAATTTGCTTTATCATGAGTGGTTCTTTATGTATAGCAGCTAGTGAATACCATTGTCATTTAAAGCAAACTTGGACTTTACTTTGACTTTGTACCTAGGGACCTATTTGCACTGTCTGGTCTTTCTTTTGAGTCATATAACAGTCATATCACATGAAAAGTTAGGGATATCATTCGGCCTCTCTCCTCTCTAAACAGATGATAAGATCTACTTAAACTTTGGTTAAAAAAAATGGAGTAGAAGGCCAGGAGTAGTGGCTCACGCCTGTAATCCTAACACTTTGGGAGGCCGAGAAGGGTGGACCACCTGAGGTCAAGAGTTAGAGACCAGCCTGGCCAATATGGTGAAACCCCGTCTCTACTAAAAATGCAAAAATTAGCTGGGCATGGTTGTGGGCGCCTGTAATCCCAGCTACTCGGGAGGCTGAGGCAGGAGAATCGCTTGAACCGGGAGGTGGAGTTTGCAGTGAGCTGAGATTGTGCCATTGCACTCCAGCCTGGGCCACAGAGCAAGACTCCGTCTAAAAAAAAAAAAATGGAGTAGGAAAGGGGCAGGCATGAAGATTGTAATCTAACAGTGAGGCAAGTGGATCCCAGGAATTTGGGTCAATCCTTGGAAGATCAGGGATTTCTGACTAGGCCAGTCATGGAAGCAAGTATTGGCCCATGTGTCAAGAGTCTTTGAAAATTAGATGGGCCTGGGGAAAATTAGACACTAAAGTCAGTGAAAACCAGGCAGTAAGTCATGAGAAGTTCAATATCTCTTCCTCCTGTCTTTTTTCTTTTTCTTTTGTTTTCTTTCTTTCTTTCTTTCTTTCTTTTTTAAGAGACAGAGTCTTGCTCTGTCACCTAGGCTGGAGTGCAGTGGCACGGTTATAGCTCACTGCAGCCTTGAACTCCTAGGCTCAACTGTTCCTCCTGCCTCAGCCTCCCAAGTAAGTAGCTGGGACTACAAGCTCAGATCACCATACCCAGCTAATTTTTTTATTTTTGTTTTTTGTAGAGATGGGATCTCACTGTGTTGTCCAAGCCGGTCTTGAACTCCTGGGCTCAAGTGATTCTCCTGCCTCAGCCTTCCAAAATGCTAGGATTACAGGTGTGAGCCACAGCATTTGGCACAGTGTTTCTTTTTTAAAAAAAAATAAATAATAGGCTTTTTTTTAAGAAGAGCTTTAGATTTGCAGAACAACTGAGCCGATAGTGCAGAGTTACATGTTTCTCTCCCCAGCTTCCAGTGTTATTAACATCTTAAGTTAGTGTGGTACATTTGTAACAACTAAGGAGCCAGTATTCATATATTATTATTAATTAAAGTCCATAGTTACATGAGGGTTTCCTCTTTGTGTTGTACATTTTGTGAATTTTGACAAATATATATACACACACACACTTATATGTATAATAACGTGTATCCACCATCATAGTATTACACAGAATAGTTTCACCACTGTAAAAACCCACTGTGTTCCACCCATTCATCCCTTCTTCCTCCTTGAACCCCTGGCAACCACTGATCTTATTGTTGTCTTATCTGTTTCCCCTTTTCCAGAATGTCATATGGTTGGAATCATACAGTATATGGCCTTTTCAGACTGGCTTCTTTCACTTAGCAATAGGCATTTAAGGTTCCTTTGTGTGTTTTGGGGGCTTGATAACCCATTTCTTTGTAGTGCTGAGTAATATTCCATTATGCGGGTGAGCCACAGTTTGTTTATCCATTCGCCCAGTGAAGGATACTTTGGTTGCTTCCAGTGTTTGGTGATTACGAGTAAAGGTGCCATAAACCTCTGTGTGCAGGTTTTTGGAGCACGTAAGTTTTCAGCTTAGTTAGGTAAATACCTAGGGGCACAACGGCTGACTGTATGGTAAGACTCTGTTTGGCTTTGTAGGAAATTGCCGAACTGTCTTCTGAAGTAGCTGTACAATTGTGCATTCCCATTAGCAACAAATGAGAGTTGCTGTTGTTCTGCATCCTGTCAGCATCTGGGATTGTCAGTTTTCTGGATTTTAGCCATTCTAATGTATGTAGTAGTATCTCATTGTTACTTTAACTTGCAATTCCCTAATGATATATGATGTTCAGCATCTTTTCATATGCTTACTTGCCATCTGTATATCTCTTTGATGAGTTTTTTTCTGATCGTTTGCTCTTTGATTCAGTTGTTTATTTTCTCATCGTGGAGTTTTAAGAAATATGTATATATATATACACATACATATACACATATGTACATATATCTGTACACGCACACACACACACACACACACACACACACACACACTCTAAAAAAAAATTAGAGACAAGGTCTTCTCTGTCGCCCAGGCTGGAGTGCAGTGGTGAGATCACAGCTCACAGCAGCCTCAACAGGTGTGAGCCACTATGCTGGCCTGCATATTTCAAATACAATCCTTAATCAGATATGGAATTTGCAAATATTTCCTCCCATTCTGTGACTTGTCTTCTCATTCTCTTAACAGTGTCTTTTGTAGACTTTTCAAATTTTAGTGATGCCCAACTTACCAATTTTTTTTTCTTTTACGCATCATGCTTTTGGTGTTCTAGCTACACAGTCATTACCAAACCCAAGGTCATCTAGATTTTCTATGTTATCTTCTAAGAGTTTTTATAGTTTTGCCTTTTACATTTGGGGGTATGTTCTATTTTAAGTTAATTTTTGTGAAAGATAAAAAGCCTAGTTTTTTTTTTTTTTTTGGCATATGGGTGTCCAGTTGTTCCAGCACCACTTGTTAAAAAGGATGAATTGCCTTTGCTCCTTTGTGAAAGATTAGTTAAGTATATTTGTGTGAATTCCTACTGCCTTTTAATTAAAATTTTGGGTACTGTTTATGGGGAATGCTGGTAGTATTTGTTGCAAGCAGATTCTTGTTTTCCCCTCCCTCCAGTCAATAACTGAAAATAAGTGTTTGCAACACACACACGCGCACACACGCACATGGCTAGTGCAGTGGGTTTCTGTGTAAATCACTGTGGACCCCTCGCCCTGTTATCCTTTAGCTTTCTCAGAATACACTACCTCCTTGCCGCTCTACTTTATTTCCTTGTTTTCTCCCACCTTATAGGACTGCACATTTGAAAAATCGTTGAAACAGATTAAATAACACAGTCTAATTATCACCCACCTACAGTCCATCTAGTATTTCAAAAAGAGGAATTTTGGTGATTTCACGATAAATGTAGGCGGTCTCTCTTCCTGTCTTAGGTCTTACAGTGTCCTTTGGGGTCCTGTGAGTCTATGATAAAAGATATTGACTCTTTACGGGTAATAAGGGTGGTGGGATTATGGGGATATTGTCAAACAGTCAAGATGAATTCTCAGCTCTTTTGCATTGTCAATTACAGGAGCTCAGCTGTAAATCCTGGCCACACTGGGCTCCAGTTTGAAAGTGAGGATTTCCACCACTTTCCCATACTTTAAAAGACTGGCATCTGCCAAGTAATCAAAACACACAAAGAGGCCTTTTAACCAAGTTTAGCTTGGAATTTCCAACTGCTAACCACAAGCAGGTCTGGCAAGCTAGGAGGCTGGTTGGCTGCGCAGCTACTCCAGAGTGTGCGGTAGCCGAGGGCTGCGTCCGCGTAAAGCCCAGAGCTGTAATGATGTCAACTTGTTATTTACTTTCCAAATCTGAATGACTGAGCAAGGCGAAAGGAGAATCAATCAACCACAATGTGACCCTACAGGCGGAAAAAACGCAGCACTCCCACCAGCAGGCGGTGGGGGAAGGGAAGCACGTGTAGCCAGGGCAGGGTTGCATCATGAGCTCGTTCGGGTTTTCTATTGCACCCTTCGTTTTTCTATTGCATGTAATACCTCAGCATCAGTCTGCACAAGCCCAGGGAGCCCAGGAGCAACGAAGGGCAGGCTCAAGGGAAGGCCCCACCATGTCCTTCTGGGGGGCCTTGAATGGCAACTGATACATAATAAGACACAATCTATTCTGCTGATTCACAATTATGGAGACTGTGTAAGTGTGTATTTTTTTATTGATGTCCTCTAATGATGGTGTAGCAACAGTCGTTTTGCATCATTGACGTTTTACAGCAATATTTTGCAGGGTAATTTTGAGGTCCGCCGTTTTGGTGGAGGACCGGCCTCTTAAAAACTCACCTCCGGCCGGGCACGGTGGCTCACGCCTGTAATCCCAGCACTTTGGGAGGCCGAGGCCGGCGGATTGCCTGAGGTCAGGAGTTCAGACCAGTCTGGCCAATATGGTGAAACCCCGTCTCTACTAAAAATACAAAAAAAATTAGCTGGGCGTGGTGGCATGCGCCTGTAATCCCAGCTACTCGGGAGGCTGAGGCAGGGGAATTGCTTGAACCAGGGTGGTGGAGGTTGCAATGAGCCGACAGCGCGCCACTGCACTCCAGCTTGGGCGACAGAGCGAGACTCCTCAGAAAAACAAAAACAAAAACAAAAAAACAAAAACCTCACCTTAGGTCCCCCTCCCCCTACAACCAGAACAACAAATGGTCTAGAGTTCGAGGAAGAGCAAGTGAGGTTATAGTTTAGATTGCTGAGTGTACCGGGCTCTTAGCACGAAGCTCATTATATAGTAAAGGAAGGGGCAAGAATATTTGAAAAATATTCAACGAGGCTGACCCCAGAGGTGCTGGGGAGGGGGAGTGGAGATCTGTTTAACTGAATTAAGGCTGCGAGTGGTTGGGAGTAGCCTACGTGGAGGGGAGGAAGGAGCGCTGGGGACTTAGGTACACCGGGGCCAGGCCGTGTAAGCCATTGCAACATAAAGCACTTTGCAAGGGCCAGAGGGCTGATGCCTGGGGGGTTGGGGTGGGAGTGATGAGGCCCGAGTGCCCAGGTCCCCCCAACCTCCTCAGCCCCCACACCCGAGTTCCTGGCGCCTATGCCTGTGTGTCTGAGTTTGTCCCTAAGCATTTCTGGCTCTTCTTGGGAGGTGTTTTGCAAAGGTCGAGGCTCCGCCGGAACCCCCACTTTTTGAGCTGGGGTAAAGACTACTGGGGTGTCTTCTAAGACGCCGATTTTGAGGGAGATTCACCATCGGGCAGGTGGCAGGGGGTTCTGTTGGGGCAGCCGGGTGGCTTCCTTTTTGGGGTGGGGGAGGGTAACACTTTAGCAGTGATCGAGGTTCCCCTGCCCCCTAGAAACTGAGGGGGTGGCCGAGGTTCCCGTCCCCTCGAGGCAGTCGTGGAAAGGCTGGGTTTGGGATGTGATGGGGGTAGCCCTGGGGTCCTCTCAGTCCCACGGAGGCCACGGGGAAGGGACCGGGACCAGAGCAACTAGGGAGAGGCCCGGGTTCCCCTCACCCACCCTAGGCGTGGGGGAGCGGGGCGGGCTTGGTAGGGACGCTGGTCCCCCGACCGTGGGACAGGGGCTGGGTTGGGACGCGGGTCCCCACTAGGAGCCGCGGGGGAGGGGCAGGGCCGGAGTCCCTACCCTCGTAGGGGAGGGGCTGGTTCGGGACGCGGCTCCCCCGGGGCGCAGGGGCGGGGCCGGGTGGTACGCCGGGTCCCCTCCCACGGCCGTGAGGGAGGGGCCGGCGGCGGGGGCGGACCCCTGGCGGTCCTCCTGGCTGGGGTCCGCGCGCTCGCGGCAGCTCCCCGTGGAGGTCACTGTCCGTGCCAGTCCCTCCCGCTGTCCCGCCCTCTCCCGCTGCCGCCGCCGCCGCCGCCGCGCCCGCCTCAGCGCCCCCACTCCGCGCTTGGGAGCGAGGAGCCGCCAGCGCCCCCGCCCCGCCGCCGCCGCAGCGCCCTCAGGCCGCCATTCGCCACCGAAACTTTCCAGCGCCCGCGCTCTCTCCGGGACTCGGCGGCGGCGGGGCGGGGGCGGCCCGGGGGCGGCGCGCGGCTGCTCCGGGGCGCCGGGCCCTCTTCGGCCGCCGCACGGCCGGGACTCGGAGGCTGCCGGCTGGAGGGAGGTTCGGAGCGCGGCCGGGCGCGCGGCGCCGCCACAAGTTGCGCTGCTCGCGACGAGGTGAGTGCGCAGGGCTCGGCGGGCCGGGCGCGGGGTCCGCAAACTTCTGCGGGGAGGCGGGTCCCGCGCTGACCCTCCAGGGTCCGGCCGGCGGCTCGGGGCGCCCGAACGCTCCACCCGCCCCTGGAACTCCTGTAGGTGCAGGTCGCCAACTGTCCCCGCGGCGCTCGGACTGGGGTGCGGCGCGCTCCCAGGAGCCTGAACAATACCCCGAGGTGGCCGCTCCCCGAAGTGCCGGCGCGCCTTGCGGGGAGAGACGGAGGTCGGCGGGGGGCTCCTTTGTTTTGGGGAGGGGGAAGTGGCCGGTAAGTTTAGGGAAGCGCTCGGCTTTTCCTCCGGTGCCCCTTTGTCTGCCGATTCAGGGGCTTGCTGGGCAAACCTGCGCCACCGCGGGCTCCGGGGACCGGGGTGGAGGGCGGTGGCGGGATTTCCCCGCTGTTGGGGAGAAGAGCCCCATTCATACCCGGGACGCGGGCCGGCCCTCCCGGACCCGGGTGGAAGCGCAGCCTCGCGGAGTGGGGCAAGCGGCGGGCGAGGTGGCGCGGGCCCCGTGTCTGCTCAGTTTCTGACGCGCAGAAACTGTCAAGGAAGTCGGGAGCCCCAGTCCTCCGCCCATCTCCCCGGCCTGAGCGCACGGCTGGGCTGGGGGCACCCTTGGCCCGTCGAGGGTCTGCAGAGCGCCGCCCGGGGAGAGCGCAGACCTGTTGCTGCTCCTGGGCTCTGACGGGGCGGGTGGGGTGGGTCTCGCAGATCCTGGGCCCCGGCCTTGCTATCCAGGGGGACCTTCCCTAACGATGGGACCGGTGCTCGGAGTGGAGTATGGGGAGTGCGCCTTCGGGAGTCGGCGCTGGCCGGATATGTGACAACTGTGGGTCGCTGGAGGCCCGCCTGCGCTGGGATAGGGCCTGGACTTCACGTGCGTCGCCTGTGTTCCGTCAGACCGGGGCCGGGGCTCGCTCCCTGCAAGGCCTCGTGTTCCCCCAGCCAGCTGCGTTGGACGTTCCACAAAGGTAGGGACTGACGTTTATTCTCGAGTCAGTGATGTTCTGGAGCAAAACCTAAAAAGAAACAAAAACCTACCCTCTATTGTATTTGCAACTGTTTCTGCTTTGCATTGTCATGTGTGGTTTGACCTGCCTTTTGGATGTTTTCCTCTCCTGAAACATCGCCCAGTCCCTGGTTTAACCTGGAAGGCGAGGGGGAAGGAAGGCAACCTCCCTGCTAAGGTTCCAGGCAGTGGCTTTGGTGTTGGAAGTGGCACTTGACGATTTTATGAAAAGTTTACAAGTCCTTCCTAGAAAAGATGTAATTAGGAAAAATAAAATACAGAAGAACGTTGAGTATGACGCGTTTATTTTAAAGGGTAGTCCTGTCTCAAATGTGCTGCACATTTTTGTGGAAAGCCACCAAGCTGGGTAACTAATGCAAACAACAAAAGTTGTTCATCACTGGATCACCGGCCCTTAAGGCGATTCCAGCCCTTAGTAGAACACACACCTGTAGGGCAAATATGGAGATTTGTGGTGTAGTGCTGCCACCCTCGCTCCCCAACTCTCAGGCATTTTGCCCCTTTACCTCAGAGAACTTCTCTCTGTCAGTGGTTTTAAAGAGGAAACAGTTTGCAAAAATAACTTTATTGTAGACATACTTAGAAGTGAATGTTTCAATTTCTGGAGTTTTCCCATCAATTATATCAGTACCACTGGTTCTGTACAACATCATCTTAGTTAGAAGATTTTTTTTCACCTTTTAAGGTGACGAACAGAGGCGGGAAAATGGTCCCTGCAGAGGGAGGCCATCTCCAGCAGGTCCCGAGGGTCAGGAATTCAGATTATCCGATCTACTCCTGCTGGATAGGAGCACACCTCCGCTAGAACCTGGGTCCGGCCCCCTCCCAGTTTTCTGCAGGGCGTCCAGATTCCGGTGCTCTGCCCCGCAGCAGTGCCCTGTGGGCCTCCTGGCTTAGCTGATCAGCACAGCTTCTCTGCCCAGCGAGGCAGGACCATCCTCCCACTGCTTTCCTGATGCCTTGGATTTGCTTTTTTTCCTCCCTTAGGAAAAGCAAAAAAACCTAATATGCTACATCCGAGAAGTTGTTAATCTTTCACTACCACATGCATTGAAAAATCAGTTCCACCCAGGAAGCAACACTAAAGGCATATTGTAAACACTTTTTTTTTTTTAGTTGGAAAGATAAACTTTTTTCCCCCATAACTATTTTTAGTTAGCCGGAGACTGGACTCGAGTTTTTACCTCCGGTCTTGCCCCCTCCACTCCCGCCCTCACTTTCTGTGGGGCTCGACCACATGGACCATGCTGGCCAGACTGGCAAACATGAAACCCACCAGAACCAAAAGAAAAGCTGGATATGGGAAGGGGCCGAAGAAGTCCACATGTTTCTAAAGGGCAAAGAGCCTAGGCTGAGGAGAGACGTTTCAGATCTCCAGGGGAGAAAGACAGCCGTTAAGGAGTCCGCCGGGCTGCTGCCTGCCTGGCCAGCGGGAGCCTGACTTCAGATGCCTGCGCCTCCCAAGCTGGCCCCCTCCCACACAGCCATCGCCATCCAGTATTTAGGGAGAATCCACCGCATGCCTGAAGGTTGCAGAAGTGAATTGGAAACCGTTACAAATGGAATTGGAACAAATTTAAAGTTAAGATGGAAGAGAGAATATGTTGAGTTTTCAGAGGAAGTCGGGTACTGCTTCCTTTTCTTGTCTAGGTTTGTTCTTGTCCGATGGGATCAGAGAGATTTGAGATGGGGCATGATAGGCGGCGGGTTCAGGAGAAAGGGAAGCTTTAGAAATGAAGGTAGAAAAGATGCTTGCTTATTGGAACAGTATTTTCAACGTTGAGCTCTGGAATGTTGCAGCCAACTAATGGTTCTCATTTGGGACAGTTTTGTCCCCCACTTTTGAAGGGAGCATTTGCCAATGTCTGGAGACATTTCCCTTCCTGCAACTGTTAAATTAGCAAACAGGTTGAGCCAGCTGGGTGTGGACCTGCATTTTCCTCGTGGAGGCCCTCTTCCAAGTGTCAGTAGGAAAAGGGCTCCCAGAGTGTGGTCCTGCTGCGGGACCTTGGCCCCCACGTCCAAGTGAGCCCCAGAGGTGCCCCAAGCCCTGCCTGGTCATGGGGAATCTGGGCTCCCGCTGAACTTGGGCGCTGGGGACAGCTATGAGGGAAACCTGGTTTGCAGCTAGCTTGCCGTGCACTGACTGGAGCTTTGGGCAAATCAGTGAACTTCTCTAACATTAATTTTCTCATTGAGAGAGGAGGTGGGTAGGAGTATATATATATATATGTAATTATATATATAGGGGTCGGGTAGAGGGAGAGAGAGATTTCCCAGGCTCCTTGTATTAAAGGAGATAGAGTTATTATATTTCTCATTTAGTTTTTATTTATTTGTTTATTTTGAGACAGTGCAATTATTATAGCTAGCTGCAGCCTCAACCTTCTGGGCTTAAGCAATTCTCCTGCCTCAGCCTCCTAAGTAGCTGGGAGTACCAAATGCGCACTACCATACCTGGCAATTTTTTTATTTTTATTTTTAGTAGACACAGGCTCTCACTGTGTTGCCCAGGCTGCTCTCAAACTCCTGGGCTCCAGTGATCCTTCCTCCTTGACCTCCCCAAGTGTTGAGATTACAGGTGTGAGCCACTTTACTCAGTCGACCGACATAGAATTATTATAATGCTTGGAGCCTAACATGCCTTTTTTGTTTGTTTGTTTGTTTTTTCTGAGACGAAGTCTCTCTCACAGCCCAGGCTGGAGTGCAGTGGTGCGATCTCGGCTCACTCTGCCTCCCGGGTTCAAGCGATTCTCCTGCCTCGGCCTCCTGAGTAGCTGGGATTACAGGCATGCTCCACCACACCCGGCTGATTTTTGTATTTTTAGTAGAGGTGGGGTTTCACCATGTTGGCCAGGCTGGGCTCGAACTTCTGACCTCAGGCGACCCTCCCGCCTCGGCCTCCCAAAGTGCTGGGCTTATGGGCATGAGCCATCGCGCCCGGCTAGCCTAACATGCTTATAGTTTCCTGTTTTCTGAAGTTGGGAATTGGGTCTGGAAAGGTATCACCATCAGTCACGATGGTGTCTAGTAGTTTGCTTTGTTTTTTTCCTTATCTTTTCCCTCTTACATTTTAGGGCTGTATCTATATAATTTTATTATTTAAATTACCATATGGTAAGTTTGTCTCTTTGGGTGCATTATGAGTCTTGACACATGCATAGATTGGTGTGACCACCATCATCATCAGGAGAGAGAACAATCTCCTCAGCCCAGAGATGTTCATGGCTCTGTCTCCCACAGTTCCTCCACAGTCACCCCCCCCAGCCCCGAATCTGGGGCACCCAGCCATCTGCTCTGCTCTGGAAGTCTTGGGGATCCCATCTGAATGTAACACATGGTGGAATGCCTTAGGTGAATCCATCCGCTCTTCCAGTACCACCTTTGCCTCCTCTCTCTGATGACACATGAACTTCATGCCTTTGTGTGCTTTGGCCAACCGCTTTTCTTAGAACAGCACATTTTGCACTGTAGATGTTATCACAAGCAAGGAAAAAACAGCTTTGCTCCTTAATGTAAGAAACCACAGTGGAAAAACATCAGGTGTGTTGTTGAGGCTGCTAAAGCTTTGCTCCTTTTTAAAATTTTTTAAAAATTTTTCTGGATACGTAGGTGTATATATTTATGGGGTGCATTAGATATTTTGATATAGTCGTGCAGTGTATAATCACATCATGGAGAATGGGGGTATCCATTCCCTCAAGCACTTATTCTTTGTGTTACAAACAATCCAATTATACTCTTTTAGTTATTTGCTCTTTTTTCTTTTATTTTGAGACGGAGTCTCACTATGTCGCCCAGGGTAGAGTGCGGTGGCGCGATCTCCGCCCGCAAGTTCAAGCGATTCTCCTCCTCAGCCTCCGGAGAAGCTGGGACTAGAGGCATGTGCCACCACACCTGGCTAATTTTTTTGTATTTTTAGTAGAGATGGGTTTCACCATGTTGGTCAAGCTGGTCTCAAACTCCTGACCTCAGGTGATCCACCTGCTTAGCCTCCCAAAGTGCTGGGATTACAGGCGTAAGCCAGCACGCTCGGCCTATTTATTTCCTCTTTGTTCTATGCCAGTTAGTTCTTGATGCCTCATTGTTTCAGATGGGACATTTTCTAATGTCGTGTTTTTGTTTTTGTTTTTTTGAGACAGAATTTCATTGGTGTTTCCCAGGTTGGAGTGCAGTGGCATGATCTCTCCTCACTGCAACCTCCGCTTCCCGGGATCAAGCAATTCTCCTGCCTCAGCCTCCCGAGTAGCTGGGATTACAGGCATGCACCACCATGCCCGGCTAATTTTGTATTTTTAGTAGAGATGGCATTTCACCATGTTGGTCAGGCTGGTCTCGAACTCCTGACTTCAGATGATCCACTCGCCTCGGCCTCCCAAACTACTGGAATTACAGGTGTGAGCAACCATGCCCGACCTCTGATGTCCTTTTAGAGGATGTTACCCTCACCTTTATTGCACAGTCCTACCAAAAGGTACTTCATATGTGAAATGTATCAGAAGGTTATAGTCATGGCTTTAGTTTAAAAACAGGATACATGTTCATTAAGGACCTTTGCCGTTTTCCCAATGGGTTAATCACGTAAATATAAAATAGGCTAAAAATATCAAGTTGTTTTTGCCTTTGTTGTAGAAATAAAAAAATGAATTCCTACATCTGTGTTTCTATGGAGCTGCTAACCTGTGTTTTACTCTGGGCCATATGTCGCTTTCTGTGATCTCATGACGTGGCATGTTTTCTAATATAATCCTTGTCCTGGCATTTTGGTGACTTTTGTCCTGCCTGAGGTGGTCTACCTGGTTGTGTGAAGTCACAGAACCTGTGCATGTCCTACCGTGTAGAGTTAAAGGGCTGGATGAGTGGCCTCAAGCCTTTTCCTCCCTCCCAGGTGTGAAGATTTGGTTTGGAAGATGGACCCTGCTTCAAGGTCTGGGAGGCCATGTTTTTTTCAGACTGGTTAAGGATGACGGTTTTATGTTAACTAAACATTGGGATCAAGTGACAGTTGTTTATGTCCGGTGCCTAGAGTATCAGTTTTCCCATGATTAAAATAAGCGATATTTTGGTAAACATTGATAAGTTAGTTGCGCATTTTAGTTCAGAAACCCACAGCGAGTCAGAAGGCGCTTTGTGCTGCTGGGCGCCTCTGAGTGATTCCGGGGAGTGCGGCAGTTCTCCAGCCCCAGGAGACCCTGTGAAAGAAGCACAAACAATGCTCACGGCAAAACTCACAGTGTTTATTCTTGACCTGGGTGTCTGCCTTGAATTCTTGTCATTTTTCCTATCGTGGTGGATGTAGCCGGAATGCTTTAAAGAAAACATGAGAGTTTTTTCTGCCTGTTTCCCTTGAGCCTGGAACCGATTATGACCCCAGATAGCCTGCACAGGGCTCTTTCCTTTCTGGAACACCTGCCCAGGCTAGAATATGGGAGTAGGGAGGAGGTGAGGCTCTCTCCTGCCCGGTAACCTTCCCGGCCAGCTCTCCAAGACGCTGAAACCTTCCTTCGGGTCTGTTGAAACTGCATCCCCAGCACCATCATGTCGGAGCAAGAAGAGAAGGGCATGTGTCCCCTTTAGGCTTGACTCTTTCCAATTAGGGACCTGCCTGTTGTTAGGATTTAGAGTCCATGTGAATGTGCAGTATTGTTCAGTGCTGCGAGCATTTTTGCTTGTCTGAATTTCCTGATAGAAGGGAATTTGGACAAAAAGAAGCTTATTGTACATGGTGCCATTTTATTCCTTAAATCAATAATAACAAATACTTTATTTATGTATTTTTAGAGATGGGGTCTTGCTCTGTTGCCCTGATCATAGCTCACTGCAGCCTTGGCTTTCTGGGCTCAAGTGATCCTTCTGCCTCAGCCTCCCAAGTAGCTGGGCCGACAGGCACAAGTCAGCATGTCCAGCTTTTTTTTTTTCTTTCTTTTTTTTTTTTTTTTTAATTTTCAATTTTTTTCTAGAGATTGGGTCTTGCTGTGTTGCCTAGGCTGGTCTTGAGCACCTGGACTCAAGCAATCTTCCTGCATCGGCCTCCCAAAGTGCTGCGATTACAGTTGTGAGCTACTGTTCCTGGCCAACATATACTTTAATATGGCAAGACCATATAAAATAATTTTAAGAGGCCAGGTGTGGTGGCTCATGCCCCCCAGCACTTTGGGAGGCTGAGGGGGGCAGATCACGAGGTCAGGAGATCGAGACCATTCTAGCTAACACGGTGAAACCCCGTCTCTACTAAAAATACAAAAAATTAGCCAGGCATGGTGGTGGGCGCCTATAGTCCCAGCTCCTTGGGAGGCTGAGACAGGAGAATGGCGTGAACCATGGAGGTGGAGCTTGCAGTGAGCCAAGATTGCGCCACTGCACTCCAGCCTGGGTGACAGAGCAAGACTCCGTCTCAAAAAAAAAAACAATAATTTTAAGAACTGGAGGAAAATTCAGCAGGACTGAGTCGTGATTTCAGTTTCTGGTGCACTGTGGGTAATTGGGTAATTGTCAGCCTGGATGCTTGTGCTCCTTTAGTTGTCACTGTTACCTTGTCATCTATGTGAAGATGAGAAATGAAGTTGAGTGGAGAACTGTCGCCAAAGTCTGCCATGTAAAAATCGGTAGTGCCAATGTGCAAAGGTAATTCCCAGGTGCTATAAAAGTCCAGGTGGCTTCACAGTTTCAGATTGTATTTCCCGAAAGCGTAGAGAATTGATATCCCTGAATAGGAAATTGACGTCCCTGCCATTTGGTTCATTTGGGGAACAGAATAAACTTGTGTCCTTGCCTTCAGTTCTTTTTTCAACAGAATCTTATCAAGCATTTGAATCGTACACAACTGTAATGCCAGCTCCATGTTGATAAAAACTCAAGAATTCAAAATTATAAACTTGAAAACAGCAATTGCCAACTTCTGACAGTAGCAGGAGAGTCTGGAGGACCTGTTCAGAGGAAGTCGGGTACTGTTTCCTTTTCTTGTCTAGGTTTGTTCTTGTCCGATGGGATCAGAGAGATTGAGATGGGGCATGATAGGCGGTGGGTTCAGGAGAAAGGGAAGCTTTAGAAATGAAGGTAGAAAAGATGCTTTCTTATTGGAACAGTGTTTTCAACGTTGAGCTCTGGAATGTTGCAGCCAACTAATGGTTCTCATTTGGGACAGTTCTGTCCCCCACCTTTGAAGGGGGTTTGGTTTAATTCCCAATTTGATTATGAAGAAAATACCAGATTCAGCTTGCATTTTCAAGACACAGTGGTTCTATGTCAACTTCAGCCATTTCCAGGGATCTGTCTTAGGATACTTCAAAAAGCCTAACCTTTGAGATGCACTCAGCTCATAAGTTCGTGAAAATAAGAATGAATAATCTTCCCTGTCCAGTACATGACAGAAATTATTGTAGACCAGATGAGAGCAAGGAGAGATACTTGTTGATATTACATGTCACGGGATGCTCTGTTAAATTTTATGGGACTCTGAGTGTAATTCCTTTAAGCCAGTAGTCTCTAAATTTGGGGGAAGGACAGGGGACAGAAATGACTTGTTTCAGATTTTAATTCCCAAAAGGGTCTTAGTGAGTTTCATGCCCTCTGGCAGGTGCACAGCAAGATTTATTGGGATGCAGGAAGAAATTATGAAAATGTCCATTAAGAAAATCTCTAATACTTGTAAAAAATATATTTCTTGTCCATGAAATGCATGTTACTTGAGTATTTTATATATTTAATAAATTACATGAGTTAGGAGCACCTTCTGAAAACTTTTTTGCTGAAAAGGATATATGATGAAAGAAACATTTATGATGTAGGTCCCCAAAGGCTGGAAGAGGGGGTGATACCAACGTCCCTGCCTGCAGGTAGGACACAGTTGTACTCCCCTTTCCTCTGACTTCAGCTACTAAGGTATGTGTGCGTTTGCACGCACATGTATGTGCGTTAAGTAACTTTGAGATCCACCAGCTTAAGGACTGGACATCGTTCCAGAGGTACAGGTATTAGTGATTTGACTTAGGGAAGAAAGAATATGCAATAACAGGGAACCATGCACATACTGGATCTATTGTATTTTGCGTGTTGTTTTTAAAGCTGAAAAAATGCGCTTGTTTCGGAACTAGATGACAGTACCTGTTTGCAGGTCCACAAGGAAACCTTGGAACAATGCTATGCTTTTTAAGCGTTTTATGACTGCATTGTTTTCATAATCACTGAATTCTGTTTATAAATCAGCTGATTTCATTGACGGATGCCCTCAGGGCTCTGGAGAATTAGGCGTTTTGCTGCAGAAATGGTTCAGAATTTCAAAGACATCAACGTGAGATTGTACTGGAATTGAGTTGTGATAAAAGTCCTAGGGTGCTTTAAATCTTTAAATCTGGTTATTTGTTTGTTTGTTTTTTGAGGCAGAGTCTCACTCTGTCGCCTAGGCTAGAGTGTAGTGGCGTGATCTCAGCTCACTGCAACCTCCGCCTCCTGGGTTCAAGCAATTCTCCTGCCTCAGCCTCCCGAGTTGCTGGGATTACAGGCGCCTGCCACTGCACCCGGCTAATTTTTGTATTTTTAGTAGAGACGGGGTTTTGCCATGTTGGCCAGGCTGGTCTCGAACTCCTGACCTCAGGTGATCCGCCCACCTTGGTCTCCCAAAGTGGTGGGATTACCGGCGTGAGCCACTGTGACCTGCTGTTTTTGTTTTTGAGACATATTTCATCTATCATGGTTATTAAGTGTTTTGTTTTTTTGCATTTCTCATTGGTGTTTTTTGTTTGTTTGTTTGTTTTTTTGAGATGGAGTCTGGCTCTGTCGCCCAGGCTGGAGTGCTCAGCTCACTGCAACGTCTGCCTCCCAAGTTTAAGCAATTCTCCTGCCTCAGCATCCCGAGTAGCTGGGATTACAGGTGCCCACCACCACCACGCCTGGCTAATTGTTTTATTTTTAGTAGAGATGTGGTTTCACCATGTTGGCCAGGCTGGTTTCGAACTCCTGACCTCAAGTGATCTGCCTGCCTCGGCCTCCCAAAGTGCTGGAATTACAGGCGTGAACCACCACGCCTGGCCTCATTAGGTTTTTTTTTTTTTTCTGAGTTGCTGCTACACTACTGGTGTTACAGAGTGAATAAACATAAAAATTATATTCACAACTCAGACCACATTGTGGGCTGTGGAGGTGAGAAATAGGAATCATCTCTAAATTTAAGGTCTTCTGGCTGAGCTCATTTGCTTAGAATGGCTGAAGGTTTGGTTTTCATGAGATGAAATGCCAACCTCAAGTGGTTCTGGGTTTCCAGACCAGTTTTTAGTTTGTTTAACTTGAGAGAATTGATATGTCAGCTTTAGTTTTTGTGTGTAATTTTTGGTGTTTGCATCTGTTTTCTTCTTTGTGAATATTGAATTCGCAACATAACTTTGTTATATGAAATGATGCTCATACACTTGCGCAGTGCATTAGAAAGCCTGCCAGGAGCAGTACTTGTAGATTTCCGTGTACCAGCAGGATGCCTAATGCCGACCATGATTAATGCTCATCAGAATCTATGTAGACCTCCATTTGTCCTTTGATAAGCTGAAATATTTGTGTCTACTTTTTAAAAAACCTGTTGCTTCTCTTTATGGTAATACTCAGAAGGCACTCACTGTGAAGAGAGGAGAAACAGGAAGTAGAATTTTTTACTATCTAGATTGATGCACCTATCTCCCCTCTCCAGAGACCAATGCATTTAGGCCCCAGTAAGAAATTTAGTTGTAATGAACCATAAAGCAGATGCAGAGTATATTTGGGAATATACCTTATCTGACTCCACAGCCCAACCCCTTTAAGAGGAAAGAGATGGCACAATATATTTTGCTTTAAGCCTTAGACTGGTCTTGACTTCATATTGGAACCACTGAATTGCTTCAGCTGTGAACTGGAATCCTCTCCTGTCTTTGTTGTTGAGTGATGACACTCTTAATTAATCATTTGCTTATTTGCCATCCAAATCACCCTATATAATCTTTCAGAAGTGTATCTCAGAGAATGACCCTAAGTCGGCTGACCTCTGAAGCCTGTACCAGAATTGACTTTATTTCTTAAGCGCACACTTCCTGTGCTTTCAAGGGGCAGCTGTCTAGGTTTAGTTTCTGGGAGTTTGAGGCACAGAGGTATGTAGGGGAATGGGAAGGCCAAATGGTAAAAGCCCCTGGGACGTGGAATCTGTGAGTACACTAACCTTGAAAGAGATTATGAAAACAAACTTTAGAGCATTGTTGAAGCACCATCTACATAATTTATATCAATGAAGACAGTAACTTATTAGGAAGACAGGATTATTAAAATTAACCATTTTCATCTTTCTACAAAAATAAAAATCAAATCAATTTTAGTTCAGATAATTGTATGTGAAGCTTTATAAGTGAAAATTTGAAGTTAGCAAAATTATATAACCTTAGTTAATTATATTAGTGTACTCAAACTAAATATAGAATAAGATTAGCTCATGGAAACATTGCATTTTTATCTCAGTCAGTACTGCTCATATCCACCCAGTAGTTAGTTTCTAGTTACGTTTTGTAATTTTTTGAATATCCTGGACATGGTTTTAGAAAAGTTAGTTGAAACAAGATATTGTATGCTTTCATTATTTCCCAGTTCATCTTTAAGCATAATAAAAACACAGAGTAAGTTGTCCTTTTTGAATTTTCTTTCCTTTCTAATATGTGTCTGGCACAACAGAGGACCAAGCCCAGGGATCATTAATCCCATTTTTCTGCATGGCGTTTGCTGTGAGAGAAGTTTGGGCTGGATTCGTAGTTTGCTATCTAAGAGTAAATGTTCAACCTTCTCTAATTTCCTGTTTTGTTTGCTTTTCCATTCAGTGTTCTATATTTGGACAACAAATATATTTTTCTGTATGGGTTTCTGGTGGCCCAGATGTTCATTGGAGTGGAAATTCTTTCTGTCCACACCACTGAGTTGGGCAGTTACTGGTGTTTGGCTTTCTCTATCTCTTGGAGTTGACTTAGATACATTGTGTATTCAGGTTGGGCACTCATCCCCTTTGCAAGCTCTATTACTTTGTTCCATTTGGCTTTGCCATAAATGTTTGCCCTTGGCTTGCCAAGACGTCAGCTTTAAGAGATATGTCATTTAACTTAGAACTCTTGAGTCTGACTTAAAATTAAGTCAGTTTTCTTAAACATTGTTATTGAGGTATAAATGACATGCCACAAAAGTCACCTCTTTGAGGTGTACCATTCAGGGATTTTTGGTAAATTTACTGGGTTGTGTAGAGATCACCATGATGCAGTTTTAGAACATTTTCAATTCCCAATAAGATCGCTCCTACTCGGTTCTCACCCATTTCTGCTCCCACCTCCAGCCACGGGCCACCATGAATATCCTTCGTGTCTCTATAGATTCCCCTTTTGTGGATATTTTAGAGTTGTGCTTCCAAGAATGAGTATCTCTGTGCTTGGTCGAACTTCCCGGATGGTGAGACCTGATTTAGTGACTTTGCCTTCCGCCCCTTCATCCCCAGGAGAGGAAGGTGGGGAAAGGGGAAAGACGGCAAGTATAGTAGTATAACAGGCATCGTGCCTCAGTTTCCTCATCTGTAAAATCAGGATAACCATGGACTAGTTTCAGGCTCTAAATGTGAAACTCTGTAGGAAGTAATTAGCTGGGAATCTGGCATAGAGGAGGAGCTCATTGTTTGCGTGTTAACAGTGGGAAATAGTTAAGGAGGTGGGAAAAGAGCTACCTGTAGAAAGGTGGCCTAAGTCCCTGGAGAGCTGAGCACAGGACCCCAGGGCACACACCCCCTTATGCTTCCCCTGTCTTTCATCTTGAAAGCACCTGCCTGTGAACCTCAGGCTTGGAGGGAATCTGGATGTTTTCCCAGGATCTACCTCTGCTCTATGGTCCTCAATCCAAGGTAGTTTTGAAACCGCCTTTGCAAAAATTATATCAATGAGAAAATTATAACAGTATGTTAAGCTAACCCATCCCCCATCTTGCCTTTCCCTTAATATTCTTGGGCTATTGGGCCAGGTGAACTTTGGAGGACTTTTAGGCTACGGTTTAAATGATAATAGGCCTTGTCCCAAACTCAAAACTTGCCCCAAACTGTAACACTAATGGGAGGCCATCAGGATGGGGGAGGAGAGGAGCCTGATTGCTGCTAAGGCAAAGACATGAACCATTGCCAGATTGTCAAATACGCAGATTCCCAGTTACTCCCGCAGATAACATCACTGTTGTAGAACCTAAGATTGGCCTTTTGAGATATCTTTTCAGGTTTTTAAAATTTTCTTTTCTCTGAACTACCTTTGGGGAGATTCTAGATCTTTTAAAAATTCCTTACCAACTCTTTGGAGATACCTCCTGCGTTCATGGTTAATCCATCCCCTTAGTTAAGGCTTATTGATTGCACATAGGAAGTTCCCTTTAGTAAAAGGTTCAAAAGCTAGAAATGTCCTGGCTGAAATCCGGTAAAAAGAGATTTTAAAATGATTTTTCTTTTGAGAGCTCTGTAGTTAGAAATCGACTTAATTAAAGCTGATATGTGTACAGATACTGTTTTAAAGCCCCTGTTCTCCCTCTGAAAGCTTCTGTCAATGGACTTCTGTCTTGATTCTTCATTCCTGTCTTTCTGTGTATTCTTCTCTGTTATGTAGTGTTTATATAAAACAGCTCTAAATAATTGGCGTAGGCCAGGCGCAGTGGCTCATGCCTATAATCCTAGCACTTTGGGAGGCCAGGGCGAGGTCAGGAGTTCGAGACCAGCCTGACCAACATGGTGAAACCCCATCTCTACTAAAAATACAAAAATTAGCCGGGTGTGGTAGCACACGCCTGTAATCCCAGCTACTCAGGAGGCTGAGGCAAGAGAATCGCTTGAACCTGGGAGGCGGAGGTTGCAGTGAGCTGAGATCACGCCACTGCACTCCAGTCTGGGCAACTGAGTGAGACTCTGTCTCAAAAATAAAATAAAATAAAATTGGCTTAAAGAAAAATAAGCACTTAAACATTGTCAGAAAAATGGAAACTTTAATGGCTTTTACATCACATGACTCTGATCTTTCAAAAATAAGGACAGTTTAAAGATTATTTGTAAAGTAAAATAAAAATGTCTTCAAAGTTAACACACTTTGTCTAAATTAGGCAGGTCAGATACTCTTTGCTGGATGTTTTAAGGTCATAAACTGCTTCTGTGACTTTTAATAATTGTTTGACTTGTCTGTCTTACAGCCATTAGATTCTAGGTAAGGTCTGGGGACACATGGAGTTAGCCGGCTCCCCTGGCTAGGCTGGGAAGAATCATGGGTTCTGTAGTTTTATACATGGTTAAAATTGCTTATTTACCAGGTTTTTCACCAAAAATAAAAGTTGCTGAAAGTTAAGATTGTAACACGTATAATTGAGACTACTGGAGAAACAGTTTTACATGCAAGGCGTAGAAGGAAAGTAGAATGTGTGTGTGTGTGTGTGTGTGTGTGTTTGAGATGGAGTTTTGCTCTTGTTGCCCAGGCTGGAGTGCAATGGCATGATCTCGGCTCACCGCAACCTCCGCCTCCCGGGTTCAAGCGATTCTTCTGCTTCAGCCTCCCCCCGGCGTAGCTGAGATTAAGGACATGCGCCACCACCTCCGGCTAATTTTGTATTTTTAGTAGAGACAGGGTTTCTCCATGTTGGTCAAGCTGGTCTCGAACTCCTGACCTCAGGTGATCTACCCGCCTCGGCCTCCCAAAGTGCTGGGATTATAGGCGTGAGCCACTGCACCTGGCGGGAAAGTAGAATGTGTCTTGTGGGAGGCTATAAGAAAGCATGGGAATATGGTTTTTGTAAAAGGGAATATAATTTTGTCTGGTTCGGAGGATTTTAAGGATCATCTTAAAAGAGTAATGGGACAAAACTGAAAGTTTAAGCAAGTTGAAAAAGGTTTGTAAAGGGTTCATCTTGTAAAGGAAGTTCTGTGGGTATGAGCAAGTTGGCTAAGACTTGAAGGGGATTATTTAGTTTTTCTGTAGGTTGAATATTTTTTGTTTGACTTTTGAATGAATGACAGAAAAACGAGGAGAGAGGAGCCTCATACTGTCTTTATTTTGTCCTGTTTGGAAAGTTGAGTTTCCCCTCTATCAGTGAGTGAAGATTTTTGCCTTTTAAAAATTCTTGAGTTATTATGGCTAAATAAATGACTTCTAGTGACTTGGGATTTTATTTTGTAATATCAAGGGTCTAAACATTTGATATTTGACAAAACTTTCCAAAGTCAAAATCTAAATTAAGCCACCCCCCCCCCCGCCCTTATTTTAATCTGGTTAACCTTCCAGATATTAAATACTGTAAAGTCCAAAAGAGACATATTTGGCTTATTTGATATATTAAAACTATAACAGTAAGCATTGTCAGGTATGCAATAGTGTTTGGCTTTCTTTGGACTGTATTTGTATGAATGTGTTGTTAGTATGTGTTTCAGAATTGTATAAGATTTCCTGTAATTCTGATATGTTTTAGTATATGTTATCAGTAATAATTATGATTGTTAAGTTATTGTATGCCACAGAGATGATCAGACCTTAACTGTGGCTGTTCTGAAACTTTTGTCATCCACAATTGTTTTACTTTGGTTATTTTCAGGGTGGTTTTATAATCAGCTATAGGACTGTGACAGTTTTCTGATAACTTTGGAGATTGTGACATTAAAATAGACGAAAAAGCTTCCAAGGCTCCCATTAAGAGCTAATGTATTCATGGATATCGAGCAGAACAGGAGTTAATTACATGGACTGAAGTAATGGAAGACCGAAATAAACTTTTTCTGGCTTTTCGTTTGAAACATTGCTCATTCTTTTGTTTTTCAGAGTCCAGAAAACCTTTTTTTTCTTTTGAGCTATTTATAGCTTTTAACAATTGGATAAAGTATGCTCTTGTGAACAAAATCTGAAGCACATTTCTCTCTCTACCTGATTTCTCTAGAATTTGAAAACTGTTTGCAAGTATACTTAATTTATGATGTTATAGTTGTTTGTTAAATACAAATCTGTTTTCTTTTGTAGCAGGACACAATTGGAGACACTGGTTATTTTACCAAAGCTTTGATTGGAATGGCATACTTTCAGATTGCTTTAAGGAATCAAAGTTGACTTACAGAGCCAATAAAAGCCCCTTGGGTAAGCTGGCCTCATACCTTGTCTACACAGTCCCTGGACAGGTTCCTAAGTAAAGAATGTCACTTTCTGACAGGTCCAGGAGCTCCAAGTTATCTTGAGCCCTTGAGGTGAGGAATTCACCCAATTAATACAAGTATTTGCAGGCACAGATAAATCCGTGGCTGGGCTAAATGCTTTGAAGTCTAATGTGAGATTTCTTAGGGAATAAAGTTGCAGCAAAGCCAATTTTAAAAAGGAGCATATATGGCAAATAATTGTTCTAGCTGACCTTATGCAAACACTCGGGCCAGGTATAGTAAGAATAAAACTTATTTTGCACATAAATTAGTCCTAATGTGATTTGTCTTTAGTAAAAATAGGGACTGGAGAGAGAAATTATGTTTCAGAAAAAAACTATAGAACACCTGTTGTTAGAATCTAGTCTTGTTCACTATTTTTGAATTTTTATTATTTTCTGTCATTTGGACTGAATCGTGAATTCTTTCTGGACTACAAGTCCCAAACTAATGCTTTCAAATTTTTCTTTCATTTCTAACTTGGCCTCAATAAAATTGCTACTACCTCTTTCCTGAGGTCCTATAAGCTGAAGCTTATTATGAGAGAAAAACATGTCAGATTGCCACCACCTTCCTCGTCTATAACTAAAGATGTTTTGAGTCTAATGTCTGGATAAATTGTGCCCAGTGTTAATCTTTGTTTTTTTTCCGTGTCTATGGAAATGCCTCTTACAGAAGCTTAGCCCATCTGCAGTGCCACCTCCTGATATGGGAAACAGCTGTTTAACTGATCTAGTCTTAGGACTTGGACACTGACTAAAAAGATATGGGACAATATATTTAAATTCACTCTTTCCTGTTTATCCCAGTCTCTCTTTCTAACAACATATAGTCTACTGTTGACTTAAGTGTTGTACTAGAACTGTGAGTAAGAACATTAACATCTTTGTCATACACCCGTGAGTACATGCAGGTAGCTGCACGGTGGTGAGCTCACTCCTATTCCCCTGGGACCAACCCCTGCAACTATGCCCCCTGTCAGCAGGAAGAAGCCAGAGTGATGGTCACCCTTTTTCTATCTCTATAGCCAGCACCTTAAGAATAAGGTGTATGAAAGCCAAAGGGGGTATTGAAACCACCTTTGCAAAAGTTATATCAGTGAGAGAATGATGACAGTGAAAGAGATCTGAGCTAATCCACCCCCCATCTTGCCTTTCTCTTAATTATTCATTTCCCTTAATTATTGCATTTCCCTTAGTTATTCCATCTCCCATGTGGTGTGGCTGGCCTTGTGTCTGTTAAACTCTTTCTCTACTAAAATGCCCATGGTCTTTATGCAGCCGGCAGGAAGAACCCCTCAGGCGGTTACAGTTTTGCTCCCAGGGGACAGTTTTGGTTGTTATAAATGAGGAAGGTGTGCTCTTGGCATCTAGCAGGTAGAGGCCAGGGCTGGCCTCCTGAAGTGCAGAGGAAGGTCCCCTCCTCTTTCAAGAGAGTTATCCAGCCCCAAAAGGTCAGCATTGCAGAAATTAAGAAACCCTGACTTAGAAGCTTTGCACCTCGTGGTAGCTGTAAATGAGGTATTTACATCCTCCATGAAGACGTAAGGAAGTTGAAGGAATAAAAATCTCATGGGGCTTTGAAAGCAATGCAAGCATCTTTTAGTTTTCATACATTCCATGGAAGTAGGGATTTTTTTCTAAAGCAAAAAGACCAACAAGACTTTGGAGCTCAGTTTAGAAGAAAAAAGTGACTTTCAAACCCTTTAGAAGTATTCATTTACAAATGAACAATGAAATGACTGTGTAGATGGAGAAACCCTGAGCGCCCCTTGGCTTTGATCTGGTGGTCACGTTCATCCGTGTCTGTTCCCTGAAGAACCAGTGCCCACATTTGCCTGCCTTCTTTACCTAACTCCCCCCAACAAGAGCTGACCCTCCTCCCATCTTCTCGCCTGGTTGGTCTTTTTCCTCCCTCCCCCTGAAGCCTGCCTGCCTCTGCTTTCCACCCTCCGACAAGCCCTGATCTGTGCTCTGAACAAACTCCTATGCGGGTCTCTTTGAAGTCTTTTTGCCTGCCCCTAAGTGCATCCCTCCCACCCCCACCCAGGTGATACTGAATCTATGTGAATTTGTGGAGTTCTCCCTTCCTTCCCCTCTGGCAGAATCACCAGGATTCAGTCTAGAGTACAACATTATAGATGTTTTCTAGCACTTTTCAGCTGTCCATACGCTAATATGTAGTCTTGGGTCTTTATCCGAATGGAGTCCTATTATATTTGTTTCACACCATCTGCTTTCCTTATTTTTGTATCTTTACTGAGGTATATTGAAGTACAGTAAGCTAGACTTGTATGAAGTGTGCAGTTTTAATCTGTTTTTTCTTTTTTATTTCTTTGTTTGTTTACATACATTTTTTAGAGACAAGGTCTCACTATGTTGCCCAGGCTGGTCTCAATCTCCTGGGCTCAAGCAATCTTCCTGCCTCAGCCTCCTGAGTAGTTGGGACTATAGGCGCATGCCACCACACCCGGTTAATTTTTTATTTTTTGTAGAGATGAGGGCTCCCTATGTTGCCCAGGCTGGTCTCAAACTCCTGGGCTCAAGTGATCCTCCTGCCTTGGCCTTCCAAAGTGCTAGGATTACTACGGGTGTGAGCCACCGTGCCTGGCTCGTTTTTTCATACACACACACACACACACCCATATTTGTGAAACCAGCACCACAGTCAAAGAATATTTCCATCACTCTCCAAAGTTTACTTGTGCTTTTTTGTAATGTCTCTCCCCCTCCCTCTACCCCTTTCCCAGGCAGCCATTGGTGGGCAGTCTGTGACTATTGCATTTTCTAGCAATTTATATTACTGAAATCATATGGTATGTACTCATTATTTTGCCTGGCGTCTCTCCCTCAGCATCATGATTTTGGGGCTTCATGTTGTTGCACATGTCACTAACTCATTCCTCTATTGCTGCGTAGGATTCCTTCCTGTATGGATGCACTATGGTTTGTGTATCCATTCACCAGTTGTTGAATGTTTGGGTTGTTTGTTTTTTATTGTGACAATTATGAATAATGCTGCTGTAAATGTTTACATGGCTGTACAGTGGTTCTCAAACTTCATCATGCATCGGAACCACCTGCAGAGCTTGTTAAAACACAGAGCATCCAGGCACGGTGGCTCATGCCTGGAATTCCAGCACCTTGGAAGGCTGAGGCAGGAGGATAGCTTGAACCGAGAAGTTCGAGACCAGCCTGGGCAATGTAGAGAGACCCTGGCACTAAAAAAAAAAAAAAAAAAAAAAAAATTAGCCAGGTATTGTGTGCACTTGTAGTCCCAGCTTCTCGAGAGGCTGCAGTGGGACAATCACTTGAGTCCAGGAGTTTGAGGCTGCAGTGAGCTGTGATTGTGCCACTGCACTCCAGCCTGGGTGATAGAGCACAAGACCCTGTTGCATAAATACTCCCCCCAAAACCCCAGAAAAACCAACACACAGAGTGGCAGGCCCCATCCCCAGAGTTTGTGATTCATTGAATTAGGGGCTGGGTTAAGACTCTGCCTTTCTAATGGGCTCTCAGCTGATGCTGGTGCCAATGGTTCAAGGACCACATAGACTTCGAGGGCTGCTGCCTTAAAGGAAGTCTTTGTAAATTATGATAGTTAATCGTTTGTTAGTTGTTCCAGGTATTTCTCTTCTAGACCATTCCTTGCCATGTAATGTTGCTTATGGTTTGAAGCATCAAGCTCGCATTTTTGTGTAGTCGAACATGTCAGTCTTTTCTTTGGGCTTCTGGGCATGGCTTCCTTCCAGCAAGGGGCAGATACCAAGAATAACTTGGAGTAGGTGAGGCAGGTTTTGATGTTAGCAAAACTCAAACCATGACACTCCCCCAAATGGGAGTCTGCCCTCATTGGGCCTAATTGTGCCCTCTGCTGCAGATGCTGGGATGGCCTTCTGATGGGATGGCCGGGCTGTGTTGTCAGCACCCGCCCACATGAGACGAGTTTGTAGCTGTGCCTGGTGCCAAGAGCTCTGAGGTGCTACTATGCCCCCTGGAACCTTTGGGCAAAGCATAGCTAGTCATCAGGCTTGCCTTTCACAGGCAAACCAAATCCATCCTTTCTTCATCCCCCTGCCCTGCCAAAATCAACCAGTCTCAAATCAATTCACGAAAGGGGGCCAATTTGCCTTTCGGGTGTCTGATCTAACAAGCCTTGGAGCAGCTAGGAAGCTACCAGAAGATGTGTATGATCAATGTATTTGTTATTTATTTTATTTTATTTTTTTAAGTTTGGGGAAAGGTAATACTTTTGGTCAACCATCTGAAGGGACTCCCTCCTCTAGGCCAGGGCACTCCATAGTTAACCTGAAAAACTGGTTCAGGGCATGACAGGAAGGGGGTTTGAACATGCTTCATTATGCCCTCCTCCCTTTTGGAATTCATGAACAGCCGACAGCATTTAACACAGACCTTAAGTCTGATAAGAAACAGTTACAATCTATTTTCTCTGAAGCCTGCTACCTGGAGGCATCATCTGCGTGATAAAACCTAGGTCTCTACAACCCCTTATGGTACCTGGACATTTTTTTCTATTGATAATAGCTTTTTTTTTTTTATTATTGAGACAAGTGCTGTTGCCCAGGTTGGAGTGTGATGGCATGATCACAGCTCACTGTAGCCTTGACCTCCTGGGCTCAAGCGATCCTCCCACCTCCGCCTCTCTAGCAGCTAGGACTACAGGTGTGTGCCACCACACCTGGTTAATTTTTGTATTTTTTGTAAAGACGGTGTTTTGCCATGTTGCCTAGGCTGGTCTCGAGCTCCTGGACTCAAGCAATCTGCCTGCCTTGGCCTCTCAGAGTACAGCGATTATAAGCATGAGCTACCAGGCCTTGCCGATAATAACTCTTTCAACCAGTTGCCAATCAGAAGAATTTTATCCCAGAACACACACCCCCCCCCCACGCCCCCGCCGCCTCAAGTCTTCCCACCTTTCTGGACCAAACCAATCTATATCTTAAATGTATTTTGATATCTCATGTCTCCCTAAAATGTATAAAACCAAGCTATGCCCCAACCGCCTTGGGTACATGTTCTCAGGATCTCCTGAGGGCCATGTCACGGGCCATGGTCACTCATATTCAGCTCAGAATAAATCTCTTCAAATGTTTTGCAGTTTGACTTTTTTCATTGACAGAGAGCAGCTTTAAATTACTGTGGACTCTTTGTTGCAAAAGCATCTTCTTGAATTTGATAATAAAGCCCTACTCTTCCAGTTTGTCCCTGAGTGCATTCTGCAGGTACCTCCGGTCACCGCTTCTTATCTTTGCTGTTGACCTCAGTTCATTCCTTTCAGATTCTTCACTCAGGAGAAGTCGTGGAACAGATTCCTGGAGGATTCCAGGCTCTGTAAGGAGGCTTATCTCCTTAGGATGGTTAAATTTTGGATTTGCAGTGACTTGTAATCATTGGCTAATATCCTAGTTTCTTCTTCTCTTTTTTAATGACAACTTTACTGAGCATACACACAACTCATTCCTCTAAAGTGTGTAATTCAGGAATTTCCTAGTATTTTTACAAAGTTGCACAACCATCACCACTGTCTAATTTTTGAACATTTTCATCACTCCCAAAGGAGACCCTGTACCTGTTAAGACATCACTGCCCCTTCCCCTTCTCCCCAGCCCCCCTGGCAACCCTGAATCTGGTTTCTGCCTCTATGGATTTATCTATTCTGGACATTTCATAGATACAGAATCATGTGATGTGTGACCTTTTGCGCCTGGATTCTTACTTCATATTTCTGAGTTTCATCCATGTTGTAGTATGTGTTGTTCTAGTTTCTTGTAAATGTTCTGTCAAAACCCCAGGTGATTAAGGAAGGTGGAACAATGTTCTGAGATAAGTCAGCCAGAGACACAGGCTGCTCCTCCCTCCAATTACATTTAAAATGGAAAATCGTTCACAAATGGAACATTGTTCATAAAATTGTTTATAGTTCAGCTTCTATTCTAGCATGAACGGTAATTTTCTCTTTCGCATTTGCTGTAGTTCCTCCAAATTTCTCCCACTTTCCTATACCTAAAGGTCAACGTAGAAAACAATTTTCGTCAGCTAGAGCTGGGCCTGCAGGTCTCTCTTGTGTTGCATCTTTTGGGTGGAGTCAGAAGGTCCTTTCTTGGTGTAAGAGTTAGGAAGCTTGCATTTCCCAAAGGGGTTGTGTGGTGTTCCTTCCAGAGCTGAGGTTGTGGGATTCCAAGCAGCAAGACTTAGGCTGTTTTCTACGGCGTCCCCAAAGTCACAACCCTGACTGATGCAGGAACAGAATCATAAGGTTGTTTACTTTTCTGAATTTATCAAACCTTTTGTCTGTGTTTGACCAAAATTACTTTTCCCGGGTTGGGTTGGAGAATATGGAGGGTGATTTTCTGAAACCATTCATGGGACATGATTTTCTGGGGCATCTGTACCTGCAATGAAGGGCTTACTGATAAGACTGAAGGCCATTGTACTTTACTGGTTGGTGTTATAATTGATCATATTCATTTCTTGTCCTACTGTGACAAGTGACTGCACATTTACTGGCTTAAACAAAAACTATTATCTTACGGTTCTGAAGGCCAGAAGTCTGAAATGGGTCTCACTGTGCTAAAATCAAGGTTTAGCAGAGCCACAACTTTCCTGGAAGCTCTAGGGGAGAATTGGCTTCCTTGCCTTTTCCAGCTCCTGGAGACTGGCCGCATTCCTGAGCTTGTGGCCCCTTCCTCCATCTGCAGAGGAGCAGCGTAGCACCTCTCTGACTGTCCTTCCATAGGCATATCTCTCTGAGACCATAGCTGGGAAAGGCTGTCCACTTTTCCGGGCTCCTGTGATTACATTGGGCCCATCCGGAAGATCCAGAATAATCCCCACATCTCAAGAGACTTAATTTAATCACATTTGTAAAGTCCCTTTTACCATATAAGGAAACATATTCTCAGGTCCCAGGGATTCAGGCATGAGCATCTTTGGGGGCCATTATTCTGCCTACTACATTGTCAGTCTTCAAGGACAGACTTACTTCCTTTGTTTCTGTCTCTTAATTTGCTCCTCTGAAGCCTGCAAGATTCATAGGCTTATGTAACGTTTGTGTTTTGTCTCTCGAATAATTGAGAAATCTGGTACTGTTGAGCCATTTGGTTTGTATTGCTCACTCACTGAGTCGATTGATTGGTTGGTTGATTGAGTGATTAATAGAGACAGTCTCATTTTGTTGCCCAGGCTGGTCTCAAACTCCTGGTCTCAAGCGATCCTCCCTCCTTGGCCTCCCAAAGTGCTGGGATTGCAGGTTTGAGCCACCATGCTTGCCCTCAGTATTGATTCCCTCTGAATGAGCCAGGATTTGCTTTCCATTTTGGAGAGCCCCTAGATTGCTGAACAGCTCAGAGACACACTTGTGTATTGAGGTCCTCTTTCCTGCCACTCTTGGTTTTGGACTTTATCAGGGACTCTGCCAGAGCTACTTTTCTGGACTTGGAGTCTCAGAGTCTGTGTCAGCTGTGGGTAAGGAATGAGACCACCATGAAGCAAGCAGAGGTAGCGGGTGGGGCCTGGCTTCCAGGACTTTGCAGATGCTGTGTGTGGATTTCTGGGGCCTGAATCAAGAGCCCCTGGGTTTGTGGCTTCACAGAATGGTGGAGGAAGACTGGTGGAGTTAAGGGACAGAAGACTCAACAATAATTAGCTTGTTAATCAGCATTTTGGCTCAAAAATAGTTTGGGAGTATACTGGTCAGCTTTCTGCCATGCTAATGTTGCATAACAAACAGCCCCCAAATTCAGAGGCTTAAATCGTTTCTTTCTTGCTCACTAGTCATGGTTAGCTGTGTCTCTCCTGGGCTTATATGGGAATAGGAAGGCCTGGTCAGGTTCTGGGCTAGGCTTAGGGTTGAAATGATGTGTCTCCTCATCAGGGGACCCTGGGGCATGTTGTTTGTGCCTCTCCCATCAGGTATAGGAAGCCAAGATAAATCATGCAGGCACATTTAAAGTCTCTGTTTGTCACTACCCCTAACATCCCATTGACCAAAACAAGTCCCATGGTGAGGTCCAGCCTCCACGGGTTGGGGAGGGCTATTCTAGTCTGAAAGCCCTGAAAAGTCACATGGCAAAGGGAGCAGCCATAGACTTCCACTATGGGAGGATGGAAGAGTTAGCATTGCAGTGCCTCTGCCATGTTTGTGGGTGGAAGGGAAGGTGATCCCTGTGGAAGAGACTGTGGATACATCCAGTCATACCCTAGAAAATCAGCTCTATAGGTGGATTTTTGAAGCACTGTGTGCTTGTTATCTTTTTATTATTACTTTATTTTTGAGACAGGATCTCACTGTCACCCAAACTCGAGTGCAATGGTGAGATCATGGCTCACTGGTGCTTCTTTCTTCTGGGCTCAAGTCTCCTCCCGCCTCAGCCTCCCAAGTAGCTGGGAATACAGGTGCACACTCACCACATTCAGCTACTTTTTAAACATTTTTTTTGTAGAGACAGAGTCTCATCATGTTGTCCAGACTAGTCTTGAACTCCTGGGCTCAAGCAGTCCTCCCACCTCGGCCTCCCAAAGTGCAGGGATTACAGGTGTGAGCCACTGCACCTAGCCAGGGTGCTTGTTAAACCTGCAGCTTCCTTGATTCCATCTTAGAGCCCTGTTCTCACCTGAGGAGAGGGGATTGTGCCCCTTGGGGAACATTTGACAATGTCGGGAAACACTTTTGCGTTTCACAGCTGGGTGGGGGTTGCTCCTGGCATCTTGTGGGCAGACCCCAGGGGTTCCACTAAGCACTGTAATGTGCACAGGACAGCCCCCCTCAAAGAATTATCTGGCCCAACAAATGTCAGTTCTGCTGAGGCCAAGAAACCCTGCACAAACAGGCAATTTTAGGTGATTTTCATGCACTTTATAGTTTGAGAACCATGTCTTGCAAGACTGTTCCAACTGGGAAGGGGAATTGGTGATTCTTTCCATATAAGTAGACACGGACACATCTAGGAAGGAAGGTTTGATATCTCGCAGATAGTTGTGTGGAGAGGCGAATTCAAACCCAAGGGTCTTAGTTAGATCTATTACTTCTGTAATTAAAAAATATGTTCTGCTCATATTGTATTAATTCTTTGTTGTATTAAGTATTTACTCTTGCTGTTTATTAGTAGCTTAATAAATGGACCGTTTATTTGGTGTGGGAAGAAATCTATGTTTTATTAGATTTCTATTATGAGCTTATTTTTTTTCTAAGTGGCCTTTTGCCAGCTGTTTCTTCTGTCCTGTTATTCCTGCTCACCAGCAAGATTATAAATTCTTAAAAAATTTGTTTTTAATTTTTTTTTTGAGAGGGGATCTCACTCTATCACCCAGGCTGGAGTGCAGTGGCTCAATCATAGCTCATTGCAGCCTTGAACTTCTGGGCTAAAGCAATCCTCCTGCCTCAGCCTCTTGAGTAGCTTGGGACTATAGGTGCATGCCACCATGCTCTGCTAGTTTTTAAATTGTTTTTGTAGAGATGGGGTCTCACTGTTGTTGCGCAGGCTGGTCTTGAACTCTAGGGCTCAAGCAATCCTCCTGCCTAGGCCTTCCAAAGTATTGGGATTACAGGTGTGTGCCACTGCACCACCGCATCACCGCACTTGGCCAGTATATTTATATATATATATATATATATATATATATATATTTTTTTTTTTTTTTTCTTTGAGACAGAGTCTCACTGTGTCATGCAGGCTGGAGTGTAGTGGCATGATCTCGGCTCACTGCAGCCTCGACCTCCCAGGCTCAAGTGATTTTCCCGCCTCAGCCACCCGAGTAGCTGAGACTACAGGTGCATACCACCACACCCAGCTAGTGGCCAGTAAGTTCTTAATAGCAGTGATCACGCTTTATATTTTGTTTCTACTCTGCACAGTACTCAGCATACGATAATGATCAGTCAGTTGCTAATGGTATCAATTGCAATGTGAGTTGCGCTCTGTGGTTAAAGACTCATTTATGAGGTATCCGTGGACCAGCCTTTTATACTTTGCTATAAATCCTGTTTCTAGGCTTTTGGGGCTGAATGGTTGGCATATTGATGCTCGGTTTCTGTGTGGCAATTAGGAGAAAAGGTCCTTGTCACTGGCAAGCTGACAGCCTCCTTTCTTCTCCTACCCTCAAGTTGTTTTGGTGATTGAAATGTTTCAGATATTAAAAAAAAATCAAGAATTGCTTGCTGATAGGACAACAGAAGTACAGTTCAGGGAGTTAAAGCTTCTCCATTCCCCACCTCAATTGTACACAGCAAGCATGGACAGATTTCCTTGTAGAAAGCATGCAAGCAGCATTTCTATGGAGGATGCTGTGTCACCTGAAATTTGCTATGCTCAGATCAGCCAAGTATTGCCTCTGGGGGCTACCAGCAAGTTATAGAAATAACTTTGTTATGAAATACTTCTTTAAGGGGGTGTTAGTATTGATTCACTGAAGTGGTTCTCCTTGTGTACATGGAGTAGTTGTGAGACGAAGGTTTCTTTTCTTCCTGGCTCCCCATGTGGGAAGGACGCTTAGTGGTTTGTGGGATGCAGGGAGAGGAACAGAGTCCATCCTTCAGTTGCTCTTTTTACTAATTTATTAACTTGCCTCTCATCCCCTTGGCTGTTAAGACACTAAGCTGGTGTGTCTGACAAGCAGATGACCTAAAAATTCACGCGTAGTAAAAGGGAAGATGAAAATAGAAGTATATGAACTAAATTAGGAGGAGGACTTGGCTTCATTAAAAAAATGAGAAAGCCATGTTGTGCTTTTTTTAACTGCCACTTTTCCAAGTGCAGGACTAACAGTTTCAGATGTCATTATGCTACCAGTCTTGGTAATTTCTAATCATGTTTTGTCTAAAGAATATTTACATTAAAATGAGCCAGCCTCTTTAAAGTCACATTTTAGTAGTGAGAAAACCAATGTCCGTTTTTGGAAAGGGAGCCCTTACCTCAGCTGGTGTGAGCGTTTTGTGGAGGTCTGCGGTGTTTGTGACTTGTGCCAGAGGCCTTGAGCTAGAGGCAACATAAGAAGGAATCAAACTTCCCTTTCTGTTCGGTATGCCTCTGTACCAAGACGTTTTGTTGATTGATTCATGGCACGGTGATACAGGGTGCATGGTATCAGATGCAGGGAGTGGAATATTGTTGAGATTGGGGCTAGAGGGTGTGTGTGTGTGTGTGTGTGTGTGTGTGTGTGTGTGTGTGTGTGTGTGTGTGTGTGTGTAGGGGAGGAAGGAATGGAAGGATGAAACCATTTGGGAATGTGCTGGAAGACATGCTTTTGAGGACAAGCAATGCGATTTTGGCATTGGCTGGGTTTCTGAGCCAGTGATGAATGTAGTGCATTGCTATGTGACTGGGAGTGTGATAGAGAGATATTCCGCTGGTTATTTCCCTCCACCTGCTTCTTATCAGTGCCATAGGGCAGAGTCTCAATTCCACTTGCCAGAATGCTTTCTAGGAACTCTTTATGCTCAATGGAGGTGATGTTTTCCCACTTGCTATGCTGTGCCTTAGGGAACAGGAACTGGTATTATCACATAAGCAATCTCTAAGTCCCTTGGAAGATTGTCTCATTCATCAAGAGGGAGAGGATTCTGATTTTCCTGCCTGGCTCCTCCAGGAAGTCTAACTTCTTGCAGGGGACCTGTTCTCTCGGCCCACTTGTACAGCATGTATAAAAGGAAATGAAGACTTTTGGGGATTTGTTGATTCACTTGTTTGGAAATTGGGGTTATGTAAGCCCAATTTGAGTTCCAGGACTCATCTATGATTGCCTGGATTAAATCAAAGGACACCCATGTAGGCTGGACGTGATGGCTCATGCCTATAACCCAAGCACTTTGGGAAGCTGAGGCGGGCGGATTGCTTGGACCCGTGAGTTGGAGACCAGCCTGGGCAAGATGGTGACATTCCATCTCTACTAAAAATACAGAAAATTAGCCAGGCGTGGTGGTATGTTCCTGGTCCCAGCTACTTGGGAGGCTGGGGTGGGAGGATCACCTGAACCTGGGAAGTCGAGGCTGCAGTGAGCTGATATCCTGAGATCATGCCACTGCACTTCAGCCTGGGCAACTGGAGTGAGATCTTGTCTCAAAAACAAAACAAAACAAAAAAAACCAAAAAACAACCTGCGTAATTGTAGATTTTTGTTGTTGTTTGATATACTGTCTCTTTTCCTGGAAAGAACCCTCTCGTGGGAACAGAAATGTTGAATTTAGTCCTGATGCTGTCCCTAACCACCCCGTGACACTGGTCCCAGGAAAATATAGGAATTGTCTCTCTTTTTCTGTCATCTCAGAGCTTGAGACAAATGTTCTCTGAGGTTGTTTTAGCACCACACTGTGATTCATCTTCGAGACTGTTCACAGCCCTTGATCTGAATTGATGGAGCTGTGGGGGATCATACCGCCACTGCCAGTGCTGAGAGCTGCATGTGGTGCGGTCCAGTGGCTACAGCGTTGTCTTTGGGATCTTCACTTGGCACCACAGCGGATTTGTATAATTATTATGTTGACTGGAACTTAGAGTGACTCAACTGCCTTGAACAGGAACCAAGAAAGAGAGGAACCAAATTCCAGAAGAGAATTTGCCAGAACATTCCAGCATATTCCATACTCTAGGGTTGTCTTATAGGGTCTGAGGGTACTTCTTGGTTATCTACTCATGTGCGTCTGACATAATTAAAGGCCGACTTAGACCCTATCAGAGAAAATCAAGTTCAGACACTTAGTCTAAATGGAAGTAAGGAAAACGATTACCTTTATCTCATTATCTTAGTTCTCTTTGGAAGATATATAAGCTTGAACCATGGTGACAGGTGTTGCCTTTAAACATGGTGACAGGTGTTTTCCTTTAAAGTCCTTGGCAAATCAACTCATAGACTTCTTCAACTTCAAAAAAAAAGTTTTTTTAAAAAATATTTTAAAAATATTTAACTTGAGGATCTTCATTGAAAATTGGTCATCTTTCGTGAATTTGCTTAAGTAGGCTTTGATCTCTTTTTAAAGGATTCCTTCCTGCCTGATACATTTGGTCCTTTTAGAATTCGGGCTAGAACAATTCTCCATGAAGGTGGACGTGTTAAAATCTATTTGGTTCATTGTTAGGATCACTCACATTACAAGAGAAATTTCGGTCTTGAGTTTTTGTTTTTGCTTATTTGCTTTCTTGGAAATGTTTCCACATCAGGTCTTAGAGGAGTTGTAAAACAGGAAGGAGGAGTTGACATGCTGTTTCATAACCAATGCTTGCTTCTCGCCTTGGATACTAACATTTTTTCCATCCATTTCCCACATAAAACATGGAGACAAACACCAGAGCTGCTCCTGAGAGGTGCTGAGTCATAGGAATTGAAGGGGGCTGTTGGGCCCTCGTGTGTGGGATGGGCTCAAGAGCTATCAGTCTACAGAGGGAAAGGTTCATCTCTGTCCCTCATTGCCTGCAGTTTCTCTTTGGCCCTGGCTTTTTCCGTTCACAGCTGCCCTCGACGTTCATTTTAATCAAATTTCACCTGCATAAAAGGGCTATGGGCAGAGAGTCTTCTCTGTGATGGAGCGCAGCTATCCTACAAGTATGTAGCCCTGATTTAGTAGAGAAGAGGCAGGAATTGTCGAGGGCGGAGGAGCAGGAGAAATGGTGCACAAGGGAGAGGGGATAATGACAGGTCATTCAGGGATGTCTACGGAATGTGAAAATGCAGCAAGATGGGTTTCGGTTTCTTTTTTTTTAGGTCCGACAGAGATTCCTGGGATAGCTGCATCTTCATGTTGTACACGCATACACTTGATTCCCATTATTCACTGGAGCTATGTTCTGTAAAGTCGCTGAGACTTTATAGAAAGCATCACCCCAGGGAAAATACACAGTGAGGCTTCTGCGAACCTCTGGTCACAATGTTGTTGTCAAGCAGTCAGTGCATAACTTTGTTGTATGTATTTCTATTGTGTGTTTCTGTTGGTTCCTTTACATTGCACTCACGCCAACAGCACTGTGACTCACGCCTGGCCGAACCTCATCTAACGCACGTATTTTCCCCATAAGACGCATCCCAGCCTTGTGCTTCAGGACATGAGACAGCACTGCAGCATCTGGGGGCCATTTTAAGCAGCAAAGTCACCCAGAAACTACAACATTTCAAAAAACTGGCACTGTGAATAGACTGCGAAAAGGACACTTGTTTACGGAGTGAGAGCCTTGTTCACCCTCAGCTGGGAACATGTGCATTTGGTGACACAGCCACACGCTGCATGTTTGAGAATGACCATGAAAGCGCTGCAGGTACTGATTTTGGAGCTACAAATAAATGTTAGCCAATAGGCAAATTCACAGACACGGAATCCGTAAATAACAAGGCTTGGCTGTGTGTGTATACATAGTGTAGTGTTGATAGTGTGTATACACAATACACATTGATATTTTGGGAGAGATTTTGAAGAAGTCACCATGAAAGCCAGTGTGTCCGTTTGGCCCTCTGGAAAGCGTGCGGTGAGGAGGAGTCAGGGTACAAGTGTTTAAATTGGGGACATGGCCTGAGGAGATGAAAGAGAGGTGGGGACTGAGTAGGGAAAGCTCCACACCACAATGCATAACTGATAAGGTTTTGGCCAACAAGCCAGAGAACCCTAGAGCAAAGAGTGCCCCTTGCTTACAGCCAGAGGGCCTTGCTCAGTGAATATAGGGGGCTAGGAGTGGGGAGGCATCTCCAAAGGAGCATCGTGGATTTGCAACTCTGTCTTTCTGGAAAGGATATGAGAGTCTTGCCCTCTCCCCCAGGGCTGACACAGTTGTAAACCAAACTTTTGACTTCAGTTGTACATATCAATTATTTTGCACCCACATTAGATTGAACCAAATGACACTGGCTCTTTTAAATTAAAAGTGGTCAAATGCTGGCAGCCTCTTAGGGTTCAATTCAATGGAATCTTTTAAAGGTGCAATAATGCTGTTTGAAATGAGGAGAACGCCTGTGTTTTGTTTGCTGAGAGAAATCCACTATCTCTCATCCAGAAGATGATTAGACCCATAATGGAAGCCAGTCAGTGGCATGAGGAATCATGGAGATGATTCTCACCTGGTTGATTGGATCAGACGTTCCTAGCCCGAATGAGGGTGGAAAGGGAACCAAGAGATGAAGTGGATTGTTGGGTTTATGAGAGGACGGTGGTTGTCTGTCTATAGTTAAGGTTGTTTAAACTCATGACCATGAGAATGAGCTTTTTCTGGATAACTCTTTCCTTTTCCTTCTGATTTTTGAGAGTGCTGAAAACTCAAGTCCTGTATTTAAAAATTCCATCGTTGAAAACATGTTTCAAGGACAGATGACACACTTATGATTATAGCATCTGAAGTGATGGGAATATTAAATAACCTTTGGTTGGACATGTAACCATCAGGGCTCCACTTGGTCTTAAAACCAAACACACACAGTTCTTGTCGTTAAAGATATCCATGGCCTGGCACAGTGGCTCACGCCTGTAATCCTAACACTTTGGAAAGCCGAGGCGAGGGGTTAACTTGAGCCCAGGGGTTTGAGACCAGCCTGGGCAACATGGTGAAACCTTGTCTCTACAAAAAATACAAAAATTAGCTGGGTGTGGTGTTGTGTGCCTGTAGTCCCAGCTACTAGGGAGGCTGAGGCAGGAAAATCACCTGAACCCAGGAGGTGGAGGTTGCAGTCAGGCACCATCCTGCGATTGCACTCCAGCCTGGGAGACACAGCCAGACTCCATCTCAAAAAAAAAAAAAAAAAAAAAAAGACTTACACAGAGAAAGCCTGAAGCCCACAAGAGCAATTAGCAAAAGGAACCCTGACATAACAAATACGGTGGTGTCATTAGCAACCAGGTAGTTAAGCTCAGGGGTTGCTATGTGTCATAAACTTGAAAGCTACATTGGCCACGAGTAACACAAATGTAGGTGCTAATCACAGATAGTTGGTGGGCATTTCAAACTTTCTCTTCATATCTATGGATACCCAAAACAGTGTGCTTCCATTTAGAAGGCTTCCATTGGGAGGCTGAGACAGGAGGATTGCTTGAGTCCAGGAGATCGAGATTAGCGTGTTCCTCCCTCCCTCCCTCCCTCCCTCCCTCCCTCCCTCTCTCTCTCCCTCCCTCTCTCCGTCTCTTCCTCCCTCCCTCTCGTTTCTTTCTTTTTTCTTTTCTTTCTCTCTCTCTCTGTCTCCCTCTCTCTCCCTCTCCCTCCCTCCCTCCCCTCCTTCCTCCTCCTCTCTTTCTTTTGAGGTGGGGTCTCGCTAAGTTTCCCAGGCTGGTCTGGAACTCCTGGGCTCAAGTGATCCTCCTGCCCCAGCCTCCCAAAGTGCTGGGATTACAAGCATGCATGAGCCACTATGCCAGGCCTATTTTCCCTTTCCTGCTATTTCCTCCCAGCTAACGCGCTTTTAAAATTTGATACAAATTAATTTTTCTTTTTTTGTCTTTTGTTCAAATAATGATTTGATTTCTGTTCTCTGTCTGGGTCGCTTCAATAACATGGATACCTACACATAGTTTTATCAGTAAAGGTCATTGACATAATCAGTGTGTTGTGAGAACAAAGATAGGCCCTCATTTAAGCTGCTCCATTACTCATTTTATAAGTCAGAGAAGGAAGGGGACAGCGTCCTCTGTTTTCAGATGGCTATTGAAGTGAGTCAGAGTGACGGTGAGCAGCATGCATTGAATTCTAGCTGGAAAGAGGGTTTTTAGGCCTGCGTTTGAGCTTGCCCTGAATGAATAAGGCTGGAAACCTATAGGCCCTGGAGAACATTAATGAGGAATCTGCTTTCCCTGACAGCTCCTTGATAAACGAAATGATGGATGTGCAGCGTGCAGCCCTGAGCAAAGGCCTGGCAGCTCTGTGGCTGAGCCCTAGAGGGCTGAGCTGGGCCAGGGCTCCCAGTAGTTTGTTCAGGAGCACTGAGAGCCACAGCAGGTGCTGATCCAGCTCTTGCCTTCTTCGCGAGTATCTGACAAGTCTGCAGAGACCGCAGGAGCCTGGCTACTCCTTGAGTTCACTGTCTTGGAGCAAGCCTGTGGGGGAATCACATGCCCCCCCACTCTAGTGCCCATTGGGGACATGGAGGAGGGAGTTTCCCTATTTGCAGTTAGGTTTTGCGTGCTGTCCGCGAGCTTGGTTTCCCCTTTGGGTTGCACAGTGCTGAGATCTGAGCCCAAGGCAGTTGGGACATTAATGATGAGACAGAGGAGGCTTTGCTGTGTTCCACATCTATCAGGCTGCTTTGCCCAGGGAGACGCCCCCCTTGCTTGGGGTCTTGGGCTTGGGTAGGGGTTCTGGAATGTCTCCCCTCCAGCAGGCTCTGCCTCCTTGGCTTCCTTGATTCAGAGAGCAGTGCAGTGGCTTTGTTGAGGAGCAGCCCCTGTGGAGGCGCTCATGGGTGACAGGCTGTGGCTGAATAGTGGACAGCCCTGGTCACTGACATTAACATGGTGCAATAGAGCCTTCTTATGTGTTCCTTGGTTCCCACTGCCCTTTCATGGTCGGGTGTCCTGATTGTCTGTGGCTAGACTATGCCAACGTGATCAGTGTCCTTCCCAGAACCCCTGAAAGAGGGTCATAGATTGAGATGTCTGTCACCACCCCTGTCCATTGCAGAGTCACATACATGCTAGAGACCAGCTCGCCCTTGATGCGACCTGAGGACCTCGCCCGCTAGTCATTACAGGGAGGGGAAAGACAATAAAAAGATGAAAGAGAGTGCTGTCCCTGGTAATGGAAGTTACTCATCATTGTACCAGTGGGCAGCCACATAGGGATAGGTCGGAAGAGAAAGGGGAAAGAGTGAATAAAAAACGCTGATGTTTGTGAGGCCGAGAGAGGAACAGAACTATTACTGCTGGTCAAGGGGGCCATCCACTTAAAATGTTCACATCCTGTTTCAGCCACAAGCTGGCCAAGATCATCACATAAAGGGACAAACGTTGGCCCCAGAAAGAACGCATGGTCATCTTGAGTCAAGGCTGTCTCATTTGATGTCAGAATTCTTAAGAGCTGCTCTGGCTAGGTGCAGTGGCTCATGCCTGTAATCCCAGCACTTTGGGAGGCTGAGGCGGGTGGATCACCTGAGGTCAGGAGTTCGAGACCAGCTTGGCCAACATGGTGAAACCCTGTCTCTACTAAAAATACAAAAATTAGCCGGACGTGGTGGCAGGCACCTATAACCCCAGCTACTTGGGAAGCTGAGGCAGGAGACTCTCATTTGAACCTGGGAGGTGGAGGTTGCAGTGAGCTGAGATCAGGCCATTGCACTCCAGCCTGGGCAACAAGAGCAAAATCCTGTCTCCAAAAAAAAAAAAGAACTGCTCTTGGCTGGGTGTGGTGGCTCACACCTGTGATCCCAGTGCTTTGGGAGGCTGAGACGGGAGGATTGCTTGAGCCCAGGAGTTCGAGATTAGCATGGGCAACATAACAAGACCCCATCTCTTTAAAAAATTAGCCAGGCATGGTGGTGTATGCCTGTGGTCCCAGCAACATGGGAGGCTGAAGCAGGAGGATCACTTGAGCTCAGGAGTTGGAGGCTGCAGCGAGCCATGATGGCACCACTGCACTACAGCCTGGACAGCAAAGGAAGACCCTGTCTCAAAAAAAAAAAAAAAAAAAAGCAAGAAAAAAAAAGCATCCAGGTGTGGTGGCTCACACCTATAATTCCAGCACTTTGGGAGGCCGAGGCAGGCAGATCACCTGAGGTCAGGAGTTCAAGCCCAGCCTGGCCAACATGGTGAAACCCCGTCTCTACTAAAAATACAAAATATTAGCTGGATGTGGTGGCGGGTTCCTGTAATCCCAGCTACTCGGGAGGCTGAGGCAGGAGCATCGCTCAAACCCAGGAGGTGGAGGTTGCAATGAGCCGAGACTGCGCCATTGCACTCTAGCCTGAGCAACAAGAGCAAGACTCCGTCTCAAACAAACAAAAAAAACTACTCTCCAAACAGAACCTGCACCTACCCAATTGTGGTGGGTGCCCCTCCTGGGGCTCCTGCAGTAGCGGTGGTGTGGGAATTGAGAATCTTGCAAGTGCTATGAGGGAGCTGAGACACTGAGTGTGGCAGGGCCATGTGCCCAGAGCATGCACAACCCATCCTAACGTCTGCCGGGGAAGGTGGGGGATTTCTGTGCATTGCTTTTCAACCAGAAAGGTAATTTTTGTTCCCCAGGGGACACTCGGCAATGTCTGGAGACAGTTTTGGTTGTGACACTGGGTTAAGGAGTGCTACTGTCATCTAATGGATGGAGAGCAGGGATACTGCTGAACATCCCACAGTGCACAGGGCGGCCTCACAACAACCAAGACCACCTGGCCTCAAATGTCAGTAGGGCTAACATCCAGAAGCTCTGCGAGTCTGTGGGAAGCCCTGGATGCCCCAATCCTCTTTCATTTTCTTCTCACCACGTAGGACAGTTTAGCTGGACAGTACACAGGACTCATTCAAGGGGTCATGAGAGGAGACCTCATAGCATAAGGGTCAAGTACAAGGACTTTGCAGTCAGACTGACGTGGGTTTCAGTCCCTACCCATCCTAGTGGTGTGACCGAGAGCAAGTTGGGCATAGTGACATCTGTCTTGATTGACTTTGGAGTTTGACAGGCAGTACATGCAAAGTTCTCTATTCCCATGTCACTCAGAGTGAGTGTGCAAAACATACTATTGTTGGCATCCATCGTCATAAGAGTCACTGTGAACATGGGTGAGCTTAGCACCTTGTGGCACGGGGCTGTGGTGAGGGACTCAGACAGCTTTATGATTGAGTTTGGGCCTCAGCGAGATGGCAAAGCTATGCTTCTCTTGCTCCTTGGACCATGGTGACCTGTGAGGACCCCTGGGGGCTGCCTTCTCCACTGTTGCAGTTCAGGGAGCTAAGGCCAAAGGCTACTGCAGTGGTGGACTCTGGGGTCCCCCTGGTGACAAGGAAGGGACTTTGAGCTTTGGAATGCCCTGGGCTGAGTCTTGCCACCTGCAGGTTTGTGAACCTCATCATGCCTTGTTTTTAGCACAACAAAATGGGATAATAGTGACTTTATTATTGATATACTATTATGCTGTTTTCAGGTATGTGACACTGCTGCTATTTTACTGTTTCTTCCAGATTTCCGTGAGGGTGGAAGAAAATCATACCATATCAGATGCCTCGCAGAGCACCAGGCCCACCGTGAAAGGTACAGCAAATTTTACTTCCCTCTTCTTGCCTCGTTGGAAATTCTTTCCTGTGAGATTTCCTCCCCTCCGCCCTCCGCGCCTTCTGCCATAGCCTATAGCCTCCTCTGGGAGTTCTTGGATAATTTTGTTGCCTTATACCTTTGCAATTTCCAGTATGGTAGCCATGCGCCACATGTGGCTGTGGAGTGCTTGAAATGTGGCCAGTCTAGATTGAGATGCCTTGTAGAAGTATAAAATACACACTGGATTTCAAAGACTTAGTTCAAAAAGAAAGAAAGCAAGGTATCTTATTGATAATGTAATACAGTTTACATGTTGAAATGATCACTTGGATACGTGGAGTAAAATAGAATGTATTATTAAATGTAACTTCACCTGTTTTCTTTTGACATTTTTTTGTGGACCCAGAAAATTGATAGACAGGTGGATTTCCTTCACACTTACACACTTGTCTTGCTCAAGACCAGCCCTGCTTCCTCACTGGCTGCTCAGTCAAATGCCTCCTCCAGTTTAAGCTGTCCATCACGGGGCCACCCATTATGTGTCCATCTCATCTTCTCTGCTCAGTGCCTGTGCAGGCAGCTGGTGTTCCTGCTCCTCCCGCCCAGCTTTGCTTATGATGCTAGTCTTGAGTGCAGGCTGCTGAGCTTCTCACCTTTCTTCCCATACATGTAGAACCTCTCCTCCAGAAACATGGGGTACTTACCAGCTGGCAAGGAGCAGAGCTGGGGTTCACATTCATTTCTGTCTTGCTCCAAATCCATGTCCCTAATAGATTACTGTCTCCAATTGCTTTGTGGATGTAAACACATAGTAAGTTCCTAGAGAGCAGGGACCATTTTTATTTCTTTCATCTCTGCTGTTCAAGACCTTTCTAAAGCTTTTTTGAAAGAATTAAGATTTCTAGTCTCTTGCCCTTCCACTTTCTGCTATGTGAAGACACAGTGTTCCTGCCCTCTGCCCTCTGGATGCTACAGCAACAAGGTGCCATGTTGGAAGGAAGCAGAGAACATCCCTCACCAAATAATCAATCCTGCTGGTGCCTTAATTGTGAACTTCTCAGCCTGCAGAACTCACGAAGGTCATCACCATGTAGGCTGATTGATCTTGGACTTCCAAGCCTCCAGAACTCAAATCAGTGAATTTAAAAACATTTTATGGAGGGCGGGGCCAAGATGGCCAACTAGAAGCCACGGTGTTGGGAGGCTGCTATCAGAAAAGACCATAATAAGCGTGTGAATCCTTCATCAGCAACCAAGGTATCTGGGTTCTCTCATCAAAATTGACTAGAAGGCTGGCGTGACCCACAGAGAGAAGGAAGAACAGTGTGGTGTGGCGGCCCACCTGAGAGTCACATGGGAAAGGGAACCCCCTCACTCCAGATAAGGCAGGAGGTGAGTGAGCACGCTACCCAGCCGGGGAAACTGCTTTTCCACAGAACTGTGAAACCCACGGATTGGAAGATCTCACTCGTGAACCCACGCCACCAGGGCCTCGTGTCCCAGCCCCAGAACACACAGATTCTTACAGCCTCTCAGCTGGAATCCGCTTAAGCTTACCAAACTCCTCGGGGAGGGGTGACCAGTACCAGCTGCAGCTGCCTGCTGTCTAAGCCCTTTGAACTCCTGCAGGGAGGGGCAGCAGCCAGCACTGGCAACTGCCTAACATGCTAAGCTCCCTGGACAGGGGGAAGGGTGGCACCCATTTCTGTAGCTACAGGCTACGCTTTTCCCCTGCTAGAGCCAGGGAGGCTGGACAGCTTGGTCCCAAGACTTGTCCCCACAGCCCAACACACTGGCTGTGGCAGTCTGCGGCTAGAGTGCCTCTTCAGGCCCAATCCCAACCCATCCTTTCTTAGTTGGGGTGTGTGTGGGGCGGGGCGCTTCCCTGCTGGATCTCCAGTAACTCCAGCCAGAGGCTAAGGGACAGAATTTGGATCTCCTGGGCCTCAGCCCATAGGGGAGGGGTGGCCGCAGTCTCTGCTGACCAGCAGATTTAGCTTTTCCTCCTGGTAGTTCCAAGGAATCTGGACAGCCCAGATGAGTGGGTTTCCCCCAAGCAAAACACACCCTCTCCACCAAGGGACAGAGTGCTCCATTAAACGGGTCCTGCTCCCTGTGTCACCCAACTGGGTGAGACCCTTCAACAGGGCTTGTCAGATACCCTCTGCAGGAGTGATCCTACTGGCATCAGGTTGGTGCCCCTTGAGGTCAGAGGTCCCAGAAGAAGGAGTAGGCACCCATCTTTGCTGCTCTCCAGCATCCTTAATGACATCTCCAGGCATGGGAGCGAATCAGATGAATAAGGCCTGAAGGTGAACCACCAGCAAACTGCAGCAGCCCTACAGAAGAGGGACTGGACTACTGAAAGAAAAACAAGCAGAAAGTGACAACAACAGCATCAACAACAACAATCAAATAAAAGGTCCCCACAAAAATCTCATCCAAGGGTAGCAGCCTCAAAGACTGAAACTAGACAAACTCATGAAGATGAGAAAGAATGAAAAAATGCTGAAAACCCAAAAGGCCAGAGTACCTCTTCTCCTCCAAATGATTACAACATCTCTCCATCAAGGGCACAGAACTGGACGGAGGATCAGATGGATGAATTGACAGAAGTAGGCTTCAGAAGATGGGTTATAAAAAACTACAATGAGCTAAAGGAGCATGTTCTAACCTAATTCAAAGAAGCTAAGAACCTTGATAAAAGGTTAGAGGAATTGCTAACTAGAATAACCAGTTTAGAGAGGAACATAAGCAACCTGATGGAGCTGAAAAACACAGCACGAGAACTTTGTGAAGCACACACAAGTATCGTGAAGCATAAACAAGTATCAACAGCTGAATCGACCAAGTAGGAGAAAGGATATCAGAGTTTGAAGACCACCTTACTGAAATAAGACATGCAGACAAGAATAGAGAAAAAAGAATGAACAAAGCCTACCAGAAATATGGGACCTCATAAAAAGACTGAACCTACGATTGAGTGGAGTACCAGAAGGAGGTGGGGAGAATGGAAACAAGCTGGAAAACACACTTCAGGGTATTATCCAGGAGAACTTCCCCAGACTACCAAGACAGGCCAACCTGCAAATTCAGGAAATACTGGGAACACCATTAAGATACTCTATGAGACGATCAACCCCAAGACACATAATCATCAGATTTTCCAAGGTCGAAATGAAGGATAAAACTAAGGGCAGCCAGAGAGAAAGGCTAGGTCACCTACAAAGGGAAGCCCATCAGACTGACAATGGACTTCTCAGCAGAAACTCTACAAGCCAGAAGAGATTGGGGGCCAATATTCAACATTCTTAAAGAAAAGAATTTTCAACCCAGAATTTTATATCTAGCCAAACTAAGCTTTCTATAAAATCCTTTCCAGACAAGCAAATGCTGAGGGATTTTGTTACCACTAGGCCTGCCCTGCAATGTCTCCTGAAAGAAGCACTAAATATGGTAAGGAAAAACTGGTACTAGCCACTGCAAAAACACATGAAAATATAAAGACCAATGACACTACAAAGAAACTGCATCAACTAATGTACAAAATAACCAAATAGCATCATGATGACAGGATCAAATTCACACATAACAATATTAACCTTAAATGTAAATGGGCTAAATGCCCCAATTAAAAGACACAGACTAGCAAATTGGATAAGGAGTCAAGACTCATTGGTGTGCTGTATTCAGGAGACCCATCTTACATGCAGAGACACACACAGGCTCAAAATAAAGGGATGGAGGAAAATTTACCAAGCAAATGGAAAGCAAAGAAAAAAAGCAGGAGTTGCAATCCTAGTCTCTGACAAAACAGACTTTAAACCAGCAAAAATAAAAACAGACAAAGAAGGGCATTACATAATGGTAAAGGGAACAATTCAACAAGAAGAACTAACTATTCTAAATGTATATATATGCACCCAATACAGGAGCACCCAGATTCATAAAATAAGTTCTTAGAGACCTGCAAAGAGACTTAGACTCCCACACAATAATAGGGGGAGACTTTAACACCCCACTGTCAGTATTAGGTCAGTGAGACAGAAAATTAACAAGGATATTCAGGACTCGAACTCAGATCTGGATCAAGTGGACTTAGTAGAAGTCTACAGAACTCTCTACCCCAAATCAACAGAATATACATTCTTCTCAGTGCCACATGGCACTTATTCTAAAATCAACCACACAATTGGAAGTAAAACACTCCTCAGCAAATGGAAAAGAACTGAAATCATGACAGACAGTCTCTCAGACCACAGTGCAATCACATTAGAACTCAGGATTAAGAAACTCATTCAAAACCACATAATTTCGTGGAAATTGAACAACTTGCTCCTGGATGACTCCTGGGTAAATAATGACATTAAGGCAGAAATCTAGTATTTCTTTGAAACCAATGAGAACAAAGAGATAATGTACCAGAATTTCTGGGACACAGCTAAAGCAGTGTTAATAGGGAAATTTTGCACTAAATGCCCACATCAGAAAGCTAAAAAGATCTCAAATCAGCACCCTAACATCACAATTAAAAGAGCTAGAGAGGCAAGAGCAAACTAATCCAAAAGCTGGCGGAAGGTAAGAAATAACTAATATCAGAGAAGAATCGAAGGCGATAGAGACGCAAAAAAGCCCTCCAAAAAATCATTGAATCCAGGAGCTGGTTTTTTGAAAAAATTAACAAAATAGATAGACTGCTAGCTAGACTAATAGAGAAGAATCAAATAGACAATAAAAAATGATAAAGGGGATATTACCACTGACCCTACAGAAATACAAACTACTATCAGAGAATACTATAAACACCTCTATGCAAATAAATTAGAAAATCTAGAAGAAATGAATAAATTCCTGCACGCATACACCCTACCAAGACTAAACCAGGAAGAAGTTGAATCTCTGAATAGACCAATAAGCTCTGAAATTGAGGCAGTAATTAATAGCCTAGCAACCAAAAAAAGCCCAGGACCAAATGGATTCACAGCTGAATTCTACCAGAAATACAGAGGAGCTGGTACCACTCCTTCAGAAATTATTCCAAACATTTGAAAAGGAAGGACTCCTCCCTAACTCATTTTATGAAGCCAGCATCATCCCAATACCCAAACCTGGAAGAGACACAGCCAATATCATACTAAATGGGCAAAAGCTGGAAGCATTCCCTTTGAAAACTGGTACAAAACAAGGATGCCCTCTCTCACCACTCCTATTCAACATAGTATTGGAAGTTCTGGCCAGGGCAGTCAGGCAAGAGAAAGAAAGAAAGGGTATTCAAATAGGAAGAGAGGAAGTCAAGTTGTCTCTGTTTGCAGATGATGTGATTTTGTATTTAGAAAACCCTATCATCTCAGCCCAAAAACTTCTTGAACTGACAAGCAGCTTCAGTGAAGTCTCAGGATACAAAATCAATGTGCAAAAATCACAAGCATTCCTTTACACCAACAGTAGGCAGGCAGAGAGACAAATCATGAGTGAACTCCCATAGACAATTGCCACAAAGAGAATAAAATACCTAGGAATACAAGTAACAAGGGATGTGAAGGACCTCTTCAAGGATAACTACAAATCACTGCTCAAGGAAATAAGAGAGGACACAAACAAATGGAAAAACATTCCATGCTCATGGATAGGAAGAATCAGTATCATGAAAAGGGCCATATTGCCCAAAGTACTTTATACATTCAATGTTGTTCCTGTCAAACTACCATTGACATTCTTCACAGAATTAGGAAAACCTATTTTAAATTTCATATGGAATCAAAGAAGATCCCACGTAGCCAAGACAATCCTAAGCAAAAAGAACAAAGCTGGAGGCATCATGCTACCTGACTTCAAACTATACTACAAGGTTACATTAACAAAAACAGCATGGTATGGGTACCAAAACAGACATATAGACCAGTGGACCAGAACAGAGACCTCAGAAATAACACCATACATCTGTAACCATCTGATCTTCGACAAATCTGCCGAAAACAAGCAATGGGGAAAGGATCTCCTTATTCAGTAAATGGTGCTGGGAAAACTGGCTAGCCATATGCTGAAAACTGAAACTGGACCCCTTCCTTACACCTTATACAAAAATTAATTCAAGATAGATTAAAGACTTAAATGTAAAACCCAAAACCATAAAAACCCTAGAAGATAACCTAAGCAATACCATTCATGACATAGGCATGGGCTAAGAGTTCATGACTAAAACACCAAAAGCAATTGCAACAAAAGCCAAAATTGACAAATGGGATCTAATTCAACTAAAGAGCTTCTGCTCAGTAAAAGAAACTATGATCAGAGTGAACAGGCAACCTACAGAGTGGGAGAAAACTTCTGCAATCTACCCATCTGACAAAGGTCTAATATCCAGAATTTGCAAGGAACTTAAACATATTTACAAGAAAAAAACAACCCCATCAAAAAGTGGGCAAAGGATATGAACAGACACTTCTCAAAAGAAGACATTTACACAGCCAACAAGCATGGTAAAAAGCTCAACATCACTGATCATCAGAGAAATGCAAATCAAAACCTCAATGAGATACCATCTCATGCCAGTCAGATGGCGATTATTGAAAGGTCAGAAAACAATAGTTGCTGGCAAGGCTGTGGGGAAATAGGAATGCTTTTACACTGTTGGTGGGAATGTAAATTAGTTCAACCATTGTGGAAGACAGTATGGCGATTCCTCAAGGATCTAGAACCAGAAATACCATTTGACCCAGTAATCCCATTTCTGGATATATACCCAAAGTAATGTAAATCATTCTGCTATAAAGATGCATGCACGTGTATGTTTCTTATAGCACTATTTACAATAGCAAAGACATGGAACCAACCCAAATGGCCATCAGTGATAGACTGGATAAAGAAAATGTGGCACATATACATCATGGAATACTATGCAGCCATAAAAAGGAATGAGATCATGTCCTTTGCAGGGACATGGATGAAGCTGGAAGCCATCATCCTCAGCAAACTAGCACAGAAACAAAACCAAACACCGCATATTCTCACTCATAAGGGGGAGTTGAACATTGAGAACACATAGACACAGAGAGGGGAACAACACACACCAGGGCCTGTTGGGGAGTGGGGATGAGAGGAGGGAACTATGAGGGTCAGTAGGGATGGTGCTACTAATTAGGTAGTAGGGTGCTGCAGCAAACCACCATGACACACATACACCTGTATAACTAACCTGCACGTTCTGCGCATGTATCCTGTTTTTTTTGTTTTTTTTTTGTTTTTTTAGAAAAAGCCGGGTGCGGTGGCTCACACCTGTAATCCCAGCACTTTGGGAGGCCAAGGCGGACGGATCACAAGGTCAGGAGATCGAAATCATCCTGGCTAACATGGTGAAACACCGTCTCTACTAAAAAAAAATACAAAAAATTAGCCGGGCGTGGTGGCGGGCACCTGTAGTCCCAGCTACTCGGGAGGCTGAGGCAGGAGAATGGCATGAACCCGGGAGGTGGAGGTTGCAGTGAGCTGAGGCGACAAAGCGAGACTCTGTCTCAAAAAAAAAAAAAAAAAAAAGATTTCTAGTACATTGCCTAAAAGAACCCTTGGATGAAGTCAGACACATGGGTAGTATGAGACCCCAGATAGCATCATTTTGTATGTACAGAATCGCTTTTTTTTTTTTTTTTTTTTGAGTCAGGTTCTCACTCTGTCACCCAGGCTGGAGTGTTAGTTATGTGGTCATGGCTCACTGGAGCCTTGATCTCGTGGGCTCAAGTGATCCTCTTGCCTCAACCTCCCAAGTAGCTGGGATTACAGGCACACGCCACCATGCCTGGCTAATTTTTGTATTTTTTGTAGAGATGGGGTTTTACCATGTTGCCCAGGCTGGTCTCGAACTCCTGGGCTCACGCGATCAGCCCACCTCGGCCTTTCAAAATGCTAGGTTTACAGGTATGAGCCACTGTGCCTGGTCTAGAATTGCTTTTAGTGGATGATTTTTTGCTGTCACTGTTAATGGCGTGCATTTTCTGAGTTATCAGAGATGGCCCTGCATGCTGCGAGTCTGTGTTGACTGTACTGTTGGCTGTGTGTGTGGAGGGCAGGAAAGTGCCGTCCTTGCTGTAACTTGTGTTATTAATGATATGGACACTGTGAGTTGCTTCTAGAGAGCTACACCTCACTTCTGTGTCAGCAAATGAAGGCCCAGGAACTGACAGCGTTCCCTCTAGCTTTAATTGCGGTATAATCACCACACCCTAACATTCTCCTGTTTTACCTTTGGCAACATCTAGAGTTTGGTTGTCACAGCTGATGGGGTGGGGGTGCTATGGCATTGGGTGGGTAGAGGCCAAGGATGCTGCTGGGCATCCTACACTGCCCAGGACAGCCCCCCACAAATTATCCAGCCCTAAATGTCTACAGTGCCACAGGTAAGAAATCCTGGACCGTAGGGTAGACAGATTTGACTGGAGTGGAGAAATTGTATCCTGGGGTAAGTGGGATTTGGATTGCAGTTAGTGCAGAGCTTGTGTGTGTGGAACGCCTTGGACACTGGACTAATCCAAGAAGTTGGGTGGGGAGGAGGGGGGCTTTTTCTTTAGGTCCTGGAAACCATTAAAAACCTTTGAACAGGTGCTTTAGAAAGACAAAACTGGCATCTGTCTGAAGGATGGATTACAACAGGCACCAGCAGACTGTGGCCCACGGGGCCGTGTCCAGACTTGGCACACAACCATGCCCATTCATTCATGGGTTGTCTCTGGCTGCTGTGATGGTTAACTTTATGTGTCATCTTGGCTAGGCCATAGTATTCAGATATTTGGTCAGGTACTTAGGAATGTTGTTGTGAAGGTATTTTTTAGATGAAATAAACACATCAGTAGACTTTGAGTAAGGCAGATGACTTCCATAATGTGGGTGGACCTCATCCAATCAGTTGAAGGCCTTAAGAAAAAGACTGAGGTCCGCCAAAGAGGAGGGAATTCTACCAGTATCCTGCCTTTGGATTTGAGACTGTGACATCTGCGCTTTCCTGGGTCTCTGGCCTGCTCTGGAAAGTTTGGGCTTGCCGGCCTCCACAATTGTGTGAACCAGTTCCTTAGAATCTGTCCATCTGTCCGTCCATCCATCCATCCATCCATCCACGCACGCACACATAAACAAACCCTATTGGCACTGTTTCTCTGGACAGCCCTGACTAACATCACTGCTTTCTTGCCACAGCAGCCAAGTTGAATACGTGCTTGTAAGTACAGGGATTGTGTGGCCCACAAAGTAGAAAATATTTACTCTCTGGCCCTTTACAGAAAAAAGGCCAAGCATTGGATTTGGTAAGTGAAGTCCTTCCATGAAACTGAGAAGTGCTGAGTCAGTACTCAATGGGAGTTAAAACAGAGAAACTGTAAAAGCCAAGAGGGCTCAGGATGGTGATAATCACGGTCTTTCATTCTTTTCTCCTGTGCACATTTGACCCGCTGGCATGCAGGAGATTTAATCTCTCTAATCCAGAATGTGTTTTAGGGAATGGCTTGCCTGGCTTGTGGGTTGAAATGTTCTCTCCTCAGATGTGGCTCCTGCAATATCAGCTCACCTGATGACAAGAAGTGGAAGCCATGTAACCACCTGAGACGCAAGTTAATTAGGGTTTATCAGAAAGACAACCTGAACCCCTGTGGGATGTGCTGTGGGTGAAGAAAAGATACCAGTATTCTGTGATTCCAAATAGGAGATTTTAAAAATTCTACCCCTGGAGGATGGGTTGGCATTTGTCTTCCAAACATAGGTTAAATACGTTTTATTTCTGTCTGTTTTGTACACATTTTAATCATTTTCCAGCTCACAATTACAGTTGGTACTTCTCAATTCTCAGTGAATTGTGTAGTGGAATTGTTTGCAACATCATACTTTGGAAATGACGTTGGCAATTAAAGTTTTGGTCCAAGTTTAATAATGAAGACTATTTGAAAGGCCAAAACCGATGGATGCTTTTGAGATGAAATAGTCATTTGGGAAGAAAATGAGGGCAGGTTGTCTACTTCTTAACATTTATCTGTTTTTTTTTCTTTTTTGAGAGGGTCTTGCTCTGTTGCCTGGGTTGGCGTGCGGTGGCGCGATCTCAGGTCACTGCAGCCTCAACCTCTGGGGCTCAAGTGATTCTCCCACCTCAGCCTCCCAAGTAGTTGGGATTACAGACACATGCCACCACTCCCAGCTAGTTTTATTTTTTTGTAGAGATGGGGTCTCCCTATGTTGCCCAGGCTTGTCTTTAACTCCTGGTCTCAAGTGATCCTCCTGCCTCAGCCTCCCAAAGTGTTGGGATTACAGACATGAGCCACCTTGGATTACAGGCATGAGTCACCACGCCTGGCCTTAACATTGATCTTGATGACACTGAAATCGTTGATGTGTGCCAAGGGGGTTCCTTTTTCTAAATGGAAGCTCACTGTTTTGGGTATCCATGAATTCATCATAGATATGAAGAGAAAGTTTGAAATGCCCACCAGCTGTCTGTGGTAGCACCTACATTTGTGTTACTCATGACCAATGCAGCTTTCAAGTTTATGACACGTGGCACCCCCTGAGCTTAACTACCTGGTTGCTAATGTCTTTGGACATCACTGTATTTGTTATGTCAGGGTTCCTTTTGCTAATTGCTCTTGTGGGCTTTCAGACTTTCTCTATGTACGTTTTTTTGTTTTTTGGTTTTTTTTTGGGAGATGGAGTCTCTGTTGCCCAGGCTGGAGTGCAGTGGCGTGATCCACTGCAACCTCCACCTCCCGGGTTCAAGTGTTTCTCCTGCCTCAGCATCCCTAGTAGCTGGGACTACAGGCATGCGCCACCACGCCTGGCTAATTTTTTGTAGTTTTGGTAGAGATGGGGTTTCACCACGTTGGCCAGGCTGGTCTTGAACTCCTGACCTCAGGTGATCCTCCCGCCTCAGCCTCCCAAAGTGCTGGGATTACAGGCATGAGCCACCGCACCCGGCCAGTGTAAGTCTTTTGAAACACAGACACCTAGTGCCTTTCCCGTGAGTCTTTCAGGGAAAGATTGAGTTCCGTGTCAGGTTGGAGTTGCTGATCAAGCGACTGACTATACGGCTTCCTAGCCCCCTTTATTTGAAAAACCAGCGTGGTCTTCACTTTTCCCTTGAGCCTACAACCACAGGGTGCCTGTTCATGTATTTCCAGGACCTTATGCGGCTCCTTTGCTCTGCTTATTCCGAGAACCAAGCCTTGGGACTGTGCATTTTGAATACAAATGAAGGCACCCGGAGGAAGCCCCCAGAGTCTCGGCACAGTTGAGGAAACAAACAAAGCATGCTACACGTGCAGGAAGATCCCTCTTTAATTCCTATGATGACCTCTCTGCTTTTTTATTTTTTAAGTTAAAAGGAGTCAATGCTTTGGGTTTTGTTAGACTGGACAAGGTAGCAAGTCATATTAAACTAACCCAGGTTGTTGCTTGAGTTTTCACTGAACTTAGACTCTACTGACGAGTATAGTCAAGCAGAAATTCCCCTCACGAGGTGGCCTGATGGTGTACTCCAGTGGGGGGGTGCAGAAGATTTGGAGGGATCTGCTTCCCGACTGGGGCAGGTTAACCTCTTTCTGCCTTAGTTACCTCTTTGCATGTCCTAAGAGCACCTGCTTATCAGATCCTTAGGAGGATTCACTGAATTCGTCCACTTGGAATCCACATGGAAGGCTGCCTGGCATGTAGGAGGTACCCAGTAAATTTTAGACTCCTGTTATTTTTGCCAGTTGGATTCAACAGATGTTTGTTCCCTGGACTAGTGTTTCTCACCTGGGGGTGATCTGCACCTAGGGGACATTTGACAAAGTCTGGAGACATTTTGGGTTGTCACAGCTTGGGGAGGGAGTGTTACTGGCATCCAGTGAATAGTAACCAGGTGTATTAGTTTTCTGTCGCTGTAAAGGAATACCTGAGACTGGGTAATTTAGAGGTTTATTTGGCACATAGTTCTACAGGCTGTACAGGCATGGTGCCGGCATCTGCTTGGTTTCTTGGGAGGCCTCAGAGCTTTTGCTCATAGCAGAAGGCAAAGGGAGAGCAGGTGTCTCACATGGCAAGAGAGGGAGCAAGAGACAGAGGGAAGGCTAGGCTCTTTTAAACAACCAGCTCTTGCATGAACTGAGGGAACTCACTCAGTACCAGGGGGAGGGCACCAAGCCATGGTTCCTCCATGAACCAAACACCTCCCACCAGGCCCCACCTCCAGCAGTGAGGATTACCCCACTACATTTCACTGTGAGATTTGGAAAGGGAAGACATCCAAACTATGTCACCAAAGATGCTGCTAAGCATCCTACCGTGCACAGAGCAGCCCCCATAACAGGGTTACCTGGCACCAGAGTGTCAGTAGTGTTGAAGTTAGGCTACACTGTAGTTCACTTGCTTATTGTGTGTAGGAAGACCGGAGGCCAGTTACCTGGCAATAACAACAACAACATCAAAACCCCCTCAAACCCAAAACAAAAAAACCCCACATGACACTGTGAGTGTTTTTTTTTTAATTTGCAGGAGATTGAGTCTTAATCCAGTTGAAGACCTTTATTTCCTTGCTAGTTACAGAGAGGTTTTTCCTGGTTCGTTGCCTGTGTTTGTTGCAGTTAGTTTTTATTGACCTTTCTAGGGTTCATGTGTGTCCCTTGGGTTTGCCATGTTTTGTTCTCCAAAGCCCCAGGAGGGTTCCCCAGTAACAGAGACTGTGTTAGATTTTTAACATTTTCTTTTACTTTTTGTTTTAAATGATTTCTTTTGATTAATTACACACTCACACTGCGTTGCAAACATAGTGCTGTCAGATCCCAGTACTGTGTCCTTTACCGGCTTTCCCCAAGGGGAGTGGCTTCTCACAGGATCATAGAGCAGGAAAACCCAGGAAATCCACGTTGGTGCAACACAGTTACCTAGCCTTGGAGCCCTTACTTGGATTTCACCCTTTTTGCGTGTACTCATTTGTGAGTTGCATGTTAAAGATGAGAGTCAGTAATATATTTCCAAATGTCAACAGAACATAAATTGAGCAGAAGAGTTTATAATGAGATGGAGGATTGAGCAGAAGAGCTCATAGCGAGCCAGGGCGAACAACCTGGCGAGGAGCTCCTTGACTTTCTTGGAGGCCGAGGTGGGAGCGTTGGTGACAACCCCCGGGAAGGCAGATGTTATCAGGAGTTAAAATGTGATGTGTGTACCGCTCATGTGTGTATGGGGTGTGCTCCTTTTGTTTTTGATGCTGAAATGAGACAAATCATTTCCCTTTTAAGCTCCAGGCAGACTGATGGAGGGGGGAAAAATAACACCCAACTTACTGCAACCTGAAATCCTTTGCCTTGGATCCACTTCCTAAGTTCCTATAGTCCTTATTTTATAAACTGATAAAACAACTTTTCTCTCTCAAGTGATGATCATCTTGTGTTTTACACTAATTAAGCCCATATACACCTCCCTTTGGAATTCCTTCTTCTGATCTGCTTGGCCTGTTTGCCAGTTAGTCGCCTTACTAGGAGAATCAAAATGTAAACTCATAATAGACAGGAACCCAACATCATCAGCACAGGATGTGGCAGAATGATTTTTCTTTCCCACCTCTTGCTGAGAAGGCAATGAGATTGGAAATGGCAAACACCCCAGAGTTCTGTAACTCTGAGTGTGGAAGAGGAGGTGGCAGCCCTTGACCTCAGTAGCGGAGCCAGATCATCGAACATCCCCGTCCAGGAATCTGGACATGCACTGGTCAAGAATTCAGCACAATTTCCTTTGGTCTGGGGATTGGGAAGCTCTTTTTGTGAGTGAGGCATGGAGTGAAATTGCAGAAGCCTGCGTGACTTGTAGAAACCGAAGCCAGGCTCGTTTACTGCCTTGCACAAGGGAGATATGATAAGACAGAATTTATTTGTGAGTGTCGTCGATGCCAAGGAGCCTGTCCAACATTTATAGAGGCTTTTGGGCTAAACGAAAAAGGGTTTGATCTGTCTGTGGAGACAGAAAGTAGATGAGTGGTTGCCTAGGACTGGGGCTTTAGGCGGGTAAGAGGTTGTCACTGCTAAAGGGTACAGGGTTAATGGAAATTCTTGAAATTGTGCTGATGGTGGCTGCACAACTCTGCAGGTACTAAAAGTTGTTGAGTTGTACTCGAAATGGGTCCACTGTATGGCATGTGTTTTATATCTCAATAAACCTGTCAAAAAAGGGTGCAGGACCACTGTTTTTGTACATGTCCTCAAAATACTTCCTGTAATCTAGTGTGGTCACAGCTGGTTCATGTGCACGGACATAGTGTCAGTGTCATTGTGGAGATAGCAGTTTCAGATTCACTGGTTCCAGAAAATGTGTCCCTGCCTGTTATCTCCGTGTTGCCACAATTAAGAACCAAGGGTCCATAACAAGCAGTGAAACCATGGTTCATATCAGAGGAAGTGGGGTGGTGTCATCTCTTTTGTATTTTTCTCTTTTCTCTCCCCCACTGCCTTTGCCCACTTCCTTCTCCAAAATAAAACAAAAGAGAGAAAGCAAGAGATAAGTGGCTGAGCTGAATGTGGTCCAGCCCTTTAGAAGAGGGGAGTACACATACTGGAGGGAAGATAAGCGAAAATACAGCCTTTCTCAAGGGCCAGCACAGACGGAGATAAAGAGAGAGCCACAGGCACACTGGCCAAGCATCAGCTCCTCAAGCATCCATCTCACTATTCAGGGTGGGGAAATACTTGATACCTCAAGTCCTCTTTATCATCGCAGATGAAAACTGACATAGGTGATTTCCTTTCGGAGCATTTAGGGAGAATGCAAGGGAAATTGACAACACACTTGGTGCAATTGGGTAACCAGTCTTTGTGTTGCCCTCCAATGACTCTTGCTTGGAAATGATTGGAAGCCCATCGTTTTAAGTCATTGGAACGACTGTCCCCTTCATAAAGCATGATGTAGCAAAATGAAAAGCATACTTCTGGTTAAAAGTGTTTTTCAAAAAAAGCTTACCACATTGAGGAGGTCATTTCATATTTCCTGATATTCAGCAATTTTGCTGTGAGCTTTGTAGAGTTGTTCTGGTGCTTAGTTCAAATAAGAAAGGAATTACTGAAATTGCACATTAAGTTAAAAAAAAAATCAGGGTTTTGGGTCCTGAGACTTGTTACCTAAACATCTGTCTTGCTATTTTGTTACAGCACAAAGTAGGAATTGTAAAACATCTTCGTTATAAACTGAGTACTATACAGTCTCTGGGAGAGCAGAAGAAACGTGGTAGGAAGGAACCACCCAGGGTGGGTAATGACAGAGTAGAGATAGTCAGATAGGGCCGGAGACAAGGCCAGGAAAGGCGAGAGGAAGAGCCTGCAGGAACGAGTTTCTTGCACGTTTGAGAGCTGGACCTGCCAAGAGGGTAAGGCCAACATCTGTGTGTGTTCTTTGAGGAAATCCGAGTAGCCTGCCCTGCCTTTGACCCTCTGCTCTTTGAACTGTGGATTCCTTCCCATACACCTGTGCATTCTCAGTGCCGTGGTCAGATCCCCAAACAGACACCAAACCCCGACCTCCGAGGCCCAGGCAGGAGCATAACCCAGCCCCAAGGGGAGATAAAGACAGAAAGAATCAGTATTATAGCAGGGACCTTTTTCAGGAATCTGCCTTCTGCAGGGCAGTGCCCTAGGTGCATTCAAGCCAGCATAGCAAATCCACATCACTAGAAAGACTCTTTCCGTTTTATAACTTGGGAAACTAAGGCCAAGGCAGTGACAAATGCCAGGTCCCCAAACTCTGAACTGCAGATCTGCAAGCTGAATGGTGGCAGGTGGGCCAGTGGGATTTTAAAGCCGTGTGCTTTTCAGGGCACCCTGGTGCTTCTCCAAATGCCGGAAGGGTTTCCTTGAAAATTCATAGCACTACTCAGTCAGGATTCTGCAGGACAGTGCCCTGGGGAGTGCATGAGTGGATGGTTCTGTGGGTAGAAGCCACGAGCTGAAGATAGTTTTACATGTTTAAAGAGTAAAGAGACTGGGAGCGGCGGCTCATGCCTGTAATCCCAACACTTTGGGAGGCTGAAGTGGGAGGATTACTTGAGCCCAAGGAGTTCAAGACCAGCCTAGGCAACATAGCAAGACCTTGTCTCTAAAAATAAATAAAATAAAATAAAAGCCAGGCATGGTGGCAGTGCTCCTGTAGCCCCAGCTATGCGGGAGGATTGTTTGAGCCCAGGAGTTCGAGGCTGCAGTGAGCCATGTTCATGCCAATGCACTCCAGCCTGGGCAACAGAGCCAGATCCTCTCTCAAAAAAAAAAAAAAAAAAGAAAAGAAAAAAACAGTACCTTGTTGATACATGGAAATGATGTGACATTCAGATAAAGTTTTACTGGAGCTCCGCCATGCCCATTCATGGACATATTTTCTATGGTTGCTTTTTCACAACAAGGGGTGTTGCAACCATGGCAACAGACACTGTCTGTCTTGCGAAGCCTAAGATATTTGCTCTCTGGTCCTCTGCAGAACTAGCGTGTAGTTCTGAGTGCTTGAAGGCACGTACCATCTTGGTGGTGTGACTTGGACTTTCACCTCTCCTGATCCCTTCTTCATTTCCACCCTACTCTCATCTTGCCTTGCTTGCAGAAGCCTGGTATTTTCATAATTCGAGAGTCACTTACTTCATGTGAAGTCTTGTCCCAGTTAAAGTGCCAATAGTCCTGGGAGAGGTAATACATTAAACCTTATCAGTTATTTATACCTCAGGATTGGAAGGGATTGTTGCTGGCTTTGTCCTATAACAGCTGCGACCAGAGGACAGAGCCTAAGGGCTGTTGCATGAAATGAGGGAGGTGTGGGTCACCTCTGTGCAGGGCATGAGAAGAGAGGAGGCTGGGTCATCTGAAAGATGACCTTTGTTCATGGCCTTTTTCTGTATCCTCCTCAGTCACCCAGAAATTGGGATTGTTGGTGACAATCTTTTGGGAATTGGTGTTAGCTTCGGAGAGCCACTTAGCCTGAAGACCCTCCTTACTCCGTTATCATAGAACCAGAGTGGTAGCCACACAGGCAGACTGTCCATGCTGACGTGTAAGGCAGGGCCTTACACCTCCTACCCATGTAGGAGGTGGTGGAGCTGGGATTTTACATGGACAGCCTTCTGCTCCCCTGGTGCTTAGCTACATTCTAGTGCCTTCTGTGCAATGCCAGCTTAACATACATATGAAGTGTGCTGACCCAATCTCCTGCCTTTGCGTTCACTATTTTAGATGGTTGTGTCACCTTGAGCCTGGACTAGGGAGATAACACGTGAAGGAGATGCCGCGTGGTTTCTGTCTTGTCCATGGTACGTGGAACACATTCCCCTCAGTAACATTATGGTTGAGACATGGAATGCCACAATGTACAGTTGCCACCATATGGTATACTTCATATATATACACATATATATTTATTTAGTTTATTTTAATTTTTTTAGAGACAGAGTCTTGCTCTGGTGCCTAGGCTGGAGTACAGTGGTGCAGTCGTAGCTCACTGCAGCCTCGATCTCCTGGGCTCAGTGATCCTCCCACTGCATTGTCCCAAAGCGCTTGGATTATAGGTGTAAGCCACTGGGCCCGGCCTACTTGTATATTTTTCATTGCAAATGTACATTTCAGTTACGTTGTGGGCTTTAAAAAGCCTTTCTAGGCTAGTTGGGAATTTGACCCTATTTTTTACAGCATAGTTTCTAGGAGAAAAACATTTCTGAGGAAGTAACAAAAGAAGACTTGGGCTGTATCCCATTTTTAATTTAGAGAGCACTGTCATTTGAAAATTTCTTCTCTCAACATGTTTTCTTTTTGAGACATGAAGTAGGCAGGCAGGATCTTTTTTACAGTGGCGCTGGTGTCTTTGGGAAGCGGCTTCCTTGGTTTGCCTTTGCTCATTTTCTTTCTTGACTTCTCCAGGCATTCAGCTGCAGGCATGTACCTCTGCTGCTGGGAGAGTGGCAAGGAGAGGGGGTTGGAGGAACGGGGATAAAAATTAGCTAGAATTCAAAAACGGCAGTGACAGCCCAGATGATTTTTCATGCTAACCTACTTTAAAAGCTGCCAGAATAATTGTGGAGTGGGAAATCTCTCATTTCTCCTGTCCTACTCTGACAAGATCTAAAAATAACTTTGAGGAGATGGGCATGTGGCCCTTTGATCTCCTTGGCCTGGAGTATTTCTTGGTAGGAGCAGAGCTTACAAGAAGGTGTTCTTCAATGAGTGTTCTGGCAGTCGGAGTTGTGGGTGGGGCTGATTACTGTAATCTTCCTTCGTCATTGAACGATTTCATCTGCCCCTGGTTTCCATTACTTGCTGCTCTAAATATTCCTCTCCCCGCACCTTCCTTTTATGTAGCCACAAACTGGAATATGTGCATGGAAAACCCAAAGGAGGCAAATCCCACTTACACTGCAGAACTTTGGTGCTGGATTTAGCGGCTATTTACCAAGCACCTCCTCTTCCAGAATAAGTAGCACAGATCTTTGACCGCCCCCCGCCCCCCACCGAGGGACTGTGGTCTAGTTGGAAGACACAAGGCAGAGGTGTAAAAAGGGAACTCTGGAGATAGGAATTGGAAATGGGGCTGAGAGCTGAAGAGATGGCCTGGGGCTAGAGACCAGGGAGATGGGAGGAGGGGGAGTTCCTTGGAAGAGTGTGCCCCTAAGAGATCCTGAAGAGTGAGCAGAGATTGATGAGAGGCGAGAGGAGACCTAGAGTTATCAGGGCTGCAGAGGTGTCCTTGGCACATAGAGGCCATAGTATCCACGTTGGCTTCCAGGGTAGGGGCAGTGCATCTGCGGCTGGCTGAAGATGGAATAAATGGGATAGTGGCTAAAAAGATGGGGGTATTGGGGGAACACCTCTCCTTGGAGTGGTCCTCCTTGCAGATAAGGGGAGACGTAGAACAGCACTTGACAGGGAAGCTGGTGTGGGGGAAGGATTTTTTTACACTAGGGGAGACTTGTGGTTGAGTTAAACAGGTTCTAGAGGCCAGGCATGGTGGCTCATGTCTGTAATCCCAGCACTTTGGGAGGCCAAGTTAGGAGGATTGCTCGAGCCCAGGAGTTGGAGACCAGCCTGGGTAGCAGCAGCATAGAGAGACCCTGTTTTTACAAAAAATACAAAAATTAGCTGGACATAGTAGCATGCACCTGTAATCCCAGCTGCTCGGGAGGCTGAGGTGGGAGGATAACTTGACCCCAGGAGTTGGAGGATGCAGTGAGCTGCAGTTGTGCCACTGCGCACCGGCCTGGGTGACAGAGGGAGACCTTGTTTCTAAGGGGAACAAAAAAAGAAGTTAAAGAGATAAGATAAAGAATGGGGGGAGGGGACGTATTTTTTGCAGGAGGGAAATTTTGAGGGTTTTTAGCCTTGGAAAAGGAGCAGAACAGATGGGAAGGTCGTAAACGTGGAACCTTTGGAAGCAGAAAGGAAGATGATTTCTCTTAAAAAGTTTTGCCTAGAGATGACTAATGTGAAGGTCTTGGTGTTTTAAGGGAGCAGGGAAAGCCAGAGGTGGTGGGTCCGGTAGATGCAGGAACTGACCCAGGCTTTCAGATTGTACACTGGGGAGCAGAGAGTGCGTGCTTGGGGGTGGGGAGGCTGCTGGCCAGGGCTGACCTTCCTCCCATGACCCCTGCGTAGAATCAGAGTAGCCTCATTTAGTGTACTTGAGTCAAGGCCTTCTGTTTAAGAGCTTATTTGAACTCATTACAGTCATCGCTTGGTATCCTTGGGGGATTGGTTCCAGGACCTCCTGCGGATACCCAAATGATTGCACACTCAAATCCTGTAGTCCTCTCAGCAAAACCTGCTGATAGGAAAAGTCAGCCCTCTGTGTCTATGGGTTTTGCATCCCCAGATACTGTATTTTCCATCTGAATTTGGTTGTGAATGCAGAACCTGCCCATAAGGAGGGCCAATTGTATTTATTGAAAAAAATCCGTGTTGTTCAAGGGTCAGTTATAGTTTGAACTACAAAAAGCAAGCAACCAAACAAAACCCCCAAAAACCAAAGCTTTAATTGGTTAAGTCAGAGCAGACTAAAAAGGACTACATGCCCAGTGGAACTTTCTGTGTAGTCTAGTAGCCATATCTGGCTATGAAGCACCTGAAATGTGGCTCATGCAACAGAGGAATTGAATTTTAAATTTTATTCCTTTTAAATATTTATTTTTGTCTTTCTTCGTTTCTTTTTTTTTTTTTTTTTTCCCTGAGATGGGGTCTCGCTTTGTCACCCAGGCTGAAGTGCAGGGTCGCGATCACTGCTCACTGCAGCCTTGACCTCTTGGGCTCAAGCGATCCTCCCACTTCAGCCTCCCAAGTAGCTGGGGCCACAGGCATGAGCTACTTTGCCCGGCTAATTTTTTAACTTTTGTAGAGATGGGGGTCTCGCCATGTTGCCCAGGCTGGTCTCAAACTCTTGGTCTCAAGCAATGCTTCCACCTCGGCCTCCCAAAGTGCTAGGATTACAGGTGTTGAGCCACAATGCCCAGCCTAAATATGTATTTCAGTAGCTCCATATGGGGAGGTGTCTTGGACAGAGCAGGTTAGCCCGTGAGACTCTCTGGTCCTTGAGTGAGAGGGAAGGATGAGGGCTTGCAGATGATCCCAGTGGGCTGGTTCTGGAAGCGAAACCTGCAGGCCCCATGGCTTGGGGAAGGCTGACCATAGCAGGTGGGAGGAGCTCTCTGAAGGCCGAGGCTGAGCACTGGTGGAGAACAGGGCCCGTGCTCACGTATCCCACACCCCAGAACTTGGTGTGCTGGATTCCAGCCTTGTGTGTTTCTCATTATGACTATGTAAATGCCAGGAGGGTTGGGACTGTGTGATTTTTCTTCTTGCTTGGATGCTCGAGAGTTCTTCATTAATTAGTGAAGGAAAGCTGGCTCTAAGGAGAAGCAGTTGAAGTGGAGTTCATTGCCCCCACTTCTCTGCAGCAGGAATGCCTTGTCCCTCCTGCCTCGGTTGAACTCACTTTCTCAGGCTCCCACCTTTGAATGGAGGCCCTTGTCAGGCTCTCCATCCCCAGCGACTCTGTTGACATTTCCCCATGGGAAAGGAAAAGACCATCTGAAAGTTTCCATCTGTGTGCAAGGTTTTCTGAACATGTTGACAACATGGGTTTAATTTTGTGAGGTCAGCAAGAGTTCTTGTGGTTTGGGATTTAGTAAAAACTGTAGGCTTTGTATGGGAAGAAAATCTCTCTCACCTCTGTCTTCTATTCTTCATTCTCTACACAGACTCTCCACTTGTCTTTAGCACTAAAAACACAAACTAAGCATTATGTTTTAAAAAAAACCCAAACCCCAAGTCCAGTAGCTGATTGCCCTGCTTTAGCTTTTCTCCCTCGTTGTCATTCTTCAAAGAAAGACTCCACTCCTTTCAGCTGTCACCCTTTCACCCTGATCACCGCATGCAGTCTGGCCTCTGCCCCGCTTGAAAGAAGCACTCTTCCCAGGGCACCCGGGAACTCGGAACTGTGAACCCCCAGAGTCTGCCCAGCCCCTCTGTCCCTGCCTTTTGAGCAACAGCGACTGGTGCCACAACCTGGGGTGCCCCTTTCCCTGGGCAGCATTACCCACACTGGGCCACCGTGGGCCAAGTCACCCACACTGGGCCAGGTCACCCACACTGGACCATATGAGGCCACGCCACTCACACTGGGTCATGTCACCCACCCCAGGCCACACTGGGCCATGTCACCCACACTTGGCAGGGTCCTGTCTTTCTCCACTCTGGTGTCTCCTTTATCTTGATGCTCAAGACTCTCTCAAAACACCAGTGGTTCAGCACAGTGTGGGGACAGAGACTTCAGCGAGGCGCCCCCAGCCCCACCCTTGACGGGAAATAAGCGCAAACTCCTTGTGCCTGAGACTCAAAGGGTCGTGTGCCTTTATTGGCCCCCTTGCCTTACACCAGTGTTCTTAACCTTTCTGTGTGTGTGCGTGGCTCTCTGTAGTCATCGAGTGAAGCCGCAGAGGTCTCAGAATCACATTCTAAAATAAAAGTAGAATCATAAAGGAAGCGATTAAAAGTGCAATTGTCAAAATATCAAAAACATGATTTGTTGAATAGTGCTTTTTTCTTTTCTTTTTATTGGTAAAATACATGTAATATAAAATTTAGTCATTTTAACCTTTTTTTTTTTTTTTTTTTTTTTTTTAGACAGAGTCTCACTCTGTTGCCCAGGCTGGAGTGCAGTGGCACGATCTTCACTCACTGCAACCTCCACCTCCCAGGTTCAAGCAATTCTCCTGCCTCAGCCTCCTGAGTAGCTGGGATTACAGGCACACGCCACCACACCCAGCTAATTTTTGTATTTTTAGTAGAGACAGGGTTTCACCATGTTGGCCAGGCTGGTCTCAAACTCCTGACCTCAGGTGATCCACCCACCTTGGCCTCCCGAAGTGCTGGGATTACAGGCGTGAGCCAGTGTGCCCGGCCTATTTTAACCATTTTTAAGTGTACAGTTCAGTAACAGCAAGTACATTCATACTCTGCACAGCCAACCTCCAGAACTCCTTTTGTCTCGTAGTCCTGAAACTCCATACATAACTACCCACTCATTTCCCCATTCCCAGCCCCAGCACCCACCCAACTTTCTGTTTCTGTGTGCTTCACAGCTCTGGGACCTCAGATACGTGGAATCCTACACTATGTGTCTTTTTGTGACTGGCTTATTTCACTCAGCGTACTGTCCTCCAGGTTCGTCCACATGGTAGCATGTGTCAGAATGTCTTTCCTTTTTAAGGCTGAGTGCTGTTCCATTGTATGGATAGGTCACTTTATTCCTGTAACTGTAGATGGATACCTGGGTTGCTTCCACCTTTTGACTGTTGTGAATAATGCTGCTACAAACTTGCCTGCACAAATATTTCCTTAAGATCCTGCTTTCAGTTCTTTGATGTGTGCTTTCTAAACCTTTTTTATTTTTTCCTTTTGTTTTGAGACAGGGTTTCACTCTGTCCCCCAGGCTGGAGTGCAGTGGCACGATCGTGACTCAGTGTAGCCTTGATCTCCTGGGCTCAAGCGATCCTCCTGCCTCAGTCTATCAAGTAGCTTGGACTACAGGCACATGCCACCATGCCCAGCTAATTTTTGTATTTTTGGTGGAGATGAGGTCTTGGTATGTTGCTCAGGTTGGTCTTGAACTCCTGGGCTCCAGCAATCACCTGTCCTTGGAGGGAGTTGGCAATGGAAGTGGGTTGGCTGTTGGAGCCCATTAGAATATTCCAGAGGGATGATGGTTCCTTGGACCAGGGTGTGGTCAAGGAGCTGGAGAGATGGGAGTCAGTTACAGACAAGACAGTGGGATTTATTGGGATTCTTGATTTCTCTCAGTGGTGAGAAATTTCGTCTTTCCACACACCTTCCATGGAAACCCGGAACACCATGGGTCCCCCGTAGGCAGTCTTAAGAGGATAGCTGTTTTTGTTCTCCTTCCAAATTCCCATTAGACTTGAGGTCAGAGTCACACTTTACTTGTTTTGAATATTTAAAGTAGTATACCTAATAGCTCAATAGACTGTATGCTTTTATTTTTATTTTTTGAGCCTGCCTTCCTAGGTATTTGGACAAATTTCTCCATAAGAGAAGTGAACACGTAACTCTAACTTGTAATAGCAAATACCGCGGGAACACTGGGAGCCACATATTAAGATGTTATTAGACCTTCCCTGGAGTATCCAAATGGTCTATAATTGCTTAATAAGGAGAAGTTTTTGCTGAGATTTACATGATAGAGATTTGCTTTTTAAAAAGAAATTATCCAGATTTGAATGGAAAAATTGCATAGTCTCCTGAGTGTTGTTTTGCCTTTGACTTTGTACTGTTTAAGAACTGATTATGAGCAGGAGGAAATAACTCACTTCAGCTGTAATATAAATGTGCATTGGTATTTAAGCATATGTGACACATAAAACAATACCAACTTGGCCAGAATTTAAATGTTTATGTAAATTACATTTTTGGACAGGCACTTTCCTCTATTTTGCAGAGAAAATAATTTTTTCCCAAAGAGATTTTGTGTTTAAAAAAAAAACCCCTAATACTACTATTAGGAGTGTTAGATGCCTTCGATGTGGTTTTCTTTCCTCTTTTTGCCTGAAAGGCTTGAGTGCTGAAGCATCTAGCGCTATTCTTGTGTCCGGGAACGTTCCTGCCTCATTTTTGTTTCTAGTCTTGTTTCTTTCTGTGTCAGAAATAAGACTAATGCGTGCAGCTGCACCTATAGTTCAAGATGAAGGGGTCTGTGTGAGAGAGAGAACGTCTGTGCATGTGTGTATGTGTGTGAGTGTGTGTGTGAGAGAGAGGAGAGACGGGCGGGGGAGGGGAGAGAGAGAGAAAAGAGAGAGAGAGAAAAAAAAACACAGCCTCTTTGTAATACCTGGTTGACTCAGTGAAGTCTGGCTCTCTGAGCTTTACTGAATTCCTCCTTACTTATTTTGGGGCCGGAGGTGGAGATGAGTTCAAAAGTAGATAAAATTTGCCTGTTACCTAAATGAGCAGAATAGATTGCGCATAATCTTTTCTAGATGAAGCCTGTGTTTTTGGCATTCTGCTCTCAAGTCCTCTGAGCTGATCTGAGAGTGAACTGGAGTGTTAAGTTGAGAGAGATGTTGATGACTCTGGTGTGGTCTTTTCCTTTCGGAGAAGTGGAGGTGAAACGACTTGCCCGGGGTCCCTGGGAAGCAGAGCTTGTGCCAAGATGTAATTTTTCGGTTCTAAGCCCTGTGGTTTTTCTTCTGCAGCAAGGTGGGTACCCTTTTTCTGTAAGGGACCAGAGAGTATGGATTTTAGGATTTTGGGGCCAGTCTTGGCAACTATTCACCTCTGCAACTCAGCCACATTGTGAGAAGGCAGCCCTGCACATTGCATAAACAAACAAATGTGGCTGTATTCCAATAAAACTCCATTTATGGCCACTGACTTTTGAATTTCATAGAATATTCTGTAAGCATGTGTCAGCAGCTTCCCCTGTGCAGGTCCATGCTCAGAGGTAGTCGCGTTGGGGAAAGTTGCTTTCTGCCCTCCTGGAGTTGATAGACTTGTGGGGAGGCAGATACTGGAAAGCAGCCACAGACACACCAAAGGGGGGAGTCAGTCCCCTGTCATGGGAATTGTGATGGGGAGCGCCCTCCCCTGTGCATTTAGAAAGGCCCCGCCACACGGAACCACTGGGAAGCTGAGGCTTGGAGATTGCGTGGGATTTGAGATGAGCCAGGCGTGGGCAGGGAGATCGCACAGGGGAAAGGAGGATCGCCGTGGATCACACAGGACAAAGGAGGTCCTGACCTGTCCACCCCCAAAGCCCTTTGCTTCCCTAGCCCACGTTGGTGTAGGGTGGGCCGAGAGGGGGCGCAGTGTGAGGAGTGACTGTAGCTGCAGCTCAGCAGCGTCTCAGGAGAAGCCAGCTGTCTCTACTCACCACGGGAGTTTATTTCCAGTGTGGGAGAGGGACTCTTGAGAGAGAAGGACAAGATGCCCGTTTGCCCTACAGATTCCTTTGAGGAAAATTCCTATAGGGGTCTCGTCTCTGTTGTATTTATTGTAGTACGACCTTTTTTTAAGTGATTCACCATAATCTCTCTAGGCCGTATTTAGGCACTGACCCTAAATGTGCGTTAAAAAAAAAGGTTTGGGATATTTTGGTTTATTTATTTGTGTGTATGTATATAGTTGTTAAATTGGTGTCCTTGGGGTGGGGGTTGATCGGTGGAACCTTATCTTCTCTGCTTTCTTGCTCCACCCCATATTTTGGTTTGTTTTTGTTAGAGGTCGGCAAACCTTTTGTTGTCAATGGCCAGATAATAAATATTTTGTGGTTTTTAAACCCTGTAGTCTCTGGGTGTTATATGGCAAAAGCAGCCATTGACAACATGTGAGTGACTGAGTGTGTTTATTTATGGGCACTGAGGTGCTGGGATCCCATATTCACACTGTTCCGCCACCATCACCGCCATTCATAACTCCCAAACTTTTTCTTTTTCTTGGTGGAGGAGTGGAGCAGGGTCTTGCTCTGTTGCTCAGGCTGGAGTGCATCACGGCTCCCTACAGCCTTAACGATCCTCCCATGTCAGCCTCCCGAGTAGCTGGGACCACAGGTGCGCATCACCACGCCAGGCTGATTTTTTAACTTTTCTGTAGAGACGTGGTCTCCTTAGGTTGCCCAGGCTGGCATCAAACTCCTGGCCTCAAGCATTCCACCCACTCCTGCCTCCCAAAGTGTTGGGATTACAGGTGGGAGCCACCGTGCCCAGCCTCAGAAATTTTTCATTATCCCAACCCGAAACCTGGTCCCCATGAAACAGTAACTCCCCATTCTCCCTTCCCCCGCAGCCCCTGGCACCCACCGTTCTATTTTCTGTGTCTGTGGATTTGACTAGTCTGAGGTGCCTCATGTCAGTGGAGTCATGCTCTGTTTGTCCTTTTGTGTCTGGCTTTTTTCACTTAGCATAATGTCCTTGAGGTTCTCCCATGTTGTAGCCTGTGTCAGGACATTTGCAGCTCAGTTCATTTCCGAGGAATTGTCCTATATGCAGGGGGTCTTAGGAACACAGGTAACTTCACTTCCCATTTGAAGAGCGAGGAGTTCTCCCGAGGCCCTGAACAGGAATAGAGACTGTGAGGCATTGGCGTTTGGAAGGAAGTGTCTCTGAAATAGAAACGACTGTCAGATGAAGAGGGACAGTTCAGTATGGTACCCGGGCCTGCCTTTCCAGACGTCCCCAGCCTCTTTGCCTAGTTCCCACTCTGGGCCCCTGGGCAGGTGACCCGCAGCTGCACATGGGTTTCCTGGGAAGCCACAGTGCTGAGGATCTTGGGAGAGAGGCTCAGGATCAGAGTCTGGGGAGTGCAGGAGCTTGCGGGGGGAGGGGGTGGGGTCAGTGGGGGCGGGGGGTGCTGCTTTGGGGATTGGGAGGAGTGGACTGGGGCGGGGTCACAGAGTCTTTAGCTGAACCCATGGGTGCTCTGGGTCTCGGCTTGTCCTGACTCAAGTCAAGGGGCCCAGGCCTTTGTAAAGGTCCACATTGCCCATTCACTGGGGCCTGGCTTTGGGTGAGGGTGGCAGCTGGAGATGGGGGGAAGCCCTGAACGGGAATCTTGGCCACACACTGCTATATCCGCGACACCAAATTCTATCCCACCTGTTGTTGGCTGTTCTGGAAACCAGCACTGAAAAATACGGAGTGGAAAAGTTTTCTGATTTTTTTTTTCCTGCTTTGTTTGGGTTTTTTGGAAAACAATTTCAAAATTAGCATATGGCTTGTTAAAATTAAATCACAAAGGAAGTGCCTATGGTAACGTTTTGATCAGGCTCTAGGTCTGTGTGAACCACGGCCCATATTTGAAAATCCAGCTTTATTGGGACATAGCCATGCCCATTGCTTTCTGTGTCCTCTGTGGCTGCTTTAGTGTGCCACCAGGGCAGACTTGGGTGGGTTGCAGCAGAGATGGCATGGCCCTCAAGGTCCAAGATGTTTACTCTCTTGCCGGTCCTCTGTTATCTCTGGTCTTTGTGGTTGCCACAGTTTTCTTGGATCCAGGAGTTAAAGGCAGTCCTGAGGGATGATGGCCTCATCTCCGCAGTTGCCTGGAATGCTGAATTTCAGACGTGCTAAAGGAGGGGTTGCAGACATTGTGTGGAATGCATTCAGACCCCAGATGTGGGTGCAGGAAGGCAGGCATGGCACAGCCAGGTAGAGACTGGTTTCCAGGCCCAAGCAGCCTTCAGCAGCTGTGCGCCTTGTTTCTGATGTTGTTTGGGAGTAAGAATAATGTAGACATGGGGGGTCATGAGGCTCAGGGTAAAAACTTCAAGGAAACCTCCATGGCATGGTTGGGCGCAGTGACTCATGCCTGTAACCCCAGCACTGTGGAATGCCAAGGTGGAAGGATCGCTTGAGGCCAAGAGTTGGAGACCAGCCTGGGCAACATAAGGAGACCCTGTCTCTACCAAAAAAAAAAAAAAAAAATGACCAGGTATGGTGGCGCACACCTGTGGTCCCAGCTACTCAGGAGGCTGAGGCGGGAGCCTGGGAGGTTGAGGCTGCAGTGAGCTGTGATTGCACCATGGCACTCCAGCCTGGACCACAGAGCAAGACCCTGTCTCAAAGAAAGAAAGAGAGAGATAGAAAGAGAGAAAGAAACCTCCATGGCAGATGCATGGAGGAATGGGTTAATATCTAGAAATACGCTGAGTGGTGGAGTAAAGAAAACCCACAATAGAATACCTGATGAATGTGGGGAAAGCACTTCTGAGCTCCTCTAGTTTTAGAAGACCTAAAAAGACGATTTAAAAAAACAAACAGGAGAGCCCTGTTATTGTTGATGTCTTCCAAAACGAACGTGCATTTATAAGCCAGGTGGCATTTTAATGTCACGAGGGGGTCCATTCTCCCATCTGTCTCCTTTGCTTTTGTTAGAGTCAGTAGCTTCTAGGTCTGCTTGACATTGGAGAGGATACTGAATGCAGAAAATTTTGTTTAATTATAATGATTTGATTTTTTCCTTCTGTATTCAAGTTTGCCTGCTTCTAATGAATTGGCAGAAATGAAGAGCTTGCTCAGATTTTGCCAGGACCATTTAAAAGCAATTAAAATCAATTTAGTTATTAAATTTGAAATTATTGTCTGGCTAAATGATAGTTTAAAATTCAATTTATACTGGCACTTACTTTTTAATGAACAGACCACATCACACATTTTTATGTTCTCAAATTATCTGTGGCTTTAAAGCTGTAAAAAAAGGTGCTCTTTTAAAAAAGCCCTGCATGTTTCCTTTTTCCTCTCTACTTCCGCTAAAATATTTACATGTTTCTTTTAAAATAAGGTGAGAAAATCCCCTTGACTTCTCAATTTTAAGAAACTATACTTATCTTTTCATCACAAATGTTCATTTATCTGTGTTGAAGTCAACCCAAGAAATCTTAAAATATAACGGAAAGAAAATGTTTCTGGATTTTTTCCCGAGAATACATATACTTTTAAATGGCACGTTTTACCCATTGACTTTAATTCCTCCCTCCCTCCATTACATTTTTAGATGTGTTCAATGAAACGTAGTCCTCCCCCTTTAAAAAAATGGACCGAGCATCACGTGTGAGGCTGCAAAGAGGCTCCCTGCCAAAGCATCTTATCTGCCGCTGGTAAAGCCCCGCCCCTCCGTCAGCAGCTAACCCTTGAGCGGGATGTGTGCTTGTGCCGGGTGCATTGCATTAAGAGAATGCAACTGAATAGAGAAGGATCAGGACCTTTTGTGCAGAGGTGGGGAGTGTTAAAAAGGGGGAGGCCTGGGTGGGAGGGTGGAGTTAGTGGGAGATGGGTATGCTTAGTGCTTAAATTCCCTGCATTCCCTAACACGAATTTAAGAAACTCACACAGTAAATGAGTCAGGGAGAGGGAGAGACAGGGAGAGAGGGAGGGGAGAGGGAGAGTTCCTTTCATTCATGACAGGATGAACTTTGCATGCTTCAGAACAATTTACATTTTTCCTTATTTCTAGGTACTTTTTTGAACTAAGAACCTGGAGGGTGTGTGTGTGTGTGTGTGTGTGTGTGTGTGTGTGTGTGTGTGTGTGTTGGTGTGTGTTGGTGGTGGGGTTTTTTTGCCTTATATTTCATAAATATTTCTTGGTTGATTAAATGTCAATAATCGCTCATTTCTGGTTTGTAAAGCTGTTACCTGATCCTTGAATACCACGAATATTTTGTACATTCTAAATAATTGAGAGAAAATAACAACGACAACAAAAAGACACAAATAAAAAGCATCTCCGCTTATTTAAGAAGAGTAGATCTGTGCGGGGCGCTGTGGCTCATGTCTGTAATACCAGCACTTTGGGAGGCCGAGGCGGGAGGATCCCTTGAGTCCAGGAGTTCGAGACCAGCCTGGGCAACATAATGAGAGGCTCTTTTTTTTTTCTTTTTGAGACACGGTCTCATTCTGTCGCCCAGACTGGAGTACAGTGGCACTATCTCAGCTCACCGCAACCTCCACCTCCTGGGTTCAAGTGATTCTCCTGCCTCAGTCCCCCTAGTAGCTGGGATTATGGGCGCGCACCACTACCACCCGGCTAATTTTTGTATTTTTAGTAGAGGTGGGGTTTCGCCATGTTGGCCAGGCTGGTCTCGAATTCCTGACCTTAAATGATCCACACCCTCCTTGGCCTCCCAAAGTGCTGGGATTACAGGTGTGAGCCACCACACTGGGGCGCAAGAGCACGTCTTTTAAAATCAGTGCTGTCTGTGGGGTGGGAGGGGAGGAGAAGTAGATCTGGCCATGCTGAAAGGTTCGTGCAGTGGCCTCCTGAGCTGCGCACATGCTTCTGGAGCTTTGGGTGGACATTTAGTCTGCATGTGGATCTCTGTCCAAGCCTGCACTGGGAGCCCCTGCCCCAGGAAGCGAAGGCTGCATTTCTTTTATGTCAATTAACAGATTTCTGCCCCACCCTGGACATCTGAGCGTTAACTGATTTGTAAGGGAGGGGTGAGGGAGGGTAAAATTACAATTCTATATCTTAACATTGGGGGTGAAGCATTTTTACCCTAGAGGAATTCTATCCAAACACATTAAACACTCTTAATAAGGGACAAAGGGTTGGGACGTAGCGGTTAGGGGGCAAGCCCATGAGCCTCACTCCTTGTGCTCTCTCTCCAGGAATTGGAGAGGGAATCCTTTTGCTTAGCATTCCCACGCCTCCCACGGGCCTGGCACTGGGCCCGCGGGCTTGCCTTAGTCTCCTGGGCTGCCCTAACGCAGCACCACGTGCCGGGCGGCTGTAACAGCAGCCCGTAATTCTCCCACAGTCCTGGAGGTTCTAAGTCCCAGATCGAGGGGTCAGCAGGGTTGGTTCCTCCCTAGGCCTCTCTCCTGGGCTTGTAGATACTGTCTTCTCCCTGGGTCCTAACAAGGTCATCCCTCTGTGTGTGTCTGTGTCCCCTCATCTCTAGTCCTGTTGGATTAGGGCCCGTCCTAATGACCTCATTTTACCTTAGTTACCTCTTGAATGGCCCTAACTCCAAATGAACAGTCACATTCTGAGGTCCTGGGGCTTAAGGCTTCAGCATATGAGTTGGGAGTAGGGATGTAATATGCCTAATGTCCAGAACAGGAAAATCCATAGAGGCAGAAAGTGGGTTCCTGCTTGCCAGGGCTGGGGACGGGCAGTGTGGGGTGACTGCTAGCCAGCACAGGGTTTCTTCTGGAAGTGATGAAAGTGTTCTGGAATTAGACAGCGGTTGCAAAATTCTGAATGTATTAAAAACCACTGAATTGTACATTTTGAAAGAGTGAATTTCATGGTATGTGAATTATATCTCAGTAAAGTTGTTATAAACAAAAACTGTGAGGGTAAGAGGTAAAAGGAAGGGAGTTGAAAGCAGCATCAGGTGTGAACAGCCCATAATTCAGCCCATAGACGAGCGCGAACTCCTAGCACAGCTGTCTGTTGAAGATGTGCGTGAATGCTTGCTTTCCGCACCCTTCGGCCTGCTTTTCTCTACTCTCCAATTTCATCATACATTCTCTTCCTTCCTCCCCCTCCCCACTTTTTCAAAACGTTTCTTCTAGTCCTTACTTGTGGCTACACAAAATTCCATAAACATAATGCTGCAGTTCAAAGAAGTGTTCTGATGGTAGGGAGATAACTTAGGAAAATATTTTACCTTTGGGGAAGTTTTGGTTTCCTTCTGAGTGAAAACCCTCCATGAAAGAGAAACTTAAATGCAGTTTTCAAATGCTCCTGAGACATTCCCAGCCTTTTCTTTGTGGAGAAGTGAAGGCAGGACAATTTCCAAGGCAAAGAGGGACCTATCGCAGACAGCAGACCCCAAGTAAAGAAAGGCACAGTGATGGTGGGTATTCGTGCAGTGTTTTGAAAATGTGGAGGTCAGGGATGCTAGCTTACCAGGCCAGCATGATCAAGTTACGAGAAATGGAGACCAGGACACTACCTCTGCTGGGTGTGCTGCTCCGGGCTCCTTCGAAAGGGGAAGCAGCTGGTGGACTTCCTTGGGCTGTGGTTAAATGGGGCTCCCATAGGTGCCATGAAGGCTCTGCAGAGCCAGGGATGCTTGCACCCTGGAGAGACCTTGCTCCAGGAGCTCAGGAGCTGGTAGGGGTGGTGACAGTGAAGCACCGGCTTGCCGTGCCCAGTGCTTGGGCAGTGCTGAGCTCCGAGGGAGGAACCCAGAACCATGCGGGAGCAAGGGAGGGAGGCAGGCGAGGAGAAGGGTTGCCCAGGAGCCTGCAGGTCGGGTCGGTGTTGTATCAAATTGTCTTTTCCTGCTTTGCTGTCTGATCCCACTAAAGACTAGCCAGAGAGATGTGGAGGTGAAAAATGGTGGACAGCCATTTTTCTCCCTTTCACTGTGTCTACAATGTCTGTTTCATATCAACAGCAACATCTGTGCAGGCATCCTAATGAGTATAAATAATGTCTTCAGAAAACTGGGTTTGTGAGGCTCCTGTCATCTGAATTTCTTTCATCATTTAAGTGATGATTTTTTACTCATTGACATACAGTTGTTATTTAGTGGCCACGTATTATTCGTATAGGGTTCTTTATGTGCTTTCTGTGTACATTTGTTTTCGTGCTCATCGTATTTCAGTGTGGCTTATATATAATAAGATGCACCTGTTCTTAGCTATTGTGGACTTTTTTTTAAAAAAAGGTTTATAGAGATATGATTCACATACCAAACACCCATTTAAGTGCCTAATTCAACAGTTCTTAATACCCTAATTTAAAAAAAAAATACAGTGTTGAGTATTTTCCTTTTCTCGTTTTTCACTAAAGTAGACTCAGGATTGGGGTTATCTGTCAGTCCCTTGGTTTGATTCTTGGCTGCCAGTGTTTACTGGGGACGGATGTTGGTACCTCCCTTAATAGGATATTGTTACAGCATTTTACAAATTCTGGTTAAAAAAAGTCCCACATGAGATCTCCCCTCTTCCCCCCTCTCTGAGTGTAGGCATTGTCAGCTGCAGTTGTCCAGCATCTCCAGGACTCTTTTCATTTGCGGGATGGAAACAATGTACCCTCTGAACAACTCCTCCCTGTTTCTCCTCCCTCCAGCTCCTGGCAACCACTATTCCACTCCCTGCTTCTTTGAATTTCACAACTTGAGGTAGCTTGTGTAAGTGGAATTATTTTAAAAGCTGGTTCATGTTAAAGTGCTTAGAACAGAGCTTGGTGAGCATCCGGTCAACAGTAAGTACTTTTATTATTCTTTTTATATTACTCTTTTTTTTTAAAGAGGCCAGACACATGGGCTTCTGTCTTTTCACAGCTTGGGATCTGTGCAGACCCAGGCTTCCAGAAGCCATCCCACTTGAATTCTTACTCCCTTTTCCCCTAAAAAGAAGCTCTGAAATCCTAATTGTCAAGAAGGCTTTGCCTGCTGTGCATGCCTGAGTAATGTTATTTTTGTCATTATTTGAGAGACAGAGAGGAAGCTTCCAGTCCCCTGTAAGGAAACGAAATCATCGTGCACAGATGTGGTTCTGTTTATAGAGGGAAGGAAATGGAGGTGAAGAGTGTGTGTGGCTTGCAGCCAGGCTTGCGAGTGTGCAGAGGAATAAACTTTTTTGCCTCCAGAGTTTTAACTGGAAATGTGTCTGAATTCTACCTCCTGGGCACACTGGCCTGAGGTCTCCCCTGCATACCTGATCGTGAAAGTCTTCGGGTGTGTTTGTAAACACGCAGCCCCCCTGATGTGAGAGTCAGCACAAACTTCTAAAGATGCGATGATGAATTCTATCAGAGAAGTCTTTCTGGTTTTGTGAAAATAACCTTGCACTCTTTAATTATATCCAAATGATCAAATCTGGCTCTGATGTCTTGTCAAAATTAATGTTAAAGGACAGTGCCCTTTATATTTTACTTGTCTGGGTATAAACATCCTAGTCTTTAAAGTTGAGTCTGTAGGACTACCTCTCTACTTGATTACTCTGAAAAGAGTGTATAGAGTGAGTTTTTAAAATGGAATTAGTGTGCATACGAGGAACAGAGTGACATTTAACAAATCCTTCAATAGATAGTGCTGGTATGAGGATTGGTGAAACTAGAGGTAGGGAATGAGCATTTTTGGTTCTGTATCATATTCCCAAGACATTTTCAAATGATTCACCCTTTGCCATCAGAATGGTTTGAAATCGATCAGCCTGAATCCACTAATGTGGGCTGCGGCACATGAATTTTAACACTAGAAGCACACGGTTGTGCTGTGTTTCAAATGAACTCTGGCCATTTGAAGTGAGCAGGCATAGGCAGTCTTCTGTCCTGTGATAACCTCAGTACATATCCTTTCTGTTTTTTAAAGTACCTTACAAGCTGCTGCATTACAGTCGTTATTATTGGGCCATTACAAAAAGCTGTCCAATTTTAAGTGTCTTGGATAATTCTTGTTTGCCCCAGCATCAGAATTGAGCATTTTTTTTTTTTTTTAGATGGAGTCTTGCTCTGTCACCAGGCTGGAATGCAGTGGCGTGATCTCGGCTCACTGCAACCTCCACCTCCCGGGTTCAAGCGATTCTTCTGCGTCAGCCTCCGGAGTAGCTGGGACTACAGGCATGCACCACGATGCCCAGCTAATTTTTGTATTTTTTAGTAGAGATGAGGTTTCACCATGTGGGCCAGCATGGTCTCGATCTCTTGACCTTGTGATCTGCCTGCCTTGGCCTCCGAAAGTGCTGGGATTACAGGAGTGAGCCATTGTGCCTGGCCAAAATTGAGCACTTTTATCATGTAGTATTCATGTCTTACTGGCAATGCCCTGTAAAGTTAAATAAGTTACATTTGTCTTGCACAGGTAATAATTATGAGGTAATTTCCACAGAATCCAAGGGCCTCATTGACTTTGCTATAAAATCAAAACAGTGAATTCTGATAAGACTAGACGCATGTTACTCTTAAATTGGGCTGTCTCCTGGCCACTGTTGTGCCTTTAACCTCAGCAGAAGGGGAGCTGGGCTGCAGAGTGAAATTACCCGGAGGTCAAATATTGCTAATTTGACTTTTATCATAGAGACATTTTCTCCTCTCGCACCAAGGCAGTGGCTTTAATCCCTCTTTCAGTGGTGAGACAGGTGCAAAGCGTTTACAAAAGGCTTTCTCTTGTTTTGAATGCGCCAAGAAAGATTTCCAGGCCGTTAAGTTACCAATCCTTCTTTTTAAGTCTTGAAGCAATTACTGTAAGGTCAATCCACTAATTTCCTTTCAGAGTTACCAAAGACCTCTCATGTAATCATTTGGTACTTGTTGCCATGTAGCCAGTATCACTGAGTGCTTTTACTGTGAGCAAAGCACAATGCATCGGGCAGGGAGGGATCCAAAGGGATCTTGGTTTTTACCTTTGAGCCATCTGTGGTCTTGAGTGATCTACGTGCATTAGCAATTAAAAGGTCCTGATATTCTTGTTTGGGCATATTGAAAAATGTGCTCTTACAGATAGGTTTCCTCTCTCTACTGCCCCCCGCCCCCCAATTTTTTTTATTGTGGTAAAATACATAAAACAGAATTTACCATCATAACCATTTCTAAGTACACTGTTCAACAGCATTAAATATTCATTACATTGTGCAATCCTCACCACGATCCATCTGCAGAACTTTTTCATCATACCAAACAGAAAACTGCCCCATTAAACACAAACTCCCTATTCTTCCCTCCCCACAGCCCCAGCAACCAACGTTCTACTTTCTCTCTCTATGATTTTGACACTCTAGGGACCTTTTATATGTGGGATCATATGGTATTTGTCCTTTTGCGTCTGGCTTAGCACAAGTTTCATCCATGTCATAGCATGCGTCAGAATTTCCTTCCTTTTTAAGGCTGTATAATATTCCAGTGTATGGATGGACTACACTCTGTTTATCCACTCATCTGTCAGAGGACACATGGGTGGCTTTCACCTTTTGGCTGTTGTGGATAATGCTGCTATGAGCATTGGCATATGTTTACTTCTCATTGATTTAAGTTTACATAGTCATGTGTGGCTAGTGGCTGCTGTATTAGACAGGACAACCCTAGGCCTGATAGCCCTGAGGACCTAGTTTGGGTGGGAAGACAGGGGTGACCTGCAGCGAGTTGTCGGCTGGGGGCCTTGGTGAGAGCCAGATCTGGGTTGTGAGGCCACTCGAGGCAGGGGGAATGGTGTGGCGGGAAGTGAGGCCCAAAATGAGAATTTCAGAGTTGAAAGCTTTGGAAGTAACATGATGCTCTATGACTGTGACCAGACTCAACTGCACCAATGTGCATCTGAGATCAGGTCATTGGCGTTGAAATCGTGAAATGCTCACTGCTTGGGACGTTTGCACTGTGCTTGATGTCTGGAGGTTCCGTTAATGTTAAAATAGCAATTATGGGACTGGAGATTAGGTTTAATGTCTGGGTTTTTTCCACTGTCTTCAAAAGCCCGGGTCTTAGTAGTAACCATGCTGCTCCCCATTTTAGTAATTTCAGCCTGGTTTATGTTGCTCAATAGCAGAAAAGCGGTTCAGATTTCCTTTGGATATCATGGACCATATGTTTGCCCAGGTATCCTTTCTTATTGGGAACTATCAAATAGTTAACACAGATTTCTCCAAGGGCACCGACTGGGAAATTAGTTTACCAAAGATAAATTTGGTAAAAGGAAAGTTTTTATGTGCGCTATCCTTAAACTAAGACACATCTGTCGAAATATTAGGACGTGCCCAGTCTCCCATCCTCTGCTGAAACTTTAGACTGTACGTCCTTCAGATATCTTCTCTTTGGTGCTTTGTTTGGGAACAGATTAGCCTCATACTTCCTCGCTTGTAAAACTGCTATCCCATCTCTTGCTCAATGCTTTTCTTGTACCGAAGGGTGAGGGGGAGGTTCCAGCTCTGTTTTCTGTATCAGTTTCCTGGGTGATGTTTGTTTGAGGGTGCCTTGTGTCCAGAGCCCCAGAAGGTGTTTCCGTTCTCTGATGAGCCTGAAGTCTGCATGCTTCGCCTTTGGTAGGGAAAGGCAGCTGGGGAAAGGTTGCATGGCCCAGTGCCAGGGTGCCAGAGTGCGTGTGCACCTGCTGGGGAGAAGCCCGCTGGGGCCCCTCCTCTCAGCACAAGATGAGGCCTCAGGGCAGTGCAGCAGATGGAGGGCTTAGCTGTCCTTGCCAGCAAAAGCTGCTGGGAACGTGGCACTCAGATAACAGGACGGTTGAGAAGCGGTGAGTTAGGGTTACTCTGATGGGGAGATACTGAGAGGAGGGGATGACAATCTTGATTTCTGTTCCCTTTGTGAATCTTTTGGTGGCCAAAATGAGGAAAAGGATACATTGTGTTTGAGGACAACAAGGAACATCTAGGCACATTGCATACTTGATTAAATGCACAAAGAGCTTCTTGTGACCTTTATCACAAGAGTGTGGTTCTATGAAGGTCGTAGGTACAATAGAAATTGTGTTGGTCTGAGAGTTACTCAGATTAGGGTGCATTGTGTCACCACCATTTTGCATAGCTGTGGCACCTTGTCAAGTTAACCTTTTCCTGCTTGCTTTTCCTAATCAGAAGAATGAAGTTGACCGTATGTACTCTATAAGGTGGTTGTGTGAGGTCAATGAGATTACATAGGCAAAATCTTGGTGCAGGGGCACTTGGTAAAGGTTAGTTTCTGTTATAAATTTGGGGTATTCTGTGATGATTCCTACTCCCCTCTTCTCCTCATGGCTAAGTTCTACTTATTCTTTGACGTGGCTCCGATATCACTTTCCTCAGGAAGCCCGGTTTCCCACCCAGATGGCTTTGGGCTACTCATCAGTGTTCTGTAAAATGCTGAGAATATTGTTTATAGCACTTCTGGGTTGTTTTGTGATAGTCTTTTGAGATATCTGTCTCCTCACCAAACTGTTCTTTGTGTCATGGGCAGGCCCACGTCATCCTCGTCTTTGTAGTCCTGCACCTGGCACAGAGCCTGGCACATAGCTCAGTCAAACAGGTGAAGACTGGGTTATTACATCTTCCCACTCCACCCCCTTCATTATCAAGTCGTGGTCAGGGCATGCCCCACCAAATGCAAACCCTACTAGGCAGTACAGCTGAGACTTGGAACTAGACTAACCCAGTGACTCAGAAATGTGCCACAGGACTTATTTGGCTCTAGATGGGGTCTTAAAAGACATTCATAGTTGCAGGCAGAACAGAATATCCAGAACAGGTGCAGAATAACCTGTGTGTACACAGTAGGTGGTAGTTATAATGCAGGAAGAATTTGGCACAAGAAGTGTTACAGTTTAAAATGAAGTCATGGGCCCTATCCACACTGGGGACAGAGATAATAGTAACTAATCATCATCACTGTCATCACTAGCCCATTGTCAGAGGTAGCACTGAACACTTATGCGTTAGCCAGGATTTGGGTTCTAGAGGGTTTAGTGTACTAGTTGGGTTACCAAGACAAAGATGCAGGCATGGGGTGCAAGTTAACAAAGGTTATACACTAGGTGGCAACTGACTCACAGGAGCCTGGTTATTGCAGCGGTTGTGGCCAGAGCCATACAAGTGTTCTGATGCCCCTCAACTGTGTTGAAATTTGTTTGAGGCCAACCAAGTCAGCTGGCGAGGGGGAAGGCAAGCCAGAGAGAAATTGTGAACCAGAAAGGCCCCACCTCTGGCAGTGGCTCTTCCATTGGAGATGAAGTCTTCTTGCCCTGTTTTTCTCTTTAAAAAAGTGAGCCATTTCACAAGGGAAGTTAAATTAAAAACTGTGCTTGTTAGCGCGGAGCTGGGACAACCGAGGGAAGTGATGCCAAAGGCAATTGTTGGTCTTTCCTTCAAATATGTGCTGACTTAGGAAGAGCAAAATGTTTTATATTAACAATTAACAAAAGACTAAGTCTTTCATCACAAACAAGTCTAAATTCAGTGGTTAGGTCAGTATTATATTTTCCTATAGTTTTAAATAAGATGCTTATGTATTCACTAGTGCTTTGGATGTTCTTTGGAAAAATCTCCAATTTAGTGACAAGCCCCAGGAAATATTACTCTTAGTTGGTCCAGCATCCTATATTGTTTGTGAAATCCCTCTTTTATTGTCTTTTAAAGGTTGTAAAATGCTTTTTCTGTCAATAATCAGAGAAGGATGCCGCATTCATATTACCCCAGTTTCCAACTCAACCTCTCCTTTCCAATTGAAAACAAAAGTCAGAATTCACTTTTTGTTGTGGGGCATTAAGTAGTAAGCAAAGAGATTTCACTCGCCAGGGAAAAGAAGGAGCCTGCAAATCAGACAATATCAAAACATAACCAAACCATATAAAAACACAAAAATGTTGCTTGGCAGAATTTAACTATAATTAATTGTACTAATTTAATATTGTAGACACAAATGATCATAAAGCCATATGGTACAATCCTTTTGTTCATGAATTTCTTATTCATCAAATGTTAGGTACGTGATGTGGGAAAGCCAGTATGTTGGGCTTCGTGCTACCAGGGCTAGAGTTGACCAGTTCAGCTTTGTTTCTCCAGTGACCAAAAAAAAAAAAAGGTATCTGCCTTGCACATGAAAACACTGGATGGTTAGATTGGATTTAGCCAACAACAAACTGCAAAAATCGGTTCTGGCTAACTGAAGCTCACAGGGTTTATTAGAGTTGTTGGAGCCCATGGGAACTGATGGAGGGCAAGGAGGCTTGTCGTGCAGGAGCAGCAGGAACCAAGGAAGCTTTGCAGAGATGAGAAACAAAAAACAGGGAACACAGCAACATTTGCTGTGTCAGGAACGACTGCCACTGGTGGCCTGGACACCATCACAGCCGCAGAAGATACTTAAGACACATTTCTGTTCTAGTGTTGGTAGTTCAAGATTCAAAGTATGTGTGAAAGTGAGTGTGTGTGCATAGGCAGAGTAGCTAATTGGTTGAGTTGGGGTCCATGTGCCCACCTCCAGGTTGGACCAGGGGACAAGCCATGCAGCGTTTTGGTCACCCCTCACTTGGCAGTATTCCCACCAGGAATGACCCTCGCTAGGATTTGAGGGGCCTGGAGTCACTACTTACTAATTTTCTTAAAGTTGACAACGATCACAAACTTCATGGTCTGGGAAAATGTGAATTAATTGCCTGATCCACCTTCATATCTTTTTTCTTTTCTTTTTTCTTTTTTTTTTTTTTTAACAAAAATCTGTATATTCATAGATTGTCTCTTCCTCTGCTAGTGGTTTTGCAGTAGCATTTTCAGGTGAGGAAACAACAACAGAGTTTAGGGTCCAGCTCTGTCATTGCCATTGTTGTAGCGATTTACAAGTTGTTACTGCTAGTATGAACTTTTGCCTAGTTAAATTTTGGAAACTTGCCTGTAATTGCATTTGATGGATGATAAAAATTGATAAATGACTTGATAAGTGATAAAAATTCTACGGAAGAATTTTCCATGGACTGGCTTCTGGCTTTGATCCTTTCCAACTGTGCTTCTCCTACCCTCAGGCCGCCCCTATCATGCTGTGCTTGTCTGGCCCCACTCACCCTGTCCTGACACTGGATGATTTATTTCCAAATGAATTGCTCCTGGAAGCCATTCCAACACCATTACAACCGGCGGCAACACAGCTGTCTTGGATACTCCTGGACCATATAGATAGATGTAACCACAGCATTCCGGTAGCTCCCACTTCCCCAGCATTTTCTTTTAGAATGGGGGCATCAGAGTTGAAGGAGGTAACTGTGGGTAGTGTGTCTTGTCTTTGGAAATTTTCATCATGACCTGAGCTTGTGAACACTCTGCCTTGGCCCCGCCTCGCACTTTGGAAGAGACTGGAGCAGGAGCGGGCAGCGTTGCCTTCGCAGCATGGTAACTTCTCTCAGCGCTGTTTGTAAAGCAGAATGGGAGAGGAAACTCCCCAGAGGGAAACTGGGACCCTGTTAGGTAGGGCTAGCAAGAGGTGGTTAAAACGTAAGCATCCGCTGCACCAGACTGTATTCTCCACGACTGTATATTTTTTGTTGTTCATAAGAGCCCCGAATTGCAATGAGTACGATTTTCCCTGGACGCTGCAGTGTATGGAGAAGCTGTCACTTGTCACATGACAGCTCAGTCATTCGATCCCTGGGTGCTGCAGAGAGGGAAGAATTGGCCTCGCAGTGGGGAGTGAGTGCCAGCCCGTGGCCTGTCCCCTGCCACGTGTCACCATACTGAACGTTTGTGTGTGCTCTGTGTGTTTTCAAAACACCTTCATGTCACCTGCCCCGGACTCCTCCCTGTGAGCAAGGCAGGGTGGGCGTTACCATCCCTCTGGACCAACAAGGACAGAACAGCTTGAGACGCACAGGGTGGCTTCCCCATGGCTGCGGAGGCATAGAAAGTGAGGGCACGGGACGTGAATCCGTGTGCTGGGATTCTGGCCGCCTGTGCCTGCCGATCACCCTCAGTGCCTCCCTGGATTTGATTTTGTGGCTCTTCTGGGTGTGCGTGTGAGTGTGTTGTGGGTAAGTCTGTTGTCTAGGGGAAGGAACGGGAAATCATCCGGCCAGGAATCTCTGTGGGGTGGTCGGCTTGAGTTGGCCATATCCAAGCTCTGCGTGTGTCTCACTTTTCAGAGTAGCAGGAAGGCCGGGTGACTTTGAAATCAGATGGGTATTTTCCTGATTCGAAGAGACTTGGCTTCTTCCCCCGCCCCTCCTTCTCCCTCCTCCCCCCTCCTCCCTCTTGCTGGCTCACAAACTCAATGGGGCATCCCAGCCCACCCATGGGAGGCCAGGAGAAAGAGGAGGCAGAGCTGTCAGAGTGTGGCCCTTCGTCTTGGGGGTGTGCAAGTGACCGCTCCTGCCCCTTGATGGCTCTCCTGTTTCGGGTATAAGGGATGTTGTCCAAACCATGTGTGGGACTCTCTGTTGACAGTTGTTTTTAAATTGCCTGTTTAATTGAGCTTCTCTAAAGTCTTCTTTGTGCCAAGTATCGGGACAGGTGATAGAAATAGAAAATTCGACACAAATCGAAAATTCCAGTATCAAAAATGACAGCGATGTACCCTTGCCCCTTAACGCAGCCAAGAAACAGGGGTGAAGGGCTACTCTCCACATATGGAGCAGGCCACCACCCTTGAGTGACAGTAGCCGAACACAGAACATTCTCTGCAGATGTCACTGAGGCTTAAACTCATTATGTTTTAAAGGGATAATCTGCTATTCTTAAGAAAACAAAAAACAATCACAAATCTCCCTGCCCTCCCCACCCCTGCCCCCACTTAGATCCTGGTAGGGTCTGGCAGGGGGAGTTTTGCAAGGAGTTGGGGCAAATTACTCCAGCAGATACTTCCACCCCGTATCCCAAGAAATGTGTGTAAATGCTGTTATGAATTAATTTAAAGGTATTCCAAACTCCTACTAATTATTATGTGTTTGCTCAAGTCAAGATCAGGAGAAGTACAGGCATTGCTATCCCATGGGGCCTGTGAAACTCTGGTGAGGTGTCCTAGTGGAAGAGCTTGGGGCCCCATGGTGTCTGGAAAGCGGGCTCCACTGGAGATTCTGGCTGTTTTCAGCTTGATGCACACGGGGTCCCCTGGAGAATGCCAGGCCTGCCTGAGTGTGCAGAGGTGAGGGATCCTCACACTGCCCAGCATGTACGTGGCTGGGAGACTCCAGAGAGACATGCAAAAGTGCTGTTAACTAGACGGCGTGGTACAAATGCAAAGTGAGTGGGTTTTTTTTTTTCCTTAAACGACAGTGAACATTCATTTCAATATTTATTTTGCTTATTTTAATATTTTACTCAATGTTTATTTATTTTTATGTTTTTGAGACAGAGTTTCACTCTTGTTGCCCAGGCTGAAGTGCAATGGTGCGATCTCTGCTCACTGCAACCTACGCCTCCCGAGTTCAAGCGATTCTCCTGCCTCTGCCTCCCGAGTAGCTGGGATTATAGGCATGCACCACCACGCCCAGCTAATTTTTTTGTAATTTTTTGTACAGACAGGGTTTCTCCGTGTTGGTCAGGCTGGTCTTGAACCCTTGACCTCAGGTGATCCACCTGCCTTGACCTCCCAAAGTGCTGGAATTACAGGCGTGAGCCACTGCACCCAGCCTCAATATTTATTTCAATACAGAAACGGACTTAATTGGGTATTTTGTTGAAGGCAAATAGTAGCAAAGTGGGACTGGTGTGAGGCAGTGGAATAACTTAGTGAAATCCAAGGTTTATGTAGTTATTTTCCCCCCACTTTTTTTTTTTTTTTTTTTTTTTTGAAATGGAGTCTCACTCTCTTGCCCAGGCTGCAATGCAGTGGCATGAGATCAGCTCACTGCAACCTCTGCCTCCTGGGTTCAAGCAATTCTCCTGCCTCAGCCTCCTGAGTAGCTGGGATTACAGGTACCCGCCACCACGCCCAGCTAATTTTTGTATTTTTAGTAGAGATGGGGTTTCGCCATGCTGGCCAGGCTGGTCCCCCCATTTTTATGGTTTGAAAATTTTCAAACCCTGGCTGGGTGTGGTGGCTCATGCCTATAATCCCAGCACTTTGCGGGGCTGAGGCAGAAGGATCATTTGAAGCCAGGAGTTCGAGACCAGTCTGGACAAATAGCAAAATCCCATCTCTGCAAAAAATAAAAAAATGAAAAATTAGCCAGGTGTGGTGGTGCACATCTGTAGTCCTACTGCTTGAGAGGCTGAGGTGGGAGGATTGCTTGAGCCCAGGAGTTCAAGGCTTGTGAGCCTTGATTGCGCCACTGCACTCCATCCTGGGTGACAAAGCAAAACTCCATCTCAAGAAAAAAAAAAAAATTCAAACCCTCAGAAAAGCTTAAAGAATAGATTCATGGATCGTTAAACATTTTTACCAAATGTATGTTTTCTCTCATTACTCTAAGGTTGCTCCCTTTCCCCCCTCACTCTCCTCTTCTCCTTCCCTTCACTCCATGGATGTGTAGGACATTCTCCTACAAAACCATAGTACTTACATTCTTGAGGTTGTCACACCTCATAATTAAACATATGATGGTTTTATTAAGTATGCTGTCACATGTAAATTTCTCCAGTTGTTTGATCCAAGTTGTACTCATGGATAGTGTATTGTATTTTACGTCTCTTTAGTCTTCTGTATTGTAGAGGAGTCCCCCAACCTTCTTCTATGACATAGGAGTTTGGGGATTTGTCTGTTTCCCGATGTGATTAGAGTGATGTTGAACAGTTTTGGCAGGAACGCTGCACAGCTGATGATTATATTTCCCATTGCATCCCCTCAGGAACTCAGAATCTCCTTCTCCATCCTTGGTGAAGGTGTATTCACCAGATGGCTCCCTGTTGAAGCTCCCTTCTCTCTGTTACCAATGAGTAATCTGTGCTATGATACAGTGAGATGGTGTGATTATTCTGTTCCTCACAGTGGTTTTCCTTTGGTGGTTTTAGCATCCACTGATTACCATAAATTAATTAGTCCAGCTTTGGCAAACTATGGCTTGCCGTGGTGACTCACGCCTGTAATACCAACACTTTGGGAGGCCGAGGCGGGCGGATCACAAGGTCAGGAGATCGAGACCCATCCTGGCTAACACAGTGAAACCCCATTTCTACTAAAAGTACAAAAAATTAGCTGGGCGTGGTGGCGGGCGCCTGTAGTCCCAGCTACTGGGGAGGCTAAGGCAGGACAGTAGCCTGAACCCGGGAGGCGGAGCTTGCAGGGAGTCGAGATTGCACCACTGCACTCCAGCCTGGGTGACAGAGCAAGACTCCGTCTCAGAAAAAACAAACAAACAAAAAAACCCCCAAAAAACTCCACCAAGTCTGTTTACTTATGTGTTGTCTGTTAACAGTTGCTTTTGCACTACAACAGCAGAATTGAGTTGGGACAGAGACCAGATAGCCAAAAATATTTTCTATTTAGCTGAATCTTGATCTAGTACATTTTTGGTCAAAAAATGATGCATTTCTAATTCTTCTATTCATTTTTCATTTAGTAGTTGGCATTCTTAAAGAAGAGCTTTCTGTTTTGACCTTTAAAAATCACTATGGATTCATTTATTCTTAATTTTTTTTTTTTTTTTTTTTTTTTTTTTTTTTTGAGACGGAGTCTCGCTCTGTCGCCCAGGCTGGAGTGCAGTGGCGCGATCTCGGCTCACTGCAAGCTCCGCCTCCTGGGTTCACACCATTCTCCTGCCTCAGCCTCCCGAGTAGCTGGGACTACAGGCGCCCGCTACCACGCCCGGCTAATTTTTTGTATTTTTAGTAGAGACGGGGTTTCACCGTGTTAGCCAGGATGGTCTCGATCTCCTGACCTCGTGATCCGCCCGCCTCGGCCTCCCAAAGTGCTGGGATTACAGGCGTGGGCCACCGCGCCCGGCCTTATTCTTAATTTTTAAAAGTGTGTTATACGTTGTTGTCATTACATTATTCTTTTAGATACACAATGTTGCCCTAAATTTGCCCAGTGGGAACCCCTCCAGGCTGGGCACTGTGTTCTTCTGTCACGCCCCCTTCAGGATGGGGCCTGGGTTCTTTTGTTATGCTCCTCTAAGGCCCTTTAATCTATGTCGTTTCATTTTTTTGTTGTTGTTTTTATTTTGAGACAGGGTCTCACTCTATCACCTAGGCTGGAGTGCAATGGCGCGATCTCGACTCACTGCAACCTCCACCTCCTGGGTTCAAGCCATTCTCCTGCCTCAGCCTCCCAAGTAGCTGGGACTACAGATGTGTGCTACCACGCCCAGCTAATTTTTGTATTTTTGGTAGAGACAGGGTTTCACCATGTTGGCCAGGCTGGTCTCAAACTCTTGACCTCAAGTTCTCCACCCGCCTTGGCCTCCCAAAGTGCTGGGATTACTAGCATGAACCACTGCGCCTAGCCTCGTATCTGTGTCCTTTCTTTCTGGGACCGGAAGAGGTTTCAGGTTCCCAGTGGAAATTCCCTGCCCCTCACCTTGAATCAGCCTTTGGCCAAAGAGCCTTGGAGAATGATATTTAATATTTAAAAACCAGGAACTGAGAACTGAGTGTGCTCATTGCTATGGGGATATCATTGCTCCTGGGCTCCTTGGGTGCAGAGACCCAGGGAAATAGATGTTTCTGTGTATGCTTTCACACTGTCCCTCCCTCTCAAGCCCAACTCCACAGGATGCTTCCTCACCTTCCTCTTGCCATCTAGTATCACGCTTCTGTAGTGAGAATCTGCTGCCTACAGCAACAACATATTGACACATCCATTCTCTTCTATAGGACACAAAAAAAGGTTTCAGAAATTTTTACGTTGGTGCTGCCACCACCACCGCTACCAAAGCAATGAAATAAAGTTCAAGATTCCTTGAGATTCTCTTGTCGTTAGGATGTATCTCACTGTGGGTGTACAGACAATATACAAAAGTTACTTAATTTTTCTCCGATGTTTATAGTACCAATTTGATAATGTAAGTTAAATTATTCATCTTTATTGAATTTTAAGATATGCATATTTTATCCTCTTTGAGTTAAGTATTTTTCAAATATAGAAAACGTTTACGTGGTCCAAAGTCAAAACTCTGTTAATAGGTTTGCTCAGAGTTCTCAGCTCCCATCCTTATCCCACCACCCCATTTTTACTCACCTCTTCAGTTCATTGCCATTACTTTTTGCCTTATCTTTTTTGTGTGTTTCTTTTTGCATCTACTTAGTGCTTTTAAGCCCCCCATTTAAAGGCCTAATGCTAAGTCTTACATGTAAACCAGCAAAAATGTCACCTTTTTAAGTAGACTTTTGTGACCAAAACCTTATTATCAAAGCGTGAAAGTTGAGACCGTCTAGGGAGTTTTCATCATGGTGGTTAGACAGTGTGTGGAATTGAAATGTACAGCGTTTGTACATGCAGGTCCGTTATTGAGAGAACTGATCCAAAACCGTGACGACTGCCAATAAAATGTACTTTACCAAATATCTGCTCAAAATGCCCATGTCTCCTTAATGTCAATACCCAACACATGGGTACATCCAGTTTTAGTCTCAAATGTTTTAAGATTTATTAAGCTTGGTTTGCAGGAGTTTAGTGTTCTTGGAATTAGAAGGATTTCTCTAGTGATGTGGTGAGAAGAGATAAACCTGGGACCTTTTGTGTTTTCTTGATACGCACATTTATGTTGTGTGCAACACAGGAATTGTCAGGAACCTGCAATGCAATCTTTCTTGATTTATAATCTTGCAAAATGTGGAATAAAAAGTAAAGTGCAAAGTTTAAGTGGTAAGTGTTACAATTCATGTGAACAATATGATGCTTTTTCTCATGCTTACTTGAAGACAGCAGCTGGCCCTTGAGTTCAGTCTCAGTGCAAACAGCCTCCAAAGAAAGTGCATTGCACTAAGGAAGCCCTTTTCATCTCACAAAGGGCAAAGTCTGGATTGCCCCCCTTTCTCTGTTGTCTTTGCCTGTTGCTCCCTGGACCCCAGCCAGTCTCCCCAGGCCTGGAGCTGGGTCAGCTAGGTCTGTGGCCAGGAGGTGGGGGTCCACGTCCACTGTGCTCCTCAGCGGCAGGTTCTGCAAACTGCAGCCCGTGGGGCAGACTCCACCTCCAGCCTGAGTGAGGCCATCCAGCTAAGAATGGCTTTGACATTTTTAAATGGCCAGGGTGAAAAAACTAAAAGAGGATTTTGTCATGACACATGAAAATGATATAAAATGAAAGTGTCAACTGTCATACATTTTGATTTTTGTCAGTTTCAGAGAAATTTATTTTCTCTTTTTATTAAATGTCACTACATAATATACTTGATTTTGCCTTTCTGCTCACTGAAGCTAAAATATTTACTCTCTGGCCCTTTCCGGAAAGAGTCCGCCGACCCCCTCTCTGTGGAATGAGAGCTTCCAAAAAGATGCAGAAGACCGTGCATCCCAAGCGGTTGTAAAAGCCACTTACTTTCGTAGGTTTAATGACTCAAAAGAAAGGGCGCTTGTTCCCTCCCTTCCTTCCTGGGCAGGCCCCTTTTTGGAATGGAGTTTCGTTATACAGAAAGTTGTTCTCGCTGTACAGAATTCTGCGATGCCTTCACTTGATGGCTGTTTCTTCGGGGATAGGAGGGCTGGGGGTCAGGATCTGATCTCACACGAATGGTTCAGAGTCTGGACTTAGTAGCTCAGAGCAGTTCACTGATTTGGGATCTCTGGAAGAAAAGGGTACTGAGTCACTGGCACCTTCTGCTCAGCTCCTGACAGCAGTGTAAAGGATGCTTTCGTGACACCCAGCCTTCAGCCCAGGAGGATGGTGGCAGATCAGACAGCTCTGGAAATGCAGGGCACAATGCGCAGAGGGTTGCACCACAACAGCAGTCACTCGGTGCCCGCCTGGAGCACTGCTCTCATTTCCAGAGTCCCTGTATTTCTGATCTTGGCTGCTTTAAAAAGGAGGTGTGGGCCTGGGATCCCAGAAGTATTCCTCTGTGATTCTGTACCACAGCTTTACCTTAATTGGGGGTGTAGGGGGTGGGGAGAAAGAGGAAGACAGATGAAAGCAGGGAAATCCTTCTTGGAGTCATAGTTAAAAGGATAAAATAAGAGCTTTAGTGTAGCCTCCGTTTCCAGCAATCCATTTTATTCTTTGTCCACAAACTGAATGAAAATAAGCAGTCATTCAAAAATGATATTTACGTAACCTACAAAAATCTCAATCAACCAAGGAAAAGGTGGAATGGGGCTTAATACAATACAGGGCTGTCTCCGGAGTTCCCTCCCTTGATTTCAGGCTTTTGGTGTAAAGCTCCCGAAAGAAAGCAACTTTGATTTTTATTAGACTCTTCAAAATCATCTCGGTAGAATATTGACCTTTTTTGTGTGTGGAAAAATGACTTCTACGAATTCTCTTGTAGGAGTGTACATTTTGGTCATTTTTTGGAATGTAGGAAAAAAAATGTGGGGTACCCTTTATTGCATTTTCAAGACCTTCCAAAGAAGATAATTCTGATTGTAACTCATTATAATCTGGGAAAGTAGATTGTTCTGGTTTCAAGGACTGCGTGTGCTTTAAATAATCACAGGCTGCTCTCAGACTTGGGAACTTTTGGTAGAATACAGCAGTGATTCTCAACCAGGGCAGTTGTGTTCCTTGGGGGACATTTGGCAGCGTCTGGAGACATTTTTGGTTGTCACGTTTTGGGGAAATGGGTGGTGCTCCTGGCATCTAATGGGTAGAGGCCCAGGATGCTGCCAAACATCCTACAGTGTGCAGGACAGCCCCCCCCCAACCAAGAATGATTTAGCCCCAGATGTTCATAGCGCCAGAGGTGGAGGAACTGCCTCGGGGGATGTGTAGGAGCTTTACTTTATGGGTTTTTTAATGGAAAATATATGTATAGACACGTACATATATATACGTGTACATACACATGTAGATGACTCTGCTCAGCGCACCCATGAAGTATGCAGTGCACCTGTCCCCTGGGATCTGGTTATACGATGGGTGTCCAGCCTGTGCCCAGGGGATCAGTTTCCTTTGTGCTGCTGCAGTACCTTGTCAGCATGGAGAGGGGGAGGTCAGTTATGAGGAGGCCCTTTTGGGGTAGAGTGGAGGAATGGTGCCGCCTGGTCAAGGCCTCGCATGGGGTAGTGTTCTTTGTACAGTTCTAGGTGAGGCGGCGAACACGTTCTCATGCATTCTTCATGGTGGTGGTGATGCTGATGTTAAGACCAACGGGCCTCTGTTGTTCTGCTCAAGGTTCCAAGTAGAGTAGGTTTTCTATTTTCAAAATGTAGTTCACGGTGTCCCAATTTTTAGTGCAGCGTATTTCAACAAAATGTCCTTTTACACATATAAATGGCTTATGTTGCAAGGTCCCCCTCAGCTTCCTGGTGTGGAATCAGTGATGGATAAAGGCAGAGAGGCTCTCAGGCTGACATATACTCCCTATGAAGAGGGGGGAAGAACTGTGTTGGCCCATGGGTGTTTGGGGAAACACTTGTATTCCAAGGTATTTGTGGAGAAGATATGGGATGTTTTTCCATGTTGGGCTTCGGATATGAAGTTTAAGGAAGGAGAATGGAGTCCTGGTGCACACCTCTCATAAGCACACGCACGCTGGCCACTCTGCTGGCTCCAGAGTCATCCAGAGCATCGAGCATAGTTTCTCCCCCGGAGACCCTCCAATCTGATCAGATAGGGAGGCTGTGAGTCTGGTGACCCCCACTGCAGGGGGCAGAGCTAGTGCAGGTGGTGCTGAGCTGACTGGGAGAAGAAGGGCCTGCAGGACCGGCTGCAAAGCCCTTAGGGGAGGGAGGAAGTGAGGAATTTGGTTTCCTAAACGGGTGGTCCAAGAGAGGCCGGGTTCATCGCTGTGCAGTGAGGTGGCACTGGAAGGAGGGAGTCCTCAGATGGGCCACCCTTTGGGGCTATAAGTCTCGTGGTTTGTTTCTCTTGGCTTCAAGATAACATATCTAGTTTGGGTGTTTTGGGATGATGAGGTTGGGGTGTTTGGGAATTGAGGTGGCCGCGTAGGCATTGAGGAAGATACTGGTGTTTTGTGCGGTCAAAGGGCAATGGTGTGGAACTCAGATCCCAGCTCTGACCCTGTGTGGTCTTGGGGGATCATCCACCATCAGTCTATTTCTCTGTGACTTGGGGATAACAGTACATGTGAGCGTGAAATAAGAGTATAAATTGCATCAATGTCTGTGTGTCAAGGTTGCCTGAGGAGGAGTTGGCTGGGCTTGCACTGACGCTTGATTCTTTGTATCACTCCGACTTAAACCACGACACTTCCAAGGCAGAGTCTAAAGCCTGTCCTCTCACAATCTTCTACAGGTGAGTAGGAGGCCATAGACCTTGTGAGTACAGAGTCCTAAAAGAAGGCAGAAATGTGTGAATCTGCCAAAAGTAAAGAAAGGGTGTTACTACTGGTCAAAGTCGTTGCAAGAATGCTGGCTTTTACAACTCCTGTTTCTGCTGCTATCACCTGCTGCCTGTGTCTTGTTTCCTGGGCTCCAGATCATTTTCACATTTCTCAAAATGGTCCTTGGTAGCTGTGGTAGATGGAATAATGGCCCTCAAGGTGTATCTCCATCCTAATCCTGGAACCTGTGAATAGGTCATTCTACATAGCAAAGTGGACTTTGTGGACGTGGTTTAAGGATCTCAAGGCCTGGTGCCAGGGGCTCATGCCTGTAATCCCAGCACTTGAGGAGGCTGAGGTGGAAGGGTTATTTGAGCCCAGGAGTTCAAGGCCAGCCTGGGCAACAGAGAGAGACCCTGTCTCTAGAAAAAAACTAAAAATTAGCTGGGCATGGTGGCACGTGCCTGTAGTCCCAGCTACTCAGGATGCTGAGGTGGGAGGATTACTGAAGTCCAGGAGGTTTAGGCTGTAGTGAGCCATGTTGGCGCCACTGCACTCCAGCCTGGGCAACAGAGCAAGACACTGTCCCAGAAAAAAAAACAAAAACAAAAGGATATCGAGATGAGGTTGGGGAGGTTGTCTGGGTGGGCCCAGAGCAATCACAGAGGTGCTTCTGAGTGGAATAGGGAAGCTGGGGGAACAGAATCCCAGAGGAGATAGGAGGATGGGCGCAGAGGCCCCAGTGATGTGGGCCCATGAGCCAAGGGATGCTGGCGGCCTCTAGAAGCTGGACAAGGCAAGGAATCGAATTCTCCCCTGAAGCCTTTAAAAAAGGACACAGCCCTGTGACCCATTTTAGACATTGCACATCGAGAACCTAAGAGAGTGTGTCTGTGTTGCTTATGGTAGCCGAGCTGGAGATTCTTTGTGACAGCAGCAACAGGAAACGCAGACAGTGGGTGAGCACCAGATGGTAGAGTCAAGTTTAATATGCTGGAGCAAGGAGGGTCAGCTAATCACTGGCAAAAGATCAGGGCCTGGGACTTTTGCTAACTGTTTCTATGGATTCCTCCTTCCTCTTGCAATGAGAAGCGACAGCCTCGTGGTGAAATTTGTTAGCTGTTTATTATTTTCATTGATCTGATTCTACTAGTGTGATTTATGCTAAGCATAAATGACCAAAGTTGACTGTGGTTTTTTGAAGAACATTGGAAAATAAACGTACAAAATTATGTTTTTATAATAATGGTTCAGTCCAAAATAAAGGAATATATTCATAGAAATTAGCTAAAATTATAGAGGGTAAGTTACATACATCTTCTTCTTAAAGATGCTGGTACCAACACTGGAAGAAGCTGTACAAGTGGGCAGGTTGTTTTTTGTTTTTGAGACTAGGTGTCACTGTCACCTCAACCTCCCCAAGCTCAGGCGATCCTCCCACCTCAGCCTCCTGAGTAGCCGTGACTACAGGTGTGCACCTCCACATCTGGCTAATTTTTGTATTTTTTGTAGAGATGGACTTTCACCATGTTGTCCAGACTGGTCTTAAATTCCTGGGTTCAAGTGATCCAGATGCCTTGGCCTCCCAAAGTGCTGGGATTAGGGGCATGAGCTACGGTGCCCAGTCTCAATTTTTAAAAATATATTTTACCATCACTTTCCAAGCTTTTTGTCCTATGTGACAACAGAAAATTGAATTTCTTAATCCACTTACATTGAATTTAAAATCCACTTAGGAAAGTGAGCTTCAGGTATTAGAATTATTAACTCCGAATAAGCAGATACTCTAGCATATTTTATCTTCCAGATTGTGTTGTGATTGTAACAAGACACATTTTATGCATTTTAGTTTTCATCACAAACTGGCTGAAAATCATGTTATGTACAAATATGACTTGATTCAATACAATTTATTGTTTGGGTATAATTTGAATTAGAAAGCCATTTGTATACCTTTTGCTCACTTACATTATGCTATTATGCTTTTGACATCAGAGGAAATACACTTACTTAAAATCCTCGCAGATCCCAGAGCAAATGAAGAGTTTTTGTTCTTTTAAAAATTGGAAGTAGTCTAGTTTTCTGGTTGTACAGTAACAATGTGATATATATTGTCTTTATCATATATACACACATACATAAATCATCTTTCCTTCAAAGATCTCAGATCACTTTTTTAAAAAACAGCTTTACTGAGATATAATTTACATACCATAAAATTCCCCTATTGTAAATGTACAGGTTCAGTGAATTTTAGTAAATTTACAGAGTTGTACAGACATCGAGACAGCACAATTTTAGAACATTGTCATCACTCCAGGAAGCGTCCCTGTAACCATTAGCAGTCACGTCCTCCCCAGCCCCTGGCGGCCACTGATCTATTTTATGTCTCTGGATTTGCATATTCTGGACATTAGATATAAATCCAATCATATAACCTGTGGTCTTTTATGTCTGGCCTCGTTCATTTAGTTTTCAAGGTTCATCCATGTCATAGCATGGATTGATCCTTCACTTTTTATTTTATTTTGTGTTTTTTAGAAACAGGGTCTTGCTCTGTTGCCCGGGCTGGAATGTAGTGGTAGGATCATAGCTCGGTGCAGCCTCAAACGTCTGGGCTCAATCAGTCCTCCCACCTCAGCCTCCCAAATAGCTGGGACTACAGGCAGACAACACCACGCCTGGCTAATTTGTTTTTAGTTTTGTAGAGAGAGTGTCTTGTTATGTTGCCTAGGCTGGTCTTTTGAATTCCTGGGCTCAAGCGATCCTCCTGTTTCAGCCTCCCAAAGCCTTGGGATTACAAGTTTAAACCACCACACCTGGCCTGTTTTTTATTGTTAGATAATATTCCATTGTTATAAATATCCCACATTTTTAGATTGATTCATCAGTTTATGGACATTTGGTTGCTCCCATGTTTTTTGCTGTTATAAATAAAGCTGCTGTGAGCCCTCGTGTACAGGTGTTTACATGCACATATGCTTTTATTCCTCTGGGGTAGATTTCTAGGAGTGGAGTTGCTGAGTCATATGGCAATGCTATGTTTAACTTTTTGAGGAACTGCCAAGCTGCTTTCTATAGTGGCTGCAGCATTTCACATTCCCACCCAAATGTATGAGGGTTCCAGTTTCTCTATATCCTCGCCAACACTTGTTATTCTCTCTCAGAGAACTTTCTGAATCTCTCTTATAATGCCTAGGGGGTTCCTTGTTGAAGATGAAATTAGGGACTACCATGAACTGCTTTAGGAAACCTGGGAGAAAGGAGTCAGGCCCCTTTTTCATATCTATGCAGTGTAACCGGCCTCTCAGAAAGATTGGTTGGAGTGGATGGGAGAATAAAGAAATGAATGGGTTGGGTGCAGTAGCTTACACTTGGAATCCCAGCACTTTGGGAGGCTGAGGTGGGAGGATCACTTGATCCCAGGAGTTTGAGATCAGCCTGGGCAACATGGCAAAACCTCATCTCCACAAAAAAATACAAAAATTAGCTGGGCATGGTGGCACACACCTGTGGTCCCAGCTACTTGGGAGGCTGAGGTGGGAGGATTATTTGAGCCCAGGAGTTAGAGGCTGCAGTGAGCTATGATTGTGCCACTGTATTCCAGCCTAGGTGCCAGTGAGACTGTGTCTAAACAAAAAAAAAACAAAACAAAACAAAAAAAACAGTACAAAGTGTTCAGTGCCGTCAGATGTTCTGAATATAGTATGATGAGAATGCAGTGGTGGGGGAGAAGGTGGATTAGTTTCTGTGGCTGCTGTAACAAACTACCACAAACCTAGATGCTTAAAACTACACACATTTACTATCTTAACAGTTCTGGGCTGGGTATGGTAGCTCATGCCTGTCATCTGAACACTTTGGGAGGCTGAGGTGCAAGAATTGCTTCAGCTCAGGAGTTCGAGACCAGCCTGGGCAACATGGCAAGACCCTGTCTCTCTCTAAAAAAAAAAAAGCCAGGCATGGTGGTCCACACCTGTAGTCCCAGCTACTTGGAGGCTGAGGTGGGAGGATCACTTGAGTCCAGGAGGTCAAGACTGCAGTGAGCCATGCGAGTGCTCCAGCCTGGATGACAGAACAAAATCTTGTCTCTATAAAAAGAAACTGGAAAAAAAAAAAAGTAGTTCTAGAGGTCATAAGTTCCAAATGGGTCTTATTCTGCTAAAATCGAGGCATCTACAGGGTGGTGGTATTTGCTGAAGGCTCGAGGGTTAAGTTTCTGGTTTTTTGTTTTGTTTTGTGTTTTTTGTTTTTGTTTTTGTTTTTTTTTTGCTTTCTCAGTTTCTAGAGGCTGCCCATATTCCTTAGCTCATGGCCCCTTCCTCCATCTTTAAAGCCAGCACTGCTTGTTCGAGTCTTTTTCACATTGCATTTCCCCTTTCACATTGAAAGCACTCTTCTGATGAACCACTTCTGTTAAAACCACTCTTATGATCCAAGATAATTTACTTTTTTAAAAGATGAACTGATTAGCAGCCTGAATTCCACCTGTAGCCTTCATTCCTCCCTGCCATGCAACTTAAGTTGTTCATGGTTTCTGGGAATCAGGATGTGGACACCTTGGGTGGGGATGGACCTTAACTCTGGCTGCCACCAATGGCGCCTGGTCAAAGTATCCTGTAGGATTTATTCTTGGAAACGGCGTTAACCCCAACGCCCTACTTTGCTGGCTGTGTAAGAAACACGAGGTCAGTCAGGCAGTAAGAGGAGCATGGACTTGTTTTCTGAAACAGCGACACAATCCATTACATATTTTCGAATGACGAGATGAGATCAGACTTCTGCTTTAGGAAGAGTCACAGGGTTTTGTGGATTTGCAGGGGAAACAGGCGGTCAGAGGGAGTTCTGTGTCACCGTCCAGAGGCTGGGGTGCCAAGGAGGGCAGTGGCAGTGGGCTTGAAGAGATGCAATGGGGCTGCTTTGGGGCTGAGGCGACTGGACTGGCGTCTGATTGATGGAATACCAGGAGAGGGATGGGAGAGGGAAAGAGATGAGTCCAGGATGACAGTTGGAAAGTCCTGGACTTCGGAGTAAAGGGTAGCGATTGAGGAGTTAAAGGGTAGAATCAGGCTGGGGAGAGCAAATTTACTTTTGAAATAGTGACCTTTGGATGCTGGACAGGGAGATATGAAGCAGGCAGAGGAAATATGGGCATGAAATAGAGCTTCAGCATTTTCTACAAAGAAGCCACCACATTCGGTGACATGACAAGGGAGTGATGCCAGAGGGAAGAGAGGTACAAGGGCAGAATGCTGGGGAAATGCCTGTGTTTAATGGGCGTGGAGAACCCGCTTAATAAATAATGAGAATATATTGCTGGACTGAAACAAAAGTCCTCATTAGCTCATTAAATGTTTCCTGGAATTCCCAGTCAAATCTGTGAAACAATTTTAATGCTAGATGTTTTGTAAGTATTTCTCCGGAAATCTGGAAATTTGTCCACAGACCCCCAGACATTGTTTATAAACTGAAGTCAGTTGACTCAAGTATTTTGCAAATGTCTATGGACCCTAGTGTGATTAATAGAAACACAAATTATTTTAAAGGTGTCACTCAATTTACAGTCATTCTGTATTTTTGCCATTTGGTATTTTTTCCTGAAACATTACATAATAAGAATGCAGCATGCTTTCTTTATGTAGGTGATCTGTGAAACTTTTTGACAATTAAAAATTGGTTTTTGGCCAGGCACAGTGGCTCACACCTGTAATCCCAGCACTTCGGGAGGCCGAGGAGGGCAGATCACCCAAGGTCAGGAGTTAGAGACTAGCCTGGCCAACATGGCGAAACCCTGCCTCTACTAAAAATACAAAATTAGCCGGGCGTAGTGGTGCACACCTGTAATCCCAGCTACTTGGGAAGGTGAGGCAGGAGAATTGCTTGAACCTGGGAGGTGCAGGCTGCAGTGAGCCGAGATCTTGCCGTTGCACTCCAGCCTGGGCAACAAGAGCGAAACTCCATCTCAAAAAAAAAAGGAAGGAAAAAAAAATATATATATATATGTATATAAAAATTGGTTTTTGCTGTTTGTTGCGGCATCACTTGCAGTTACAAAGAAGTGAACATAGTGGTTACAGATTGGGTTGTAAGGCTGGACCTGGCCGTATGATGGGTTACTAGGCACCTGTTAAAAATAGTACTGTGGAAGTGGTATATTTATTGGCATGTCCATGTGTTTACAATATATTACAATGGTGTTACTGTAATCCCCAGGAGACCAGCAGCCCAGCTGGGACTCTGAGAGCTCTAAGATACGTCCTTGGAGTAAACCAAGCTGCAAGGAGGTCTGTTCACTTCTGTATTGTTTATCCACTCATAAATTTGATTTACATAGCTGGACTTTGGTGTTGTACAGTTATCTCATAATGAGGGTTATTTTAAGAAGTGTCTCAAGGAAATGTGTCGTGTGTTTACTGAGGATAGCGTTGTATGTAGTCCACAATTTCCTCTTTCTGGGAGAAATTTTGCACATGTATCAGAAGTCTAGGAGCTGTGTTTCTGATATTTGCATCTTCTTTATTGTTTAGATACTGTGAATCCAGCATCTAACTATAGTTCCTTCTTTGAGGTCTAGGAAACTTGGAATTGGATTGACAATTCCCTTCCAAGTGATTTCAGGTTGTATCCGACTGCGAACTTTGGATACCGCCTTCCTGTCTCAGCTTCGTCTCCTTTGTCCTACCATGATCTTCTCTTGGCCCCAGTTTACCCAGTGAATTACTTTATTTTTGCTATTTTGTATGTGTTTTTGGAAGCCACCCCCAGTTTTTTCTCTTCTTTTCCTGGGTGGGGAGTTAGAAGTGTTGCAGTGGATGATGGTGCTGTGGCTTTTTGGAGGTTGGTTTGCAGTAGCTTTTGAGTTCTGGTGTGTTAGTGTCATCTTATTCTAATCTAGCTGCTTCCTGTTGAAGTACATCAAGACGAAGTATATTTCTAAATTTATTACGATGAATACTCTATCAAAAGCAGCTGGTGCTTAGGCCCTAGGTAGAGCTTTAAGATAAAGTTCTTTAATATCAATTTAGAAAAAGAAAGATTCATAATGATTAATGGAGCTCCTGCATCACTGAATTTTACTGGAATAAAAAAAATTAGTGGGCTTAAAGTTACATTGAATGTAGTGGAAATTCTTTTTCTTATCTCCATTACTGTTGGGGAACAATTTCATCTAAACCCCATTGAAAACTGGGCCTTATAGCCTTCAGTATACTTCATAACATTTGTTGGAAAGCAGGAAATGAAAACGAAGTATTTGAAGTAAAAGTTCTTAAATGTGTCCCAAGAAATGAGGATTACTGCAGAAAGAATGGATCAGTTATTTCTCGAATTATAAGAAGGAAATATCTGCAGCCTTTTTTGTCATCAGTGCAGCAGCCCCGGTTTTTCTGTTAATCATAGCTGGTAATAATGCCCTCCGGTTTATAGTTTTGATGAGCCGGGAGCTAGGCTGCGTGTTTTACATATAATATCTCTGTTCCATCAGCTGCATAACCTAGATATCCTTCACCCCATTTTTATGAGACTCATGGGTTCTTGTCTGGGACCATGCACCTAGTAACTGACAAGATTGCAAACTAGTTATGTCACCTGTGGAGTTCCACGACAAAGGCAATTCTAGGCGATGTTTATGTAGTGTTCCTTGCATGCCAGGGGGATTCTGTGCTCTTTCCATGTGTGAATGATAGCATCCACCTGCTAACTTTGTTGGGAGGGTTCAGTTATCCTCTCTGTACAGGTGAGAACAGGAGGTACTGAGGACATCTGGCCCAAGGATACTACCGCTGGCACGGGGTGGATGGTGATTCGCCCTCAGTCCCTCTGGCGCAGCATCTGTGCTGTTTGCTGCCAGGCCAGCTGCATCCCAGATAGAGTGACAGGATCTGTTCGCGTCACATCCAGAAAAGGCTCTGAGGCCAAGCTCCCTGCGTTGCTTCTCACTTTCACTCTGGAATCAGAGGTGCGTGCCTGGAGGACTTAGCTCTGCATGGACAGCTGGTAAGGTGTCACAGAGGGTGAGGTGGGCCATTGTAGCAGAGAGTTGTTAAGAGTTGGTTACGTGGGTTTTCTCACAGGGTACAAGGCTGAGGAATGGGAAACCAGTTAGGAGACCTTGCTAATAGCGTGGACCAAAGATGGGGAGTAGGTCCAGACAGATTCCGCAGTGTTCATGCAGTGTTCATGAAGCAGGTGTAGACAGATTGCGGGGCCATTCATGAAGGTGATTTGCCGGGGCTTTTTACGGATGGAAAACCCCTTTTCTGTGTTCATCCCACCTCCTGTTGTCGACAGATGACACCTGCACAATCAGGTCCTCCCAACTCCTTCCACCACCCAAAGTGAAATACGCAAGTCCCAGAGAACTGTGTCATTCTTACCGAAGTGGCTGATGTAGGATGTTAGAAACATCTCCCACCCCAAGTTGTGACAACCTGAAACATCCCCAGACATTGCTAACTGCCTCTTGGAGGGGGCACAGTCACCCGCTGTTGGGAACACAGGCCTAAAAGCTTGGAGCCAGGGCTGACTGTCTGTGTAGGCTAGAACAGAATTCCCAATGACCCATCACCATGACATCTGACACTCAAACCGCACCCCACCCCGACCCCCCACAACCACCACCTTTTAAAAATTTCCATTTTTGGAAAAGGCTGGGGCTTAGAAGTCATTATGAAGGCACCCATTTCCAGAAGGGTAAGAATCAGAAAGTTGGCTAATTCGGGTCTCTGCTTTACAGGAGTTCCGCAGCGTCTTTCAGTAGAGTGAAGCTCCAGTATTTGTATGAGTGTTGGGGTTGTTTGGTGGTGTGGGGTAATGCAGGAGGAGAGAATTGGGGAACTGTTAACCACCACCCAAACAGGCTATAGAGAAGAATGCCAGGGGACTTTACTGTGATGGAGACAGGAGCGTTGAAGTCTGAAGAGTGACATCTGGGTTCTCTGTACGTTCTGATTTCTTCTGCTAGGATGAGTATAGAAACATGTTCTCTGGGGTGAAAGTGAAGCCTTGTGAAATTCATACAGGTGAAGCTGCTGATAGCAGCTCTTCCCGATGGCATGAATATGGAGGTGGCGGTTGAAGCAAGTTTGGTTTGTGAATAGAAATATACGTGTTCATATGTATGTGTGCACGTATGTGTTTGTGCATGTGTATGCTTTAGGACCCAGTTCTTGGATTAGCTGATTATTTTTTTCCCTCTCTATAGACATTGGTGACCTAGGTTTTCAGATACTTATGTAAGTGAATAGTTGAATTTGTTTGAGCATATTTAATTGCTTTCCTGAAGGGATTTGCTGGCTGTTTTGTTAAATGAAATTGAAGACAGTACTGTTGACCTTTCCAGGTGAGGAGGGAGTCAGAAGTGTTTTGCAAATGATGGAAACTGAAACGTGAGTACCAGGACCATATGATGTTCAGAAACTTTTATCATAACTACAGTGAATAAATAAAGTGCTTGACAATTAGATTTAAAATTAAGCTTCATCCTCATTGCAAAATGTGGAGACAGTGCTTTGGGACATGAGGAAGAGATTAATTAGGATTCTTTTCTACCTCAAGATGCGCTATGTCATCTCTGAACAAAAAACTGATTGGTATTACGTGAGGATTATCTTCATAAAGTTCAGAGTTGTATCTACGGGGACAGATTTGAATTGCTGTTAATTGACAATTTGCTGAATTGGAAAGATCATATTACCTTAATACTTTAATGTATCATCTTTAAATGTGATTCTTTTTCTTTCTCTCACTAAAGATTAGTTTCATGCCACTAAATAAAATTTAATCTTTTGCTGTAATTTAAATAATAATAAGTGCTTACAAACATATTATGCAGCTGATAGCTTGTTAAAATTTCCTGTGGGCTTGTTTTTTGTTTAGAAGTACTGATTTTGCCAGTTGTACAAGCATGAAATATTGTTTATCAAGCCTCATAAGACATTAAAGAGGAAATCAAGTTTGTGTGACTTTAATGTCTCTTTTTCTCCTTATTTCAGTGGCTCATACTTTTACCCTGAACTTGTAAAATCTACAAGCTTAATAAGATTCCATATTTTATAGGAACTAATGGATATTCAATGACTTGCCTGAAGAGTAGACTAAGAAAATGTATTTCTCCATGAATCTTTACATAGAAAAATGAAAGATTTTTCCTGAATATTTATTTCTCAATATATACAGCATTAATATGTCTGTTTTTCTTCAAAGCAGAAAAAAAAAAAATCAGTGATTGCCTTTGGGTTTTGATCTTGCTCTGTATTTGTTTTAAGTACACACCTATTACATGCCCACTGTATTCTAGGCACTAAGCTCTAATGAAAAGTGGTTTCCAGTCATTCGAATGGAACAGGAGGCTCATGTACTTTGAAGTGGGTATACAGAACTTTTGCACTTTGGTTTTATTCTACTTTCTGTCTATGTCCTTGGCACTAGAATGCTTGGACGACAGTTTGCTATATCTGTGGTATTTATGGAATGAGTGAAACATGCAAGGAGAATGCCCTGGCTGCCGTTCTGGCTTCTGCCCTACCCAGAGCATCCAGTATACAGAAGCAGCGTTTCTTACCACAGCTTGCGGAAAGACACGGGGAGTAGTCGGCTTGCCATATAAGGAAGTTGCCTTCAGTGGCCTTGTTCATTTTAGGTGTTTTTTAATACTTGCTTCTCTTATAATACATGTTACTGTTCCGTGAGGAACCTCAGCAGCTCCCCTAAGGGGAAAAAAGGAGGAGTACTTGAAGGAGTACTGTTTATACTTCAGGGGCAATAAAATCCATGTTTATGCACAAAGGGACCTTTCCACTTGTGTGATAACCATTCTACAAGGCCCTTGAGTTCCTGTGAGGAAGGAAGGACGCCATAAGGAATGAAATCACAGAACCTTATTATGAAAATAGTAATGGTGGGATTTGGAAATTATACTCAATTTTTTCTTCTGAAAACAAATTGAATACCACCTGAGAGTTGGTGCTAAAGGCCCTGATTTTCGTATTTTAAAAAATTTTTGGCATAGTCTTTGGATTTGTGCTGTCCTAATATGGTAGCCACCAGCTGTACATGAGTATTTAAGCTTAACTAAGATTAAGTAAAATGTAAAATTCAGTTTGTCTCACACTAGCCACATTTTGAGTGCTCAGTAGCCACATGTGGCCAGTGGATACCTTATTAGACAAGGAAGATGTAGTGCAGAAAGTTTTATTGGACAGAAGAACAATGGTTATTCAGATATTTCCCTATTGGGAATTCCAGGGAAGAAAGGGAAAACTTAAATCTGAAGAAGAAAAATTTTATACCAAGGGACTAGGGGGCAATGCAGAAAAATTAACCACATCAAAACAATTTACTACATCAAAGTTCATTGTCATGACATATTAGAACATTAGCATAAAGGAAGTATCTATGCACTTCCCGGATTTAAAAAAGAGTCACACGAAGGATCTTGGAATCAGAATGACATTGTATTTCTTAACAGCAACACGTGAAGTTAGAAAACAGACTGAACATAGACTTCTTTGAAAATAATTTTCCCTCAGAATTTTGAAGGTGTTCCTCCACTAATTATTAATTAAGGATAGAATAAAGATGTTTGGGCCGGGCGTGGTGGCTCATGCCTGTAATCCCAGCACTTTGGGAGTCTAAGGCAGGTGGATCACTTGAGGTCAGGAGTTCAAGACCAGCCTGGCCAACACGGTGAAACCTCGTCTCTACTGAAAATACTTTCACATGTCACTTCTAGGAAACTTATGGAGAATATGTCCCACCAAAGTGAGGGAGTAAACCAAGAAAGGGGGAGGTTTGGGATCTTGGAAACAGAAAGAGGCAGAAGGAATTCTCAAACAAAGGTGTTTTCAGGGCAGTGGCTCTTGTAGTACAGACTAGAGCAGGAGACAAATTTTAGGAGGAGGCCAGGCGAGATGGCTCACTCCTGTAATCCCAGCACTTTGGGGGGGCCCAGGTGGACAGATCACAAGGTCAAGAGATTGAGACCATCCTGGCCAACATGGTGAAACCTCGTCTCTACTAAAAATACAAAAATTAGCTGGGCGTGGTGGCGCGTGCCTGTTGTCCCAGCTACTTGGGAGGCTGAGGCAGGAGAATCGCTTGAACCCAGGAGGTGGAGCTTGCCGTGAGCCAAGATCGCGCCACTGCACTCCAGCCTGGTGACAGAGCAAGACTCTGTCTCAAAAAAAAAAAAAGAAATTTTAGGAGAAAGTTTGGTGTTAGTGTATTGGTCGAAGGTGGGAGGGATGTGGGTGGGTGTTGCGGGAGGAAGGGCATGGAACTGACAAATTATCCAAGAGTTTTGATCATGTAAAAAATGTAATAGATTGTTGGAGAGTGTGGGAAGGATTATCAAAGAGTACAAAGAAAACTGAAATGAAAACAGAGGCAAATAATAATTCTAGGAGAACACAAAAAGTATACTAAAAAAAAATCATAGGCTGGGTGCGGTGGCTCACGCCTGTAATCCCAGCACTTTGGGAGGCCGAGGCGGGCGGGTCACGAGGTCAGGAGATCGAGACCATCCTGGCTAACACGGTGAAACCCCGTCTCTACTAAAAATACAAAAAAAATTAGCCGGGCGTGGTGTTGGGCACCTGTAGTCCCAGCTACTCGGGAGGCTGAAGCAGGAGAATGGCGTGAACCCGGGAGGTGGAGCTTGCAGTGAGCCAAGATGGCGCCACTGCACTCCAGCCTGGGTGGCAGAGCGAGACTCCGTCTCAAAAAAAAAAAAAAAAAAAAAATCATAATCATACTATATTGCCCACTCAGCAGTGCCCATTCCATTGTCAAAGTAATATATGTGAAATATTGATTTAGCTGAAAAAAAAAGTTATATGAGCTATCGAAAACGTGGAAGGGTCAGTGTAAGATTGGTGGTGGGAATGTAAAAAACCAACAATCCTTACCTATGTGTGTGAAAATCAGTAAGTGATATCTAAACTTGATGTATTGATTAGAGTATCACAAACAGACTATTTAGAAACATGGAAGTCTGGCCAGGCATGGTGGCTTATGCCTGTAATTACAACACTTCGGGAGGCCGAAGCGGGAACGTCACTAGAGCCCCGGTGTTTGAGACCAGCCTGGGCAGCATAGCGTGACCCTTTCTCTACCAAAAAATTTAAAGCATTAGCCAGGCATGGTGGTGTGCTCCTGTGGTCCCAGCCACTGGAGAGGCTGAGACAGGAGGATCACTTGAGTCCTGGAGGTCAAGGCTGCAGTGAGTCGTGATGGTGCCACTGCACTCCAGCCTGGGTGACAGTGAGACCCTGTCCCAAAAACAAAAAACAAAAACAACAACAAAAAAACAAACTTGGAAGTCACTATGCAGGGAACAGCACCAATAACAGAAACAGCTCCAAGAAAGTGGTTGCTTTGGGAAGTGGAATTGGTGATAGATGGTGCTAAAAGGCATGTAATTAATAAAAGGAGCCTTTTGCCTCACCTGCATTTTAAAAAAAATTTTGTACATGTATTACTTTGTAAAGACTAAAAGTGGTTTGGAAAGTGAAAGTATAGGATATACTATCTGTATAATTACAGACATTTTGGCATAGTTAAAAGCAGGGTTTCACAACCTTGGCATTGATTGACGTTTGTGTCAAATAATTCTCTTTGTTAAGAGGACCTGTCCTGTGTGTTGTGGGATGTTCCGCAGCATCTCTGGCCTCCACCCACTGGATGCCAGTGGCATTCCTCCGCCAGTCCTGACAAATAACAGTATCTCTAGACATTGCCCAATGTTTCCTGGGGGTCAAAATTACCTGTAAGAACCACTTGTTTTGAAGGATTTTTAAATATGTCATTGAATAAACCTCAATATATAACCCTGCTGTTTGATATTGGTAATACAGGAAACACCAGCTTCCTTACACAGACCTTGAACCCTGGAGCAAATGAAGCGGTTTGGAATCCTCTGGCACTGGAACACCCGCAATGCTCATGCTGGTGCATGTATTAGTCAGCGTCTGGCTCTTGGCCCGGTTAATTCAGAGCTCACTAAAAACAGAAAAGGGATCAGGAGGAAACTGCAGCTTCTCTGTCATGCTTAGTGGCTTCTGAAAACATATTTTAGATTTTTCATGTTGCTTTCATGATGGTACAACTTGAATTTCTCTGGAGTTGAAATGTTAATCATTATGGCAAAAATATTGCACCCTTTGGATGCATTCCAGTGCTCAGGTGGCTGCGGACAGATCCTCTCTGTCTCTCTGCTTCCCTCCACAATTCTTTTGCAAGTTCTTAGTTAAGTTATTGTCAAGTGTTTTTCCCTAGAATTGACACAGGAAGTCAACAGGAAAATGGTATCTCAGATTTTTTGATGTGGATGAAACCTCATAAATAGTTTAAAACCCTCATTTCACAGCTGAGGAAACTCTGGTGCAGAGAGGGTTTTTTACAATTAATTGGGAGCACAATGGGGCCTGGAACTCTGTTCTTCTGTTTTACTCTTTCCTTTTAAAATACAACATGTGTGCCCAGTAATGCTGGAGGAGGATGATAGAACGGGCTGGGGAAGGGCTAGGGCATCTGGCGGGTCATGGGAGTTTGTCAGGATTTTCGCACTGTTAGAAGTTCTCAGCATCCTCTGCCAGGGGCGTGTACCCTTAGTAAGCTTAGAGAAAATGGCACAGAGAGGCAGGAAGTGTAGTTTCCATGATCTTTCCAGGAGGTGCTCCTGTACCTCAGTTCCTGATGGCCCAGAACTGGGTGGAGAGTGTAGGCTGGTGCATTGGCGTGTCTGACAGGGAAGACCCTGGCCTCCTTATCTTGCAGCTCTTGCTACCAGGGCACTCATGGAGCCAGCGTGCACCGCCACTGCAGCTGTTCTTGAAGAAGTGGCCAGAAGAGTGAAATTGGCCCGTTGAGGAAGGGTGTGGAGCTGCTTCTCTGTGGGTCCCTGCATGACTTCCCTGTTCCTTCCCCTGGGATCAACCTTCCTCACCCCACATGGTTCAGCAGATGAGGGTTAAGTCTGCCCCAGCTTGGGGGACGCTGGTGTCCCACTCAAACCGGTTGTCCAGTATTTTGGTGCTGCACCAGGAGAGTGCCATCTGCAGTCTGCAGGGCTGTCTTGCCCAGGTGGCCCCTTCTTCCCTCGGATGGATGGGGCATACTGTTCTGACCACCATGTCTCCTTCCAGGCCACATCCTCTTTCGTGAGCACTGTGAGGGCATCACCCCACATTTTTAGAAACCTCAGCGCCCCATCTTGCCCCCATCCCTTGCCTTTGGCACCACTTAAACTACAGCCTCATTCTCTTCCTCCTCGCCTGAGTTCTCCAGCCAACTCAAGTGCCACCTCCTCCATGAAGCCCCTGTAGGTTTCCTCCACTGGGACAAGGACGCGCAGAGATGAAAGGCAGAGAAGTCCAGCCCTGGGACTTCCAGGCCGTCAGTTCAATCCTTTGAGCCTCTGTCTCCTCCTCTGTGCAGTGGGGCAGTTCAGTGCTCCCCCTTAGTGCTGTGGCACGCTGCGTTGATTGGCCTGGGTGCTGTTGCGGATGCCCAGCGAGTTCTCTGTCTCCCTCCTGGTTCTTGTCCCACTCCCTGCTCCCTGTTACAGCCTGGAAGTGGTTGGACGGTTTCCCCTGGGAGTCTTGAGAACCCCCAAAGACGCCATGCATCTTCTTGTCCTCTTTTCGTGGCATGTTCTGTGTTGTGTGTGTGTGTCTGTGCAACGTGCTGTGGCATTATGTGTGTCTGTGTTTGTGGCGTGTTGTGTTGCATGTGTCTGTCTGTACTGTGTGTGTTGTGTGTGTTGTGTGTCTCTGGCGGGCTGTGTATGTTGTGTGTGTCTGTGCACGTGCTGTGCGGCATGCTGTGTATGTTGTATATGTCTCTGGTGGGCTGTGTATGTTGTGTGTGGCTGTGTATTTTGTGTGTCTGTGTGGCTATATGCGGCGTGCTGTGCATGTCGTGTCTATCTGCACCGTGGTTTGTGTGTTGTGTCTATCTGCGTGGTGTACTGTGTGTGTTGTGTCTATCTGTGCAGTGTGTCTGTGTGGTGTGCTCTGTGTATGTTGTGTCTATCTGTGCAGTGTGCTGTGTGTGTGTGTGTGTGGTGTGCTGTATGTCTGTCTGTGCAAGGTGCTATGTGTATGTCGTGTCTGTGCAGTGTGCTGTGTGTGTGTCTGATGTGCTGTGTGTGTTGTGTCTATCTGCAGTGTGCTGTGTGTGTGTCTGTGTTGTGTGCTGTTTGTGTTGTCTCTATCTGTGCAGTGTGCTGTGTGTATGTCTGTCTGGTGTGCTCTCTGTATGTTGTGTCTATCTGTGCAGTGTGCTGTGCGTGGCTGTGTGGTGTGCTATGTGTGTTGTGTCCGTCTGTGCACCTTGCTGTGCATGTTGTCTATCTGTGCACCTTGCTGTTTGTGTTGTGTCTCTCTGCACGGTGCACTGTGTGTGTTGTGTCTATCTGTGCAGTGTGCTCTGTGCGGTGTGCTGTGTGTGTGTCTGTGCAGTGTGCTCTTTGTGTGTGTGTGGTGTGCTGTATGTGTGTGTCTATCTGTGCTGTGTGTGTCTGGTGTGCTGTGTGTGTGTCTCTGCAGTGTACTGTGTGTGTGTGGAGTGCTGTGTGCGTTGTGTCTATCTGCAGTGTGCTGTGTGTGTGGTATGCTATGTGTGTTGTGTCTATCTGTGCAGTGTACTGTGTGTGTGTGATGTGCTGTCTTTGTGGTGTCTGCAGTGTGCTGTGTGTGTGTGGTGTGCTGTGTGTGTGTCTATCTGTGCAGTATCTGTGCAATGTGTTGTGTGTGTGTGGTGTGCTGTGTGTGTTGTGTCTATCTGTGCAGTGTGCTGTGTGTGTGTGTGTGGTGTGCTGTGTGTGCACGTGTGTGGTGTGCTGTGTGTCTGTGTGGTGTACTGTGTGTGTGTCTATTTGTGTACCGTGCTGTGTGTGTGTTACATGTCCTGAGCTCACGCCTTCTGTTTTCACATTTGACTGTGATTACTGTCCTTTTTGAGATCTGAGTAACAGGGACAGGGCTGGGCCCGATGACTTAGGCCTGTAGTCCCAGCACTTGAGGATCATTTGAGCCCAGGAGTTGGAGGCTGCAGTGAGCTGTGATCGCGCCACTGCACTCCAGCCTAGGTGACAGAGTGAGACCCTGGCTCAAGAAACAAGACCAAACGAAACAGGAATGGGTGGCCAGTTCTGCCACTTCCTTTTTATTTGTGAAATCTAAGCACATACATAATCCAGGTAGTTGTCACGGAAAGGGGCCATAACTCAAGAGAAGTGGTGCCCTGGAGCCTAAAGGCTTTCCCATTAGGATAAATTAGAACTGGAAATTGTCATAAAGACAATGCAGGGTTTGTGGATTTCAGCTGGATGAGTAAAGACCAGCCTGGGCGTGAAGGATTTTCATAGTCAGTTGCTAAAGGTGGTGCCCCAGGAAGGCTATTTGGCAGGCGTGGGGCGCAGTCCTGGCATGGGGTGGGATGGGGCTGGAGGTGCTGCTAATCTATCTTATTAAAACCCAGGAAGTTTCACAGGCGCCTTCCAAACCACAGCTCGTTGATTTAAAGATGTGAATTCCACGTGTGTAAGCCAACAGAACAATTGCGTTTTGTGGTCTCTGGCTGATGAAAAGTCCCTGATGAAGTGCTGTTTGGTAAAACGATTCCTCTCCATTTTCCTCCCTTCCAATCTGTGGTTCACATTTATTCAACGTTCTTTTCTTTCAAACAGCATTTGTGTGTAGCCAACACACATGCATATGGAGTGCTGCGAAGTCTCTGTGCATTATCTGGAAACCTGCTTTCTCCAGAAAAGCTGACTATCCACTTCCCGTGCTCTCAAGCCCAAGAGACAGGAATGGGACGTGGGGAGCGCGTACCCTCTTCTCAACAAGCAGGTTGAAAATCCAGTGAATTTCTTTATGATGGAATTTGAATCACGTGGACATTCATTAGAATATTTGGGCAGGATTAAGCCCTTAAAACTGGCTCTAGATTATGGTTATAAAATGGCCTCAAAGGACCCTGAAACTAATGAAAGAATTCTTCCATTTCTGACATGCTTCACTCCCTCTGGCTCTGGCTCTTATCCCAAATCAAAGAATGTTGGTTTTTTTAGTGTTTCCTTTATAAACAAGGATGGTTTCCAGATTTTTTTTTTCTTTTTGTTTTTTTTTTTTTTTTTGAGATGGAGTCTTGCTCTGTCACCCAGGCTGGAGTGCAGTGGCGCCATCTCGGCTCACTGCAAGCTCTGCCTTCTGGGTTCACACCATTCTCCTGCCTCAGCCTCCCAAGTAGCTGGGACTACAGGCCCCCGCCACCATGCCCAGCTAATTTTTTGTAGTTTTAGTAGAGACGGGGTTTCACCATGTCAGCCAGGATGGTCTAGATCTCCTGACCTCGTGATCTGCCCGCCTCGGCCTCCCAAAGTGCTCGGATTACAGGCGTGAGCCACCGCGCCCGGCCCAAAGTGACTCTTATACTCCATTATAATTATGAATTTGGAAAACAATAAGGATATTATATGAGTCTGCTCAGGCTGCTGTAACCAAAGACCACAGGCTGTGTGGCTTAAACAATAGAAATTTCTTTTCTCACAATTCTGGAGGCTGGAAGTCCAAGATCAAGGTGCCAGGAAACTCAGTTTCTGGGGAGGCCTCTCCTCCTGGCTTGCAGATGGCCGCCTTCTTGCTGTGTCCTCACACGGCCTTTCCTCGGAGCGTCTGTGTATGGGTGGGGTGGAGGGGCAAGCAGAGAGCTTGCACACTTCGACAATATGACCATCTATCATAGGCATCAATTTAGTTTAACTTCATTTCATTTACAGGGTGTTAAAAAGGAAAATCATCTGCATAATTTGAGCTTTTTCATAGTGAGTTCTGAATCTAATTTATTTTGAGTTATTACAGAAGTCTGCGGATATCCCACCTTAAGATAGCCATATGCACAATTAGTCATTTCTTAAGGGATCCCCCAATGTGAAAAGAATTCCCCGAGAAAAGACGACCTGAAAGATCTTGGCCTTTACATAAGTGTACACAGAATTATTTTTATTGTGATAAAATATACATAACATAAAACTTACTATCTTACACAGTTTAACTGTACAGTTTAGTGGCATTAAGTACACTCACGTTACTGTGCAGGCATCATCACCATCCTTCTCTAGGACTTTCCCAGCTTTCCAAGCTGAAACTCTGTCCTCATTAAACATGAGCTTTCCATTCCTTCTCTCCCCACCAACCACCTGGCACCCACTGTTCTACTTTCTGTCTCTGTGAACTTGATGACTCTGGATACCTCCCGTAAGTGGAATCCTACAGGATTTGTCCCTTTTGTAACTGGCTTATTTCACTTGGTAGAATGTCCTCAAGATTCATCTGTATTGTAGCATGTGACATAATTTCCTTCCTTTTTAAAGCTGAATAATATTCCCTTGTGTGTATAGACCACATTTTGTTTATCCATTCATGCATCGATGGACAGTTGGGTTGTTTACAAGGAATTATTTTAAAGCCGAATCCAGGGTGGCTGGCTTGTGACTACTATTTAGATGCAGACAGTGATTCCAGGTGGTGCGTGGTGAAATCATGTCACACCCCCGCGGAAAACTCCACAGCTTTCCTCATGTGCCCTTTCCATCACTTCTCTGCTGCTTTAGGAACTACTTTTCTTCTGAGGTGACCTCTTTCTGTTCCTTTCAGTTTTTAAAGGAAAGAATAGTAGAAGTATTAAAAGCAGCAGCAGAAGTCCACATGTTAACCCTGTGCCAGCCCACATCCCCTTGTGATCTCTGGCAGTGGGGTCTCTTCTGCTAGCTTCTCCCGAGCTTCCTGCCAAAACCCTGTAGCCGGCCTTCGCCATGTCCCTGAATTTGCTTTTCTTTTTCCACCCTCTACAACCTTCCTTTCCTGCAGAAGTATAAACTTTCAATCCGTGTGTATAAACTTTGGGGACACTTCGCAATCAGCATGATGAAGTTTTATTTTTATGTGAAAACTCTTGATGATTCTGAAATTGTGGTGTCTGTAACTTAAACATCATCTACAAAATCACTGCTCTATCTTTGGATGTGAGTTTGTTCTAGCATGTTATCACAGTACCGAATTCCAAAGAAACTGCTGTTTACTTACCAAGGGTAGGCTTTCAACTCAGATGAGTTTATGACTTTATTTACATGGAATAGTCAAAATGGACTTCTGACATTTGCTGCAAAGTAGGACAACTTAATTGATATTGATGGATCTACTCATTTATTCAGCAGATAACAAAGCCCTTCCGATTGCAGGTGTTGTGGAGAGAGCAGGATATTCATTTGCTAGGGTTGCCATAACAAAGTTTGATTTGATTTTTGGTTGGGGATGGAAACTGTGTAGGAGGCAAGCGTGGAGCTTGATGTGAGCTCCTTGAAATAATGAAAAACCAGTTACAAAATCTGTATTACCTGTAGCAGTACACATTCTCCCAAAGCATTCTGTTGGCATTTTAAAGTCCTTTAAAACACACAGCTGCTTTCTGTTGCTTCAAACTAAATAAGGCATTATCTTCACTTTTCCTTTTGTTAACCTAAAGAAAAACCTTCATTTGTAAAGCAAATCATCACAGCAGGAGGATTTTCTGGTTTATGCACTAGGGTGCATTTAATCTTTATTTTACACTGCTGATTAACTTTATGATTCAAATTTTAACTTATAGTTTCTTTTTAAATTAATTACATTATTGGGTGCTTTCATGTTTTTGCTAAAAGCCTTCCTATTAGAAGCACTACAATTGACAGTGATGGACTGACCTTTAATATTTTTTTGTTATGTGACCAGTGTTTGGTTTATAAAAATTTTTCTCTAAAACACCAACTTTTGGCTGCAAATACCACCTTTTCACTTGGGTTCTTTTCATAGTGTTTATTTACATGGGATATTGTCACTTTGCACGCTGTAGCTATTTGTCTTTGTCAGCAAATGTAGGTAAAATATTAATCTTGTATGAAATTCAGATAAGCAGGGAACAGATGGATTTATGGTGCTTGAAACCTCTGAACTCTGCAGCTGTGGCAAGTTGTTGAACTGTAAATAAATTCTGGACGGTGGCTAGCAGGGGCTGGCGTGACCTCATTTGCCCCACAATACCTCACCGTGCCAGGGATGCATTTCCTGCCCTGTGCCACCTGTGGTTTGGTCCTAGTGCTTTGGGGCCGCAGAGTGGAGCTGGGCTCCCTTTGAGGAAGTCATCAGTGCTGAGAGCCCTCCTCACGGGTGAGAGTCCAGTGGGATGTGTCTGAGCAGCCTACGCTGGGCATGGGCCGGGGCACGCTGTGTCCCAAGCATGCTTTAGGGGTCCCAGTGGCAAAAGCACATTTGTGGTTGTTTAATCTCTGGAGGTGGAGGATAGCCCCAGCTCCTGGGTCAGTCAGCTGGCGGAACAGGGTAGGCCAGGGGAGACAGCACTCCACCCTGCTGGGCATCTTATTAAATGCAGCCCAGTATATTCAATGCCGGCATCACTACTTCATGGGAAAGGATGCAGCGCTTACAGCAGGTAGTGGGGTAGAGTGGCTGTGTGGGGATTTTCAAAATGGAGGCTAAAGTGATGCACTTTGGACTCGCTGGAAAGTGCCTGGACCTCTGGTGAGTTCAGCCTGGGAGGTCAGAGCACCACAAAATTTGCTTGCTGTGGCTGGGTGCAGTGGCTCACATCTGTAGTCCTAGCAGGAGCTCAGTAGTCCAAGCTCAGGAGTCCGAGACCAGCCTGGGCAACATCCTGTCTCCACCAAAACAAAACCAAAAACAAAACCAAACTGGCTTGGTGTGGTAGTGTGTGCCTGTAGTCCCAGCTACTCAGGAGGCTGAGGCAGGAGGATTGCTTGAGCCTAAGAGTTCGAGGCTACAAGTGAGCCATGATCATACCACTGCACTTGAGCCTGGGTGACAGAGTGAGACCCTGTCTCAAATGAAAAAAAAAAAAAAAAAAAAAAAAAGTACTTGTTGCCTGGCCACAGGAAGGTCTGTGTGTTGGTTTGTTTACCTTCCCGAACCTTTGCTGGGGAGACTTTTTATGCCCCCATATGCCCCAGATTCACTAACAAGAAGGAAGTGTTCTGTTCTGTGTAGGATGTGCAGAAACAGCCTTGAAAATGTTACCAATCACCGACCTTCTGAAACGAGCTTCTGTGGATACTGGGAAAGCACTGGGACACCATTCCCCTCACTCCTGCCTCTGCTTCCCCAGGGTGGAACTGGCCTGTGCTTGATGGTGCCAGCTGTCATAAAGAAGTCATTGAGCATCCCTGCATTTGCACTGTGTACCCAGCACCATGGAGGGATAGCCACTTTAGCCAAAGCAGTTTTTCAGCTTTACTGAGATGTAATTTACATACCTTCAGACTCCCTCCGAGGGTGTTTTTTTGTGTATTCGCAGAGTTGTGCAATCATCACTATCTGAGTTTAGAACATGTTCAGTACCCCATGCCCACTGTATTAGTCTGTTTTCACGCTGCTATAAGGAACTACCTGAGACTGGGTAATTTATAAAGAAAAGAGGTTGAATTGACTCCCAGTTCTGCATGGCTGGGGAGGCCTCAGGAAACTTGCAGTCATGGCAGAAGGCGAAGAGGAGGCAAGACACATCTTACCACAGCAAGGCAGGAGAGAGAGTGAGAGGGGAAGCGCCATACTTCTAAACCATTAGATCTCGTGAGAACTCACTCGCCATCACAAGAACAGCATGGGGGAAACCCGCCCCCATGACCCAATCACCTCCACCAGGTCCCTCCCCTGACGTGTGGGGATTACAGTTCGACATGAGATTTGGGTGGGGATTCAGAGCCAAACCATATCACCCATCAGCAGTCACTTCCCATTCTTCCCTCCCTGTCCCAACCGGTGCAACCAGCAATTTACTTTCTGCCCCTATGCATTTCCCTATTCTGACATTTCAGGTAAATACTCACAACATAGGGACTTTTGTGTTCTCATTTCACTGAGCATTGTGTTTTCAGGGTTCACTCATGTTGTCCCCTGTGTCGGTGCTTCGTTCCTTTTCATAGCCAGATTATACTATCTGTTCATCAGTTGGCGGGCGTTTGGGCTGCCTCCACTGTTTGGCGATTGTGAATAGTGTTGTTGTGAACATTTAAGCACACGTTTTTGTGTGGATGTATGCAAAGTCATTTTTTTTGAAAGCCACTTACTACACGATTGGCTAACTTCCATCAGAGAAATGTTGTTTGGTGGAGTTAAAAACAGATTATCTGTGTACTATATTAAGTTGGGTGAGGAATGATGAAGTGTAAATTATACTTACATAAATATTATAATGCTGTGCAGAAACTCTTAAGCTATCATTCTTTTAGAAAATGAATTTTATGAGCTTGGGACCTTTTTGTTAACCAATCTGAGAAAAGTCTGTTGTCAGTGTGGACATATTTTACCTTTAAATGGAGGAGGGGAGAGAATCTTTCAAAAACATTAATATCAGTGAGATTAATACTAATCTGTCAAGATGACCCAGTGAACAGTTGGCTATCAAAGTATTATAAGAAGGTTTTTAAAAGGAAAGTGTCTATTTTGTAAAGATCTTGAGTAAATTATGCTTTTAAGTATGTTTTGATATTCCCCCCCCTCCTCCCAAAGTGTAGCATGCCTGAGCGCTGTCATGTTTAGGAGGTGATGGGTTGGGGTTAGAGGGTGATTGACTGTTAGCGAAGTGGGTTGGGATGAACAAGTGCACTTGAGTACGCGCTGCACAGTGTAGGCATCAGGCCACGTCAGTGTGTCTCTGCATTTGGGCAGATGCCAGGCCTATTGCAGGCAGCATAACATCTAGGAACGGGTTTATGGATGAACCTGGGTAACTCTGGGAGCACAAACCCAGACCACACCCATCGGGAGAGATTGACCTGAGTGATGCGCTAACGCATATCATTGAGATGGGGCCAGATATCTTGCTTAGATGAATAATTGGAGTTCATGTCAACCATCTGTCCTTTCCCATAATTTAAAGCCAACTTCTATATTTTCCAGGTTCATACTTTTTTTTTCATTAATTGCATGTAAAGTTGCGGTGAACACCTTCTTTCTTGACTTCCTGTTTAAAAAAATTACAGTTCTTAAAATTATAAGCTTATTCAGGATGGAGTGGTCAGTTTGTAGAAAAACTAGCTCTTTAGATCTTTTAAAAGCACTACATTAAAAAAAAAAAAAAAAAAAAACATCGGACGTGGTGGGTCACACCTGTAATCCCAGCACTTTGGGAGTCCAAGGTGGGAGGATCGCTTGAGCCCAGGAGTTTGAGACCAGCCTGGGCAACATGGTGAGGCCCCATTTCTACATAAAATTTTAAAAATTAGCCGGGAGTGGTGGAGTGCACCTGTAGTCTTAGCTACTTGGGAGGCTGAGGTGGGAGGGTTGCTTGAGCCTGGGAGTTCAAGGTTGCAGTAAGCCGTAATTGCACCATTGCACTCCATCCTGGATGACAGAGCGAGACTCTGCCTCAAAAAACAAACAAACAAAAACAAACCCAGAGAAACTCAAAAACCAAAAAAGAGGTATCCTTATTTTCCCAGGCCTCAATGATGAAATGTGCCCAGTGTTCATTTGAATCTGCCCATCAATTAGTCTTTTCCTGATGTCTCAGAGAAGCATGCATGATGTACGGAATGTCTTGGGTGACCTAGAGCGGCATCCCCAATAGGACTGCCCTGTGAACATGGCCCCACATTCGGCTCTTGGGCACTTAAAAGATGTGGCCATTGTGACTGAGAAACTGAATTGTGAATGTTATTTAATTTTCACGTGTTTAAGATGTGGCCAGAGCAGACAGATGAACAGTCTGGCTTGATGGATAACTGCAGGGAGTTTCACGATGCTGGTAGGAGGCACAGTGAGCTTCTGGAAGAGCCGGCCCCACCTAGGCCTGATTTTGGTGGCTGCTCAAAACCGCTGGTACTGAATTCCTTTAGAATAGTGCTTCTCAAAGCGGGTGACTTTGTATCCTCCCCACCCTCCAGGGGCCATCTCACAATGTCTGGAGACATTTTTGGTGGTGACAGTGGGTGCTTCTGGCATCTGGTGAGTAGAGGCCAGGGACACTGCTCAACATCCCACAGTGCACAGGACGGCCTCATAACAAGGAATCATCTAGCCCCATATGCGCCACGATGGAGGAGCCCTGCTTTCTATTCCGAAGACCAGCAGTCCTAAGATACGATGTGGACAGCACAGACCCAGTTTTCTAAGTGAAGAGATAAGGCTTGAGCAGGCAGCAGCCTGGTAATGCCAAGGCCAGGACAGTTAGCCAAGTGTCTGAGTCCATGGAGCTTCTCGGGCAGTGTTCTCTTTTCTCTTCAGCTATTCCAGTTTGTATTAAGTGTAAGAATATGAAGTTGATGTTTGTCGTGAGTCAAGACGGTGACACAGAAGCAGTCTTTCGTGCTTTGGTCTAATAGCTTTATTGTTAAAGGAGAGAAACAGAAAACTCCTCTTTGCCTCTGCAGTTTTCTCTGAAATTGAATTTAGGGAAAGCTGACCCTAGACCATGCGTGCCCTTTCCACCAGCATCGCTGTGGGTTCCACTCGTGGGAGATCGATAAGGAAGTGGGGATGACCACGCTGCACAGAAGTGTTCTCATCACTTTTGCGCTTGCTTATTTAACCCATGATTGTTAGAAAGCGTTTAGAAAGTTGGTCTTTGCAAACCAGCCCTGTTAAGTGCTGAGATGAAATTCTTAACTTTTTTTTTCCTTCTTAGAGATAAGGCCTCACTCTGTCTCCCACGCTGGAGTGCAGTGGCGCAATCAAAGCTGACTGCAGCCTCCACCTCCTGGACTCAAGCAGTCCCCCCACCTCAGCCTCCCAAATTCTTAAAAATGCTAACAGTAACCCTCACACACAAAAAGTGCTGCCGTTAGAGATGGCACTGGTATTGAGAAGCACGTGCTGTCAGTGTTGCAATTGGTAATGCACACCACACTTGGGCATAGAAATTGGAAATCCAACTGCGCCAAGCTGGAGCCTGCAGAAAGGAGCACGAGGAGACGGGACAGCAATAGAGCTCTGTCGACGGCGCTAAGTAGAACCAGACGCTGCAATAAGACAAGCGTCCCCCTGTGCTCAGTACAAATGGGTTGCCTGTGGCAGATGCAGGGGTGGCTTTGGCAGAGAGACGGCTCCTGGCATCGTGGAATTGAATTGGCTGTTTCTTTTAAAGATACTGCAAATTGCGGCAGCATTTATCATCCTAAGGAAGCCCGCACAGCTTGCCAAACAGATAATATTGATGATGATAACAACAATGATAAAAGGAAACCATGATGCCTCTACTCAATGAAAATCACTTTTATCTTATTTGCAAAAGTCAGAGGTAGGACAGATGTGTCAGCGTCTTAATAAGACAGTTATTCAAGGAGTTAAATTGAAATTATTCACATACCCAAAATAAGCTATTTGGCAAACCTGGAGACCCAGGGGCCTTTGGATCTATCTTAGTGTAAAATTTCTTGAAGCAGAGACCTAGTAGGTACTCTGTTGCTTATGGTTCCAGGCAATGTATTGTTTTTTCTTCCCCCTAAATATCTGTGAATGTGTGAAGTACCCTGTGTGCCAGAGATGGAAAGTAAAACCACAGAAGCGGGGTGCGGGGAGATGGCAGCTAAATTCCTTTTCAGCAGAGTTGAAGCATCTTGTTGTAAGAGTCTAGCTCCACAACAGTGGGATGCAGGAAACTGTAACAGCTGAAATACCCAACAGATGTATTCACCATCAGTGCATTGGGAAACCCTCTCAAAAGTGTCATCACAAATGATGATCTTAACTTTTGTATGACAGGATCTTTAGGTCACCCAACAGTAGGTGCACAGTTTCTATGATTTCAATTTTTACCACTTCTGGAGACTTGTCTTCCCATTTCTTGTATCAGTGCCTTACTGATAGAGTTGGAAATTGGAACCAAAGTAATTAGATTGGCTCTCCAGATCTCTTACATGAGCCAAGAAAGGATTCAAAAGCATGCCCTGTTTCCTTCTTGACAGGCTGGGAGAGGAAGTGACCGGGAAGTGAATTGCTAAGATGTGGTCGTCATTTTCCTTTACACCACAGAGCCTCTGCGTTTGGGAACTGCAGGTTCATCCGAGTCAATGTCAGAAGTGCCTTGTGTCTACTGTAGTGAACATCCTTTGTTTCCATCGGGTCCTGTGGGAAGCAGCACTGCTTATTGGGTGGTTTGAGGGTGAATGCTATTTTACAACTTGTGACCCCCTTGACACACTACCTTTTCATTTTAGCATGGAGCACAGAGCCATTTCTCCCCTGTGCTGGATTTTGAATGTTCTTTCAACCACCGTGATAGAATGTCCAAGAAAGGAACAAAGGAAGAGGCAACTAAGGGAATCTTTCAGTGGGTTCATAAGCCATGCTGCTCCTGGCTTTGACAGGAGTTAAAATCATGGGTATCCCTAAACCACTATCATTATTGGAGTTGCTGTTACTGTCGACGTAAAGAGTCAAACTCTGTAAAATATTTGAAGAGATTTATTCTGAGCCAACTCTGAGTGGCCATGGCCTGTGACACAGCCCTCAGGAGATCCTGAGTACATGTGCCCAAGGTGGTGGGGGCACAACTTGGTTTTATACATTTTAGGGAGAACACAGCTTGGTTTTATATGTGAACCCCCAAAATCTGAGACGGGTCTCAATCAATTTAGGAAGTTTATTTTGCCAAAGTTAAGGATGCGCACCCATGACACAACCTCAGGAGGTCCTGACGATGTGCCCAAGGTGGTCCAAGCACAGCTTGGTTTTATACATTTTAGGGAGACATGAAACATCAATCAGTATATGTAGGATGAACATTGGTTTGGTCTGGAAAGGCGGGACAACTCAAAGTGGGGAGGGGGCTCCCAGGTCATAGGTAGACAAGGGACAAATAGTTGTATTCTTACGAGTTTCTGATTAGCGTCTCCAAAGGAGGCCATCAGATATGCATCTATATCAGTGAGCAGAGGCCTGTCGTTGAATAGAAGGGGAGGCAGGTTTGCTCTGAGCAGTTCCCAGCTGGATTTTCCCTTTAACTTAGTGATTTGGGAGCCCCAAGATTTATTTTCCTTTCACATACACATTTGAGGGAGACATGAGGCATTGATCAGACACATTTAAGGTAGACATTGGTTCAGTCCAGAAAGGTGGGACAACTTGAAGCAAGGGTGCAGGGGGAAGGGGGGGTGCTTTCAGGTTATAGGTAGATTTAAAATTTTTTTGATAGGCCATTGGTTGAAAGAGTCATTACCAATAGAAAGGAATGTCTGGGCTACCTTAAGAGGTTGTGGTGACCAGTGTTTTATCCTGCAGATGTAGCCTCCAGGTAGCAGGCTTCAGAGGGAACAGATTGTAAATGTTTCTTATCAGACTTGAGGTCTGTGATGATGTTCGTGCTGGAGGGGCTTAATGAGGCATGCTTGACCCCCACTTCCCGGCAGTCATGGCCTGGTCCGTCTTTCAGGATAAATTTAGTTGGCCTTGGCCCAGAGGAGGAAGTCCATTCAGGTGCTTGGGGGGCTTTCGAATGTTATTGTTGGTTTACATTATGATTGTCATTGTTATTAAAAAACTAAGGGCTGTAGAGAAATGGTTGCAGCATCCATCATGTGTCCCTAGGAATTGCACATAGCTAAGTGAGAACCTCACAGAACCCTTTCACGTGCAGCCCGATGCTGTCACTGTTCATAAACAATTGTATTTTGCCTTCCTGAAAGGCCATCTGAGTTCATTAAACTTGCATGCTTCCATATCTATACATTCTTTTCTCATGGCCTCTTTGTGGATGGTTTGTTTTACCATTTGTTGTCCATCAGCTTGAATGGTAGGGGGAAGAGTTCACACCGTGCCCCCTGTGTAGCAGAATAGCCCACAGTTCAGGCATGGCTCTCCAGCAAGGAGCTTTCTAGGGCTCTGATGCTCACCAGTGGGGGGATTGGGCACCCCTCCGCAACTGCCAGGGGACATTGACAATGTCTGGAGACATTTTGGGTTGTCTCAGTAGCTGTGTGGGGGATGCTGTTGGCTAGTGGGTGGAGCCCTGGGATGCTGCTAACATCCCACCATGCACAGTACAGCCCCAACAGCCAAGAGTGATGGCTCACAAATGCCAACATAAGAAACCCATTCTAGGGTACCTTTCATTTGCTTAGTGCTGCGAGAAGGTTTATCTGCCAAAGATCATCATCTTGGAGAGGGCCAAGATCCTGTATCCTGTACTGGACAGATATGCAGGCATTCAAATTCTGAAACGCCGTTGGAAACATGAGGCTCGGATCACAGAAGCCTCCTGTACATAGAGCAAATGAGAGCTGGAGGCCTGCTGCCCAGCCCAGCTGAGTCCTGTTTCTTATTTCGGTTTTCCTTTAGATTCCACCGAAGTTTCTCTGAAGAATGCTGACTCAGGCTGCCCCTTTTATTCCATTTCTTTGCAGGGCAGTTTAGGTGAAGCTGGAACACAGTGTTCCCTGAGGAAGCATTAGGACAATTAGACCCTGCCTTTGCTAAATGAATGTATCAAGAACCTTCAACGTCTTTACAAGAAGCAGGATAACCATTTTGCAGAGTACTGTGCTTAGTAGCAGAGCATGGCTTCTGTTACACAGTTTCAGTATTGCAAAGGTCCCCAGCCAGTACAGTCCCACCCTTAATTACTGCTTCAGAGCTGCAAGTTAACGTTTAAAGTGTTTTCACAGTAGCTTGAAGTGTGATCTCCCATATTACGGTCATATCCTTGGACTTAGCCCATGTTACATAAATTAGATCTTTATAAGCAGCACACTTCTTTGCAAGCAATTTGCTTCCCTTTGGGAATCTGATTCCATAGAAAACAGTAGTATTTTAAACATGTTGATTCTAGTACTTACAGTTCTATTCACGTGCTCCTGGTATAGTACATCTAATAAGAAAGAATCCCTTATTTTTACTTTTATCCAAATGCATGTATGTTCTTTCAGCATGAGATATAATTTGTCTGATCAAGTATATAGGGAGATGAGATTAAGAATTAAGATTTGTTTCAAGATATGAGATTAAGAATTAAGATTTATTTCAAGAAACTCAATTGCATGGTTGCTCGCATAAGCCACTATGCAGTGGCAGCTTTAATGAATGGGGTTCCAATGTTTTCCTTACTGTTTTCAAGAAGGTAGTGAATAAAATTAGATGTTAAAGCGAATTGCATTGTGTGAAGATTGGGACAGATGCCACATATATAGTTCAGATGCTTGCCTGCCAGTCCCTGAGATATACTCTTAGCTTGTTAATATGGAAATTGTCAAACATATTCAGAAGTATACAGAATATCTTGGTATATTCCTGTGTATTCTTCACTCATCTCCAGCCACTGTTAGCGTGTCACGAGCTTGTCTCATCGTCCCCTCACTGTTTTCTCTTTAGAGTAATTTAAAGCAGATCTCAGACATCATGTGATTTTTACCTATAAACATTTCAAGTTGTATCCCTAATATAGAAGGATTTTTTTATGATACTATTATTCTGTAATTGTTTCCTGTTTGCCTTAACGAAAAGACCACAGACTAGGTGGCTTAAAATAGCAGAGATGTATTGTGTCATTGTTGAGGAGGTCAGCAGGGTGGTCAGGCGGCAGCAGGGTGGCTTCCTTTTGGAGGCTCCAAGGGAGAGCCCCTTCTGTGTCTGTCCTCCAGGTTCTGGTGCCTGCAGGTGCCCCTTGGCCTGTGGCTGCATAACGCCAATCTCTGTCTGTTAGGAGGACACTGTGTTTAGAGCCCATGCAATAACCCAGAATACCTCATCTCAGGATTCTTAATTTAATTACATCTGCAGTGACCCTTTTTTCCCAAATGAGGTCACATTCAGTCTTTTACTATATAAGGTCATATTCACAGAGTCCAGGGATCAGGTTGTGTACTTAATCCTGTTTCTTTCGTGCTCATGGGAATGTATGAGTTAGGGGAATACAGATTATCTTTGTGTTGTAGGGTTTTCTTAAGATTATGATTTATTGAAAAAGAAGGTCAATGGCATATAAAGGAAAATGTCATTGATAAATATAAAAAGAAATGCAAGTTTTTTAGGCCAAGCAGAATGCTTATAGGAGCCAGTGTCTTGGATTAAAATTATATGTGAACCTCAAGTGTTATCATCTATAAAGTGAAGGTAGCCGTGAATTACCTCTTAGATTGTTGTGAAGATAAAAATGAATACAGCATTAACACAGTATATAAATGCTAAGCATTTAGTAATTATAGTTCGCCTCTTTTTTTCTGGAGGCTCAAAGTTGATTGTAAATGTCAAACCAAGAAATAATACTAGGTACTAGCAACACATAATGCAAAGGAATGATTCCTGTGATACATGAAGAACTCCTATAAAGTACTAAGGAGGATGACCAGCAGCAGGCCATGAGAAAAATGAAAAAAGACATGAACAGTTTTCTTAAAGGGAAATAATGAATAGCTCTAAAATGTATGGAATGAAGCTCAATCTCCCTCATGACATGGGGAATGCAGATGAAAAGTGTAAGGTACCATTTCACCTTTCCCATTAGTAGAGGTCAGAGGTGTGACTGTGTTCCGCTGGCAGGAGCTCAAATAAAAGCGGGTGTTGTTGCTGGCAGGCATTGCAAGAGGTCCAGCCTCTTTGGGGAGCAGATTGGCAAAAGATATCTGACCTAGAATTGTCACTTCTTGGGATTTAGCTCATGGACATAGTGTAAATATATGCAAAGAAGTACTCACATGATATTCACCAAAGGCATTGTAAAAGCAGAAGGATGAAAGCAACCACCCACAGTGAACGTGTTAGATTATAATAAAGGCATAGAATCTATCAAACAATAGGAAAAAAAGCATAATTCTGTATATGGAATGAACTCCACATGACGCTCTTGCATGTAAAAAGCAAGACAGATACCTGATTGTGAGTAGAGTTTAATACAAGTTCTATGTCAAAGTGGGAGGAGCTATATGGGCTGGTCTAGGTAGAATATTTCTGGAAGGAAATACCAAAAATTGGACTTCCCTGTTGGGGAGAGGTGGATTTTAGAGATGGGGTAGTAGCAGCTTCTCAAAAACCAAGAGAAAGCTTCGCATTTACAATGGGATTATTGGAAGCAATAGGAAACACCCATTTTTGTAAAATCTGTGAGAATGTGTATACTTGGTAAAAGTATAGATATTCAGCCATTAAAAGGAATGAAGTATTCATATATGCTACATTGTGAGAATTGAGGATATGCTACATTGAAAGAAACCAGCCACAAAAGACTGTATAAGGTTCCATTTGTGGAAAATACTCAGAAAACCTTGGGGGAGGAGGGGACAGGAAGTGTCTGTTTAGTGGGTATTAGATCTCCTTTGGAGGAGAGGAAAATGTTTTGGAATTAGATACAGAGGTGGCGGTGATTGTATAACATTGTGAATGCCCCCAAATGCCACTAAATTGTACACTTGAAAATGGTTAATTTTATGTCGTGAATGTTACTTCAATTTTTAAAAAAATCCAACTGCAAGGAGAGAAGATTCTCTAGGGAATGGCTTGTCAAAGCATCCATGTCAAAGGGACCATTTAAAAATTTCCAGTCTGAGGTGGGTGCCTTTGTGAAAAGCAATTAAAATGTATAACTAGAAGAGCAATCATGTCTCAGACACCAACGCAAGCACAACTTGCCCTAAGTTTTCTAAGCACTTCTTACCTCATTCATTCATCACCAGAGACAGACAGTTCCCAGGCCAGAATCCGCACCTGGATGCAACTTTTAATACATGGATCTAGAGTTGTGTTCTTCCAGCTCTAGAAGAGCTCCATGCCACCCCCCTCCCCTCCCCCCCCCGCCACAGCTTGTCAGAAATGCAGATCACAGGCCGTCTCTAGGTCTGCTGAATGAGAATTTGCATTTTAGTAAGCTGCCTAGGCAGCTCAGAAGCACATTAAAGTTTGAGAGGGTAATTTGGGGACAGTAAAGTGCAGTCGGAGGAGGATGGTTTTGTGGCCCTTTGGACTGGTCACTTAATGACTGTGACCCTGGGCAAGGGACTGGGTTCGTTCCCTAGGCTCCTGTAACAGAGTGCCACAGACTGGTGGCTTACCGTATAGAAACAAATGCTCTGCAGCTCCAGAGGCCACAGGTCTGAAACTGTGGTGTTGTGGGGTTGGCACCTGTTCCAGGCCTCTCTTCTTGGCTTGTAGAAGGCTGTCTTCATGTTCACATGACCTTCTGCCTATGTGCAGTTCTGTATCCAAATTCCCCACCTTAATGACATCATCTTCACTAATTACATGTACGGCGACCTTATGTCCAAGTCAGGTCACATTCTGAGGTACTGGGCGCTAGGACTTTAACATGTGAATTTTAGGGGAACACAGTTGAACCCGTAGCAGTACTTAACCTTTCTAATCCTCAATTTCGTCATCTTAAAAATGAGTAAACTACACATTAATGTGGGTACCATCAAAAAAACAAAAAAACCAACCCAAAAAATAGTAAGTGTTGGCAGGGATGTGGAGAAATTGGAACTCTTATGCACTATTGGAAGGATCATAAACAGGTAAACACTATAGACTATAGTTCAGCAGTTTCTTAAAACTAGAATTATCAGATGATCCAGCAAATCCACTTTTGGGTATACATCCAAAAGAATTGAAATCAGAATCTCAAAGAGACACTTACACACTCAGGTTTAGAGCAGCGTTATTTATATTAACCAAGAGGTGGAAACAGCCCACATGTCCCTCAGCAGATGACTGGATAAACAAAATGTGGCCTGTCCACACAATGGAATAGTATTCGGCCTTGAAAAGGAAGGAAATCCTATCACATGCCGCAATTTTGTATGAAACTTGTGGACATTATGTTAAGTGAAATAAGCCAGTCACAGAAGAGAAATACTGTATAATCCCACTTTCATGAGGTATCTAAAGTACACAAATTCGTAGAGACAGAAAGTAGAATGGCAGTTGCCAGGGGCTGGGGGAGGTGAAATGGGGAATTGTTGAATGGGCATAGAGTTGGAGTTTTGCAAGATAAAGAGAGTTCTGGAGATTGGTTGCACAGCATTGTGAATTTAACACTGTTGAACTGTGTACTTAAAAATGGTTAAGAGGCTGGATGTTTTGGGTCACACCTGTAGTTCCAGGGCTATGGGAGGCTCAGGTGGGAGGATGGCTTGAGGCCAGGAATTCAAGACCAGCCTGGGCAACATAGTGAGACCCCATCTTTTACAAAAAATTAAAATTAGCCAGGCATGGTACTGCATGCCTTTAGTCCCAGCTACTTGAGAGGCTAAGGCAGGAGGATCGTTTGAGCCCAGGAGGTCAAGGCTGCAGTGAGCTATGATCACACAGTTGCACTCCAGCCTGGGTGACAGAGCAAGATTCTATCTCAAAAAAATAAATAAATAAAAGATGGAGAGGAGCGTTACTTTTTTGTGTGCAGGAACGATTGCTGACTGCAGAGCCTGGCTGGCTAAAATTAGATTTGCCTTGTCAGTATAATAATTGTAGGTATTTTTGGAGGGAAGGATGCCTGGAGCCCGGCTGGGTTATTTCCGCCCTTGGAGTGAGCCAGGGCAGCTTAGAGGGCTACCCGCGTGCAGCCCTGGAAGGTACCGAAGGAGCCCTGGAGGCACCGAGCGCTGGAGGCCTCATCCCTGAGCAGGTTGCCCTCCTTCTGGTCGGATGGCAGGGCGGAAACCCATCTGTGTCGGGAGTGAGAGCTGTCTGCTGTCCGCGGCTTGCGCTTGGAGCTTTTCCTGCAGTCCAGGGAGAGCAGAGGAGGCCAGTGACTTCCATGAAAACACCCCCAGTGGTGGGGAGGGAGGCGGCATCCCTTGGAGGTAGGGATGGGGCCCCTGCTGTGACCCATTAGAGGCAAAGAAGGGCTTGGAAGTTTCATTTTGTCTTACATGAGTGTGTGTGCCGAGTTCACATTATTTGCACATCTGTGTTTGTTTTTATATAATGATAAGGACATCAGTTTCCATTGATAAACTATAAGGAAGATGTGCCATGTTTACCAGGGCCAGAGTGAAGAGACTGAGGTGCTTGCTTTGGGAGAAAAATTTGAGGGGGTGACAAACACCACAGACATCAAGATAAATTATCTGTGTGTATTTTAATAGCTTTATTGAGATGCTGTGCACAGCCATACAATTCACGCATTTGCAGTGCACAGTTCAGAGGTTTTTACTATATCCACAGAGGCGTGCACCCGTCACCACAGCCCAGTTTAGAACATTTTCATCACCTGGGGAAGAAACACCCACCCAGTGGCAGTCACTTCCCACCCCACCCCCACCCCTGCCACCGTGCATTCTGCTTTCTGTAGATGAATGCGTTTGTCTACTCTAGGAACCTCATACAAGCAGAGTCATACAGTGTCTGTCCTTCTGTGTCTGACTTCTTTCACTCTGCGTGTGTTCCTGGTTCATTCATGTGGTAGCACGTGCCAGACATTCCTTTCTGTTACACAGTACTGTATGTATTATATATGTACACAGCCGGCTGTTCATATCCACGAGTTCTGCTTCTATGAATTCAACCAACCGTGGATTGAAAGTATTTGGGAAAAATAATAATGCAACAATAAAAAAATACAAGTTTAAAAACAAATAGAGCATAACAGATATTTACATGACATTGACATTGTATTGGGTATGATACATAATCCAGAGGTGATTTAAAGTGTAAGGGAGGATGAGCGGTTATATGCAGATGCTACTCCCTTTTATCTAAGGGACTGGAGGATACTCGGATTTTGGTATCTGCAGGGGTCCTGGACCCATCCCCTGTGGATGCTCAGGGGCGGCTGCACCACATTTGATCTATGTGTTCATCTGTCAGTAGATGTTTGGGTTGTTTCCATTCATTTTTTGGCTAAGTGAATAATATTTTAATGTGATATTTAAAAAATTAAAATGAATGCAAGAAATTCCATGAGGAACAAAATATTAATTTTAAGTAAAGACCACAGGATCAGTATTTCTGAAGTTTCCTTTTGCCTCAGGATCCAGTATGGCTCCATACATTACTGATCCTGTCTCTCTCTCTAACATTTTGATATTTTGTCATGTACTTTTTGCATTCATTTTGATTTTTTTTTTTTCTTTTTGAGACAGAGTCTCTGTTGCCCAGGCTGGAGTGCAGTGATGCGATCTCGGCTCACTGCAACCACCGCTTTCCAGGTTCAAGCATTCTCCTGCCTCAGTCTCCTGAGTAGCTGGGATTACAGGCACACACCACCACGCCCGGCTAATTTTTGTATTTTTAGTAGAGACTGGGTTTTACCATGTTGGCCAGGCTGGTCCCAAACTCCTGACTTCAGGTGATCCACCTGCCTCGACCTCCCAAAGTGCTGGGATTACAGGTGTGAGCCACTGCGCCCGTCCTCATTTTGATTTTTAAAGATAATGTATTACACTATTGTTTCTTTTGATGGTTGAATTTTCTGGCATCCCCTTCAATTTTGCACCAGAGGTAAGTGATCCTAATCCCTGCCCTGACATTTTACACTGTGCTGTGAATACCCCAGGGCATCATGAGGAATAAAATTTGAAAGTGTATTTCAGTGAGCTAACTTGGCTGGACAGAATACCCATGGGTTATCCTTACCAGTGGTGCCATATTTATGCCTTTCAGCAGTGTTGTGATTAAACTCAGGTCCAGTAAAATTATCATTATACTATATTAGTTTTGTAGAACTTCTGTAACAAATTTCCACAAACTGAATGGCTTGGCTTAAAACACCAGAAGTATATCCTCTCACGGTTCTGGAGTCCAGAAGTCCAAAGTCAAGATGGGGGCAGGGTTGTTTGCGTCTGGAGCCTCTACAGGAGGATCCTTCCTGCCTCCTCCAGCTCTTGGTGGCGCCAGGCTCCAGTTCCCTTGTAGATGCTACAAGGGAACTCTTGTTTATAGTCGGGATAGAAATTACACAAAACCCGGTCTTGATTGGGGATACCTTTTGGAGTACTGGCAAGTTGCCGCATGGACTGAGCCTTCCGATCGGAGTTTGCTGTCTTGCTGGTGATCTGCCTGGATGCCGGTGCACACACTAATCCCTGAACACACTAAGCATTGCGCTTGCTGTTGTTTAACTTTTCATCCATGATTGAATTCAGGAGTTCTTTTTTTAAAATGGCCATTTTTAAAGATTTCTAATTGGGAGTTTTTCTTCTGAAAAGAATACCCGTAAAGCAAACTATTTAAATTATACACTGAGAGACGTATGTTCATTCTTGTATCCATAACAGTTAAGAATCATTACCTATTACTAGCATAGGCACAAAGCGTCTCCTCTAAGACATTTGTTAATTACAAAAGGGACAAAAGTAGTGACATGTGGGGAAGAAACCCAGCAGATACCACCTAGGTGGTCAAGGTCATCATCATCATCACGATGAGGGCATGTTGACACCCTGTGATAATCTGAGAAGGACTCAGCATCACTCCTGTGGTGTTCCTGCCAAAAATGCGTAAGAGTCTAATCACGAGAAAAATTAGACAAACCCAAACTGAGAGGCATTCTGCAAAACACCTCTCCTGCTCCTCCAAAGCATTAAGAGTGACAAGGGAAGAACGGGGAACCATCACAGGTCAAAGGGGATGTGCTGACTATAGGAATGTGGGCTCCTGGGAGAGAGAAAGGGCGGAAGGAGAAACCGGTGAAATTGGGTAAGTCTGTAGTTCACTTACTTGTGCTGTGCCGGGTCTTAACTTTCTTATATTTTGCTAATTGCTATGTTTGTGTAAGATGTCAACATAAGTGGAAGCTGGGTGGCAGTTATATGCAACTCTGTGCTATTTCTGCAGCTTATTGTAAGTCTAAAAATTATTTCAAGATTAAAAGTTTTTTTTTTTAAAAAAGTCAGATGAAAACACGAATAAGTAAAAAAAACATAAAAAGAGAGAAAAAAGGAGCCATTTATATGATTAACTTTTTGGTTGGTGTCGCCATAAGTTTTTTCAGTTCGGATTCTTAGTAAAGGATGTGGATCAAAACAAATCTTCATACTAAAACATCAGCAGAGACCTTATTTCATTTGAACAAAATATCATGAAGTCAGGATTCGTTTTGCATTTGAATCTTGAACATTTAAGTTTTTTAGGAAATTTGTGGTGCTCCTGTCCTTGAAAGGAAGCCCACATATGTTCAAAATGCAGTATCTTTTAAATGCATTTGAATTTTTTAAAGTTTTGGTGTTTGTTGTTTTTGGTTGTTTATTGCTTTGATTTTTCATGAGCAGTGCTGTTCAGGGGTACTATTATTGTCAGTTTTAAATCACTGCTGCAGCATACTTCATTTGATCTTGAGACTTGCCATGAGTCTTACTGTGGGGGTGGGGAGGATGGGGAAAGAAACCATTGAGTATGAGTTGGCATGTCCCACAGAACAGCGGGCGGACACTTCAGGGGGCTGTGCCTTTCTCAGAGACTCGAGGGCTATGCCCAAATCGTTATGCAGTGTGTATGTGTGGGGGGGATAGTTGGGGGGACGGGTATGGGGAAAGGAGTAATCTACCAGGGACGACCCAGGACAGATCCCAGAGCCAGGAATGAGGGTTGGATCTTGGGCAAGGCCATCTCTGCCATGACTGCTTGTGGGAACTCCTGCTTACTCCCCGTGACCCTGAGCAAAACTTCCAAGTTTGAAGCCTCAATTTTATGCTCTGTCAAAGAAACTAGTTTTTCACCCTCCACCAGAGGATGAAGTATCATTCTCCACGTGAAGCACTCAGCACAGTGCCTGTCCCCTCTGCAGACATGATGCCAATCTGTGATGATGTTCTCTTCTGTCAGCATTTTACAAAGCAGATGAGAGCGTTCACTTGCACAGCCTCCTGTTGACCTTTCTTCTCTCAGACGCCTTGCTGTAGATCCCAATCGACTGCTTTTCCTTGGCCAGCCGATTCATGCAGTCTCTTGCTTACTTAATACTGTTGATATATTTAAATTATTGTTTAATAAATACTTGTTATTCTGGAGTATATTTGTTCATCCAAGGATGGTTTACTACTGCTTGCTTTGTGCAGGTTATAACAGGTAAGGGGGTGGAGGTGTGTGCAGAGCATCAGCTGGTCATCAGCCATCTTGCGGGAGTGCCCAGAGGGGGGAAGAGCAAAGCCTACCCCTTCTACGGAGTGTGAGGGAGGCAGGCTTGGGTGGAGGCAGGACTGCACCAGCCTTCCAGAGCTCAGAGAGGTGACACCTGAGCCAAGTGACACACACATGATAAAGAGGAGGTTTCTGGAGTCCAGAGGAGGAAGGCATCCTTGGCTAAGAGGACAGCATGAACTCATAGGGTACCTCCAGGAATTTTTCCCCTGGGCAGTAGGGGCAGAGAAAGGTACCCAGGGGGGCAGGGGATAAGGACTGGCATGGAGCATGGGCTCGATATCAGCCTGCTGATTTTAATGAAAGCCGTTTGGTCACCTGAAGAACAGCTTTGATTTTACTTCTGTAATCTAAACTCTTTTGAGTTGGAATATAAAACTCAGTGTTCCATGTGACAAAGGGGTTTTTAAATTGGTCATTCCCTTAAACATCTTTACATTTTCGTATCTGTTGATGTCATTTTTTTCCCCATTGCTGACTCCTGTTCCTGTCTTCTATTTCTGCTCTTGACTTAATAATTCTTGGCTTCTTGACGTTTATCATTGCCGACTGCTCTGAATCCTCATCTTCCCTTCATTTATTTCCATTTGTCCGCTCTGTTTACTGCCTGAGATGTTGACCTTTTTTCCAAGCATGCACTAAGCGGCATTTTAAAGAAGCAGCATCATGTCATAGCTCCTGGTAGTGGGGCTGGGCCTATTCATCTTGGGGCTTCTTTATCTACCTTGGTTGTAGGTAGTTAAGAAAATCTTAACCCTTGGGTCATTATTTCTATAGTGGGTCAAAGAGATGACCACGTTACTAAAACTTTCATGTCTAGTTGCATATTCTGTTTTTTTTATTGTGGTAAGATATACATTACGTAATACATTTGTAAGTGTACAATTCAGTGGTATGAAAACATTCACAATGTTGTGTAGCCATCACCCTCTTACACCTAAACATTTTTCCATTATCCTTCTCCAAAACTCTCTGCTCATTATACAATAACTGGCCCTTCCACACTCCCCTCCCCACACTCAGTCCCTGGTGACTTCTCTTTTTTCTCTTTATTTGCCTATTCTAGGTACCCCATAGAAGAGGAATCATATAACATTTATCCTTCTGCGTCTGGCTTATTTCCCTAAGCATAATGTTTTCAAAGTCCATCCGTGTTATAGCATATATCAAAATGTCATCGTATTTTTGTGGCCGAATACTAATCCGTTGTAGGGTCACTCACACGCACACACGTAGAGTAGCTGTGAGTACAGTGCCCAGATTGGTACAGAAAGGCCACAGTGCCCATGGGTCTGTCCATTTTACATGCTGTACCGTGTGCTTCATGGGAAATATATTTCTTCTGTGAGTTTTCTTGTACATTGCTTGTTTCCAGACTTCTAAAGGGGTGGTTGTGGGGATGTGGTGCTGTGTCTCAGGTATACTCTGCTTATGAAATAGCGGGTGTGATGGAAGGGTGGAGAAAGGGAGTTGAGTAATAATGTTCACCTGGGGTCGGGCGCGGTGGCTCAGGCCTGTAATCCCAGCACTTTGGGAGGCCGAGGCAGGCGGATCACCTGAGGTCAGGAGTTCAAGACCAGCCTGGCCAATGTGTTGAAACTCCGTCTCTACTAAAAATACAAAAATTAGCCAGGTGTGACGGTGGGCGCCTATAATCCCAGCCACTCAGGAGGCTGAGGCAGGAGAATCGCTTGAACCCGGGAGGCAGAGGTTGCAGTGAGCTGATATCGCACCACTGCACTCCAGCCTGTGCAACAAGAGCGAGACTCCATCTTAAAAATAATAATAATAATAATAATAAGGTTCACCTGATTGAAATAGCCTCTGTATTGAAGAACACCAGCAGGTGAAGTTCGCTTAGCAGATCTGAGCTTCCTGTTACCCTAAACACTGCCAACCTTGACCTACCTCTGAAAGCCAGTGGGATGAGGTCTAGGGCCAGGTGGGAACCTTGGGAAAGGCATGCCCTACTGTTTGACCAAGGGGATGAGGAGGCTGGGTACTCCAGTGATGGAGACCCTTTCCCCACCTTTTCTCTCACCTCTCCTCCACCCAGTGCCCTTTCACCTTTCCTTTCCAACCCCACACCCATCCTTCCGCCCCACTTCCCCATTTATTTCTCTCTGCTCTTTCATTTCCGTGGCCAGCCGCCTCCCAAGCCCTGCCCTCAAGCTTCCCCTCCCTTTTCTTTCATGCCCATAGCCTACCTGGATCTCCTCTCCCTCGTCGGGCCCACCTCCCTCCACCCTTGGGATCCTGGTCACCCCCTCCACTGCAAGGGGGAGAAGGGCTGCACTGTGTGGAGGGTTCTCCCTACCTTGGCTGTGTTCTGGGGATTTCCCACCAGCCCTTGCGCTGCACTGGTGATGCCCGATGTAGCTGAAACTCTGCCCCGCTCGGGGTTACTGGCCTGGGATCAGCATAGGAGATGGGTTTAAAACAGGATGCAGGGAGGCTGCTGGCAGACAGTTATTTGAGGAAATGCATTTCTTAGGATATAGCTTTCAAGAAGGTGCTGTTATTGTGCGTCACACATAGAGTGGCTGTAATGCGCCAGGGCAAATGAAAATTATGTTTATAAAATAGGGCACCTTGTCAAGATTAACTTGTGTGAAATTCCCAAGAATATACCTCAAACAGTTTTTTATGTCAGTGCATGATATTGTAGTAACTCTCCCAGTTCTAGATATCTTTATTTTAAAAGGAATGCTTGTGTGCAGACACATTTTTAGGTGGAGGTTAGTATGTTTTAGTTCTCAGGATTTCTAGGAGAATAAATAGCCATAACTTGATAGGATTGGTATGAATAGTACTTGGTCTTGGGAAGTTTTCTCCATGAAAATGTTTCATGTTGACGTTTTGCTCCCTCCCGTCTTGGTTTTACACTCATTCTTCACAGAACTGTCATTTATAGGAACTTATCCCCTGGCCATCTCTATAGGTGTCTTTCTTGCCCAGATAAGGTGAGAATCATTTTGGAAACCAACTTCTTGAGAATCCACAAGAAATGGGTTTTAGCCACAAGGGATCATTGCATTGCATTCTATAAGATGAGAGCTTCTACAAGAAAAAATTCTGGAGCCAGATATTTTAGGGAAGACAGGGGGCTGATAAGTGAATTGTTATTTTAAATGGTTTTCATTTCCCCTCATCCTGATTTAGAAGAGGAGAGAAAACTCTCCTTAGAATCAGTGGGTAGTCCTGACTTGAATGGGTTTATTTTCTTTTTCTCTCTTGAATTGTCGGTGTATACCCGTGTCTTTCTTGGTTTATCCTTCATCCCCATTCCTCCGGATACCCCTATTTGCATTTAATCTGTTTGGTCACATAACCTCTCAAGTAGCGATCTTGGAGGTTTCAAAACTTAACATTTCATTTTCCCCGCTGGGTCAACTACCAGTCTGGAAGCACCAGGGTTTCCAAGGTTAGGTTACAGTGAAGGCACAGGGGACATCTTCCTGTCTCCTCTGCAGAGCCAGCGCCACTGTGCAGTGGGGTGTGGACCCCGGCTCCTCCCCAGGCTCCCAGGCCTGCAGCTGGCACAGGGGTCCCCAGAACCTGTGAGGGGGTCCTTCCCTCTGCCTCCCTGAGGGACTTGGTGATTCTTAGCCCTCTCTAACAGAGGGAGAAGACGCTGTCAAAAATGTGGTTTGCCCAAACCCACATAGAGCTGGGAAAGGGGCCAGGGACTCAAATAGCAGAGATTTCCTGGCCATCCATCAGTCAGGTTACATCAGTATACTCCATGTGGATTCCACTGGGTGCCGGCCTGGTGGCTGACCCTGCCTTTAGAGGGAACTCATTATTGTGTATTTGAAGTGTAAATACCTCTTTTCCCAGATGTTAATCTTGTTTCAGATATTCGATGGAGAGGGTTCACATAATAAATAATTCCCTCCTGAGTCGGCTTGCGTGGCTCCTGAGAGCAGCTGGTCAGGGCCCTTCTTGTCGGTGTCTCACTGGCTTTTAGCAAAATGGAGACGAAGATGAAAGGGAAACCTTAACTATAGCTTGAATCCTTAGGGTGGACTAAGCACTCAAAGCCTTCCATGCAAAGCAGTGTGGCTTATAAATTGGAGGCATTTTTCTTATTATTAGGACAAACCAGCACCCGAATTGGTTTGTCACCAGTAAAAGAATTTAAAACAGTGCCCGATTTGCACAGCTGAGATTTTGGCAACAGTATCTTACACATCTGAATGGGTGGAGTAAGATGGAGCATCATTCTGTGATATGTTTAAAATAATATACCATGAAATGATGCAGTAAGTGTTGGAGATATCTTCCAGAAGTCTTAGGTCATTTGTTTTCATGTTTAAATTGTTTCCGCAAAGGCATTCTCTTCAACATAAGGAGAGCTAAAAATCAAATACACAGAAATTTTGTAAGTGTGTTGTTTTTTTCTTTTCCTGTTTAGACTTTATAACATTACACTATTTACCTGGGCTAAACAAAATAAATTATTTTGTACATAAAACCACAAGGAGATGGTTTAGCCTACTTATGGGACCAAACTGTTGTATTAGCCAGTGTGGGAGAATATTGCAGAGATGTGTGGCTTCATCAATGAAGATTAGATGTAAAGTCTTTTTAAAATATATGAGAATGTTGAACTAAAGATGGTTCAGATGGGACTTTGCTCGAGTTGCTTGAGTCTAGAAGGCAAAATAAATGTTTGTAATTGTTACATAGGCCAGCCTTCCAAAATCCCAGCTATCCATAGAAAACAAGGGGTCAGCAAAATTGGCCATCTGCCTAGACTGGTAGGTTGTATGGGTCTGAACTAGAGGCAGTCTTTCCCCAGGGGACATTTGGCAATATCTAGAGACATTTTTGGTGTCACCTTGGGGGAGGGGTAGTACTGGCATCTGGTGGGTGGAGACCAGGGATGCCGCTCAACATCCTACAATGCAGCGGTCACCGATAGCCCACCCTGCCCCACCACAGCCAAGAATGATGCACCCAGTAGAAGCACCATCCCTCTTCCACTGGTGACATCCGAACATGTCTACAGACACTGCCTAATGCCTCTTGGGGGGCATAATCACCCCTAGTTGAAAACCACTGCCCTAAACTGAGACTCTGAAATCAACCACTTAATCTCCTTTCCTCTGAGCTCAGGGGAGGGACGTGACTCCTGCGAGCTGCCTTGGCTTTTTGTAGGGGCACAGATAGAAGCCATCCCCCAACACGGTGCCCTGGGTTCTGTGGTGGTCTCTGAGAACCCATGAATAAGGATCCCAGGGAAGCCTTTCTAGGTCGTGCTGCTTTAATATTATTCTAGATGCCGATTTAAAGTCATAAAGGAAGAAGAGCTAGGACTGTGCTGGAGGACCCTAAAGCCCATGGCCCATGGTTTCCTATAATGCTAACCATGCCCGGAGTATCTAGTTATAAATAATTGTGCTGAGGTCATGAATATTTGACTTTGGTTCTCAAATATTCCTAAGAAAAAAGTCATGAAAGCCCCTGATGGTAAAAGGAGGAGAGCTGAGACCTAAGTGGATAGGAGACTCAGGAAAAAGCAAGTTAGAAATAAAGTTCAACAACCACAGGAGAGGAGAAAATGGGTCCAAAAGACTTGGGCTTTAGGCACATCTTACCTAAGGACAAAAAAGTAGAGAAAAGATCAAATGTTGAGAAAAGATTGAGCCATGCGGAGAACGGGCAGGGTGTTGAAGTACCTGCTGCTCTCCTTAAACCCAGCATGCTGTTCACTGCTTTATTTTAGAGAGTGGGTGTAGTGGTCTGTTTCAGAAGACTCAAGTCTACACTGCCTCTGCCACTGAAGTTCCTTTTGACTCTGCAGAAGTCTTTACCTTTCATCTCCTTTCTGAAATGCTGTGAGCATTTTTCCTCCCAGAGACATTAATTGGGAACAGCAGTGAATGCCTAGTTCCTTGCAGTCCTTTGGCCCACACGCATTTCCAGCTGCCCACTGGCCAGACTGGATTCTAAATGCCAAAAGCTACAGGCGCTGACAGAGTGCTTTTGAAAAGAAAGAAATGCATGAAATGCCCCGAATTTATGGGAAATATTTATACCCAGCAGTCCTTGAGCCATGCGTGTCCTTTAGGAACGGTGCTACCAGACAGCCGTCGGCATGGCCTTGCTCCTGGTGGTGCAGGCTCTGATGTTCCACTGATGTGAGCCCAAGAGAGGAATGACCAGTCAGCCTGTAACCCCAGCTCCAGTGTTGTTAATGAGTGTCACCGATCAGGTTTCAGACGTTAGTCAGTGTCCCGGCTCCAGTGTTGTTAATGATGGCCACGGATTGGGCTTCATGCGTTAGTCAGTGTCTCTGTTAGGAGCTGAATTGTGTCCCTGCAAAAGGGATGTATTTAAGTTCCAACCCCTTGCATCTCAGAATGTGAGCTTATTTGGAGGTGGGATCTTAACCGAGTGTGACTGGCTTCCTTAGAAAAAGAGGAAATTTGGACACACTCGTACAGGGAAAAGGCCATGTGAACAGCCACCTCCAAGCCAAGGAGACAGGCTCAGAACAGATTCTCCCTCACAGCCCTCAGAAGAAACCAACCCTACTGACGCCTTGATGTCTCTGAATTCTGCACTCCAGAACCGTGAGAGAGTCAGTTTCTGTGAAGCCAATCAGCTTGTGGTACTTTGTTATGTTGGGCCTATGAAATTCATCTACTGTTACTAGCCTTTCCCAAATATTTCAGTCCATGAAATGCACCCAGCATGGCAACTCTTCAACTTACAGAAATGGAAAAGAGAAAGAATACTGTGCTTCAGCTAGTTTTCTCATTACCCAGAAATGAAAAGGCCTGACCTCTGAAACCTTGAGGAATCTCTTTTTAAGATGCCAGAGCCTGTACTTCTGCCTGATCCAAGCAGAGTTTGCTCGCTACCCCGGGCATCACTTCTCACTGCCCAGGTGGCACTGGATGATGTCCAAGACTGGCCAGATCTGGATGGATTCCATAAATAGCTCGTGCTGTTTCTGGTCAGTGAAGAAAGAGGAAGGCAAAGCCACGTGCATAAGTTTGTTGTGGATGCCATAACAAAGCGCTGCTGGAGTGGCTAAAACGACAGACGTTTATTGTATCCCAGTTCTGGAGGCCAGAAGTCCAAAATCAAGATGTCAGCAGGGCTCTTCCTCCTGAGGGCTTGAGGCAGGATCTGTCCTGTGCCCATCTTCCAGCTTCTGGTGGCTGCTGGCAGTCTTTGGTGTCCCTTGGCTTGTAGCTACATCACCCAGATCTCTGCCTTCATTTGCACATGGCCTTTTCCCTGTGTCCAAATTTCCATCCCCCTACCTTTTTTTTTTGTTTTGTTTTGTTTTGTTTTGTTTTGTTTTTTGTTTTTTTTTTTAGACGGAGTCTCCCTCTGTCGCCCAGGCTGGAGTGCAGTGGCGCGATCCCGGCTCACTGCAACCCCCGCCTCCTGGGTTCAAGCGATTCTTCTGCCTCAGCCTCCCGAGTAGCTGGGATTACAAGCATGAGCCGCCACACCCGGCTAATTTTTGTATTTTTAGTAGAGACGGGGTTTCACCGTGTTGGCCAGGCTGGTCTCGAACTCCTGACCTCAGGTGATCCGCCCACCTCAGACTCCCAAAGTGTTAGGATTACAAGCATGAGCCACTGCAACTGGCCAAATTTCCCCTTTTTATAAGGACTCCAGTCACATTGGCTTAGAGCTCTCTCCTAATGAGTTTACATCTGCAAAGACCCTATTTCCCAATAAGAAGTTACTCCCAGGTACTAGGTGTTAGGGCTTCAACATACGCCTTGGGATGGGCAGTCTTGAATCCATAACACCGTCAATTAAAAGGTTCTGCTTTCATTGCCGCCAGGTTGGGAAAAGTTGCCAGGGTGGGCTTGGTGGAGGAGGGTCTCTCAGCAGGGCAGGGTCATTGCAGGGAAAAGGAGAGAGAAACAGAGACACACAAAAGCAGATAGATTGCCTTGGCAGAGGTGGCCAGACTAGAGTCTTTGAGTTTTGTAGAGAGATCAATTGATTACTTCTAGAAATGTCCTCTTCAAAGTCTCTAGTTTTCTCTCCCATTTCCTTATACAAGGCTCTGGCCATATTACTACTTCTGGCACAGTTGATTCAGTGACTTTTGCATATAGGTTTCCCCAAAGCTAAAGCTAAAAACGAACAAACAAAAAAAGATTATTCATGAATATGCCACAAACTTTGCCCATAGATAAGACTTTGTGATTACAAGCAAAATCTGATTGGAAAATAAAATACATTATATGTTAGAATACCAGGAAACTTCTTTTTGGGGAGCGTCTTTATGAAATGAAGCCATGCTAACCTCCCTGGGACTGCTGATCAGAATGTGCTCCACCCCAAAGCCTCGGAGAGGGCAGGACAGCCAGTGACTCTCTCCTGTCAGTAGACACACTAAACCTGAATCCAGGATGGGAAATCAATGTTTGACACAGCTGTATCTCTTTCAGTTGGATCAGTAACACTCGCTCACTCACTAGGACTTCCATTTGCTTTTAGCTGCCTGCAATGAAAACCTGGCAAGACGTCTTAGTCTGATCCGGCTGCTGTAACAAAATACCGTAGACTGAGTGGCTTATAAAAAATAGAAATGTATTGCTCATAGCTCTGGAGACTGGGAAGTCCAGGATCAAGGCACTGGCAGTTTTGGTGTCTGGTGAGGGCTGCTTTCTCACAGACAGCATCTTTTTGCTGTGTTCTCACATGGTGGAAGGGGTGAGAGCGCTCTCTGGGGTCCCTTTGATAAGGCACTAATCCCATTCATGAGGCCCCACCCTCATGACCGCATTACCTCCCAGAGGCTTTACCTCCCAACACCATCATATTGTAGGTTAGGTTTCAACATAGGAATTTGGTGGGCGGGGGGGGGGGTACACAAATGTCCGGACCATAGAATAGGACATTACAGCTTGAAAAAGCACTAGAGAGAATGACGTTGTTCCTTTGTAACACAGAAAAGCATTCACCTCTCAATTTAGATGAGCCATTTTGACCCCAGTTGGTTCTGAAAATCCTTGTTGACAAACAAAATTGGAGAGGACCATAGCCTGCCTGCTTTTCCCGAGGCCCGGGGAAAGCTTTTTCATATGATGTTATTATAATGTTAGGTGTAACAATAAATGAAAGTTTTGTATGGTCTGATTGGGTAGGACAGGCCTGAACACAGGCAAACCCATCTGCACAGCATGCTCAATTCAGTCAGTGTACAAACCCTGTGTCATGGGAGCAGAGAGAAGGGTCTGCTTCCATTCCGGAGGATGACAGAGGCTTAAGGACGGTGCTGGCGTTTCAGCTGAGCCTTTAAGAAGTGGAATTTTATCCAGAGGTGATCTTCTTGGAATAGAGAGAACAAACAGGTCAGGGCATGCAGACTTGATTACAGGTGCTCTGGGGACCACTGGAATTTTTGTTGAACAGAGGATGATGAAATAAATCAGTGTTCTAGTGTGTTACCTTTGGGCAGTGGCGAGATCCGAGTCTCCATAGTGAACAAATCAGTGCACAGACCAGGGCAGAAGTGCAGGGGAACATGGAACATTCAGGGCCTGGAGGGTGGTACCCAGGCCAACACTGCCCCCTTTTTCCAGCTCCCATCTCTGTCCACATAGTTGGGCCAGTGTAGACATCTGGGTCATATAGGGAGGCATTCCAGTGGCCCCATGTGGTTTCCATGGAGATCTTCAGGAAGGGGTTTTGGGGTGAGAGTTGGTATCTCGTGGCAAGGACACACTCCCTGGGCTAGGTACATATGGGTGGTTTTCTTGTCCTACAGATTGCAAAGATACAGGGGTAGCTGTTCTGCTCTGGGCAGCTTCTGTAGAGACAGGATGTGTATTTGCTTGCCTGCTCCTGGAAGCCAGTCACTGAGGCAGACCTCTTTACTCGTCCAGAAGCATGACTTGGGGATGATTATAGTTCAAGGACATAAGGCCTAGTGGTGTCTTTCATCAGCGCCCCCCATTTTACATTTCTGGGATCCCCCTTTCTCTTTTACTCTGATCTGGCCTCCCTTCCCACCCCTCTGGCCACTCAGGTGAGGAGATGCCAGATCCCAGGTGGGCAGGAAGGAATCCCACTGAATGAGATCCTTGGAATTGCAGCGTAGCCTGGAGCTGTATGTTCATTTTAGATAGAAATATTGACACTATTGACACTATTTGGCCGGGCGCAGTGGCTCACACCTGTAGTCCCAGCACTTTGGGAGGCAAATCACTTTGAGGCCAGGAGTTCAAGACCAGCCTGGCCAACATGGCGAAACCCTGTATCTACTAAAAATACAAAAAAATTAGCTGGGCATGGTGGCACACATCTGGAATCCCAGCTACTCGGGAGGCTGAGGCACAAGAATCCTTTGAAACCGGGAGGCGGAGGTTGCAGTGAGCCGAGATTGCGCCACTGCACTCCAGCCTGGGCAACAGGTCGAGACTGTGTCTTGAGAAAACAAAAAGAAAGAAATATTGACACTATCTGTCCGCAAAAGGTCAAAGGCATAATTACAATATGATTTTGTTTCCATTTTTCTTTTTCTTCTTATTTCATGCAAATGCTGTCTTTTTGAGAGAAGTGGTTATAAGCACAGCGATATTCTATGCTATGTACAGCTCTCATATATAGAACTCTCTAGAATGGCTCAAGTTACCATTAAGCCTCAGGTGATATCAAGGTTATAAAATGTAAAATGAATGATCATGATCATTAAGTAGAAATCCTGGCTGTGTCTTCCAAGTTCTTTTTCTTTCTTTCTTCCTTTTTTTTTTTGGAGATAGGTACTATCTGCATTTCAGCTTAGCTTGCCGCCAGTGTTCTGGTTTCTTGACCATGCTGAGTAATTTTCAGCCACACCTTGTATCCCTTAGAAGCCCTTCTTGATTCTGAGGTACGGGGCTCAGAAAGCTTTGTCGTGGGAGGTTGTAAATTAGGAAACATGAAAATCAGATCAACAACAGTGGCTGGTCCTGGCTGCAGGGCTCATCTGCCTGGAGTAGCTTGAAGTTGAATGTTAATATATACTTTTAAATTGCAGTTGTTTAATTAGGTAAAGTGCACAGGTGACTTTCTCACACTAAATGGATGATGAGTATTGGGAAGAGTTGACTAAAATTTCTCTATCTTTTGCCCATATCCAACTCTCATTGAATTTTAACTCTTATGAGATATGTGCTATTTAATAAATAATGAGTCTGAGTTTTCTCCCTTTTGGAAATGTCAGGAAAGTCTCAATGATTTTAAGTATCTTTTATTTTATAATAGCAATAGAATCTAGAATTTCTAAAATCAAACTGAGTTCTTGATTAAATGTTGAAATGCTTGTCTTCATCCACCTGGGAGCAGTCGTTGTGAACGAGAAGCCCCAGTGCATAAATCATTGAATGATACATTGGAGAAGTCTCAGAGTAAAGGAAGATTTGTTTACTTTTCAGACATCCTGGAAGGTGAGCATCAAAGCAGGTGAGTGGCTGGCTCTTGGATTCAAGCTTCCCTGATCCTTTCCAGAAGTGTATCCTTCTCCTTTAAGAGAAGCCATGGCAGAATTTTTAATTAATTCTTCAGGAGGACTCATTACTGGGAGTGGAGAAAGAGCTCATTATAGTAATGGTTTCACATCCATTCTGTGGTTTGGTGACACAGGTCCCTCGGGTCCAGGCTAAGCCATTGTTCCGGGATCTCTTTTATTGATCTGAAACCCACCCACCACCTTTGTTTTTAGAATAATTAGCTAGTGATGTCACACACAATAACGATTATACTGTTTTAAAAGATCTGTAAATGCGTGTATGGCAGTGTGTATATTTAGCAGTTGCATACACAGATGTACTTATTTATAGGTATACATTTGTGGACAAGAGTTGGTTATCACTAAAATATCAAGTCCATGATTTTGGATCTTGTACACTCTCACAGAACACCGAGGGACACGGTGGAGGCACGCCGGACCCGGGCTGAGCTTGGTAACCATCTGGAGGGGACTGCAGAGGTTGACACCCAGGACTAGAGCTCAGTAGAGGGGCCGTTTCCTACCTGCAGTTCCCTTGGAAGAGAAGGGGTGAAGCTTACCATGTTGGTGGTGGTTTGTTTCCTGGGGCTGCTGTAGCAACGTGCCACCAACTGGCTGGCTTAAAACATGTATGGTCTCCCAGTTCTGGAGGCCAGAAGTGCAGAATCAAGGGGTCCGCAGGGCCCAGCTACCTCTGAGGCCTCCAGGGGAGGATGCTTCCTGCATCCCCTTGCTGCTTTTGGTGTTGCTGGCGGTCCTTGGCTTGTGGGCACAGCACTTTCCTCTCTGCCTCGGTGACTACATGGCCTCCCTGGGTGTCTCTGTCTTCTTGCAAGGACACCAGTCATGTTAGATTATGGCTCCACCCTGCTGCGATTTGACCTCATTTTACTTTAACTAACTATCTGCAATGACCCTTTTTCCAAATGAGGTTCTGAGGTGCTGCACGTTAGGACTTTAGCATGTGATTTCTGCGGACTCAGGTCACCCCATAACAGTAGTCATGCCCCACCCCATCCCACTCCACCCTTCTCCCAATTCCCCTGGTATACTCCAGGGTGGCTCTGTGGCCACACATGACCCAGGCCCACTGGCCATTAGACACTTTGGCAGGGTGGCCAAAGAAATTCTTTGTGCTGAATAAAATTAATGTGTAAATGCGGCGGTGCTCCAAGGGCAGTGTTGCGTGAAAGGGCAATAGAACCATGGCTCCTGATAAACAGAAGCCTGTTAAGCAGCAAGGTCAAAAGCCAGATGCAGAAGTCAGAATTAGCCGGGTAGACTTTTTATTTCACTTTCCCCCCCTTTTTTTTTTGCCAGTGGACTGCCAACTGTTCTCTTAACAGAAGGGCAGTTTTTGAGTAAATGAAGCAGGACTTGATCTGGGTTGTCATAAATTGTCTCTCCCTCAAGAGGTAACTTCTCGTGTTTGCCAGTTCAGAGGTGTAGGGAGACATCTCTGATGTGTAGATGTCCTAGTTTGGGGTGCAGGGTGGCTTTGGGTCTGAGAGCCTGCTGTTGGCCACTGGGTGCGCGTGGGCTTCTCCACATGACAAGACGGGAATGCTGTGAAGGAGGCCGCTGTTCCGCTTGGGATGTTGGCCGAGCGCCGCTGGCCTGTGTCCCTGGAATCCTCTCTGATTCAACCATTGAACATTAACTCTGTGAGGTCACAGCCACCAGCGGGGCTTCTGAGCCCGGCCCTGTTCTGGCCATAGAGGGTCAGGAGGAGAAGACGTTTCACCCTTGGATTTTCTGTGTTTGGAATCCAAGGCCTTTCCCGTGGAGTCTTGTGAGGTTTTCTCGGGAAGAAATGATCCTCTGGGAGAGGCTTGGGCGCGAACTGAAACATCTTTCAAGACACTGTGGCTCTTTTCAGGGAAATGCTAAGCCAAGCAAACATCCACTCAGAAATGTTCTGTATTTGGAAGCCTCAGAGTGTTAGGGGAAGCCTTGACCCTGGAATGTCATCTCCTGGTGGTGGCGGCTTCACGTGGTAAACAGGAGGTAACCTGGGTGTCATGTCACCCAGGTGACATGACACAGGGCCACACAGGATCATCTTCCAGTGGCAGTGGTGAAGATAGGGGATATGATTTCACATCCTCATTAGAGCCCACACATGAGATCCAGCTTTATAATTGGAATCCCAGATAATGAGCATGTGAACGTCCGTAAGTTCCGCCTATTCTGGGTATGATGTCACACTCATAAACAAGCTAAGCACACAAACTGGAATTTCACTTTGGAGGAAAAAAATTTCAATTCTGTTACATGAGATAATACAAGTAGTTTAAAGCCACAGAGGGTCTCTTTCGATCAGGTAGATCTATTCTTCTGTGCTCATGCAATATGATAGAAGAGCTTCTTGCATCTTTATGTCAAGAATTTGCTAAAATAAATCAGACAAGTTTAGGATTTACCTCATAGTAAATCAAGAACTTTAAGCAGGGGCTTTTCTTCTAATTAAAAATGTCATGTATACCACTTAGACATGGAAATGCTTAGGTAAGTGGAGCAAATTATTCTCTGGGGATTTAGAAAAAAGAAAATCAGTCTGGTTTCTATGGCTGCATGAATCTGGAAGGTAAATTATTAACCCAGTAGACTAAGATTTTACTAAAAACAGACTAATTTGTTGTGGCAAGACAGTTCCAGTCTGTGTGCTAGGGCTTTTGTTTGCATGCTTGCTTGAAGGCAGACAAGTCAAATTAAACAATAATTATTGGCTTGGAGGGGGAGCAGATGTATTGGATTAGTTTCTGTGCCACATTTCTCTCATTTCCACCAATGCACTCCAGTTTCAGCCCTTGTATCAGTTATCTGTTGATTGCTGTGTAACAAATGACCCCAAAACTCAGCAGGTGAAAACTACAAACGTTAATGATCTCACACAGGTTCTGAGTGTCATGAATCCAGGTGCAGCATAACCAGGTGGTTCTGGCTCAGGGTCTCTCGTGAGGTTGCAGCCTGCGCTGCAGCCTTTGAGACCTCGTGTGGGGCTGGGGGGTCAGTTCCAAGCTCCCTTAGGGTGTGGCTGCAGCAGAAGTGATGCACCATGTGCAACAATTCTCTTGGTCCTGTGGATCAACCTGGTGAATGTGGGACAGGCCGGTACTGGAGTGTGAATGCCAGGGCTCACGGGGACCGACCGTCTGAGAAGCTGCCTGTCACGTCTCTCTTTGTCTTTTACACCCATAAATGGGCACCTTGGTCAGAGAATAACTCCTTTTGAGTCCATAATCGTCTATCAGAAAATTCTGGGAAAATTACTTGTTGATTTAGCCACGTTCATGGCCTATCTTTGGAGCCATCAGAGCCCACAAATGGAGACTGTCAACAGCTTAGCAGTCAGTTCATTAGAAAGTAGTGTTACTGCAGCCTGGGTGACACAGTGAGACTCTGTCTGTACAAAAACATTAAAAAATTAGCCAGGTGTGGTGGCGCATGGCTGTAGTTGCTGGAACTCGGGAGGCTGAGGTGGAGGATCACTTGAGCCCAGGAGGTAGAGGCTGCAGTGAGCCATGATGGCATCACTGCACTCCAGCCTAGGTGACAGAGCAAGACCGTGTCCCAAAAATAAATAATAAAAAAAGAATGAATCACATACCAATTTTTTTGCTCTTAATTGCATTTTTGAACAGAAAAACAGTTTTCCCTGCAATCAAATGCAAACAGTTCCTGAGCCCCTAATGGACGAGCGTCCTCAGCTCCCACCTGCACTATAAATTTGCGTTAATCTTCCAGTTAACTTCAGAACTGCTGCTGTCTCTCTATGTTCCTTCTGCCTCAAGACATATAGGAAATGTTGGCCTTTCCCTTTCAAAAGAACAAAACAGTTGAATAACCTACTACAGTCTTCTGTGCAAAGTTAGCTTCAAAAATTATCAAGAATGTTTTCTCCAAACATTCACAAAGTTTACAGAGTTTTCCCTTTTACTCAGGATTTCAGCCCCTTTGTTGCTCTTGGCTCTCACAGCACCAAGATCGTCTGTCCACTCGTTCATTGGGCAGATGTTTATTGAATACCTGTGTGTGCCAGGCCCTGGGCCCTGAAGTCAGGGCCATAAACACAGAGCACAGTCCTAAGGGCAAACGATTTTCTCAACAGGGATTTGAGGCCTGTGAGGTTTGAACAAATGAGCCTCGTGAGTGCCAGTTCTGGACACTCGGCCTGACTTATCGGACATTTCGCAGATTCCTAAGATTTTAGAATTGGGAGAGAATCTTTGAGATTTGCTTGTAGCCCTTACATTTTCTAGACAAGGCAGAAAGAAGTCCAGTGGGATGAGGCAGTGCTGGTGCTGGCACCGCCTCACCCTGGCACTTGCATCGCCTGGAAACAAGGCAGAGCCCACTGGGGCCCCCAGGGTCCAAAGCCTCCAGGTACGTGTCTGAGTTCTAGCATTGGAGTTGCCGCTCTCACCCTTGCCAGTTGCTTTGGCATGAAGCTTGATGGTACCAGTGTGTTTCTGTCTTCACAGCTTGTGGCCCTGGCCCTGAGACCTGAGGCTTGGATGGCACTCCCACTTCTTGCTTTAATTCTTCCCTGGAGAGTTCTCACCTTCCCTGCTTTCCAAGTCCAGCTGAGATGGGCAACCAAAATTTCCCAAGGGAGAAAATAGCTGAAAATAGAAGTAGAACATGAAAGAGGATGGCTTTTCTTTTTTCTTTTTTTTTCTTTGTTCCTTTTATTTTTTTAAGTTGATTTATTTATTTATTTATTTGAGATGAAGTCTTCACTCTGTCACCCAGGCTGGAGTGCAGTGGTGTGATCATAGCTCACTACAGCCTCAACCTCCTGGGCTTAAGCAATCCTCCCACCTCAGCCTCCCACAGGTGCATATCACCATGCCTGGAATTTTTTTTTTTTTTTTTTCCAATTTTTGTAGAGACAGGGTGTCACTGTGTTTCCCAAGCTGTTCTCAAACTAACTGATCCTCCCGCCTTGGGCTCCCAAAGTGCTAGGATTACAGGCATGAGCCATGTGCCTGGCCGAGAATGTTTTTCAATTTGGGCTTGTTCAGTGGTTTTCACATGATTGGACTGGGGTGGTAGGTTTTGAGGAACGAGACCCCAGAGGTGAAGCGCCCTTCTCACCACATCATATCAAGGGTAGGTACTGTCAACCTGACTCACCACTGTTGCTGTTGACCTTGACCACTGGGTTTAGGTCATGGGTGTTGGGTTGCGATTAATGTTTTTCCCTTTCCATGTAGTATTCTTTCAAAATCCCCACTCGGGTGGAGGAGGGGTGTTAAGCATCTCTTCCTGGAGGTTGTTTATTTCGGTTTTATGTTAAAATATATCAGTGCAGATCCATTCACCCATCTCTTGATAGAAGGAGTAGGATTTTTCTTGGGACAGGGATCCTTTATTCCTAGTTTGGAGTCAGCTTCCCCCATTCCGGATGGTGCAGCCTCTACAATGTTTGTCTCTTTGAAGCGGAGTGGGAATTGAAAGAGATTTATGAAACCATCTCGGTATAGAATCTATCTAGGATTTTATTTTCTTTTCCCAAATCCCTTGAGGCAATCTGTCTTGGTTAAGTCTCTAAAAAAGCAGTCAAAGTGGTTTTTGTCGAAAAAATAATTTGGGGGTACTCCTAGTTCACCATTTTATATAATATTCAATTACTTTTCGTAAATGCAATAACAAGGCCAACTGACATAAGCGAGTTTGAAGCAGTCAGCAGTTTGGGTGTTTCAGACCCAGGTAGGCAGCTGAGGTGGGAGATCCCAGGGGAAGCTCAGGGAGCAGCTGCCCGCCTTGGTCAGTTCAGCCAGGTTAAGTGGAGGCCTTGGGAAGAGAGTTTCTCCTCTTGAGTATTTTTAGAAGCAGCAGATATCAGCCATAAATATTTAATGTTGTGTTTCTAAACTTTAGCGTCATAAAAATACAAAAAGGTGACTGGGCGGGGGTTGGTCAGTATATACCTAGGGGAGAAAAGAACTTCCTCAACACATCACACTGCATAAGGAAAACCGTCTTAAACGTTCTTAGAAGAAAAGTCAGTAGGTAAACAGCTATCGTGTAATCTGATGAATACCCACCGGAGGAAGTATTAGTAATTATTCTTTGCTTGCCAGGGTTTTCATAATTCTTTTCCAATTATAAAAATTAATATGCTGTAAGCAGTTTTTAAAAATAAAAGTAAGCATGAAAAGAAAAACATCTATAAACCCACCCCTAGAAGTTTTGCCCCAGCATTTTGGTGGTGTGTTTTCTTCCAGGTGTGTGTGTGTGTGTGTGTGTGTGTGTGTGTGTGTGTTGCCCCAGCATTTTGGTGTGTTTTCTTCCAGGTAGGGGTGTGTGTGTGTGTGTGTGTGTCCTGCTGTATTCTGAGCTTTGTAGTATGCCCCTTCCACTTGACCTTCTCCAGGAAGCATTTGATCATCCAGCAACATCGATTGAAAATGTTTGTATGCATCTCTTTCATGAAGTACATGTTCCATCATTTATATCACATGTGTTGCTGGAGATTTCAATTGCTTCCATTTTCCTTTAGGATAAATTGCTGGAAATAGAACTGGAGGGCTCTTGAGACCGATTACCATATTGCTTTCCTGAGAGGCTGTGCGGGTTGCGTGGCAGTGAGGAGGGACGGGGGTAAGTGGAGGGGCTGGGGCACAGGCCTCTCCAACACTTCATGTGAACATGGTCAGCTGAGCCAGGAATGCGTGACATCTTTATTTTTCCCCTTGCATTTCTTTAATTCCTAACGAGGTGGAATATTTGATCACATTTGTCAGCTATTTGCATTTCTTTTTCCATGTATTAGACCTAAGCCTCTTTGAAAGGTGTTATCTCAGGTTCTTTCCAATATTGCACTTTCTGAGTTTCTCTTGAATCCCAGTTATTTTAAGGATTGCAGTGTTGGAGTTTCAGCTGAAGGGGCCATGTCTGATGTTTGCTGGTCCATTAGCCTCCTGGCCTGAGCCAAACCATGCATCTTCATGTCAGAGCTGCATATGAAACAAGAGCTAAGTCCAGAAAGCAAGAAGAAGCTAGCAGATTGATTTTCCTAGGTGGGGCCTACCAGGGCACTTCTGTTGTTGACTGTACCACTCTCTCCTGAAGGGCCCTGGTTGTGTACTGCAGTTGGGACTGCTGACGTGTTGGGGTGTTACAAGAGCATGCGGAGGCTGCTCCTCTCCTGTTTCCTGGTGTGCTGATCAAAAGACTTTTTATAGAATGACAGTTGTAGGAAAAGCACAGATTCTTATGTTAGCCAATAACGGATTATTTTTTAATGTTATTATAAATTGGCAAGCTTACTAATTTGTTTCTACTTGTCATTAGCCAAAGTTCAGTGTTTCCCAAGGATATATGTGAATGTGTGTCTGTGTGTGACATCTGTTGTATTTTTCACATGAATTAATTGAGTATCTATTATGTGGCAAGCTCTGTGCTGTCTTTGAAGCACTGAACTGTCTTATGATACACACAGGATGAGGACAGGATCATTTTCTATATTTCTGTGAAGTCCTTTTTCAAATTCCCATTCTTTTGCTGCTTCTGCATCTCCTTTGACTGCTTTAGGGCATCCCAGGTAGAAAGCTTACCTAATGTCAACTCCAGTTCTTTCTTTTGTAGTCTTCATTTTAAGCATGATTTCTGTTTTTCTTTTTCCCTTTAAAGAAAGCTTCTCAAACTTTGAAATGAAAACAAATGAAAGGAGAGGGAAAAGATTCAGAAATTATTGATAGATTGCTAAAAACAAATGCTATGATAATTTTGGGTCGGAGCATCTGTCGTTTTACAGCACAACAGATTTAGCTTCTTAATGATGTTTGTATGTTTTTCCTCAAAAGTGTATTGACTAGGTAGGAGTTGAGCCAAGCCTTGAATGAATCATTTCCTGCCAAATTCAATAGACTGAGCAAATCCTCGGAGAAATGGCCATATTTCTCTAACACTGGGTTCCTTTCAGGGCTCAAGATTCCATTTTCTCTCAATACTTTGCTCCTACAGACTAGGAGTCCTCTTCATGCTACAGTATGCAGTGTGTATGGAAACTGTGAATGGAGAAGCAGCCGTTCATGCTGCCAAGTTTCTTTCAGAAGGTGGCTCCAGGTGGATGACTTTCAGTCTGAACTCAGTGTCACCAGGCATGTGTGTGCCCACACACTGCCACTTTAAGCTGTGGACAAACAGAACGGATATTCTCCCACCAAAATAAACATACAAGCAAAACACTCTGTCTTCATTCAGCATCATTTGCATCCTATAAAATAATGGTTTCTCCTTGATGCCCACCTTTCTTATGGGTGGTTCTTAATTAGTTCCAAACAGAACTTAACGTGGCCATGATATTCCACTTGCTAAAACAAGGGCAGTCGAGTGTTCGATTTGCCATCATTGATTAGACGCATGCAGTCACCCAGTGCTGTTTGCCCAAGCATCTGTAGGCGGGGATTCCCCAGTGCTGATTCCCCAATGCTTGTAAGGGGCAGGACTTAATTAAATCTTAAAGTGACAGCTGAAAATGTAAGGGTCAGGAAGTCATGTCTAAAAGGGGATTTAGTATAACAATAATAACAGCAGTGACTAAGACTAATCCTGGCTCAGGCATTTTGTTTGGGGTCACCTGGTCTTAATTAGCAGCACTCTGGGATTTGAGTGGCGCTGTGCTGTTGCCCACAAAGCCCATCAGTGGCACCATTGCCTGTGTCTTTCGGGGCAGTCTGTTAGGGAGGGGGTGGCACAGGTGTTGGCACGGCCATCCCCATTTTATATGTGAGGGAACCTCAGCCAGGCAGGATCCTTGCCTGGATGCTCTGTGGGGAGCCCTGTGAGTTTGTAACCCTCCGTGCAGCCTGCCAGGTCAGCGGCCCCAAAATGGAGAGATACAGAGGGCACCAAATTGTAAGGCAGAGCGTTGGCTAGTGACACAAGCTGCCTTTCGATCGCCTGGGCGTTCTGAAGCCCGCAAACATTCGCCTGGACCTTGGTCAGGTGTCTCACAGAACCTACAGTAATTCACTGTTAAGAATAACTTCAAACACAGAAAATCGCTTTTTGTTTCCTAGAGAAGGCTAGTCTTCAGCGAGAACAACTTGTGATTTTTAATCTGTTTCACACTGGTCGGGGAGGGGGGAAGAAAAGATGTTATGGGCATATAATTAAAAATTTGTCGGCAGATACAATTACAGGAAGAATCATGTGGCCTAAAAAACTGAAAGCCTCCATATGCCTCTTCATCTTGCCAGCTACAGTCCACAAATTGTAGAGCCTGCGGGCACTGTGGAAGCCAGCTAGATTTGCTCTATCCAGTAGCAGCAGATTGAGAGCCATACATGGAATTTATACTTTTCTAGCAGCCACAGGAAAAGAGTACAAAGAAGCAGGTAAAATTTATATTACAACATCTTTTTTACTGTGTATTAAATTATTATTGTAATACCTATTTTAATATATAATAATGCCATAATATATTTTATTTAACCCAACGTATCCAAAATGGCATCATTTCTACAAGCGATTCCTATTTTAAAAATTATCCGCAAGATATTTTATGTTCTTTCTTTTTTGTACAAAGTCTGCAAAATCCAGTGTGTTCTTTGGTCAGTGATGTCTGAGATCCCAAGTTCCAATGTCTGTCTGAAATTATGAAAATCAAGTCATGGGAGATGGATACCCTATTCCCTACGATCCACTTATTTCACATTGCATGCCTGTATCAAAACATCTCATGTACTCCATAAATATATACACTTACTATGTAACCGCAAAAATTTTAAGAATATACAAAAAATTTTAAAAACTGAATTAAAGAGCATTGTAGATAATTGTATTTTTCAAAAAATAAGTAAAATATCTGGTATATAACAGTTAAAAAAAAAACTGTATTATCAACTCTGTGACCTTAGAACTACCTTTTTACATTTTCAAAGATTAACTCTCCTTAAAAAAATAAATGTACAAATTATTACCAAAAAAAAAAAAGAAAATCAAGTCATAATGTGAAAAATAATTTTTAAGCTGAAAGTTACACTGTTTCTAGGAGTTTTAAACTAGGATAGTTTGTGGTTATTAATCTGTTTGGAAGTAGTCCAGAAAAAAATGCTATGGGTCAATAACTTGAAAATGTGCATGTGGACTACTTAAAGAGGAATCGTGTGGCCTAAAAAGTCCCTGTTATCCCTCCACCCTGCAGACTCCAATAGGAGAATTTCCGCTGCTGCAGACTCTCCTTGGTGGCCAAGCTGCCCAGCACTCTCCCGTCCCACCAATGGTGTGACTCCTATCACTGAGAAACAGACCCCTTACCATTTCATTTCCTTTTAATTAATTTAAATTTAAAAATCAACACTTCCTTGGTTACTGGAATGTTGGGAACCATGTGGGTGTGTGCATCTATATTTTCCAGGGTCTATTTTGTTACCTATAATACCAGTCATGTATTTCCAATGAAAATTTAACTTGTGAATTGAGATATAGTACAAATGTAAAATACATACACTGTGATGATTTAGGAAATTTAGTAGGAAAAAGGAACGTAAAAGATCTCAGTAATTTTTTAAATAGAATACAAGTTGAAATGATACTATTTTGGATACACTGAGTAAATCAAAATCTATCATGAAAATTAATTTAAGGCTGGGCGCGGTGGCTCACACCTGTAATCCCAGCACTTTGGCAGGCCTTGGCGGGCGGATCACCTGAGGTCAGCAGTTCAAGACCAGCCTGGCCAACGTGGTGAAACCCTGTCTCTACTAAAAATACAAAAATTAGCCGGGCATGGTGGGGCATGCTTGTAGTCCCAGCTACTTGGGAGGCTGAGGCAGGAGAATAGCTTGAAACCGGGAGGCGGAGGTTGCAGTGAGCTGAGATTGCGCCACTGCACTCCAGCCTGGGCGACAGAGTGAGACTCCATCTCAAAAAAAAAAAAAAAAAAGAAAAGAAAAAGAAAACTAATTTAAAATTATACATAAGGCTTGCCTTAGATTTCTGTTGGGTTGTGCAGATCTAGACCACAGTTGTCATGTAACAAAGGAAGGAGAGTTTGAAATTACAGGCTCACAGTTAATGATAAAATTCCAACCTAAACCCAAGACCAGACATTCCAAACACTCAAGTGAGTCAATCTGATGATTTGTAAGGCTTAATGTTGAACCGTCTTCAAATGTGATGACCTCATCCTAACTCTTTCCAAGCTCCCACTTTGGGTATATCAAGAGGCTGAATGTGGTGGCTCACATCTGTAATCTCAGCACTTTGGGAGGCTGAGTCAGGAGGATTGCTTGAGGCCAGGCATTTGAGACCAGCCTGGGCAACACAGCAAGACCCCATCTCTACAAAAAAAATTAGCCGGATGTGTTGATGCACACCTGTAGTCCTGGCTACTCATGATGCTTGGGTTGGAGGATCATTGAGTCCAGGAATTTGAGGCTGCAGCGAGCCAGGATCATGCCACTGCACTCTAGCCTGGGAGACAGAGCAAGACCTTGTCTCAAGAAAACAAAACAAAAAATGAATTGGCCAAGAGAAGTCAAGGCTCATCTGACTTGGAAGGGAGCCAGGTTCTCAGTCTATACTGCTTTTCTCATCCTGGCAGCATCCCCATGAGATAAAAATGATTATTCCCATTGTACACTTAAGGTAAAAGGTCTCAAACAGATGAAATAATTGCACCATGACTATAGAAACTAGTAAGAGTCAGCGCCTGAAATTAAGCCCAGGGCTGTCTCCTTTGACACTGGCCAAAAAGCAGTAACCTCTTTTGATGAAGGGGCTTACTTCAAGCTTTGTTTATGTGATGAAAACACCCCAGGGCTCCAGAAACTTAACATTTGGTTCCACATCCAGAAAAGTAAATTTACAAAATGGTACTGCAAGTGATAATTCTCGTTGACCTGGGATTGCTAGGGTATAAGCATTCTGGGAATACCTGGGTTTCTGATCAGGAAGTCATTCGCAGCTATAATGGTGATCCTCAGTCACCGGGACTCTGGGATTGCTAGGGTACAAGCACTCTGGGGTTACCTGGGTTCCTGACCAGGACATCACTCGCAGCTATAGATGGAATGCTTTACCCCTTTTCTCCTGTGTTATATGACATCGGTTAGCACCTTTTAACCTTTTTAGAAGATAGGTTGGAAGTTGAGTTAGATAAATCAACAGGTAGCTGATGGCCTAGAATATAACTTTCTGTAGCTTTCAAAGTGAGGATGAGGGGCATCTTGTTCCCTAAACTGCTTCCTCATGATGGGGAACCTCAGCATTGTCTTGCCTTGTGTCTGAGTACCCATGTAAAATTCAGTATTTCATTCTTAAAAGATAAAGGGGAAGAAGGAATAACAATAGACAAAGAGATTCCACCCTAGTCCCCATCCTCATTCTGGTGAAAAGTTGTCATTACTAAGACAATCACACACTCGATGGAGAATTGTAGGCTGTGGACAACAGAGCCATAGATGGTGTACTAATAGCTGCTACAAAGGACGCCTCTGTCCTACCTTTCATGCCCAGCTTTGAGTATATCCTGTCTCTTGCTCATTACCGATGCTGAGTTTTAGCCCTGTAACCAGAGTCCTCTTTCTTTTTCCACAGATGGGACTATGAACTGTGTTTTAATGATTAGAGGGAGTAGTGAAGATTTTCACTGTGAACATTTTCACCCCCTTTCCCATCCTTGGCCAGAGATGATCTCACATGGTCTTGGCAGGTATCTTTTTACAGGAGTGCATGTTGTTTATCTTGGGAGCTTTTTGCACAGGGAAGGCCTTTGTCTTCCAGCTCTGTGAATCCTTCTTCACTGCGTAGCACCTTGCAGAACATTTGCACATATTAGGCTCTTGGTGAACACTTAGAATCCTCAGTCATTTGCATTCACGTCATGTTTCCATAACACATTGAATGAACCAGCAAGTATTTATTGAACATTTACTATGTGAAACACAGGGAAGACAGCCATGAACAGACCAGACACAAATCTTACGTGCTACTGGATAAAAATGTACCCCACGGATGACACTTTGGGTATTATGATGCCAACAATGAGAACATATTAAATCACTTTGGTATTTGCATTAGATTGTGTCCTGTAAGTTTCAGATTGGTGTATTTGCCAAAGAACAATTGTGTGTACCCCCCACCCACCAGAAAAGAATACAGTAAAAGTGCTAAACTATTGAATATTTTTAAATGGTATTATATTTGAAACGTGTGTTTGTAATTTTGAGCCATGTAATTAGAAATCTAGGGTTTATTTAAATTCTTGTTTGTTTTAGAGAAATATGTAAAGCCACATTTCCCTTTATATAAAGTACTTGGTTGAAAAAACAATTTTTTTCTAAAGAAAAAAAACACTCTTTAGTGTACTTTTGCCAATTAAAAGACAGTACAGAGAAATTGATTCCTCCTGGAGTTTGTGTAGAAATTAGAAAACATAATGCTTTTCCCTAGGCATGAACTCGCTTAAAACTACTGAGAAGCTTATACTCACGCAGGTTGAATGGAGTGAATAGTGGTTTAGAGAATTGAGCTGATTAATAAGAAGTCCCTGATTTTCTTTTAATAACACGTTCTGACCCAATAAGGAAAATTTGCACTATGTTTTCCTACAGCGATGGTGCTGTTAAAACTTATGCAAATGGGACAACTTTATTATTACTAAGCCTTTTACAGTATGTTGCTTTCCAGGGAGCTTTGTAAATCATTATAATTGTGTTTCCTCAGTGTATGGGTTCTGAATGCTCCTGTTGTCCTGTGAGGTGAATTTCCATTTGGTGAAGATGATACTGTTAAATGGAGGTTTCTACCCCATAGAAATTAAGAAGAGATAAATGCAGACAGACCCAGCCCTTGGAAATTCTGCTTTGTGATGAATTATTTCCTTATACTTATGGTGAACTTTTTTACCCGTGATGTGCACAGGGGCCCAGAATCATATATGACAAGTCCTTCCATGTGGACTACATCCATATGACACCATGTTCACTAGTTGGAGCCTTGGAAATCCAGTGGGAATGGTGAGATAGTGTGAACAGCTCCAAGGCACCGTGTTTTTAATGTAACCCATTCGTTTCTGGCTGAATAGGCTAGTTGTTGATGTGGTGGGCATTATGAGATAGTGTTAATGGTTGGGCCACGGCATTTCAAAGAGATGCCTTATAAGTCCTGAGCCCATTGTGCGTCTCTGATCATTTTGGTCTTCATTTGCTCCCCTTGCCCACCGTCCTTCCACAGAGCATTCTCTGGAAGCGCTCAGGGAGCAGAACAGGGCAGGCCCACGTAGAAAATGGTCTCTTGAGAGTAGAAGGTCAGGTTCGCTGAGATCTCTGACTCAGACCACCCGTACCCATGCTTTTTGTTGTGATGGAGAAGGTGCTCTCATATATACACATTTGTGTAGTAATTACTGCATATTGATAGCAATGTTACTGCACCTGTTAATTAATATAACCAAATGGCATAGCTACAGTGTTTTATTCTAGTTCAATTTAGGAGAGTATATTTGTTCTCAATGGGAATTGATCTGGGGAGACCCAGAGAGTGGGGACATGAGGGTTATTTGTGGAGGGGATGACACAGCAGCTTCAGAAAACAGAAACATTAATGCATTAGACTGCTGACCTGTGGGGTCACACTTCCTTCAGTGATGCCCATAAGAGTCTTGGAGTGCCGGAAAGTATAAGCAACGCTGAGTTCCTGCCAGTATCACAAAGGTGTGTTTTGGATAAGAGAGGAGCCAGAAAGATTACACTTGTGTAGAAAGTGAAAACTGAGTTTGAGGGAACAGTCACATTCTCATGGCAATAAGGTGGGTAGAATGGGCCGCTCAGCCTCTGCACTGTGGTCAGCTGGAGCTGGAAGATGGTTGTGGTGGGGCTGCCGTGTGCACGGTGGGAGGTTTAGCAGCATCCCAGGACCCAGGAGATACCAGTAGCACCGCCTCCCCCAGTTGTGGCAACTGAAAATGTCTCCAGATATTGCCAGATGTCCCAGGATGCCATAGGGGGAGCATGCAGTATCATTGCCTGTTGAGAACCTCTGGAATAAATAGGTAAATGCATACAAATATAAGGATCTTAGTCTTGCATTGGGAGGCGGCGTCTGACATGTAAAGACACCACTAGAGCACACTGAAGTAGGTTCTTTCAGAGCATTGCATGCATGATACCCTGGAGCCCAAGGAGAAAATGATCAGGCCATGCCTCCTGGAATCAAGAAGGCTTGACTTCACGGCCTGGAGGAGATAAGTTTTAAACTGATCCTTGAAGGTAGAGGTAGGTGAGGAACTAGATGAAAGGATCAGTATTAGGTGGGCTTTTAAAATATTTTCTGGCCGGGCGCGGTGGCTCACGCCTGTAATCCCAGCACTTTGGGAGGCCGAGACGGGTGGATCACATGAGGTCAGGAGTTCAAGACCAGCCTGGCCAACATGGCAAAACCCCGTCTCTACTAAAAATGCAAAAAAAATTAGCCGGGCATGGTGGCGCGCCCCTGTAATCCCAGCTACTTGGGAGGCTGAGGCAGAAGAATCGCTTGAACCTGGGAGGCGGAGGTTGCAGTGAGCCAAGATCGTGCCACTGCACTCCAGCCCGGACGACAGAGTGAGACTGTCTCAAAAAATAATAATAAATAAATAAAATAGAATTTTTCTGAGTATTTTGTATGCTGTTGAAAAATTTATCACTTCGTAGATGTATCTCACTTTGTCTATATCTAAGAAAAAAACTATGTGCATAAATGAATTTTTATTAGCTAGTTAATCTAGTCAGTGGAATGGAGTATTATTTCCAGAGTTCCACTTCATATTCCTTGGTAATATTGAGACGCTGGTTGTAGTGAAAATACTCTTAATTAAGGCATGTTGTAGGTTCAGAGTTTAGATGGCTGAATTTCATGAAGGGTCTTCAAAGCATTGGGGGTGTTTGGTGTACGGTAGTGATTTTCTTGTGTTCATTTGACATTTTAAAGTGATAGACGTTTAACCTTGGGCTTTCTCAGGACTCTAGAATATGAATGATCACTGTTAACTGTTTAGAAACTCATGATGTAAGCCCATATGACTTATGGATTTATGCACATTCTAAACAGATAAGCATCATACAAATATAACTTGAGTTTTCTATGAAAGGACAGTGAGACACCACCCCCCGCAAGTCTGGCCTGAACATTGGTGGACTGGGAATCATAAAAACTGATACATACATGTCTTACTTTGTGTTTGTTTGTTCTAAGCGAAAGCATGTGAATATGCAGTCATCTGCCAATACTTTGTGGGCCAGCCCAGGCCTCTGCTCTGAGGATGGCCCACAGCCTGGAGTGCCCCAGTGATCCCAGCACTGTCCACACCCGCGGTGCATCCCTCCTGGCTTCTAGTTTCCAGTTAACTTAAGCAAAGCTGCACAGACATCTCACTGTACATCTCTCTAGATTTATACCTCCCCTCTCTACCTTCCCGGTCTTGCTGCCCACACCTGTCCTCAAGTAAAAACTGATTCACACTTACCCTGTCTCTCATACATTCAATGTTATTTTCATTTTGAAAAAAGGCTGTGACCCTGTGTGTACTCGTACTTCATCCGTCTGTGTAATATTTAAAGTTTGTAGTTAAAATAGTGAGGACACTGAGTGAAATGGGGCTGGGAGCAGACTTGGATCGGCTTTGGGAGATGGTGTAGGCAGCGATGGGGACAGGTGGAGGTGCGGACCGGAGTGCCGCCCTCTAGCTGCGAGCTTACATCCTCATGCTTGGGTGTCTGTCCTTCAGTTTCTTCTCCAGTGCCACGTCACCTACCTGAGCTGCCTCAGGTTTGCTCCCTGCTGCTGTGCACACGTAAATCAGTGTCTGGCGGGAAACAGGCAGACGCCTTTACAAGAACTAGTTGCCATTTATCTTTTTATTGTTAGACCTCCCAGTAATGTGTGAAGTCTAGTAATTGCCTGTGTGTCAGACTAACTCAGTTGTAAGCTCTACATTATGGTGCTATTAATCTCTTCAATGTAGGCAAAATGGGGACAGTGGCTCCCACAGCAAGCCCATCTGCTCTACCCATGTAAGTTGGGAGGGATGTGGTACCGTGTGGCTTCTACTTCTCCATCCACTTTACGGTTGATGTTCATGCTTATTGTAAAAGCCCTGCAAGACCTAGAGATGCTGTGAGTCCTCACGAAGGAAAATGCAGTGTTCCGTGGGGTTGTGCTGTCCACTACAGGCTCTTGACTTCTGAACTTTCTGAAGTTTGTATATTTATCCGGGAACTCATACTTACCAAGCTGTATTTTAAGTTTCTTTCCTGAGTCAGGCACCCTCCAAGCTAAGTGCTGTGGCTGCAGAGGCCCCTGCCCTGATGGAGCTTGCCTGTTACTTGGGAGACTTGTAGCAAACAGAGGAACAAAGAAACAAAATAATCTGATGACAGTAACACATCCTGTGACAGAGACGAACAAGGTGACATGGGTTGGAGGGGTTTGCACATTAGAGGTAAGAAGACTCCTGTGAGGAAGAGATGGATGAACCGAAGTGTGTAAGATGCAGCCGGAAGAGCCAGGAGAAGAGAGTTTCAGGTGGAGAGGCCAGCACATGCGAAGGCCAGGCACCCAGGAAACTGAGGGAAAACACAGGCCAGGCCAGCATGGTGGAGCGAGTGACCAACAGAGCAGAGGTGTGCACGGTGAACAAAGCCTACAGTGCTTTGCCGGCCATAATACTAAGAGGATGAGTGTGGACCTGAAACCCCCCAGCAGCTTCCTACCACACTAACCAGTGGCTGGCTGCTGGCTGAGGGACGGACTGTGATGACTCCCACTGGGTCCCAGGCAGGGAGATAACCTCACCTTCCACTAGCATAGCTCAGCGGAGCCAAGAAGGGGAGAGGACAGATTCAGGACACTCCAGTGCAGAATGTCAGCGGACGTGCATGTGTCCTGCCAGGGGAGTGAAGGTGTGGCATGTGAGCACGGAGTGGGAGGGAGGTGTGACTTATGGAGACTACAGGCTAGAAGAGAGACGAGATGCCATGGTTGGGTGGGTGGAGGTCTCTGCTGTGGGCGTGTTGCGTTTGAGATGCTGCTTGGACCTTCAAGTGGCCAAGTCATGCAGTCCCTGCAGGGATAGGTGAGGAGCTATGGAGGTTGGGGGCTGGAGACATCTGGGATGTAGACCTGGAGACTAGATTCGTTCACTGGAGAGACCCATGGCGGTGTAGTCAGCGAGGGGCACTCAAAGGTCGGGAAGATGCCTTTCAGAAACTCAGGGTGCCCAAAGCATTTCCAAAATCATTTAACACCTCCTTGCATTTTCACAGGGACTTGGAACCTCTTAGGAGATAAGAATATAGGGAACCAGCCATCTGGAGACTTCTGCAGAGAATATACATTAATATCACTGTCTTATTCTCACTGACTCCCCACCTTTTTAAAATAAGGGAGATGGCCTAGACTAGGAATTTTGCTTAACTTCTATCCTCCTGTCCTTTTTTTCTGACTCTGCAGTTTTCATCTGAGGTAGAGAGAAATGATGCACTCTGCTAAATTAGACCTGAATATCTGTTGTTTTTCTTAGACTTGTGAAGTTTTTACTAACAACCACAAGCACAGTCCTGAACATCGTATAACAGCATCATTTGTTAATTTTTTGAATGAATTTTGTGATTAACCTTGATTTAACAAGAACACCCAGCCCATTTCCCAACGACACAAATTAATACAAATTTAATGAACCGAAGTGTGCCCTTCTGCTGCCACGTAGCTCAGTTCTCCAGGGATGGAAGCTGGCCTGAGAATTTCTAAGTTTGACGAACATTCAGATGTTCCAGAAACTATCAAGATTCTGAGACTGTTTCTAGGAAAGGCCACAACTCTACTGGAAAGTATATCAGAATGACATTTTTGAATCTGAAAAGAAAAAAGTCCTGTACATTTTTAATTTTAGTTAAGAGTTTGAATCTGGCTTAATATATTCTTAACTTGCTAGTTTGAAAACAAACTGGTCGATGCTCATTTTCACTCTCATAACTGTTTCGATATTTCTGATTTTTTTTTTTTCTTTAACCAACAGAGGGGTCTTTGGAAGACATATGTGCTTTTAAGTTTCAATTTTCATTGCAATTTTGTTTGTGGTAAAATGCACATAACATTACATTTACCATTGTAAGCATACAGTTCAGTGGCATTAAGTACAGTCACCATCTACCTCCAGAACTTTTTCATCTTCCTGCACTGATTCTCCATCCCCCATCTCCACACCCCCGGAAAACCACCATCCCACTTTCTAGCTCTTGTTTTGACTACTCTGGTGACTTCATATAGTGGAATCATACATTAATTGTCCTTTCATATCGGGCATATTTCACTTAGTGTAGCGTCTTCAAGGTTCACACACCTGTGTCAGAATTTCATTCTTTTTTTTTGTTTTTGAAACTAAGTCTCACTCTATCACCCAGGCTGGAGTGCAGTGGTACAATTTCAGCTCAGTGCAACCTCCGCCTCTCAGGTTCAAGCAATTCTCCTGCCTCAGCCTCCTGAGTAGCTAGGATTACAGGTGCGCGCCACCACACCCTGCTAATTTTTTTGTGTTTTTTGTTTGCTTGTTTGTTTGTTTCTTTGTTTGTTTTTTGTATTTTTAGTAGAGATGGGGTTTTGCCATGTTGGCCAGGCTGGTCTCGAACTCCTGGTCTCAAGTGATCTGCTCACCTTGGCCTCCCAAAGTGCTGGGATTACAGGCGTGTGCCACTGTGCCTGAACAGAATTTCATTCCATTTAAAGGCCAAATATGTCATTGTTCGTATAAACAGCATGTTGTTTATCCACTCATCCGTTCATAGACATTTGGGTTGCTATTCCAAAATAGCTTTTGGCTATTGTGAATGATGCTGCTGTGAACATTGAGGAACAAGTGTCTGTTTGAGTCTCTGCTTCCAGTTCCTTTGCATATACCTAGAAGTGGACTTGCTGGATCACATGGTAATTCTGTTTACTCTTTTGAGGGCCTGCCATACTGTTTTTCTGAAGGTTTAAGTTTTTGTGAGATGTGATAAAGGTAGGGTCCAACCGTGACTCCTATGATTTGATGCAAAGGTTAACCCACTGTATCCTGCAAGCCAAATTTAGCCCTTGCTAATTTTGTACAGGCAACATGCTAAGGATATTTTTAATATTTTCAGATGGCTAAAAAAATTGAAGGATAATATGTCATTATCCATGGAAATTCAATGAAATTCAGATTTCACTTTACATAGTTGAAGTTTCATTGGAACACGGTTATACCCATTGTCTGTTGTCTATGGAGCAGACTTTGTATGGCCCATGGAGTGGGATTTGCTATGGCCCTTCGAGAACAAATTTGCAGGCCTGGCATGGTGGCTCATGCCTGTAATCCCAGCACTTTGGGAGGGTGAAGTGGGAGGATCATTTGAGCCCAGGAGTTCGAGACCGGCCTAGGCATCATGGAGAAACCCTGTCTCTACAAAAAGTACAAAAATTAGCGGGGCATAGTGGTGCATGCTTGTAGTCCCAGCTACTTGGGAGGTTGAGGTGGCAGGATCACTTGAGCTTGGGAGATGGAGGCTGCAGTGAGCCGTGATTGCACCACTGCACTCCAGCCTAGGCAACAGAGTGAGACCCTGTCTCAAACAAACAAACAAACAAAACACATTTGCAAACCTGGTTAAAATGATAAGGAGTTCGACAAAGCTTACTTACGTCTGTTGACTGCTCTGCCCAACTCCGTGGGCTTTTCCAAGGGTCTGAGTAGGTGCATCAAGCTGTCCACCTAATTACTCACACCATCCTACACATTATTTGTCACTTTTTTGCATGTAAGCACCAATCCCAGTTGCTTAAGCCTGCAGGGGGCATTTCCTTCAGTAGGAGATGCAGAGTGTAAAAACTCCAACCCATTTGCATCTTGCTTATTTCAGGTACATTTCCTTTCCTGTTTATAATTCCAAAGTGTGGCTTCCTATCATGCCTTTTAAGGAACTATCTATTCCCATTGACTAGGAGATAAATCTCTGTATAGTGGAGGAACCAAACTGAGGAAGACTTCTCAAAATTGTTCTTTTTATCATACACTTTTTTGGAACGAAGTTTATAGCCAACTAAGAGGCAGTCTTCTATTTTTAATCTGTGATATTTCTGTAAAGTCATGTAAATGTCATAACTGCAGTGTTTTCAAGTTGTTGTTGTTTTTGCAAAGAGCTGTTCTCTGCAGTGAGGGCTGAGTGTGACTTGTTAAAAATGAAATTCACATAGCATCCGTTTCCTCCGTTAGCTTCTTTCACTTAAAGGACATCTTCAACATATCATTTAAGGGCAACACTTGGTTCATAGTGTTTAATTTGTTGTCAGGAATGTCAGCCTCAGAACTTCTTAATATACACACCCAACTCTACTGTAGGTGCCTATATAATTTACATTTAACCTATTATTTTATTTTATTTTATTCATGAGGGTGATCTTAGGACCTGAGATAAATTTGAACAGGATCAATACAAATCAGGCTATGTTTAAACCAGGAAGCAGAATTAAATTCTATTTTTCTTGTATTTGGGTTTTGCAGGAAATGGGGCATCGTGTTTTCTCTTTTGAAATTGTGTTTGAAGTGATATTTGCATGAAGAAGCAGCCTGTTTTCTATTAGACTGGTAAAGTGGGAATAGTAGAAAAGAGAAAGGCGGGATTTGGGAAATGTGACATGAAGACGTTGTTAAATAAGGTATGCGTATAACTAAATGTGGCAAGAACAATGCTACTTAGATACGGAAGCTGCTAAAGTATTTTAATGTTCTCTTTACAAAAAAAAATTTAAGAATTTTAACATCTGCTAGAGCTCAATCTAGTCTGAATTTTTTTTCTCATCTGACCTTTTTCATTTTTCCTTTCTCAAACACACTTGCTCATTTAAAAAATTCAGTTGGAGAACCAAGTAATATGTTTCCATTTAAGAAAGCCACAGATAAATATTGTTCCATTTGAAACTACAGCTTCACTCACTTGATACTTGTATGACTATTTTAAGTTCCTTTTAAAAAAATGGCTCAAATTTATCCTTTTGGGAGGGACTGGTGAAAACGTCTGCAGGTTCATCTTGGTTTTTAAATTTTTATGTGTTTAATTGTGGTAAAAACACATAAAAGTTTCATCTTGCTTTCATGTTTGCTTTTAAGGTCTGAGAATATTAATAGAACAAAAGGAACACAACAGCATTCCAATGACCAGTGAGTGTAGCTGTTCCCACTGTGTGGTTATATTGTTTTTTTACAAGCCTACATATGTGGCTTTACCTATATTTTAATATGTGAATTCATACAGTGTAACTATAAAGCATTGTGCTCACTTAGTGGCACAGAGAGGTTAAGTTACTGACTGGGGGACATGCAGCCCTCAGCACGAAATTCTGGGATTTAGCCGAGAACAGCCTCACTCCAGGATCATGCTGCTTCTCAGAGTTTGCTAGCTTGCATTGTTAGAGTGTAATTTCTGGAAAACAAGGCCATACTGGAATCCGGAGGAGAGAAAGATGGCTTACACTGGGTATGAGTACAGTGTAGTTGAGATGTGCAAACAAGATGTAGGTAAGATAAAAGAAAATGCAAACTAGGCCGAGTGCGGTGGCTCACGCCTGTAATCCCAGCACTTTGGGAGACTGAGGCAGGTGGATCACGAGGTCAGGAGTTCAAGACCAGCCTGGCCAAGGTGGTGAAACCCCCGTCTCTACTAAAAATACAAAAAATTAGCTGGGCACGGTGGCAGGCGCCTGTAATCCCAGCTACTCGGGAGGCCGAGGCAGGAGAATCGCTTGAACCCGGCGGGGGGGCGGAGGTTACAGTGAGCCGAGATCATGCCACTGCACTCCAGCCTGGGCGGTTACCCTTTTTTGGTTGTTTTTATTTTTTATTTTAAGATAGGTCATGTGGTGTAACGGGAAGCTGATGGGACTTAGGGTCAGACGACCTGGGATCATTCCTGGATTCCAATCTCCCTGGCAATGTAGTAAAAGGTCTCCTTGTCTTTGAGATGTCGGGACGGTGATGCAGTGAGGGGCAGGGTGTTAGGGAAGACTAAACTCATGTAACACGAAGCATGACACGTGTCGCGTGTGTCTCTTTGTACCACAATATCCTTGGACATACATATTCCTGACCTGGTAAGATGAGATTCTGTATGTTTTTTGAGACCTCAGCATCCCATGCCCAGACACTAAAGTCACAGGGGACCATCAGAGTCCCCTAGTAGTTTGGAAATTCTGATCACCAGTCAGCAAAGATATTTGACTGTTGGAAATTTTTTAAATGGTGAGCTCTCTTTTTCTGTTTCAAGATTCGGTCATCCTTTCTAATAGTAGACACGGAAGTCTTTTTGACAAAGGTAATGCTAGGCCCTGCACTGGCTGACACTCCATGCAGTGTACTGTCCTTCCATAGCCTGTGCCGTTAGTTTACAGAGGTCAGTAGTACCTGCCCGCCCCACAGGGTTTGTGTCCAAGTGCTTCATCGTGGTAGAAGTGGTTTTTAATGAAACAATAGATTTCTTGGTCTTGCTTCAAGTGAAATCCCTGAAGTGTTTGCTTTCCCGATGATTTCATGCTGTAAACTGCCTATTTGTGGCCATGGCCCATGAGCATAAAGCAGCATCATTGCTATTCAGGCACATAAAAGCCAGATAGAAGAAAACCTCACTATTTAGCCATCGTGTCAGAGAGAGCCAAACTACATGTCTTTCTGGGCCCTGGTTTTTAGGGGATTGAATGTCACCCAGACCTTGAGTCTTAGTTATCAGTGTCGCATATCAAGAAAGGACACTGAGGAATCAGAATTCTTACAAGGGTGGCAACTTTTATTTTATGAATTGAAAAATATTCCTATTCAGCGGCTGTAGTCACACAAAACTAGGCCTGATGTAAGGTTCCACACTTTTAAAAAGCATTGTATATATTTAACTAGGATTCTGTAGTCATTTATATTAGGAATATTGTTGCTAGTTGTTTTGCAAGTTTCCAGTAGCTGTAATGCAACTAGGGAAGCATTTACATATTGAAGGCAGGAGCCACCAATAATGTACGGATTTTAACAGTAATTAGGGTATCTGGGAATTGCACAGGTTTCATTCTCGAAAAGTTAACTGAATTGCACAGATCAAAAGTGAAATTGATTCACTCATCTAAACATGCACTCTGTTGCTTTCTTGGTGAGAGGAATGACCCACCTACTTGGTCTTCATGGAGCTCGGTCTCCTCATCTATAAATAATATATTAAGTGTTGATCTAAGAATCTATGAATCTGAATTTTACATAATGAGAGAGATGTACATGTGAGTGAAAAGCAAAACCCTGTGATAACTCATTTTTGTTCCAGCTACAATATTGTGGACTCTGTGGACTAACTATAGCCAAGACTTATCTGAGTCAGGAAAAAAGTATCATAGAAAATCCAAAAATTAATTGAAGGCAGTTGTTTGTAGGTACAGCCCAAGTGACTGCATAAATTTCACACCAACTAAAAGTGTTAAAGAGTAACAAGATGAAGGGGTTAGAATGATTTGTGATGGATACATTGTGCATTGGAAATTGTTTGTAAGACTTCCCCAATAATTGTGTTTCAGTTGCCCAATTCCTGTTTATTCTCATTGTGCAGAAGTAAGTTACTACTCCCTTCAATATAAATTAGTGTAAATTGTGAATTGCTTTCGTCTAAAACAATGAGAGCACCCAACATGAAGCCAGGACTTGGGGTTCAAATCCTACTACTTGTTACCTGTGAAGCCAGCCTAGATTGTTCACTTACACTCTTCAGAAAGCAGCCTCTTTATCTACAAAATGAGAATAAACAGGGCTGATGTGATGGTTCAGTTATATAATGGACATAATATTAAATAGACTCTTTCTTTCTGAATGGGAAAGTGAGGAGTTACTGTATTTAGAAGATGCATAACCAGCCTTGCTGTTCAAGAATGTTAGGAATGAAAACAGTTGATATGTGGTTCTCATGACTCAATTAAAAGATGCTATGTTTGTGTAAAAATTAAGAATACATTTCTGCTGAACTTGTGGAAGAAGCTTAGAGCAGAGGCTGCCTGTGCATTAAGACTGAGAGGACTTGGAAAGAGAAGATTTTTAATGTTTTCCTTTTACATTAGGGTTTCCTAACTGTGGCACTGTTGACATGTAGGGCTGGAGAACTATCTGTGGGAGGTCCTTCCTGTGCACTGTAGGAGGTTCAGCAGCATCCCTGGGCGTCCCCCACTGGATGCCAGCAGCACCCTCTCCGTATGGTGACCACCATAAGTGTCTCCAGACATTGTCCAATGTCCCCTGGGGGGCAAAATCACGCCTGCTTGAGAACCACTGAAAATTTCCCCAATATAAACATGCATTACTTCTGTAATTTTAATAGCAACTTAAAAAAAAAGATGTCATTTCCAAACTGACAAGGCTAGTCTGTACAGCTTCACATATTGAAGACTCAGAAGAGTTGGACTTTTTTTTTCTTTTTCTTTTCTTTTTTTTTTGAGACGGAGTCTTGCTCTGTTGCCCAGGCTGGAGTGCAATGGCGTGATCTCAGCTCACTGGCAACCTCTGCCTCCTGGATTCAAATAATTATCCTGCCTCAGCCTCCCAAGTAGCTGGGATTACAGGTGTGTGCCACCATGCCCAGCTAATTTTTGTATTTTTAGTAGAGACAGGGTTTCTCCGTGTTGGCCAGGCTGGTCTCAAACTCCTGACCTCAGGTGATCCTCCCACCTTGGCCTCCCAAAGTGCTGGGATTACAGGCATGAGGCACTGCGCCTGGCAGACTTGGATGTTTTTACGAGGCGTTTTGGGCTTGTGTTCTGTAAGCATCAGCTTAACAGAAAGTGATGTTGCATGACTGCCCCAAAGACTCCTGGTGGCAGCTGTGAAAGCATCCAGGGACCAAAACCTGTGCTGAGGTTGCCCTCAGGCACCTGTGGGCCTGTCAGTGGGGCCATTCTAAGTAACCAAGACAAACCTGCTCTACTTGTGGAATACGGATCTTCTTCTTCTGCATGTTAGTTGTCTAGGGTCACCTTGATGATATTAGTAGGTTATCTGTTCTACTTTAGTAATGTGTTAGGAGTGCACAGCTTAATCAATCTAATATGATACTGCTCTAAGGTAGGGCTCAGCAAACTACTGCACACAGGCCAACTGGCTTGCAGCCTGCTTTTGTAGGTAGTTTTATTGGAACACATACACATCTGTTTGCATAAACACACCCATTTGTTTACAGATTGCCAGTGGCTTCCAGGTACACGTGACTACGATGGCTGCAAAGTCCAAGATCCTTGCTATTTGGCCCTTTAGAGAAAATGTGTACCTACCACTGCTCCATGGTTCTGGAACTTTCTCCCCTTCTGTTGCCATATCTAGGTATATCTCCCATCTGTTAATCTCAGTTTCAGAAAGGGGGAGGATAGTAAACAGCATAGCCAAACAAGACAAATTATGATAGAGAGCACTGTGAATATTTCAACTTTATTCAGTGCTTTTAGTGAGTATGCGTGTGTTTCTCTGCATATCAGATGCATGTAACGTGTACCAGAGTGTATTTATTAAAATGCCTGGCTCATGTACTTGTTCATGAAAGAAGCAAAACACCATCGTTTTCCTTGATTTAAAAAAACGGTAGCAGCATTTGTGCTGGAGAACTTTGATAGAACATGGCAGTTGCGTGTAGGATATTGGACCAGACAGGCTGTTGGGGCCAGAGTTTTAAGAGGGTTTCTCTAGAAACAGACCGTACTAGGATTACATGGGAAGTGAGTGTGGAATACTTCGGGATCGCTGATCGCCGGTTGTATGGGAGTGAGGAGCAGGACGGGGCTCAGTGGGGAGCTTTCTGGAATGCCAGTCCCGCTCTTTCCTGCATGTCTACTACCCCCGTCCAAGCACTTCCTTGGCTCTAGTATGTCCTCATGAGCAGGGCCCATGACTTCCCGGTGTTATCTTCTGGATAATTTAATACAGGGTTCAGGATATTTGTTAAGTCCCATAAAGGTGTTTTAAGTGAACAGCTGAATGGCAACCTCAGTTTGATGATGCTCTGTCTCCTGGAGGGGCCTAATGTCTGGCTGTCTCCAGTCTCCTTCTAACAGACCGGCATCATCGTGTCGTGTTAAGTTCGCTTATTAATTCTCTACCAAAGGCATCTGCATTTAGTGTCCAGGAATCACTCGATGTTTCGTTTCTTTTTATGTTTTCTTTGCCTCCGAAATATCTTCCACAGATTCCCTAAGGACGTGAGGAATGGAGGAAGTTGTGAAGGAGGAGAACTGTAAGCTGAATAGAATACAGTCATCCCTCGGTATCTGTGGGGTATTGGTTCCAGGACCCCTGTATATACCAAAATCCAGGGAGGCGCAAGTCTCTGATATAAAATAGTGTCCTATTTGCATATAAACTATGCACATCTTCCTGTAAACTTTAAATCGTAGATTACTTGGAATACCTAATACATTGTAAATACTATGTAAATAATTGTTATATTGTTTTTAAAATTGTTTTTATTGTATTGTTTTTATTTTTTAAAAATATTTTTTTTCTTTCTTTTTTTGACACAGGGTCTTGCTAAGCTCACTGCAGCCCCTTCCTCCCGGGCTCAGGTGATCCTCCCACCTCAGCCTCCCAAGTAGCTGGGACTACAGGCGTGAGCTACCACGCCCAGCTAATTTTTGTATTTTTTGTAGAGACTGGGTTTCACAATGTTGTCCAGACTGGTCTCGAACTCCTGGCCTCAATCAGTCCTCTCGCCTTGGCCTCCCAAAGTGCCGGGATTAGAGGCGTGAGCCACCACACCTGGCCTTAAAAATATTTTCAATCCGTAGATGCAGAACTTGTGGATACAGAGGGCTGGCTGTTCATATTTTCAAAGACTATATATCAACAACATATAATCAATATATAACATATATGAGATATATGGATAATATATATATATATATTCAGTAACGATATACATGTATTCAAAGTAGTAGGTTTGTTATAGACAGCATAGAGAAGACTCTGGCTTTTTAAATCCAGTTTCACAATCTCGGCCTCTTATTTATTTTGCTTTGATTTTTATTTTATTTTTGAACTTTTTAGGTTCAGGGGTACATGTGCAGGTTTGTTACACAGGTAAACTCGTGTCATGGGGGGTTTGTTGTACAGATTATTTTGTCACCCCCAGTATTCAGCCTGGTACCCAATAGTTATCGTCTCTGTTCCTCTCCTTCCTCGCACTCTTCACCCGGCAGTAGCCCACAGTGTCTGCTGTTCGTGTCTCAGCCTTTTCGCTGGAGTGGTTATACCATTTACCACTTGCTCTTTGTTTTCTCTTTGTACCACTTACTCTGTGTTTCCTTTTTCCTCGGTTCCTGTGTGCTTTTGCATAAATTGCGGCTTTTTTGTGACTATACTTCACAGTAAGCTTATTAGCAATAACTCATTGCTTTATTTTTTAGGGTGTTGCTCTAGTGTTGACAATTTTCATGTTTAACCTTATCACAATCTATGTTTGAAAGATATTTTACTTCACATATAAGAGCCTTACAACAACAATGTGCTTTCATTCTCCTTCCATTCTTAGTGCTTTGTGCTACATTTGCCGTATGTTTTACTTTTATACATGTTACAAACACCATAATACGTTGTTATTAATTTTGTACTAAGAAGTCAATTATATGGAAAAGGATTCTTTTAAAGAGAAGAAAATATTTTTATGTTTATATTTACTATTTCTGCCACTTATCATTTCTTTGTGGGAATCCACATTTTCCATCCGAAGTTTTTCTTCCCCTTCATGGACTCCCTTCAGTCTGTCTTGTAATGCAGGTCTACAAGAAGTGAATTCTCTCTGCTTTTGTTTCTTTGGTAAAGTCTTTATTTTGCCATCATTCTTTGAAAGATATTTCATCTGAGTGTAGAGTTTTGCATTGATACATCCTCTCAGTTCTTTAAAGATTTCATTGTCTTCTGCCTTGCATAGCTTTTGACAAGAAATTTGCAGTTTTTACTATCATTTTTCCCCTGGATATAACTTTTGGGTTGTTTTCTGGCTGCTTTTAAGAGTTTGTCACTGATTTTCAAGAAATTGATTGTGTCTTGTTGGGGTTTTCTATGCTGTTTATCCTGCTTGGAGTTTGTTTAGGGTTTTGAATCTGTTTTACTTTCCTTAACTGAGAGTTTTACAACTTGATTTGATCTTGGAATCCTTAAAATGCGTTTTTGGTTTTTGTGGTTTTTTTGAGACAGTCTGGCTCTGTCACCCAGGCTGGAGTGCAGTGGCCGCGATCTTAGCTTACCGCAACCTCCGCCTCCCGAGTTCAAGCGATTCTCGTGCCTCAGCCTCCTGAGTAGCTGGGACTGCGGGCGCATGCCACAACACCCAGCTAACTTTTTTGTATTTTTAGTAGAGATGGGATTTCGCTATGTTCGCCAGGCTGGTCTCGGACTCCTGGCCTCAAGTAATCTCTCCACCTCGGCCTCCCAAAGTGCTGGGATTACAGGTGTGAGCCACTGCGCCCAGCCAAAATGTGTTTTAAGTAACATATTTTATCATCTCAGTACTAGTGTTTTATTAATGAACACTAAAACCAGTTAGAGAAACACTGATGAAAACCAGTGTTTATTATTTTTACATATTTTTATAACTCCATATTGGCTCCTTGGACCTTTTAGAGTTGGGTTACGAGAAAGCAATTGGGCATTTGCCTGGTATTATGTAGAGGGTATGCAAACACGGTTAGCTTGTGGAAAAGATATCAGTAACAATTGCCTGTGTAACCGCCAGCTTTATGGGAGTGCTCCAGTAGTAACATTTTTGCTTGTTTCAGCTATAAAAGCTATTACCACAATCTGTCTCTCTCATTTTGTACAGTAATGATCCATGAACATACTAAAGGGAAATTGATGGCATACCCAGGGTTACCATTTACAGATGGCAGTACTGAAATGTTAATTTCAAAAACATTCAAACTGTAGTTTTCTTCTGTAGACATGGGACAAGCAATTTTTATCATTTAATCATGCAGACTTGGTTTTAAAAGAAAACTCTTTTAAGATGTTCTTTGCTTTTAATTTATAGCCTTCTAGTTTGCTTATAACATATATGCTTATTTTTAAAGAACATTAAAGGTTAGGCCTAAGGAATTTGTGTGCAAAATTGGTCATTGATTATTAAGAAAATAATATAGAACCTTTTTTTATGTCATAAATACAACTTTAAAAGGAAGGGGACTCTTCAGAGTTGCCTCTGAGGAGCACATATGAAAAAGAAGGGCAGAGGTTTACTGCAGTGGTAAAAAATAATCCACCTAGATCAAGACTATTCCAAAAGTGAATTTAAAAAGAAAAAAAGATGAGATGGTAAGATATGAGGAAATAATGAATGCATTGTGACTTTCCACCTCCCCATACCCATTTTCATAGTTTGGTGAGTAGAAAGAGAAATGAGGATGCTGGCCCAATTTTGATTCCCAGTGGATGAGGCTCACACAGAACTGCCCTGCTTCTTGACACTATTATGATATTAAAAGTAACTTGTATTTTTATAAGTTATTACCATCTTGGCACACTTGCATTCATTTTAGTCAAGTACTGTCACCTTTAGATTTCAAGCTTGCAGAGTCTTAAAAAAATACACATTGGAGAACACATAGTCTTTTAACAGTAAAATCTCAGCTTATTAGAATGTTTAGTGACTGAGGTATTCAGAGTCAGTCAGAAAAGTATCTTTAGGATTTCAGCATGTGGAGATGTCTTTCATAGAGAAACCGGGGAGAGTCAGGCAAACCCTAGCACGTTGAGCATGGCGTATCCTCATCTGCACGGGCACTTAGACACCTGGACAAGTCCATTAGCAGTAAGGCAGGATAGAGGGGTTCACAGGATACGTGCTGCCCAGGATACGTACGTGCAGCCCAGAGCTGGGAGGAAATCATGAGGACCGACTAGACATTTATTGTACAGATGCATGACTGGCTGGTATGGCCTGGGATATGTCAGTGAAGATACACCGTGAGGTTGTGGGAGGTAGGATTCACAGTAAATCCTAAATTCTTCATCTTTGCACTCACGACGCACAATAGCTGATCAAAGCTTTTAGCAAACTGCAGCAAATGAAAAGGCGGCAGAACCTCATGGTGACAAATGCAAACCCTGGAGTCGGACTGCAAGCATTCACACCCCAGCTCCACCAGTCCCCAGCCCTAGGACCTAGACATGGAGCTGCATGTCAGTGTGTCCGTTCCCTCTGTGTGAGAACGGGATAGTAACAGCGCTCCCTCACACGCTCCTGTACACATGGAAACCACCACTGCCGTCGGACACAGTGTATGCTGTAGAAGCACTTATGGTACTAAGCACATTAAATATTTAAAATTATTAATTAGATTATTTAATCCAAGCTCAAAGCTCTCAGAACAGAGCCAGGCATGTAACAGGTACAATATACATGTTAGCTATTATTATTATTATTTAATAGAGATGGGGTCTTGCTATGTTGCCCAGACTGGTCCTGAACTCCTGGCCTCAAGTGATCTTCCCACCTCGGCCTCCCAAAGTGCTGCAATTACAGGCATGAGCCACTGCGCCCAGCCTATTATTTTTTAATAACTTTATGTAACCCGGTGTTGCCAATTGTTTTGAAGTGTGGAGCCGTTTTTCAGATGACACATACTAAACATCTACTAAACAGCCTGAGAAACGGCACTCTGAAGAGCATGCCTTGGCAAACACTCCCCTACTTACTCTAAAACTCCAGTCGATTGGCTTCCAAGTTCACTTGGTTCTCATTTTTCCTGGCAACAACTCTGCAAATTATTACCCCCATTTGATGAGGTGCTGGCTGAGAAGGCCCCTTGCCCAGGTATGTTTCCGACCTGCCTGTGACAAAGTGTTAGATTCTGAAAGCCGGGAGTGCTGGCCTCGGTTAGCTGAGTGATACCAGCGTGGGGTCTTTCGAGGCTGCAGGCAAGATGTCCGCCCACCTAAAGGCAGGATGGGGGCTGGAGGGGCCGTGTCCCGGCGCCTCCTTCCTGTGGCTGCTGAGTTGGTATGGCTGTAGGCAGGGGGCCTCAGTCAGTGTTGTACCGTGCTGGCCTCGCCACGAGCACCCGAAGGAATTTTATCATACAAATTTGATTCTGTTTTATCAAGAGATGCCAGTAGCACCTCCACTTCCAGTTGGGACACCCCAAAATATCTCCAGACATTGCCTAATATCCCCTGGGAGATGGCGGGGGGTGTGGGGAGGGGGCGGCAGCGGGCACTGTCTCCCCTGCTCCAGAACACTGTATTGAAATACAGAAACGTGATGCCAATCCCATGCTTTTATTTGGGATTAAATGTGTAATCCATATGCTTCTGAGTGGGAAAAAAAAAAACTTGGCTCCAAGCAGAAAATGGTGCATCCTTTGTTGTCATTGGGCAAATGCTTGGTAGGGATTTGATCTGTGTAGAGGAATGCTCAGTCTGCAGTGGCAGCCAGGTAGTGAGCATGTGCGGCCCTGCACACAGCATGAGCTTGTCAGACAGACAGTGCTTGCCAAGCAGGGCTCTGGCATGCGCTTGTTGTTGGCTATGGCTCTTCCATGGGCAGGCTCCCGGCTCCTCCTTGTGCATCCATCCCCTTTGTTGGCCACCCTGCCTGCTGGCCTTAGGCCTTCTGCTCCTTTCCCCAGGTCCTGGCTCTCTCCAGCTTGGCCTCCCTCCGCCCATCCTGTGCACCTTTCATTCCTGGGTAGGAGGAGACTCAGGTAAAGAAGGATAAAGGCAGAACGATGCCAGGCAATTCCACTGCTAGCCATTGCCCCAAGGACATGAATGTTCATAGCAGCATGGTTGACCCAAGCCAGGTTCCTGTCAGCTGCTGCCTGGAAAAACACAACGTGGTTCAGCCACGCAGTAGCATAGTATTCAGCCATAAAAGGAGTGAAGCCCTGGAACGTGCTACAACATGGATGCTCTGGGAAAACATGCTCAGTGAAAGAAGCCAGATGCAAGAGGTCACATATTGTATGATCTCATTTAGTGCCCCAAATAGGGAAATTCATAGAGCCAGAAAGCATTCTGTGGTCACCAGGCCTGGGGGAGGAGGGAATGGGAGTGACTGCTTAGTGGGCACCAGAACTCCTTTCCAAGTGATTGAAAATGGTTTGGAACTTGACATAGGTGGTGGTTGCATAACATCTGAACGTACCACTAAATTGTACACTTTAATTTGGCCAGGCTCAGTGGCTCACACCTGTAATCCCAGCACTTTGGAAGGCTGAGGCAGGAGCATCACTTGAAGCCAGGAGTTCAAGACCAGCCTGGGCAACATATCAAGACCTCCATCTCTATATTTAAAAAAAATAAGAATTTTTTTAAAAGAAAAATAATAAAATGGTTAATTTTATGTTGTTACTTTTATTCCAACTGAAAACAAAGCAAAACAACAACAACAACAACAACAACAACAACAACAACAACAACCATGTATGGTCCAGGGGAATGTCTATGTTGGGCCTGAGGTGTGCTGTTCTGGTTTTTCTTAGGTGAATGGGTTCTGAAGGCTGCATCAAAAGAGGAGTCTTTAAAGTTGCTAATTCTTTCCTGATAGGAAAAGAATATAATTTCTCAAAATGACTGCTTTCGAGGAATGCCCCTTTCTGAATTTGAAAACATAGTATTAAAAAGAAGAGTCTCTCAGTGCTTTAGATTATTATTTCTTGTATTCGATGTAAAAATCCCTTACAGTGGTTTTACAAGTCTGCAGAGGAATTCACAAAGCACGATTGAAAAGTGATGTACAGGATTTATAGTTGAATGGGAACAAACCAGCTGATCTGCATATAGGATGAAATTTAGCTGAGGGTGCTATTGAGTTTGGACAACATTTGGCTGGACCTTTGTAACTCTTCAGCTCTATGAAACAATAGTTGTGTGAAGAATTAAAAGGTGGAAAATGAACTGTAGGTGGCTGGCTCACATATGCCTAGGTCTATTTCCAGACACAGCGAACAGTGAAATGACAGTGTCGGTGAGGCACCAGTTCAAGGAAATACACAAAGACTGCCTACTCATAAATACAGACACAATGGGGTGATAACTGGTGCTTGCACTTGGAGATCTAGAATTCTAAAACATCGGAAAACAATAGCAGACCATTCTGTGTCCTTTTCTTTAAAACTATCTCTTGAAATTTTCGTGCTTCCCCCAAGAACATCCTCAAAGATGCCAGTAAAAATAACTCCACAGGAATCTTTCTGAATTCCAATATCCATGTGAAAAGGCTGCATTTTATTCTGATTTTTCACAATAGAATTAAGGCAGACATGATGAAGAAATGAATGTGTAGAGGACTTCCGAAATCTGTATTAACGTGTGTGATCAGCAACTGTAATGTTTTGATTGATTATATATGGTACATCTTTCATTCATTAAGCTAACTTTA